>NC_000009.12:112595552-113220552 GCF_000001405.40 Homo sapiens | reverse complement strand
TTGAATGAATAATAGCTGCGAAATTGCACTTTGTAAAGCTTAAAGCTTAAAACCAACGTAACAGACTTCTGTCATTCTCCAGTTTCCCCAAGCATTATATTAATATATACCAGCCTGGAATAGAAATCTTTAAAGAGAGGAAGGGTTTTGTCTCTTTTAGTAGTCAGTTTAGCCTTTTCCATTGTGTTGTGCCAGTGGACAGCTTGACTTCCTCCAAACTTGTGAGCTACCAAGCTCTGATCATTGCAGAGCTTTTCTTTGAACATATGCTTAACAAATTTTGTGCGTGCTGAAGAATGTACTGGAAAAATGACAAATGCACCACATATGCCCCTTATTCTGCTAAATGCTAAGAGGTTACAAAAATGATTAAACTGCTGTGCCTGCCCTTAAGTTGCTTCCAGATCTGTTGGGCCATGTGGTTTCTATTGCAACCACAAATACTCAGTTCTGCCTTGTAGGGTGAGAGTAGTCATAGACAATACATAAACAAATGAGTTAATAGATGAATGACCATAAAATGACACTGGCCTTCTTTTGTCCTTAAGTAGGAATTTTTGATTTACACTGACTAGCTCTATATTACCTACCTTTTAGTCTTTTTCACTCTCACCACTCTGTTCCCTTCCTACCCCGTCTTTAGATGGCCTGCATTCACTTAGTTCCACTTTGAGTTCTTTCCGTTTCTCAGTTATTTTACAGTTAAGCTGTGCTTTTGTTCCTTTTTTCCCTATTCCACTTTAAATTCGCATTCTTCACTATGTGAAAGTATTTGGGAGAAGTCTGTAATGTTAGGGCTCCCAATTTTCATGCAACAATCAGTCCAAGCTGACTGAAAATTATGGGATAGGTAATGACAGCCATGTGCTCTTTTCCAGATTCCTGGCCAGAGATAAATTCTTGGTGGCTCAACTATTCTTTTTTCCTGAGCAGGCTTCTCAAGGATCTGAGACACTTGAATTCTAGGCATGTGACTGTGCTCCTAGACATAGACAACAGCTAATTTGATGGTAAAAGACATACTGAGGAAAGTTATAGTTTATTTTTGTTCCCCACAGTTATCAGGAAAACCAAATCAAATTTAACACTGAGAATACAGAAAGTTTCACCACAATTCTCTGATTTAGCTATTCCTTTTTTGGTTTTCTCTAAGGAAGTAGAACATATGACAGTGAATACTGCAGCTACTTTTCACTTCCTCTTTTATAGCCATATATTACTGTAAGTATACTTGCTTAAGTTCCAAGTCTCTTGATTTAAACACATGATTTGCTTGATTTCATGAAGGATATTCAAGCCTAATAGAAGTAGGAGTATCTGATAATCTGCCTTCTGAGTTTCTAGGCCTCTTAGAGTTTACTATTAATCTAGAAGTAGTAATCAGGAGCCTTGTTTTTGTTTGTTAGTTTGTTTTAGCCCATTCCTCACCGTTGTGGGAAGTAATAGTAATGAACTAATAGTACTTGGCTTCAGCTAATCCAGATAGGAATAAGGCACAGTTTCTGCCCCTAAGAAACTTTTATTTTAGTAGTAGAATAAAATCAATCCAGGAATAATAATCACAAAGCATTTTTAAGGGGCCAATTATGTATATATTTGTTTTAGATTATAAAGGTATGTGTAGGCAGATCCGATTAGCATAGTAATGATAAATCACCAGTCTAAAGATGGTAGAAAGATAAATTAACCGATCATCAGAAAGCATTTTGAGTTCTGTAAAAGATAGGAAAAAGCCTAGATTCAAATGTTGATTCTATCCCCAGTTAGGAATGTGACTTTGGACAGATTATCTTCCATCCTTGTCCCTCCATACCCCAACCTATTCAATAATGAGGTTTGACCTAGATAAACTTTGAGACCTTTGCCAGTTCTGTAGTTTTAATGTTAATGCTAATACCAGTTTATGGTTGCAGGTCAACTTCCGTGTCAATCAAGCATGCTTTCACCCTTGCAGGGGTATCTGAGTTGAACCACATTTTGAGATAATAGGATGTGTTCACAAGTATATAAATACGTACTCTGTGCTTACTTAATGCCATACACTGTTCTAAGAAATACATAGACATTATTGTATTTATTCCTCCCTTCTACTCTATGAAATAATTTTACCTACTATGCCCATTTTACAAATGAGAAATGTATATATATATATATATATATATATATATATATATAATTGTATTTACTCCTCTCTATGAGGTACTATTAATTATTATATCCGTTTTACAAATGGGAAAGGCTCAGAGAGGTAAATTGCCCAAGATCATGCAGCTAGAAAGTAATAGAGCCTGGATCTGAAATCAGGTAGGCAGATTCTACCAGACCTGCCTATGTGCTATTGTTGTTATTATTGAAATGGATGTTTGATGTCAGTTTGTTTAAAAAAGTATTAATACTTTACCAACAAAAAGAATCTCTGTTTATTAAAATACATTGATACAGTATAAATGCATGTGTTTTTGTTTTTGATGAGAAAGAAAATATAAAACTGAGGTGAGGTGAGGTCCTTGGCGACTAAATGCATTGTCTAACATTTTTTTTTAATGTAGTTAATTCTGTCATGACTTTTCCTATGAATTATAAATATAGATTCAAGTCCAGAGTTAGCAAGCTCATTCTTGCCAACATAGGGAGATTGTGTACATTTGAGAGTTCCTTAGTAGTGGAAAAATCTAAAAATTTATTTATTTTTGTTTATTTATTTATTTTTTTGAGACAGGGTTTTTCTCTGTTGCCCAGGCTGGAGTGCACTGGTGCAGTCATGGCTCACTGCAGCTTCGAACTCCTGGGCTCAAGCAATCCACTTGCCTCAGTCTCCCAAGTAGCTGGGATTACAGGCGCATGCCACCACGCCTGGCTAATTTTTAATTTTTTGTAAAGATGGGTTCTTGCTATATTGCTCAGGCTAGTCTTGAACTCCTGGCCTCAAGCAGTCCTCCTGTCTCAGCCTCTGAGAGTGAGCCACCATGCCCTGCTAAAAATTTACAAGTAACTTATCTCCCAAGTTGATGCAGAGTCCATTAAAGATATTAATAGAAAATGGGACTGTGCGTGGTGGTTCACGCTTGTAATCCCAGCACTTTGGGAGGCCAACGCAGGTGGATCATGAGGTCAGGAGTTCGAGACCAGCCTGGCCAACACAATGAAACCCCGTCTCTACAAACATACAAAAATTAACTGGGTGTGGTGGCAGGTGCCTATAATCCCAGCTACGTGGGAGGCTGAGGTAGGAGAATCGCTTGAATCTGGGAGGCAGAGGTTGCAGTGAGCCAAGGTCGTGCCACTGCACTCCAGCCTGGGTGACAAAGCAAGACTCCGTCTCATTAAAAAAAAAAAAAAAAAAAAAAAAAACTGGGCGTGGTGGCTCACACCTGTAATCCCAGCACTTTGGGAGGCTGAGGCAGGTGGATCACCTGAGGTCAGGAGTGCAAGACCAGCCTGGCCAATGTGGTGAAACCCCATCTCTACTAAAAATACAAAAATTAGCCAGGCCTGGTGGCGGGCACCTGTAATCTCGGGTGCTCAGGAGGCTGAGGCAGGAGAATCGCTTGAAGCCTGGAGGTGGAGGTTGCACAGCCGAGATCCTGCCATTGCACTCCAGCCTGGACGCCAAGAGCAAAATTCCGTCTCAAAAAAAAAAAAAAAAAAGAAAATGGAATTAATCTGAAAACTAATTAGGTTGACCTGGCTTTTGGATCGACTTTGTAGTCTTCAGTTGGCTGGTCTTTAGAACATCTATGGAAACACAGTTCACTTATGACACTCTTGTCTTTCCTTTTAAAAAGGCTATACCTGCAAAATTAAAACAGCAAGCCCAATACTCATGGTTTACTGAAGCTAACAAGGACATTCATTTCTTATCAGTAATCTGTGCATAAGCTATGTTATCTTAACTAGGTGCTAAGCTTTGTACATTTTTCACTGTGTTAAAGATAGTGAAACCCAACTCTTCCAGAATCTTATTCTTTAGGCAATTTGCCCGAATTTTCCTGCCTGAAAGGACAAATCTTGCTGTCTTCTAAATTCCATAAGCATTTGGTGATGTCTTTTTAGGCCAGCGCTGCTCTCACTCAAGCATTGCGTTTACAATCTCATTTAAACCTCTTAGTCCTTTACAGTAGGCATTTCTGGCCTATTTACAGGAAACTTAAACTTACATTAGACTACTTTGAGAAAAGAAGGTAATAGTTTCAAGTCATATAAAATTTATTTTGTAAAATGCTAGTGCATATTTCTCTATACATAAAACTTGTTTTAAAAAAACCTGAAAAGCCAAAATAACTTGTTGGGAAGTTTCAATGTTTACTTCACCTAAACTAAGGATGCCTTTGGAGAAGAAGTGCTCAGAGCCAGACTAGACTTTGAATTCATTTACTGAGCCTGTTACATACCAGACACTGGGCATACCCCCTTTTTTTTTTTTTCGGTTTGCTTTATTGTGCCTTGCAGATTTTTTTTTTTTTTTTTTTCACAAAATAAAGGTTGTGTCCAACCCCGTGTTGAGTGAGTCTATTGGCATCATTTTGCCAACAGCAAAATTCCTCCCTTCGTGTCTCCGTGTCACATTTTGGTAATTCTCTTAATATTCAAAAATATTCTCTTGGTCAGTTGCAATGGCTCACACCTATAATCCCAGCATTTTGGGAGGCTGAGGCGGGTGGATCACTTGAGGCCAGGAGTTTGCAACCAGCCTGGCCAACATAGCAAAACCCTGTTTCTACTAAAAAATACAGAAATTAGCAGGGCATGGTGATGCACGCCTGTAATCCTAGCAATTTGGGAGGCTGAGGCATGTGAATCGCTTGAACCCAGGAGGCGGAGGTTGTAGTGAGCCGAGATTGGGCCACTGCACTCCTGCCTGGGCGACAGAGTGAGACTGCATCTCAAAAAAAAAAAAAAAAAAAAAAATATATATATATATATATATACACACACACACACACACACGCACACATATATATTCACACATATGTATATATGTTTATATATACACACACATATATCCTCTGAATATTTCAAACTTTTTCAATGGTATTATATCTGTTATGGTGTGATCTTTGGTGTTACTGTAATTGTTGTTGCCACAAACCACGCTCACATAAAATAGTGAACTTAATTGATAAATGTTGTGTATGTTCTGACTGCTCCACTGACTGGCAGTTCTCTATTTTTTTTTTTTTTATCTCTTCTTGAGCCTACCTATACTCCATGACTCAGCAATATTGGCATTAGGCCAATTAATAACCCTACAACGACCTCAAGTGTTTAAGTGAAAGGAAGAGTTGCACATCTCTTGCTTTAAAAAAAGTAGAAATGATTAAGCTTTGTGAGGAAGGCGTGTAAACAAAGATAGGCCAAAAGCTAGGCCTCTTGTGCCAGTTAGCCATATTGTGAATGCAAAGGAAACATTCTTAAAGGAAATTAAAAGTGCTACTCCAGTGAACACACAAATGATGAGAAAGCAAAACAGCCTTATTGCTGACATGGAGAAAGTTTAAGGGAATCTGATAGAACATCAAACCAGTCACAAATTTCCTTAAACCAAAGCCTAATTCAGAGCAAGGCCCTAACTCTTTTCAATTCTGTGAAGGCTGAGCGAGGTGAGGATGCTGCAGAAGAAAAGCTGGAAGTGAGCAGAGGTTGGTTCATGAGGTTGAAGGAAAGAAGCCGTCTTCATAGCATGAAAGTGCTAGATGAAGGAGCAAGTGATTGCAAGCTGCAGCAAGTTACTAGAAGTTCTAGCAAAGAGAACTGGTGATGGTGGCTACACCAAACAACGGATTTTCAGTGTAGACAAAACAGCTTTCTATTGGAAGAAGATCTAGGACTTTCATGGCTAGAGAGGAGAAGTCAATGCTTGGCTTCAAAACTTCAAAGGACAGGCTTAACTCTTATTAGGGGATAATGCAGCTGGTGACTTAAAGTTGAAGCCGTTGCTCATGTACCATTCCAAAAATCCTAGGGCCCTTAGGCATTATGCTAAATTTACTCTGCCTGTGCTCTGCAAATGGAACAAAGCCTGGATGACAGCACATCTGTTTATAGCATAGTTTACTGAATATTTTAAATGCACTGTTGAGACCCACTGTTCAGAAAAAAAAAGCCTTCTTTCAAATTATTACTGCCCATTGACAGTGTACTTGGTCACTCACAAACTCTGATGGAGATGTATAAGATTAATGTTGTTTTCATGCCTGCTAACACAACATCCATTCTGCACCTCAGATCAGGTCTTACCATTTAAGAAATACATTTCATGGCTAAGCACAGTGGCTCACACCTGTAATCCCAGAACTTTGGGAGGCCAAGGTGGGTGGATCACTTGAGCCCAGGAGTTCAAGAGCAGCCTGGGCAACATGGTGAAACCCTGTCTCTACAAAAAATATAGAAATTAGCCAGGTTTCTTGGTGCATGCCTGTAGTCCCAGCTTCTTGAGAGGCTGAGGTGGGAGAATCCCTAGAGTGTGGTGGTGCATGCCTGTAGTCTCAGCTATTTGGGAGGCTGAGGTGGGAGGATTGGTTGAGCCCTGGAGGCAAAAGCTGCAGTGAGCCATGAACGCCCCACTGCACTCTAGCCTGGTGACAGATTGAGACCCTGTCTCTAAAAAAAAATTGTTTTAAAGAGTTAACACAGCAAGCCTGAGACTATTATTCCTAAAAAGCCCTGCTTACAAGGTTGGCTCTTGGCTGATATCTTAGTCTGTTTTCTGTTGCTTATAACAGAATACCTAAAGTGTGATAAAGAAAAGGAATTTATTTTTTACAGTTATGGAGGCTGAGAAGTTCAAGGTCAGAAGGGCTGCATGTGGTGAAGGTCTTCTTCTTGGTAGGAACTCTCTGCAGGGTCCTGAGATGGCATGGGGCATCACATGGCAAGCATACTAGCTCAGATCTTTCTTCCTCTTCTTATAACGCCACCAGTCTCATTCCCATGACATTTATGATAATCTAGTAATCCTTTTTTTTTTTTTGGTTCGGGGGAGACAGGGTCTTGCTCTGTCACCTAGGCTGTAATGCAGTGACATGATCATAGCTCACTGTAGTCTCAAACTCCTGGGCTCAGTTGAGCCTCCTGCCTCAGCCTCTCAAGCCGCTAGGACTCCAGGCGTTTACCACCAAGACTGGATAATTTTTTTTTTTTTTGGAGACGGAGTTTCGCTCTCGTTGCCTAGGCTGGAGTGCAGTGGCGTGATCTCAGCTCACTGCAACATCTGCCTCCTTGGTTCAGGCGATTCTCCTGCCTCAGCCTCCCGAGTAGCTGGGATTACAGGTGCGTGCCACCACGCCCGGCTAATTTTTGTACTTTTAGTAGAGATAGGGTTTCACCATGTTGGTCAGGCTGGTCTCGAACGCCTGACCTCAAGTGATCCTCCCATCTCAGCCTCCCAAAATGCTGGGATTACGGGTATGAGCCACTGTGCCCAGCCGACCTGTGCACTTTTTATTTTTGCTGATTTTTCTGTATATTTTTTTGTAATAGATCTTAGCCATGAGTACCACTATATGCTGAGACCATTGAGTCCTTCTCTAGAATCCTTGAACCTGGCAGTGGTCTTGGAGCACAAAAGGAAGAACAGGTTTTGCTGGGGCAGTGGGCATTGGAGGATATGAGTTCTGGTTTGGACATGTTACATTTGTATTGCCTGTGGGATATCTATGTTTTCTGGCACTCAAGAGCAAGTTCTGGGCTGGGAATGCAGATTTGAGCATCACCAGCATTTGGATAGCATTTGATACCAAGGTAAATGAGTACAGAGAGACAGTATGAAACCCTACCAAGGGAGAGAAAGTATGAAGCCCTGGAGACATGGACATTTAAAGATTGGGCAAATGAAGAAGAAGAGCCCAAGGGGTTAAAGAGAAGCCAGAGAAATGGGGCAAAACAAGCCAGGGATTGCATTAGTATTTATTGATATCTTATTTGGACCTGTTCCTTCCACAACCCCTGCAGAAGTCAAGAGAAGAATTTGAAGAAGAACAAGTTAATTGACAGTATAAAAAGGTGGTATGAGGTGAAATAAGGACTGGTAAACTGGGGTTAGTAGCAAAGAAGTTGTTGGTGATCGGATGGGCCTGGTGGCTCACACCTGTAATCCCAGCACTTTGGGAGGCCGAGGTGGGTGGATCACTTGAGGTCAGGAGTTCGAGACCAGCCTGGCCAGCATGGTGAAACCCCGTCTCTACTAAAAATACAAAAATTAGCCGGGTGTGGTGACACGCGCCTGTAGTCCCAGCTACTTGGGAGGCTGAGGCAGGAGAATCACTTGAACCTGGGAAGCGGAGGTTGCAGTGAGCCGGGATCACACCACTGCACTCCAGCCTGGGCAACAGAGTGAAACTCCATCTAAAAAAAAACAAAAACAAACAAAAAAATTTTTAGTGATTTTAGCAAGATCAGTTTCAGTGGAATGGTGGGGGATAAGATTTCTTGCAAGGGATGATGAAAGAATGGTTCTGTTAGATGAAAGGATGGCAGGGACCATGTTTGATGGGTAAGTTTGTATCATAGCTTCATTTCAATTGAATAAACTAGTAAAAAGCAGGAGGGGGAGTAGTCAGTAAGGGTGACTAGAAACTGTGATTTGCTAAAAGCAAGAATTTACAGTTTGAAGATACCATAGAGAGCACCTGAACTAGTCACTTCAGTTTATAGGTGGAAAAACTGAGGTCCAGAAAAAAGAAATGCCTTGACCAAGGTCCTGGGGATAAACAGGGTCAACTGATGATGTTCAAATCACATACACAATCTTGATTTCAAAGACACTTTGCTGTGTCCAATATTTTTATTTATTTTTTTTTTTAATTTTTAAATCAGCTTTCCTAGCTTGAAGTGTTTCTAGTATTGAATGGTGGGATGTAGTCAAGGAGGTATTTGTTCAAGGTTGGAGATGAGCAGCTTTTATAATAATTCCAGGTTTGGGATATATCAGTGAAATTTCATTTTTCATTTTCTACTAACAGTGCCAGATTGGCCTCACTTTTTGGACTGGATCAGGCAGCTGCTGGCCATGGAAATGAATTTTTCCAGTACACAGCCCCAAAACAGCCTAAGAAAGGCCAGGGAACGGCAGCAACAGGTAAGTTAAGAGTGTATTAGCCGAGCGAGGTGGCTAATGCCTGTAATCCCAGCACTTTGGGAGGCCGAGGCCGGTGGATCACCTGAGGTCAGGAGTTTGAGACCAGCCTGGCCAAGATGGCAAAACCCCATCTCTAAAAAAAATACAAAAATTAGCCAGGTGTGGTGGCGTGTGCCTGTAATCCCAGCTACTAGGGGGGCTGAGGCCGGAGGATCTCTTGAACCCAGGAGGCAGAGGTTGCAGTGAGCCACTGTACTCCAGCCTGGGCAACAGAGCGAGACTCTGTCTCAAAAAACAAAACAAAACTGAAACAAAATAAAAACAAGAGTGTATTAGGGTTCTCTAGAGGGACAGAGCTAATAGAATATACGTATGTGTGAAAGTGAGTTTATTGAGGAGAACTGACTCACACGATCACAAGGTAAAGCCCCATGATAGGCTGTCTGCAAGTTGAAGAACAAGGAAGCCAGTAGTGGATCAGTCCGAGTCTCAAAACCTCAAAAGTAGGGAAGCCGACAGTGCAGCCTTCAGTCTGTGGCTGCAGGCCTGAGAGCCTCTGGCCAACCGCTAGTGTAAGTCCAAGAGTCCAAAAGCCAAAGAACTTGGAGTCTGATGTTCGACGGCAGAAAGCATCCAGCGCAGGAGAAAGATGAAAGTCGGAAGACTCAGCAAGTCAGCCCCTTCCACCTTCTTCTGCCTGCCTTATACTAGCCACGCTGGCAGTTGATTAGATAGTGCCCAACAAGATTGAGGGTGGGTTTGCCTTTCCCAGTCCACTGACTCAGATGTTAATCTCCTTTGGCAACACCCTCACAGACACACCCAGGAACAATACTTTGTGTACTTCAATCCAATCAAGTTGACACTAAATATTAGCCATCACTTCGGGAGGCCGAGGTGAGCAGATCACGAGGTCAAGAGATCGAGACGATTCTGGCCAACATGGTGAAACCCTGTCTCTACTAAAAGTACAAAAATTAGCTGGGCATGGTGGCGCTTGCCTGTAGTCCCAGCTACTTGGGAGGCTGAGGCAGGAGAATTGCTTGAAGCCGGGAGGCGGAGGTTGCAGTGAGCCAAGATCACGCCACTGCACTCCAGCCTGGCAACAGAGCAAGACTCCGTCTCAAAAAAAAAAAAAAAAAAAGCCATCACAACTGGCACTAGGATTGTGCCTTAACAGGTTAGATGGAAGGGTTAGCAGCCTTCCAAAAGTGACATGCCAGGTTGTGTATCCTTGACCAGTCTGGCTAAGCTCACCCCCAGTGGTGAGTGCTTCTCTAAGATCTGGGATCCTGATTTCTAGCAGCTAGATAGCGTGCGCTTTGTTGGGAACTGATGGAGAGGTTCGAAAGCAAGGCCTTCTGCCCCATATGGACACCGCTCTCCCAAACTCTGTCCAAGGCACTCTAAGTAGGCACTGTCCAGTGTTTTGGTGAGAAGGAAGACCTACTTTTCACTTCTTTTATCTGGACAGGTTAGCTGTAGGCTCCATCCTGAGCCTCCACCCCTCTAGGGCCCCACTCTAAGTCACCTCATTAGCATTGTCAAAAGATACAGTTATAACACATGGAGTTTTAAGATCTTAATTGGCTTTTATTTGAGATTCTAGAATTGGGCAACACTTCATTCTATAAAATGGAATGTTGTGATGAGCTGAGCAGAGGAGGTTGGCTTTATAGGCAGAAAAGTGCTGAAGAAAGCAGAAACAGAACAAAAAACAATTGGTCATTTCAAAGTTACTTTTGTTGTGTAGGTTAAAGCAGAGAAGACTTCCTTCCTTATCATGCTGGCTAAAATTGGATTATACAAAAGATGTTCCTACCACTCTTATCACTCAGGAAATTACAAGGGATTTGGGAGCAGTGTGTCAGGAACCAAGGACAAAGACCAAACATATTTCATATTATACCACAGCCTATAGGCCCTTTACAGAAAATGTTTGCCGATCCCTGCTTTAAATATTACCTATTACTTTAGGCAGTTTTGCTGTAGGTGCTTCTCTTATTCTCCAACTCATAACCTGGCCAGATTTCTAGTAGGCTATGCTTTTATATTTCCTGTGGCACATCTCTTCATCAGCAGTGTGCTTCAGAGTTAAAGTGGTTGAGTTAATGGGAGAAAAAGAAACAACCTTAGTTCCCACCCAATGAAAACACTTGGTTTTTTATTTTTATTTTTTATTGTACTTAATTTTAGAAACAGAGTCTTGCTTTGCTGCCCAGGCTGGAATGTAGTGGCTATTCACAGGTGCCATCACAGTGCACTACGGCCTTGAACTCCTGGCCACTGCACCTGGCTAACTTGATTATTTAAATCAGAAGACAGCAACTATGAGTTTATTACACTTTTAGCAGGGAGCTATAGAAGCAAGATTGCCTATACAGTTTTCTTTAGGCATTTACAAATAAATAAAGTAGCAATACAGAAGTCCCTCTCTGTTCAAGGGAATTTTTTTTTTTTTTTTTTTTTTGAGATGGAGTCTCGCTCTGTCACCCAGGCTGGAGTGCGGTGGCATGATCTCAGCTCATTGCAATCTCTGCCTCCTGTGTTTCAAGTGATTCTCATGCCTCAGCCTCCCAAGTACCTGGGACTCCAGGTGCACCCACCATACCTGGCTAATTTTTGTATTTTTAGTAGAGATGGGGTTTCACCATGTTGGCCAGACTGGTCTCAAACTCCTGACCACAAGTGATCTGCCCACCTCTGTTTCCCAAAGTGCTGGGATTACCTGTGTGAGCCATCTCGTCCAGCCTGAGGAACAGTTGGACAGGATGTAACCAAACCTTAAATTTTTTATACTCCTTTACCCCATAATTCCATTTTAAGGAATTTATTATAAGAAGATAACTGGAAGTACACACAAAAATGTTGCATTTTAATTTATGTGTTTCTGTATTTTCTAAGTTTCCTACAATGCACTTGTACTCTATAATCAGAAAAAAAAGTGTTAATACAGAAAAAATCAAACGAGTTCTTTCAAAATATAAGTTCTTGCATGTCATGTCCGCATCAGTATTATCTCACTACTCTTCCATCACATTCATATAGTGAGTATAAATGTGATTTACTCTTAACATGGTATTTGAAAATGTTAGTGTTACTCTGTAGTCCCTTTTTTTTGTTGTTTTTTTGTTTTTTTTGAGACGGAGTCTCATTCCATCACCCAGGCTGGGGTGCAGTGGTGCGATCTCAGCTCACTGCAACCTCTGCCTCCCAGGCTCAAGCGATTCTTCCTCTTCAGCCTCATGAGTAGCTGGGACTACAGGTGCGCGCCACCACCCCCAGCTAATTTTTGTATTTTTAGTAGAGATAAGGTTTCACCATATTGGCCAGGCTGGTCTCGAACTCCTCGTGATCCACCTGCCTCGGCCTGCCAAAGTGCTGGGATTACAGGCACGAGCCACTGCGCCCAGCCTACTCTGTAGTACTTTGTGAAGTTAATTAATGGGTGTGATTTAAATATCTTACTGAATTTCCCACCCTAGAAGACAGGGAAGGGGAAATAACTTTATTTTCATATATTATAGCTGTCAAAATACTGGAAGGAGAAAATAAAATAGATGGACTATCACTTTTTAGACAGTACTCCTTGTCTAGCCAAAGACTTATTTGGGGTGTGTGGGTTGGGAGTTGGAGTCATGGGTTTCAGACCTAGGCACTATCATGGTATAATTGTGTGAGGCACTTGGGTGATTAGAACCTCAGTTTCTTCACCCCCAGACTAGATCATAGGGCTGCTTTGTGGATCAAATAAGGATAATCATAAAAGCATTACAACACTGACTGTAAATTATAAAGATCAATTTTGAAGCTAGTTCAGTGGTTAAAAATTAGTTTAAGGCCAGGTACAGTAGCTCACGCCTGTAATTCCAGCACTTTGGGAGGCTGAGGCAGGTGGATCACGAGGTCAGGAGTTCAAGACCAGCCTGTCCAACATGGTGAAACCCCATCTCTACTAAAAATACAAAAATTAGCCGGATGTGGTGGCACGCAACTGGAATCCCAGCTACTCATGAGGCTGAGGCAGGAGAATGGCTTGAACCCGGGAGGTGGAGGTTGCAGTGAACCGAGATCACGCCACTGCACTCCAGCCTGGGTGACAAAGTGAAACTCCGTCTTTAAAAAAAATTAGTTTAAAGCAAGAAGTGAATGACAACTTTGTTTTCTTGTTCATCTTCAGGAAATCAGGCAACACCAAAAACAGCACCAGCCACCATGAGCACTCCCACAATACTGGTCGCAACAGCAGTCCATGCATATCGATAGTAAGTCGCTGAGAAGGAACACCCTCTGAAGTTTGGTGGAAGGGCGTGCAGTTAAGCTACTTTTTCTCGAAAAACCTCTGTTTGTTGCAAAACGGTTATTTAGCCCTTCCACGGACAAAATATCAGTAGAACTTTTAACATCTGAATTGGAGATTTCTGTGGTAAAACTTGAAAAGCCATTATCTTGTCTACTGTCTTTAGGGAGTGCTTGTACCCTCAACAGCTGTCAAATGCTCAAAGAAAGCCTCTCCACTGAGATAGCATGAATGATAGATATTTATATTTAAAGAGTAAGGGAATAGTATATGAGCTTTAAATTATAAACTGCTGGGCCGGGTGCGGTGGCGCACTCCTGTAATCCCAGCACTTTGGGAGGCCGAGGCAGAAGAATTGCTTGAACCTGGGAGGCAGAGGTTGCAGTGAGCCAAGATCATGTCACTGCACTCCAGCCTGGTGACAGAGCGAGACTCTGTCTCAAAAAAAAAAAAAAAAAAAAAAATTTTAAACCGCTCACCTGTGTCCCTGCCTAGAGGCTGAATGACTGTTGTTCCCACTTCTGTATGACAGAAAAGAAAGCTGGTTCTGCAGAATTTAGGGAAGTATTAATACTTGTTGTTTCTCTTCCTTTTATAGCACAAATGGTCAATATGTAAAGCAGGGCAAATTTGGTGCTGCAGTTCTGGGGAACCACACAGCCAGAGAGGTGAGAGTGCTCCCACATCTCATGTATATTCAGATGTCCCAAATAATACCAATGAGCTGGCTTTTATCTGGCTTGCCCGATGTCTTGTTTATCAGAAGATAAGGATGATTATTTGTATTGAATGTTAATTTATAACATCAAGCATATAGTAAATGATCACATTTTGCTTACTATTGTGCGTTAAAACAAATCCAACCATTCAAAATTGTTAAATTTGACCTTTGTGATATGATCCTAGCTTAAGAATTTGGGCATTTTTTTGTTTGTTTGTTGTTCAATTGTGGGGTGCGTGTGTACACACACATACACAAATACACACATATATATACACATACATATGTATATATAAGATAAAATTTGCCATTTAACCATTTTTAAGTGCATAATCCAGTGCCATTAATTGCATTCACAGTATTGATTGAGCAACCATCACTACTATCCATTTCCCAAACAGAAAGTGTAACCATTAAGCAATAACTCTACTTCTTCCTTTTTCCCAGCTGCCCATAAGGTCAAATCTCTTCTTGTTTTTATGAATTTGCCCTTTCTAGGTACCTAATATAGGTGGAATCATAACAGTATTTGTCTTTGGTGACTGATGTATTTCATTTCACATAATGTCCTGAAGGTTCACCCATGTTATAGCATGCATCAGTATTTCATTCCTTTTCATGGCTGAAAAATATTTCATTGTAGGTATATACCACATTTTGTTTATTCATTCATCAGTTGATGGACACTGGGTTGTTTATACCTTTTGTCTATTGGGAATAGACAAAAAAAGTATGTATCGTGAAGACTGACATAAAAGTATATGGTCAAGTTCCTATTTTGGCTGTATACTAAGAGTGGAAATTGCTGACTCGTATGGTAATTTTATGTACCACTTTTTGAGAAACTGCCAAACTGTTTTCCACAGCAGCCACACCATTTCACATTCCCACAAGCAATGTATGAGGGTTTCAGTTTCTTCACATCCTTGCCAGCATTTTGTTATTATTATTATTTTTAAATTCTTGCCATTCTAGTAGGTGTGGAATGGTACTTTATTGTGGTTTTAATGTGCATTTTACCCAATGTCTAATGTTGAGTATCTTTTCATTTGCTTATTGACCATTCATGTATTTTCTGTGGAGAGATGTCTACTCAAGCCCTTTGTCCATTTTAAAAATTGGATTGTTTGTCTTTTTGTTGTGGAGTTGTAGTAGTCTTTTAATATATTCTGAGTATTAAACCCTTATTTGCAGATATTTTATAGATTATCTTTTCACTTTCTTGATAATGTCCTTTGATGTACAAAAGTTTTTAATTTTGGTGAAGTCCATATTATCAAGTTTTTTCTTTTGTTACTTGTACTTTTGGTGTTTTATCTGAGAATCCATTACCAAAACCAAGGTCATGACGATTCACCTCTACGTTTTCTTCTAAGAGTTTTATGATTTTATCCCTCATGTTGTTTTATATACAAGTTGGGCCTACGGTAAAAAATTACTTGACATGTGAAGAGGTGGGAAAATGTAACTAATAATCAAGGGAACAAATAAACTAGGAGCAGACTCACAAATAACCTAGATATTGCAGTTAACATACAAGGCACTTAAAACAACTAGGAATAATATCTTAAAGAAAATAGAGGAAAAGTACAAAAGGGATGAAAAGATGGAGAATTTAAAAAGTTAGAATCTATAAGAATAATCACATGGCAGTCTAGATTTGAAAAATACAATTTCTGAAACTAAGAACATATTGGATGGGTTTAACAGAGTCAGAATACAGCAGGAGACAGAATTAGTGACTTCGAAGGCAGTAACATAGAAAATATTCAGACTGAAGCACAGAGAGAAGAAATAATAGAAAGAGACCAGGGCAAAGATTGATGTGGGACATGGTCTAACGTCCATGTAATTGGAATCCAAAGACAGTAGAATTATATCTTTAAAGTACTGAAAGGAAAACAAAACCCTGCCTATTACAGAATTCTATAGCAACAAAAATATCCTTCAAAAATGAAGGCAAAATAAATTTTCAGCCAAACAAAAGTGAGAGAATTCATTGTAGTAGATTTGCACTACAAGGAACATTAAAGGACATTCTTTAAGTTGAGGGAAACGAATGTCTGTGTCTTTCAAAAGACATGGAGAGGCTGGGCGCGGTGGCTTACGCCTGCAATCCCAGCACTTTGGAAAGCCAAGGCTGAGGTCGGGAGTTCAAGGCCAGCCTGACCAACATGGAGAAACCCCGTGTCTACTAAAAATACAAAAAAATTAGCCAGGTGTGATGGCACATGCCTGTAATCCCAGCTACTTGGGAGGCTGGGGCAGGAGAATTGCTTGAACCTGGGAGGTGGAGGTTGCGGTAAGCTGAGATCATGCCATTGCACTCCAGCCTGGGCAACAAGAGTGAAACGTCATCTCAAAAAAAAATGACGTGGAGAATGTTCATAGAAGTATCATTCATAATAGCCTCTAGCTGGAAACAACTCAAATGTTCATAAACAGGAGAATGAATGAAGAGTTTATGGTATATTCACATAATAGAATACTACATGACAATAAAAGAGAATAAAGTCCTGGAACATGAAGTATCAAGGCTTACTCTTATAGATACGGTGAGTGAAAGAAGCAAGACAAAAGAGTATACTCTGTATAATCCTATTTATACAAATTTAAGAATAGCAAAATTGTCTGGGTGCGGTGGCTCACACCTGTAATCTCAGCACTTTGGGAGGCCAAGGTGGGCGGATCACCTGAGGTCAGGAGTTCAAGACCAGCCTGGCCAACATGGTGAAACCTGGTCTCTACTAAAAATACAAAATTAGTAGGGTGTGGTGGCGTGCACCTGTAGTCTCAGCTGCTCGGGAGCCTGAGGCAGGAGAATTGCTTGAACCCGGGAGGCAGTGGTTGCAGTGAGCCGAGATTGCGCCACTGCACTCCAGCCTGGGCGACAGAGAGACTCTGTCTCAAAAAGAAAAAAAAAAAAAGCAAAATTAATCAGCGACAGAAGTCAGAATATTGGTTATCTCAGGGTGGGGATTATTGACTAGGAAGGGCATGAGGGAGCTTCCTGTGGTGTGGGAAATGCTCTGCTATTTTTTAAATCTGGTTGATGGTCACGTGGGCACATATATGTATAATGAACATGTATTTTATGTTTTTCATCAATTTAAAAACAATTTGTATTTTCTTTTACACAACCAGCCACTCTTAGTCACCCCTTGTATAAATGAAAACACCAACAAAATGAAGACATTGCCAATTACAGTTAAACAGTAAGACCAAAATGAGAAGAGATTAATGTGGATAGTGAGAAGATAAAATTTAAAGTTGAAGCCTTAAAGGATGAATAGATTTTGAGTTTAGTATGAAGCACAACCTTTGATACTTATTGCTGATTTTATATTGCTGATTTTATATTGCCTTTTAACTTCTGCTGTCTCTCTTTTTTTTTTTCTATCTGTCGTTGCTTGTCTACAGTATAGGATTCTTCTTTATATCAGTCAACAACAGCCAGTTACGGTTGCTAGGATTCATGTGAACTTTGAGCTAATGGTAAGACTTCATCATATTGGAATCATTAGCTCCTTCGGGATAGGTTTACAGGAGAGACTGGTCTGATTGTACCTAATAGAAATTAGATCCACTGGTTCAGCCCTGGGTGTCCTTGTGAGTATCTAACAGAACCTTTCAGAAAGGTCTCTTGGCTCCTTCTAGGAATGTGGACTGAAGGGTGAATCGTAGAGGGTGAGAGGGAAGAAGAAAGATCTCTGATAGTTCCCTTTGGGTCCACCTGAGTCAAGACCCTACTCTATGAGCTTAGGCCGTCATGTTTATCTGGTATAATACTGCTTGTGGATGAATTTAACATTTCTCCTTTCTCCAGGTTCGGCCCAATAACTATAGCACCTTTTATGATGACCAGAGACAGAACTGGTCCATCATGTTTGAGTCGGAAAAGGCTGCTGTGGAGTTCAATAAGCAGGTGATAACATCTTACTCTCCCTGTGAAAAGCCAAAATACTTGTTTGGATTTCCCTTAATTTTAGGGAAACATATAGAAAACCCATAATCTGCTGTGTTTTGTTAGTGACTAGCATAAAAAACCCACTAAATTTGCCACTTCGGCCTATTGTATGATTTCAGGAAAATAATAGGAATACTTACTGAAACTGCTTGACAATTTAGCCTTTTTCTTTTTTAACAGAGAAAGACTAAATGTAATCTTATTATATTAAAAAATTTTCTACTACATAAATTATCTTAAGGAATAAATAAAACTATCTTTAAAAAATAGTGTTTTCAAAGAATGTTTTAGGCTGGGTGTGGTGGTTCATGCCACGCTTGTAATCCCAGCATTTTGGGAGGCCGAGGCAGGTGGATCACTTGAGCCTAGGAGTTCAAGATCAGCCTGGGCAACATAGTGAAACCCCATCTGTACAAGAAAAGAAAGAAAGAGAGAGAAAGAGATAGAGAGAGCAAGAAAGAGAGTTAAGTTACTACATACTCATTGTAGAAAATTTAGAAAAGCATTAAAAAAAATCACTCATAGTCTTACTACTCAAAGTAACCACTATTAACATATTTCCTTTTTTCTATGCATAATATACATAAGTAGATACAGTCCTTTAATAGTTCTTTATCATGCTTATTTTATTTAAAAATGTATAATTCATCTTTTCCTACCTCATGAAAAACTATTTGGAAACATTTTTGAAGGCTGCATAATATGCATGTTGTCAGTTCAAGCTACCGTAACAAATTACCATAGTCTGGTTAAGCAACAGAAATTTATTTCTCACGGTTCTCGAGGCTGAAAGTCTGAGATCAGGGTGCCAGCACGGTCGGGTTTTAGTGAGACCCTCTTCTGGGTTGCAGACTATCTTCTTCTTGTATCCTCACATGGTAGAAAGAGGGTGAGAGAGTTCTCTGTATCTCTTTAATAAGGTCCCTAATCCCATTCATGAGGGCTCCACCCTCCTGGCTTACTTACTTCCCAAAGGCCCCACCTCCTAATACTGTCACACTGGGAATTAGGATTTCAGTGTAAGTATTCGGAGGGGACACAAACATTCAGCCCATAACATTTGTTTCTTAATTGATGTAATCATTACCTTATGTTGTGCATTTAGATTGTTTTCTGTCTCTGCAGTAAATGATACCGTGGTGAGCATTTTTTATAGAAGTCTGTCCTTTTTTCCCCCCTACATATTTCCATAAGCTTTATTTCAGTAAGTGAGTGATTGGGTCAAAAGGTCCAGATATTTTTAGGTTCTTAATACACTTTGGCACACTGCTTTTCAGAGAGATTGTACTATTTCACATTTATATCAATTTTCTCATCGTACCTTTGCCAGCATTTAGAATGATCCTTTTTTTCTTTTGGTCTTCTTCACTTGGTTAAAAAAAAAAAAATGATGCCTCATTGTTTTTATTTGATTACAATAATGAAACTCTTTTTTTTTTTTTTTTTGAGACAGAGTCCTGCTCTGTCGCCAGGCTGGAGTGCAGTGGTGCCATCTCGGCTCACTGCAACCTCCGCCTCCCGGGTTCAAGCGATTCTTCTGCCCCAGCCTCCCAAGTAGCTGGGACTACAGGCGCACACCACCACTCCCAGCTAATTTTTGTATTTTTAGTAGAGACAGGGTTTCACCATGTTGGCCAGGATGGTCTCGATCTCTTGACCTTGTGATCCGCCCACCTCGGCCTCCCAAAGTGCTGAGATTACAGGTGTGAGCCACCGTACCCAGCCTCTGAAACTTTTTAAAAGAAAATGAGCCGCAAGTTCCTAATGGATACTATGTTAAAACACTGATAAAATTGGGTCTCAAATCCACATTTTTCTAAACTCATAAAGATCTTTCATACTATATTGCTTTTGAGGGCTTAATAATATTAAAACACAAGCCCAAGAATAATTATTCATAAATAGAATAGAATAATTATTCACAAAGATGCCCCTGACTCCTTTGTCTAAGATTTGTGCTAAGATAATATGGCCAAATCTGTAGATAGTATTGATGTGGATTCTGGGAATGCAACATGATTTTTTAAATGCCCTTCTTTCTACTGCAGTCTTTAGAAGTGCCTTCTGACGTTTTTTCAAAGCTCCCCTTTCTTTCCTAGGTTCCCAAACACTGAAACAGTAAATCAGTATCATCATCAATAGCTAATGTTTATTAAGTACTTACTATTATTTGCCAGGTACCTTGTCAAGTACTCTACTTATATTAGCTCATTTAATTTTCATAACCATCCTATGAGATTTGTGAAGCATCATCTCCATCTTGGGTACATAGAGATTATTTGGCTAGGGTCACAAAGTTAATAAGTGGCAGTGCCTGGATCTGTACCCAGACATTCTGACTGCAAAGCCATACTCCTAGGCACTTTGATCCCTGGCAAGATAACTGGCTTCCGTTTGGTTTACTTCTAAACATGTAATCTGTTTTGTTAGTGGATGAAGCTATTTGAGAAAGAGCAGTAGCAATAAAGGAATGAGTACTTATTGAGCTTAAACTACATTTATGCTGCTTTGATTTTGTCTTGCAGGTGTGCATTGCTAAGTGCAACAGTACCTCTTCCCTGGATGCAGTGCTCTCCCAGGACCTCATTGTGGCAGACGGCCCTGCTGTAGAAGTTGGAGATTCTTTGGAAGTGGCCTATACCGGCTGGCTCTTTCAGAATCATGTGCTGGGCCAGGTAAGAAAATGCACCCTGCAAGTTCTTTTGTAAACTTATATAGCATGAGGGCTATTCCCAGGGAAGATACTATTACTGTGAACGGCTGCTGTTGTCAAATAGAAATATTTTAGGATCCCCACTTTAGACACTGCAATTGCTTTGGGGGCATATTATGAAATGTGAATGTGTAAAAGATCCTCAGTGCCACCCTGTCACTTCTACTTAGGGAAAGTGGGAACCAATTTCCCCAGTACTATTATTTTTGCTAGTTGTTCATGTGTATGTCTTGTCCTCCTATACCAGTTTTACACTTGAATATATTCTTATGGGATTAAGTCTTAAAACTTCTTTTTAGACCCTCCTTATAGTTTTTCTTATAGTAGATACTGTAAATACATTGAACTTACTGTGTTTTAATATTATTGAGCCCTTAAAAGCAATATATTATATGAGAGAAAGACCTTTAGACTATGAGTTTAGAAAAATCTGAATTAGAGATCCAATTATATACTAATTTGACTTTGATCAAGTCATTTATACTCTTATTTTTTTCCATTTGTGAATGGAGGCTAATGATCTTGCTCTGCTTACTCGGCAGGGTTAGTGTCAGCATCAAAATGAGATAATTTATTTGAAAGTGTATTGTGGATGAAAAATGCTTAAATACACAGTTGTAGTAATGTGTTTTTTTTCTAAACCTGGAAAATTACTGTTTCAGAGATATTCATTATAATACCCTTTAGCTATGATGTGGGCTAATATTTCAGGTCCTTTAGAAACTATCTTCCCAGTATATTTGACATTCCCTATTCCAGAAGTAGTGTGCTGGTATGTAGTTAGTTGAATATCATAATGGTTATTATTATTTTTGAAATTGGCTGGCCTAATTTCCTTCGATCAAATTGCAGGTTTTCGACTCCACTGCTAACAAAGATAAGTTGCTTCGCTTGAAGTTAGGATCAGGAAAAGTCATCAAGGTAAAGGCTTAACTGTGTTTTTTTATGGTTTTATCAGTTGCAGTGGGTTTAACTTAGATTAAATTTTGTGGAATTCCTTTTTTTATTTTATTTTTATTTTTTGAGACGGAGTTTCGCTCTTGTTGTTCAAGCTGGAGTGCAATGGCACGATCTTGGCTCATTGCAACCTCCACCTCCCAGGTTCAAGCGATTCTCCTGCCTCAGCCTCCCTAGTAGCTGGGATTACAGGCATGCGCCACCACACCCAGCTAATTTTGTATTTTTAGTGGAGATGGAGTTTCTCCATGTTGGTCAGGCTGGTCTCAAACTCCCGACATCAGGTGATCCACCCGCCTCAGCCTCCCAAAGTGCCGGGATTACAGGCATGAACCACCATGTCCGGCCTGTGGAATTTCTAATCAGGTTATCTTTTTGACATCTGGAAATGCCTGGATGAAGAATACGAGGGGAAAATGTGTTACATTGCATTTGGGAGATTTTTATCTATGAGACACTACATTGAAGATGGTTACAATTGTTTTCTGTAGTCCTGACCTTTTCTTTTCCATTCTATGACTCTGAGAATATTATTTCATCCTTCCTATAGCCTAACAGGGGAAAAAGTGAGACAGTTTCTTCTCGAAACTTATCATAAAGGGTTGAATCTCATCTGTCTGGATTGCTTTGAATCAGCACTTTCCAATCACTGTAGAAGGCAACTGTGACAGCAGCAGGAGGAGCACTGGGGTTGAAATCCGAGAACTTGGGTTCAAGTTGTGAATTTTTTCTTTATTAACTGTGCAGGTGTTTTATAAAATAAAGAATGTTTTACACATGTGGTATATTATGGTGTCAGGACATAGTAGTGATGGTGCATCATGCTGTACTCATTCATCTGTGTGGCAAAAAGGTTCTCTCCATCATTTCATGACCACTTTTCCCAGAATCCTATGGAGACTTTTTCCCATAGATCTTAGCAGTTAAGTCATGATCACTGAACCTAGACAGATCTAATGTTGAATCTTAGCTTAACAACTTACTAACTGTGTGATCTTGGGCTAGTTACTTAATCTCCACGAGCTTCAGTTATTGAAGTAAAATGGGGATAATTCTGACAACCTTATGAAGTTTTTGGAGGGGCTTAAACAAGATCATGCATGTAAAGCATTTTCCACACTTCCTAGAAAACATTCTTTTTTGGTGGGGGGAAACTGAGTCTTGCTCTGTCGCCCAGGCTGGAGTGCAGTGGCACGATCTCAGTTCTCTGCAACCTCTGTCTCCTGGGTTCAAGCGATTCTCCTGCCTCAGCCTCCCGAGTAGCTGGGACTACAGGAGCGCACCACCACATCTGGCTAATTTTTTGTATTTTTAGTAGAGACGAGGTTTCACCATGTTGGCCAGGCTGGTCTCGAACCCCTGACCTCAGGTGATCCACCCGTCTCAGCCTCTCAAAGTGCTGGGATTACAGCCATGAGCCACTGTGCCCAGCCAAAAACATGCTTTTTAATGATAGCTTTTCTTTCTCTCTTACTGCTGTTCTTTTATTCCTCCCATTTTCTCTCATCATCTAAGATAAGTATATTTCATGCAACCCCAGATATGCCTGCTTTTACAAGTAGGTTTAGAGGGTGTATTCTAGATATTCTTATACCAACATGGGGCAGTAGTCAGACCCGACCTCTGGAGGCACTGAGTAAACGTGAAAGTGTGGATAAGTGAAACCTGTTGCTCCTGTACTTCACTTTGTCTTCTGAGGAGCTTCTTGTTTGATGAGCTTTTCCTATCTGATTTTTAAAGGGCTGGGAGGATGGAATGCTGGGCATGAAAAAAGGAGGAAAGCGATTGCTTATTGTCCCTCCAGCCTGTGCTGTTGGCTCAGAAGGGGTAATAGGCTGGACTCAAGCAACGGACTCGATCCTGGTGTTCGAGGTGGAGGTTAGGCGGGTGAGTGAAACTCTCTGTGTTTTGTTTGATGAGTCCTCTGCCTGTCTCTTTGCTAGTTACACAAAATGAATAAATAAATGAAGATACTTGAAAACCAGGTTCTGAAGGCATAGATTTCTTTGAAAAATTAGAAATGGAGTAGTCAGAAATAGCAACAGCTTTGAAATCTAAGGACCAAAGTATTATGTCCTTCCTGGCTCTCTATTCAGAGTCTAGAAGTGGTTGTGACTTTAAGAAAGTCACATCTTCGGCCGGGCGCAGTGGCTCACGCCTGTAATCCCAGCACTTTGGGAGGCCGAGGTGGGCAGATCACGAGGTGAGGAGATCGAGACCATCCTGGCTAACATGGTGAAACCCCATCTCTACTAAAAATACAAAAAATTAGCCAGGCGTGGTGGCATGCGCCTGTAGTCCCAGCTACTTGGGAGGCTGAGGCAGGAGAATTGATTGAACCTGGGAGGCGGAGATTGCAGTGAGCTGAGATCATGCCACTGCACTCCAGCCTGGGCGACAGAGCAAGACTCTGTCTCAAAAAAAAAAAAAAAAAAAAGTCACTTCTTCACACTAAGATTTTTATTTTGTCTATAAAATAGTAACTCCTGCCCAGTGTATATTCTTTTTACTTAGTGATTTTATGGCTACAAACTTATTATCTTGATATCTTTACATAAGTATGCAAAGATTGTGTGTGTGTACGTTTTACTACGACTACCTCTGCCACATAGTAATAGCAAAAAACTGGCAACAACCTAAATGTCCATCATTAAGATACTGGTTAAATTATGTTTTTTTCATAGATTTTTATGTAGCTCTTAAAGAATATGAAAAATCTATTGTTAAGGAAGCAAGTTGCAGAACATTGTGGATAGTATGGTCTCATATGTGCGTGTGTGTGTGTGCATGTGTGTGTGTCTGTGTGTATACGTATATACATATCCATATACATAGTCATATGTACATGTATGTGTATACACACATATATGCTCATATATTCATAGAAAATTCCTGGAAGCTTTAAAAGAAATCATTAAAAGTGATTTTTTTTCTGTAGAATGGAAATGGAGTTCAGAAAGTTTTACTTTTTGTCACTGTACCTTTTGTACCATATAAAAAATTTAACATGAATATATATAGTTTCTATGCAACAAATTGTGCTTAGTCAACTTAATACTACCTGTTCCCTGCCCAGAATGATCCTGTTGGCTTTATACTGTTTGTTAGGTTCAAATGTGATAGGATTTGTTACTATAAACTCTAAAATACAATACAAATAGGGAATATTATGGTCATCTTCACTGTGGCTGTTTACACCTGTCACAGAGAAAGGATGTGCTTCCCTTCTCAGTGACGCTTTCCTAACTGTTCCTAACTGGACACTCTCATCCTGCTGGGCCACTCTAGCCTTCTTTCAATGACATACGCCCTGCTGCCTTTTTTCTTTTTTACAGCTTTTATATTCTCTGTCAATTTTCCTTTGAGTTTGAAGAAATCATGGCTGGTGATAGATAACAAACCAATTTGAGTCTTATCATGACTGGCACGAGAAACAAAAAATTTTCTGTTTTACCAATAATCAAAGAATGACAAATCGATATGCATATTAAATTCACAAGGCTGGTAGAGAATCATACCCCATGTGGCAAGAGTGTTCAGAAAGATTTATACACTACTGTGGTGTATAAACTAGTTCACTCTTTGTGGTGGGAAATTTAATGGTATATATTAACCCATTTATGCTGGAGGTTGCAAATTTTTTTTGTGAAAAATCAGACCTTGGTGATGACCTTGAGCAGTAGGATATAAATAACTCCCACAAGCTTAGCGTTCCAATAATGGAACACTTGGCATAAATGGGTTAAAAGCTTTCAAAATGAGCATCCCTTTTATCCAACAATTTTAACTAATTTATAGTTTGGAAATATTTAACTAAAATTTAATTTATAGTTTGGAAATATTTAAGATTATATACAAAAATACATATACAAAGCTATTCATGGAAGCATTGTTTATGATAGAAATAAGCTGAATGTCTAACAGTGAGGAATTGGTGAAATATACTTTTTAATAGCATAGATATTTATGACTTTAGTTCCTAAAATCCTTTGGATACTTTTTCCTATAGATCATAACAGTGAAGGGCTGACCCTTGAAGTTAAATATACTCTTCAGTAGTTAAAAATAATGTTGCAAATTAATATTTAATGACATGGAAATAGGTTAATATGTCAGTGAGTGAGCAAAACAGGTTACAAAACAGCATGGCCCATTTTTGTAAAAGGTATATACAGACACAGATAATATAATGGTAGTTGGATTGCAGGTGATTGCTACCTTTGTCTTTTTGGCTGAGCTACATTTTCTGATTTGCCTACAGTGAACAGGTAATGGCTTGTGTAAGGAAAAATAAGTAAAATGAAAGGAGGGTGAAAGGGGAAGGGTATTTGTAACCTATTCCACCTGCAATGACTCTTTTTTTTTTTTAATTTATTTATTATTTATTTATTTATTTTTTATTATTATACTTTAAGTTTTAGGGTACATGTGCACATTGTGCAGGTTAGTTACATATGTATACATGTGCCATGCTGGTGTGCTGCACCCACTAACTTGTCATCTAGCATTAGGTATATCTCCCAATGCTATCCCTCCCCTCTACCCCCACCCGACAACAGTCCCCAGAGTGTGATGTTCCCCTTCCTGTGTCCATGTGATCTCATTGTTCAATTCCCACCTATGAGTGAGAATATGCGGTGTTTCCTTAGGTGAAGTTTGCCAGAGATTCTGGCTCTGATGGTCACAGTGTTAGTTCCCGCGATTCTGCAGCTCCGTCTCCCATCCCTGGTGCTGACAACCTCTCTGCTGATCCTGTTGTGTCACCACCCACATCAATACCTTTCAAATCAGGGTAAGATACTGCAGTTGTATCAAGCTCTTTTATGGCTCATAAAAATGATTCTTAGAGGGGTTCAGAAATAGAGATATAGTTAAAAACTAAAATAATTTTAAATAACTGGAAAAAATGGGATCAGGGAAATGGGGAAGATACTTGCATCAGATTTTTCTGACAAAGGTTTAATATTCATAGGCCACAAAAGCACTAACTCAGAAGAATACTTATAAAATTCTGGAAGAAAACTAAGCCAAGGGCATAAATACAAAATTATATACTCATGGAAAAAATGTAAATATAAGCATTTGGATGGAAAGTTGTTCATCTTTACTAGCATTCAAAGATTATGCAAACTAAAGAAGAGTTAAAATTCTGTTTTACAGTCATTAAATTGGCACACATTTAAAAAAACAATTTGCTTATCCAATATAATTTGGACTTGTGATTCTGGATTTTGTTTTCAATCTTGGAATATGGTCTATTTGCTTTCAGGGAGCCAGCTCTTCGTACCAAATCTAACTCCCTCAGTGAACAACTTGCAATAAATACAGTAAGTATAAGAGTCTTGGCCAGGCATGGTGGTTCACACCTGTAATCCTAACACTTTGCGAAGCTGAGGCAGGAGGATCACTACAGTGCAGGAGTTCAAGACCAGCCTAGGCAACATAGTGAGACCTCGTCTCTCCTTTAAAAAAAAAAAAAGTGTTTTTCTCCCTCACTCCTAGTGTGCTGAGGTTTTATGTGCTTAGGATATGGTAGGTTAGAGAAAAAAAAGTTAAGAGGCTAAAAAGTTTCTAGGCTAAATCAATGGTTACTTTGTTCATTTCCCCTTACTTGGGAGTCAGTGTAAGTTAGCCTCAGCTTCTGCATAGGGATTCAAATCTTGATTCTTATAAGCATGTGGCCTTGAGAAAATTGTCTAACTTCTGTGATCCTCAGCTTCTTCATTAGTTAAAAGGAACTCATAGTCCCTTTTTACAGTTTTTGTGAGGATTAGAGATAATTTGTAAAGTGCTGAGTTCAGAGCCTTTGTTCAGTTTGTCTTTAATAAGTGGTCACCGTGATTATTATTAGGATTTAGGAGACTGGTGTTCAACTGACGGAGGAGCCTCTCTCAGTTAAAGTGCACTTCAATTTTAGAAGTATTATTTATTCAGAGGATTGTGTTAGTGGTTAATCCTAGACGGTCTCTTCTACTTGCTTTCTGTGACCTTAATTTAGCTTCTCTAAGCTTCATGTTTATTTCCTCATGTGTAAAATGGAGATATTGCCTATCTCAAAGAGATTTTTATGACTTGTAAATAAAATAATGCCTATGGAGTTTTTAGTATTGTGTCTGGCATATTGTAAGCGCTCAGTAAACATTAGCTCTTGTTATTATCATAAGTATTGCTAACATTACATATCTTTATACTTTCATTCTCACAGAGGAGCTCTGTACTAATTCACCAGCTGATTGACTTTGAGCAGGTCACTGAGCCTCTGTGTTTCCCCAGTTGTAAGACGAGAGTGCCAGCATGCTGTTTTAGTAAAATCTGGATTTGAATGCCTTTAAGAAGGATGCATATGGTAGTTTGCTGCTGGCCTGCCTGGTCTGTGAAGGCTTCTGAGTTTGCTGCCTGTGGACCAGACAGTGGCTGAGGCACTTCAAATTCTAAAGCCCTGTGGCCTTCACCTATTGCACTGGGAAACAGAATAGTTGCATGGAGTGAAATTGGTGCTAATATCTCTGCAACCCTAGTTTACTTGTTTATATTCAATCCAACAGGAATTATTAAGCAAATAATTGTTTTGAAGTGATCTCCTAAACCCAGAAGGTTAAATCAAAGAATCAGAAGAAAATTTAAGAATAATTATTATCTCAGATCTTTGAACAGTCACAAAAATGGTCCAATATTGGTTCCATTGTACTCTGTAGTCATAACAACTCGTTACCTATTTCTAAGGCTATAGTAACTTCTAGCAGACTAATGGCCTCCAACTATTTTTCTTCTCTTTTTTTTTTTAAACAAATTTGTTTTTTTTAATGGAGGCAAAATTCACGTTACATGAAATTAACCACCTTTCTTTTTCTTTTTCTTTTCCATTTTAGTTTTTATCTTTTGTTTTGAATAGGTAATTACATTTATATGGCACAGTTATCAAAACAATATAACAAGATCTACATTGTGAGGACTCACTCCTATTCCTGTCCTTATCTACCCTATTCCATCTCACACCCCTTAGGTAACTGCTTTTATTAGTTTCTTATATATTCTTTCAGTGTTTCTTTATGCAGGTGCACACAAGTAGAAATGTATTTTTTATTCCTCCCTCCTTTCACACACACAAAGTAGCATACTCTGTATGTAATGCACCTTGCCTTTTCCATATAACTATATATATATAATTTATATTATATATATATATAATGCAGAATCTTTTCATGTTGGTGTATAGAGAGCTTCCTCATTTTAATCTGCATATCACAATATTCCATTGTGTGCATAAGGTCTATATAACTAGTCCTTTCCTGATGTATCCAACTTTTTTTGGATACATCATCAGTTACGAAAAAATAAGCACACACTCCCAGTATAGGTTTATTGACAAATTATGTACATAAAGTACCACCAATCCCTGTAAGCAAACTCAGTGTCTTACACTGATAGCTTAAAAATAATAAAAATGCAGCCTGGGCAACATGGCGAAGCCCTTTCTCGACCAAAAATACAAAAAATTAGCGCCTGTGGTCCCAGCTACTTGGGAGGCTGGGGTGGGAAGACGTCTTAAATCTGGGAAATGGAAGTTGCAGTGAGCCGAGATCACGCCACTGCACTCCAACCTGGGTGATAGAGAACCCATCTCAAAAAAAAAAAAGTAATAATAATAAAAATGGAGGTTATGATCATTTCCTTCTATACCCAATAGCTCATATTGTGCACCTTCAGGTGTACTTACTTGCCATTCTGAAATTTTGGATCAGTTAATGGAAGCTTCTAGCACAGGGTCTAATGGGTAGTTAATGCCAAGTCATAGTTAAGTGAACCTGAAGTTAAAACAAAGAGCTCCTGTTTCCTTTTCTCCACAGATCTCTTCTGAATTATCTACCGAATTGCTTCAGGGTTTTGAGTGAGGGTACTGTCACCTAAAATGCCTCCCTTTCTTAACATCTCACTTTAATTTTTCATCTGTAAAATGAGACTAATTATGCCTGCTGGGGAGACTTGATTGAAATGAGGCAATGTATGTGAAACCACTTTGTCCATTCCAAAGATACAGGGAATTATTTTTACTGCTATTAATTGTGATCCATGTATACTTCTATGCAAGAAATCTTTCTCATTTTCTAGAGGAAATGTTTTTAAATAGATATGGTAGGGGGATTTGTTGAAGGATTTGATACAAGAGCCAAAGGGATAGAGCTGCCTGAAGGTGATGAGCTTTAATCACAGTGATTTTTGTGACTTTCCTCTCTTTTTAGAGTCCCGATGCAGTCAAAGCCAAGTTGATCTCTCGGATGGCTAAAATGGGCCAGCCCATGCTGCCCATCCTTCCACCACAGCTGGATTCCAATGATTCAGAAATCGAAGTATGTCCCCCTGGCTGTATTAGAATGAATAGTACAGATGTCGCCATCATCTTTCTTTTCATTTGGTTGGAGTGATTGTTTTTTCTCTAAGGCAGAATCATTATTTAGAGAGCTAATATGCAAAATGATACAGATTGGTATTGGTACATGTGTTTCTACTGTGATTAGTACTTCCCTGAGAGATGGAAGCAATTTTGTAGATCTTTTACAAGAACTGGGCAGTTTTCAGTAGTTAATTTAGCCTTCTTTACTAGAATCTCTGTTGTTACTAAAGATCACTCTCTGGGCAGCATGATGCCCAATCCATAGCAGGTGTTCAATTCATATTTATTGAGCGAATGTTTAGATTCTTTTGGGAAATGTTGGTCTTCTCGCTGATGTTGCCTATCACTAAAGCTCCAACTAGTATGTCTTTTGACTTTGTATGTGGTATTCTTGTGTTTGTTTTCTATTTAGAAGTTCAATAATTTTATTGAATTCAAGTCTGTCAATTTTCTCCCCTTGTTATTTGCTTTTGACATTATGCTTAGAAAGCCTCTCCACTTTCAGATTATAAATATCACATGTATTTTTAAAGATATTGATCAATATTTTATAATTAGATCTAAATTTTTAATCCATTTGGAATTTGGTGTATGCTATAAAGTAACTTAATTTTAACTTAATTCTTCTCTAGTGGTTAGTTCTTTATTGAATATAATCGTCCTTTCTCAATTGAAGTGAAATATATAACTTAGACTGATTTTTAGTATTCTTTTACTTTGATAGAAAACAAGGAAAGGGCGATGGTCTTGAAAAAATTTTTTCTGGAATATACTTTATATTTTACATTTTTGTTTTATTTCTTGGAAAAGCTCTATGTAGATTTAACATCTTAAAGGAAGATAGGATTTCTGAGGCCTATTGTTATAGGATTATTTTTTTCTGGTCTGGAAATGCAGTGTAAATAAGAATATTTTTATTAAAAATTTTATGTGCTACTTATTCATTTTAGAATAATTTAAAATTATAGAAAAGAAACATATTGAACAAAAAGGGCATTCATCTTTATATATTGCTTTGTAACCTGATTTTTAAACCTAATGTTGTATCATAAACATTTACATTAACATAAATGATTTAAGTAAATAAAGTGGTTTAAAGGAAACCCAGTGTTCCATTATATCATTTTATTATAATTCCTTTCACTCTGTTATTAGACATTTAGGTTGGTTAAGAGCTGTAGAAATCTAAAACTGGGATGTTTTTCTAGAAGAGAATATAAGGGGACAAGGTGAAGTTCTAAAGTAAAAGAATGTCTGAAACTTTGGTCTTTGAACTATAGCATAGCAGATTACAGTCACTGTATATTGTGCCTCAAGATTTTCTGTTTCTTATATGAAGCAGGAGGTAGAATAACTTTGTTTAGAGTTATAGCTTTGATTTTATGAAAAGCTTTGGTTTTATGAAAATAAAGAATGTTGGAAAAACATCCTAAAACTATATTATCCAAAAACAGCATGTTAATCAGGTGCAGTGAATCCTACGTTATCTGATTTTCATTGAGTACCTTGAGGACTATGGGGATGATTTGTAAGAAGCGAAGAGGCTGGATTATTTCTTGCAAAAGACCACTTTTTTTGTGGGAATAGATTAGATTTGTCTTAAGGCAGTTACTGGCTTGGAAAATGATACATTCTGAAGAGTGGTTAGTTTAGCTGCTTCAGACAATAGAACATCAACCTCTGAGAATATTTGTGGAAATTAACTATATTTACTTATTCAATATGATTATAGGGAGAAGGACTCTTACTTTATTGCATAGCAGAGTGCTTTTTCTCCACAACCCACACCCTCAACTCTTGGCCTTCCGCTTACCTTTCCTTCCTCTTCTTTGCCTAGAAATCCTGTGTTGGAAGCAGGTTTAGGGCAGACAGTCAGCCTCAGTCTTCAATGAGGGACCCCGTACAGAGTAACCCAAACGCTTGTTCCTGTTTCAGGATGTGAACACTCTGCAAGGAGGTGGGCAGCCTGTGGTGACTCCGTCCGTCCAGCCCTCTCTTCATCCGGCCCATCCAGCGTTACCACAGATGACCTCACAGGGTAAGGAACCTCTCTGAGGCTCTGTGGCCTTGAACTGGGTCAGCATGAAAATTATCGTCACTGTTCCTTAAACTGTTAGGCTGCATTGTTTCAGTACTGAGGACTAAAGTGTAAATGTAAGAGTGTGACGCTTGTCAGTTTGTCCCTGGGTAAGGCATTTTCATACCCAGAGATGGACCTGGCTGCTGGTTGTGACTTCTGCTGTGTTGCACTGTCAGTTTTGGAAATCTGCACTCAGCTATTGAGACATCTCCCTGGGTGTGTTCTGCACTTCCTGTCGGGTGGGATCCTAGGGCTGAGTCAGAAGCACATGAGAGCACCCAGTTTCCTTCCACTGGCTCATTCCTGAGATTGCAGTAGAGCTGAGTGTAGGGAGACTAGGCAAGGAAAATAGTTGAGTCTGAAGCATGATAGTATGTAAGGTGCTAGTCTAGACTCACACCAAGAAGCAAGGGTGGATAACAGTGAAAATGTCTCCCTTTATCTTAGCACCTCAGCCATCTGTTACTGGGCTCCAGGCACCTTCTGCTGCCTTAATGCAAGTGTCATCTCTCGATTCCCACTCAGCTGTATCTGGAAATGCCCAATCCTTTCAGGTAACATTTTATAACCGTATTAATTATATCCTATAATTTGCTGTGGTTCTAGTCAGTCTCTTTTCTTCTTCCTGTACATTTCATACAGTAGCAGTTCCCCAAAGTCAGAGTTTGTAATTTTTTTCCCTTCCTTGGTTACCACTTTCTCATCTCTAAACCAGGCAAAGGATAACCTACGTTCCAGTGTCATAAAGATTAAATGCAAGAACAAGTAGAGCCCCTAGTACAACGTAGTAAAGATGCAATCAATGTTTGTTTCCTTTTCTTTTCACACATATCCAGTTGAAGCGTGTATATTCGCGTTCTTCTGTATTCTTTTCTACTAAAAGTTGGCAGGCTAACATTCTGCAGTATATTCAGCAGAATGGTATGGTTTAAAAGTGGAACCATGTGGAAAATGTAGCTTGACTCTGCTATCTAGTAAACTTTTCTTAAAGAAGGCCTTTTTCCTGTTATCACAGAAAACAATGGCAGCAGCCTGTTTGCCAGGGGTAGCAGACCCTTTCTTCTGCCTCAACACACTTGGTGGATAAGGCATACTGTCACTGGGAACAGCTGCTCACTCCTTGTGATGCTTAATGGAGGTGTGGGAATGATGGTGGATAGGCTATGCCTCATTAACATGGGGAGTCTCGAAACTGGAAAAAGTCCCACTGTTGCCCTCTTTCTCCCCATCCCTCCTCTCCTCCATGGAGAATTACTATGCTGTAGACTAAGAATTTTTTTTAAGTGGATGCGTAGTTATATCTATCCCTGGAAATGAGCTAGACTTCCTTATTTCAAGGAAGAATTACCATCCTCATTAAAATAAAAGCTGCTGTTTATTAAGCGCTTACTATCTGTCAGGCCTGTAACTTACTAGCTTTTCAGAACTTTACCTATCTCACTTCATTTAGTCCACAGAACAGCCCTATGAAGTGATATTATTATCTTCCTCTTACAGTTGAGGTGACCGAGACTCAAAGGAACATGAGAGCTCTTGGTCTCGTGGATTAGCTTCAGAATCTAGCAGGGGAGAGGCATCCTTGGAAATTGGCAGATTTGGTTTGGAATCTCAGTGAGCACTTCTTCTTTAAACTCAATGGAAGCTAAGCAGAGTTTATTAATCTAAAAACTTCTTAGACAATAGGCCTGATAATGGGGAATGAATCCCTGCTTAATTATCTCACCAGATGACTGGGTAGTGACCTAAGATACACTTTCTTCAGTTTCTGGGTAGGATTTTAGTGACTGGTTTCCCCTGGGATACATAGATAACTCTCCTGCTGCAGTCCTTACCAACTGCCAAACCCAGATCTCACCCATCTCTAGCTTCAGTAAGTTTGAGTCTCCTCCCAGCTCATCCACTTTATTCCACCAAAGAAAAATGTGAACAAAAAAGAAAGACATGAATGTTTTATCAACCAGTGGTAACTCGTCAGTTTCTCAGCCCTATGCAGGTATGCAAGCCTACGCTTATCCCCAGGCATCTGCCGTCACCTCCCAGCTGCAGCCCGTTCGGCCTTTGTACCCAGCACCGCTCTCTCAGCCTCCCCATTTCCAAGGTAGGGAGTAATTCCCTCAGTTTCTCATCTTCCGCTCTTGCTGTGCTTTCCCTCTTCTTGCTCCTCCTTCATTTTCACACCAACAGCTCTCTACTCATTGTTTCTTCTCTTTTTTAACAGCTTTGTTGAGATATAATATGTATTCCACACATTCATTCATTTTAAATGTGCAATTCAAAAGTGTTTTAGTAAATTTGCAGAGTTGTGCATTCATCACTACAATCCTATTTTAGAACATTTCCGTCATCCCCCAATGTTTCCTTGTGTCCACATTCTGTGTTTTTTTCCTTGGATTTTCTCCCCTGGCCCTTTTAATTCCTCTGTTAGAGTAGCTAGAGTTTAGAGAAAATAGTAAAAGAGCAAAACATTGGAGGAAATTGGGAGAAAGTTGAATACTATAGGTGTTTAGTATCTCTAATGAAAGCTACTCTGTTAACATTTTTAAATTATGAAAATAAGAGACTTTTATAAAAAAGTCAAGCAGTACAAAAGGGTGTAAAGTGAAGTTACTGTCCTTCCCCTCCATAAACCCCCTGACCTTGGGAAACTGTTGTTAACAGTTACTTGGGTAACTTTTCAGATATTTTGTATGCATGTACAAATGTGAGTATCTAATGTAAAAAAATCAAACCAAGATAAAGTGTAAACTGCTATGATGGAATCCTGCCTTGTTCTGCTATTAGTCTTCTGTTTAGTAATCAGCTTTGGTATTAGGACAGTGGTAGGAAGAAGCCAGTATGTCCTGCAACATAATTTGTGGTTCTGGACTGGTCAGGATTTCCTGAATGCAGCCTTTATCTGGAAGCTCTGCCCTTCTCCATCTGGGATACGCTTTTTCATCCATCAAAACTGTCATCTCCCTCTGTGAAGCCTTCCCTGACTATTCTCTGTCCCTCTTTCCTCTCTTCCCACAAACACAACTGTGTACGCGTGTCACCAAAGAGTTAATCGTGCTTTTCTCTGTGCTACTTTTATACCTAGTATATGGTCCATTGTTTTGCACTTAATACACTCTCTTGTAATGATTTGTTTACATGTCAGTCTCCCAGCCAGACTGAGAGCTCACCAAGGGCAGAAGCCGTGTTTTGTTTACTGCTGTATTCCTGGTACCTGGTACAATGCTTGGCATACAGTTGGATGAACGGGAAAGTAATCTGAGCTGCCGGTGCTGTGGCAGTGCAAAGTGGGCATATTTGTGCCCTTGGACCAGATGTAGCCCTTGATGCATTTTGCAGGAACACGGCTTAGTTATTGTTTACTTTGAAGCCCTTTTGCCTCTACTCTCTCCCATATATCTTCTCCTGACAGGGTGAAGTCACCTATAGCATTTCCTAGTGTATGGAAGTATTAATTTCTTTCTTTACTGGAAGAGCTACTAGCTTTTCTTCATACAGTTTCCTCTGCTCCAGTTTCATAAGTTTCTTTTTGGCTTGTATCTGTTTAGGATCAGGTGATATGGCTTCATTTCTCATGACTGAAGCCCGGCAACATAACACTGAAATTCGAATGGCAGTCAGCAAAGTGGCTGATAAAATGGATCATCTCATGACTAAGGTGACTGAGTCAGAGTTGGGGTGATGTTGAAAGTGGGGATGTAAACAGGGAGCAGCCAGAACTGTAGGTAAACTCTTCTTTGATTTCCTGCATTGGTAGTAGTGAGAGGTTATTTCCCTACAAGGATAGTTATAATTATGTTGGGATCCAGTTAGTAGGAGAAAACTCTAACTTAACAGTTAGAGATTGTCCCAGGAACTCATTAACCCCCTTAACAACAGGGTCAAATCTTGGGTAAATTGTATTTCTTCATTTTATAATTTCTCACAAGGTCTTTCTGGTATCCCTTTTGTAGGTTGAAGAGTTACAGAAACATAGTGCTGGCAATTCCATGCTTATTCCTAGCATGTCAGTTACAATGGAAACAAGCATGATTATGAGCAACATCCAGCGAATCATTCAGGTGAGGGTGATTAAGAACATACCACTCAGGCTGAAGGTCTTACCCATCCTCTCTTCTCAGAGGTACTACTCTTTAACACCTCCACCCCAGAAATAGCCTGTGATAAACGCTACACTGGGTTAGACAATTCTAGAAAATCCATTATGGCTTAATTCTGTCCAAGTGACTTATCACTATATATTCTGAAGGAAACATTGCTTTTTTGACCATACTTCAGAATTTCACTTCTTTTTTTAGCCATTTATTCACTCAATCCATTGGACCTAGTGATTTGTATCCATCAGGTGTAATCTGATGTGTTGTTTTAACATACATGTGGACATAAGTTCTAGTGTTTTGTCTCAAAACATGTTAACAATGTCACCTGTCAGTTCAAGTTGATTCTCTTCTATCTGGCACTTTTCTCCCAAGACACTTAAATTGTACATCATATATTTTGAAATTAGGAAAATGAAAGATTGAAGCAAGAGATCCTTGAAAAGAGCAATCGGATAGAAGAACAGAATGACAAGATTAGTGAACTAATTGAACGAAATCAGAGGTAATGACAGGTACGGGGCCTGGCTAGGATGGACAAAAGGGTTTATTATGTATATGCCCAGCTTAAGTACACGTATTTGTTTAGGGCAGTACGTATGTATTTCTGCCATTTCTGTTTCCTGCCTGTCATGTGAATTATTGCCTGTTTTCTGAGAGGCATTGCAGTAGAAGGAGCTTAGTAGGCTGTGATGTAGGGCAGACCTGTGTTTGATTCCTGCTCTGACCCTCATTCATTCTGTGGCTCTGGGCATGTTATTTATTCCTGCTGGCCCTAGTTTCTTTATCTTTAAAACTGGTATTATTACTTACAGAACTCTGGTGTCAACTCTTCTCTCTTCTGTGTGGGCTAACTCTATTTTATCCATCAGAACTCAGCCAAAACTTCACTGATTCCCATATAAGACCTAAGGATTTTGTACTTTTTGTAGATACTTCTGAAGATTTGGAGGGGTGGGTGGGGAGGATGAGTGGAACACATCACAACACAGCATTTCACTTAAAAAAAATCATTCTCCCATATTTCTCTTCTCCACTGTCTCTTGTCTCCCACATGACAGAGCTGGGGGAGTGGCTTTCTCTTCTTCCCTCTTTCTTATAGCCTCCTTACTCCTGTCTCTTTCCTACTCATTCCCATTATCACACACCATTCACATTGTTGTCCTCTCCATTATTCAGGGTAGTTCACTGCTGGCCCAGGTTCCTGCTTCCAACCTGATTTCCTTAGATCTCACTACTTCAGATCTAAGGAAAAGAAAATGCTTTCAAATTGCTTTTGACAAAGGTATAGAGCAGCAATGTTGTGAGGACAGAATGGGCATTGGGTTGTGCCTGCCATACACTCAGTGCTTGATAAATGTTTTCTTTTTCTCTATTTCTTTCACAGGTATGTTGAGCAGAGTAACCTGATGATGGAGAAGAGGAACAACTCACTTCAGACAGCCACAGAAAACACACAGGCAAGAGTATTGCATGCTGAACAAGAGAAGGTAAAGCAACTGGGGAGAGAAAAGCCCAGGTCAGGATGGGTAGAGCTAAGGAATGGTCCCATGTACATACTCACCAGTCGGCTTTCCAACAGAATTTTTGCAGTCACTGCAAAAAGAACTAGATATCTCCCAGCAGGTTTTCATGTATTCATCATCTACATTTCTGTTTTATAATATGCTTCGCAGTAAGGTGACTCAAAAATAATCACTGATCTTAGTAATTTGATTAGTTAAGAATTACACAGCTTATTAGAAACTAAATTTATTCTGTTGACAAAATCAACAGAAAATTTCCTTTATACCAGGTAACAGATGTGTAGGTTCTTTTTAGTGGAATTTAAGATTGTTTGCTCCTTCATCTGTGTCTGCCAAAGCATTTTAAAGTACTACTGTTTGACTTCAATCCTTTCAAAACCAGGAATTTTGACCTGTTCCTGCAGTAGCAGTAAGTAGTGGGTCTTGGATTGGGATCTGCTGATTCTGAAGCTCGCTTCTCCCCTTGCTCCAGTGACGTTCTTTATCCTGAATGGATTCCTTCTTGTTTGGGCTACCACTCATCAGCTAGGAGATCCTGACTTTTTCATCTACTGTCTTTCTTCTCAGAGGTTTAGAACTCGTTTATATTTTGTATTTGTGTTTTCCTTGAAAACATGAAAAGTTAGATTGAACACACTTGTAACTTGTGGAGTTTACTCACTTTCTCATATTCTGTAATGAGGATTCCTTACTATGTCTTATGCTAATCTTTGTCTTCTCTTAGCCCTAGAATCCAGGCAAGCAGTGCCTCATCCTGCACAGCCCTGTCCAATCCTGACCCTGTTCTGTTCCCATTACTTTATACCATTTCTTATTTATGTGACTGACTCCTAATGCCTAGGTCAAGATCAGCAGCCTGTAACATTGTTATCGTTAGGTAGTACTGAAGTCACTTCACCACTCCCCACCCACTAAATGTACTTTTTACTATTTCTCCTTCCTCTACTTTTATTTCTTCTCTTCCTTTCCTTTACTCCTTTTGTTTGCTTGTTTGTTTTTTCTTTATAAAGGGCATCTAAATATATTATTTGGCCTCACAGTTACTATTCAGGGCTAAAATGATTACTGTAACTTGTTCCAGATCAGTGGTCCACAAACACTGGCTGCCTCCGACTTACTTGGGGTGCTTGATTAAAACTAGATATTCTTAAATCCCGAACCTCCAGAGATTCTAATTTAGTTTATCTAGCTGGGGCCTGAATCTGAACTTTTAAAAAGATCCTATAGATTCCAGGTGTAGGAATTACTGCTCTTGTCAGTGATTTCTTTTGTCATAATCTCTGGAGGGGCAACATTTTTAAGAAGTTCAGCATGTGATTCTCATGTTGAGAAGCACTGTTTTGTGTGTGTATGTGTTCCAATAAAACTTTATTTACAAAAATAATAGGTCAGTTTGGCTCATAGGTCATAGTTTGCCAGCCCCTGAATTAGCTCAATAATCTACCCAAATGTTTTCATGTTGATAAACCCCAGAGATGTCTGATACCATGCACTGAACCCAGTAGATGCTCTATTTATAATAGCAAAACAGTAGAAGTAATAATGACAATAGTAATCACAGCTAATATCTGCCACAACCCACTGTGTTATAGATACCATGTTTCACACAAATTTTTTAGGGAATCTCTTGATGCATATGACTGGGATGCCAAGTACCACATGTTTTACTTGATCATCTTTATTTCAATGAAACTTTTTGAGCCTTGACTCTCCCCTCTTTTTCTTTTGATCCACTTCTCACTTAACAGTTTTCCTGGTGATCTCTCCTTTTAAAGGGAGATGGGCAAGGTCCTTTTGTCCCTGGAGGCAATTTTCTGCCTTCAGACACAGCTCAGAAAAGTATGGTTAAGGGCTCAATGAATATTTGGTAAATGAAATTATTTTTCACTGTGATATAATAGTACCACAAAAAATCGTGGAATAATGGCTAAAACTGGAAGAGCTATTAGAGGTTGCCTTCTTAGTTTAACCTTTTTATTTTACAGGGACAGACCAAGGATCAGAGAATGAAAGGGTAAAAGACCTGCATAGGACCCCATTTCCATTCAGCTATATTCCTTTTCCTGTGTCAAATTATTATCTCTCTTGAGTACTATTTTCCTGCTTCTACCTTGCATGCTTTTTTTCACTGTTTTTCTGAACTGTTAGTTCTTCCTGTCATTGCTTTCTTTTTCTCACTCTCCATGTCAGCAGTAGAATTTGATCCAGGGTAGGAACCAGGGTGTAGATTTTTTTGTGTTTTCCCTTCTCACTTGATTATACCCTGACCTTAAAAAAAAATTATAAGTACACCTATACACACACACACACACACACACACACACACACATTTTTTTCTGATCATAAAAGTTGCATCTGTTCAGTCTGGAAAATTTAGAAATACAGATAAGCAAACATAAAATATAAATCCTTCCACTCAAAAATAATGATTATTAATATCTTATCCATTCCCTTATTTTCTGTGTACATGTACATTTGGGGGACAGCATTAATTTTTATGCTTCTGAGAGGCCTTTCTAGCTAAGGACCTGAGATAAAAAGAGCTTTTGGGTGATTTTCTACTCTGCTTAACCTTTAGCAAGAGAGTAACCCTGCATTTCATTGGCACGCCTTTGGAATTTGTCCCTTCCAGTGTTTTAGCTGCTGCAAGTCCTTATGAGAGAGGTGCATGTTCTGTTATTAGTGAACTCTGAGCTATGAATAGATGCAAAGCTCTCTGAGCTCTGAGTTAGTTTTGTTTTCATTAGGCCATTTGAAGCAGGACAATGAGTAGATGAAAGCCACTCCTATATCTGGAACTTCTAGATTTCATTGTCATCTGTGTTTAGCAGGTGAAAACCTAAGGCTACTGAATAGCAAAAATAAGTATCTTAAAGCTTAGTCTAAAGGTTACATATACTCTCAGATACTCATTTATAGCCTATTTATTTTTATTTATTTATTTTTTAAAGTGAAAGCAAGTTTATTAAGTGAAGGAATAAAAGAATGATTACCCCACAGGCAGAGCAGTGGCATGTTATTTTTATTTTATATACAATTTTGTTTTCTTGTTTTTTTTTTTTTTCTTTTGAGATGGAGTCTTGCTCTGTTGCCCAGGCAGGAGTGCAGTGGCACGATCTCAGCTCACTGCAACCTCTGCCTCCCAGGTTCAAGTGATTCTCCTGCCTCAGCCTCCGAGTAGCTGGGATGACAGGCGCCCACCACCATGCCTGGCTAATTTTTGTATTTTTAGTAGAGACCGAGTTTCACCATGTTGGTCAGGCTGGTCTCGAACTCCTGACCTCGTGATCTGCCCGCTTCGGCCTCCCAAAGTGGTGGGATTACAGGCGCGAGCCACTGCGCCCGGCCTTTATTTTCTTTTTTTAGGAGAGTCAAAATATCAGATTTTAAATGCAATCTATAAAACCGATAAAGACTTTGGAATAAGGCGAGGAATAAATATATTTAAAACAAGTGGGTACAGTGAACACAGTAAGAAGAGACAAATGATAATAAGGAAATAGACAACTGTGAAAATGTATGTAAGGTATAATAGAGACAGGCATAGTAGCTTGCACCTGTGGTCCCAGCTACTCCAGAGGCTGAGGTGGGAGGATTGCTTGAGCCCAGGAGTCCGAGGCTACAGTGAGCTATGTCGTGTCATTGCACTCTAGCCTGGGTGACTGAGCGAGACCCCATCTCTAAAAAAAAAAAAATTTTAAGTATACTGGTATAGGTATAATAGTATAGGAGTCATAATAGTAGTAGTAATATAATTGTATAGGAGAGATGGTCCACCCCATAATTTGAATTTGGTTTAATGCAGGTTGAAGGCAGCCATAACTCCCTGTTTACTAGTTCAGTCTACATAGAGTTATGTGAGGTTGGTTCATCACCTGCATGGAGAACACCTATGTTTAAAGTGACATCATACTTTGTTATTATTCAGGCCAAGGTGACAGAGGAGTTAGCAGCGGCCACTGCACAGGTCTCTCATCTGCAGCTGAAAATGACTGCTCACCAAAAAAAGGAAACAGAGCTGCAGATGCAGCTGACAGAAAGCCTGAAGGAGACAGATCTTCTCAGGGGCCAGCTCACCAAAGTGCAGGCAAAGCTCTCAGGTATGTGCTAGGTGGGGGATGCTGGGATTGTTGCCATTTAAACTCAAGGAATTAAGCTGTTTTCTTCCTCTCAATTTTTTTGGCATGATGCTCATGAAGTTTTTGAAGGACTACACCAAAAATTAAAGGAGACTAGTATAAAACCTACATGATTGTTTTACAGAAGGAACAGCAAAAGAACTGACTATTCATGTGGAATTGATCAGTGCCACAGTTCCCTTTTGTTTGGGGAGGTGTTGGCTTCAAAATCTTTGGTACTTATGATTGGCTTCAAATGCCTGGAATAGTTGATGTGTTGTTCTAACTCATGACTCAGTGGAAGTTTAAAAAAGAAATGCTTCCTGGTGTGGTTTCTTCTTTCCTAGAAGATGGATTGCAACTCTTCAGCCTCACACTCAAGGCCCATCCTGCTTGGCTTGTCTCCCGTTATATTGTCCAGTTCATCCTGGCCCTGACCATGCCAGCAAGCCTGCTGGCTGCTCTTCAGCTCATCCTGTAGTTCTTGTCTTGCTTCTTATCCATGCTATTCTCTGGACTTGACATGCCCACCATTACCAATATTCGCTTTTAGTCCTCTTCAAAATCTGCCTCTTTCAGAAGCTTTCCTAGTTTTCTCTAGAACATTTGATCTCTTTAAAAAAAAATCCTTTATCTCATAGTGCATTATTATAACCCTTATCACAGTTTGATAAGCATGGTGTTTTGCTCATCTTTGTAAAGTCCTCTCCTCCATATTAGTGTTAGTTCAGTGCCTGGCAAGACATGGTGATTGGATAGAAGATTTGTGAAGACCAGCAGGTTGATTAATCTACCTTGGTTTATGGAAACAAATATGGAAGGCAGACATGGGACTAGTGGGCAGGGGGTAGCTGGAGCAGCAGCAGAGTTGGGTGGAAGCAAAGTTCATTTGCCTAATAGAGAACTAAAAAACAATGATGTCAATTGGTAAGGTGCTACCTTGAAGATACATCCCTTCCCTTTTATTTTTTTAAAAATTTTTTATATTTTGTAGAGACAGGAGTCTTACTATGTTGACCAGGCTGGTTGTGAACTCTTGACCTCAAGCCATCCTTCCGCCCTGTTCTCCCAAAGCGTTGGGATTAACAGGCATTGGCCATTGCTCCCAGCCCATCTCTTCCCTTTTAGAGCATGACTGGGCCCACATGAGGCAAATGTGTTAGACAGTCTTAGATTTGAATGTTGTTCAAATGTCTCATTTCTGCTTTTGTGGTGCCTTATGACAATTACCTCAAGAGTCATAAGAGTCTCAAAAGTTTCCCAAACAAATTTTATTTATTTCAAAGAGCTTTATTTGAGAAGGGATGCTTTGAAAGCAAATTCTTGGTAGAATGTCCCAGCTACCAAGAAAGTTGAGACTATCTTACTCAAGCAGTGAGAAAGAACCTGGACTAATACTAAACAATGATTGGTCCAGTGTGTTAAGATGGTGGCCAAAATGGACTTATGAGAGTTATCTGTTTCAAAGGTCATTTCTGACTGCTGGGAACATGTCCTTTCCATTTCGTATGTGGAGAAGGTGACATGTATACACAGAGATGACTTTCTATGGGATAAATATGGGTTGATGAGGGAGTCAGCTGACGGCTTGACAAATCTTATTGCTGGTCAGTGAGGTGATGTTGAAAGAAGTGAGCAGAGGCTGCTTGTGTGGTAGGATTGGGAAATCAAAGCACGCGGCTTTGAAAGAGCCACTGGGGCCAGGCGCAGGGGCTCACGCCTGTAATCCTAGCACTCTGGGAGGCTGAGGCAGGAGGACTGCTTGAGCCCAGGAGATGGAGGCTATAGTGAGCTATGATCACACCACTGCACTCCAGCCTGAGTGATGGAGCAAGGCTTTGTCTCCAAAAAATAATTTAAAAAAAGAGCTGCTGGGATAACACATAGCCCATTACAGCTTTGGTTCTGTAGCGAAGTCTCTCTGCTCCTGTATCCCAGAGCTCCAAGAAACCTCTGAGCAAGCACAGTCCAAATTCAAAAGTGAAAAGCAGAACCGGAAACAACTGGAACTCAAGGTGACATCCCTGGAGGAGGAACTGACTGACCTTCGAGTTGAGAAGGAGTCCTTGGAAAAGGTAAGCTCTACAACCCAGTTGGCCAGAATTAGCTGTTTAATAAACATTTTTATTTTCCTTTTACAAATTACAATAGTATGTGCTTATTGTAACAAATACAAATAATATAGAAAAGTGTAAAATTAAAAAAAAATTTTCCCCGCTCTAATCTCATACATTGAAGGTGACAGTTATAAAGTGTATGATCCTTCCAGATTGTTTTCTGTATGTAGAAAACATACATTCACACTCTCACACACATACATGTATGTATACTGACAACTTTTTTTACAGTAGTGGTATCACGTTTAATGTTTTTTAGGAAAATGTCATGGACTTGTACTACATAAGAAGGAGATCTTTCTCACTCGTAGTTAACTGCTGCATAGTAGCCTACTATGAGGCTGTACCATAATTTGTTTAATGATTTGCCTATCGATGGATATTTATGTTTTTATTTTTTCATTATTTTAAGCACTGCTTCTATGGACATTCTCATATTATATAACTGTTTTTGCAAATTTGTTTGAGCATTCCTACGTGATGGATTGCATGAGTAAGAATCATGGGATCAAAGGGAAGGCTACATATTTGAATTTTTATAAATATTACCAGGTTATCCTCAAAGAATAGTGCTTACACTTTCAGCAGTATGTGAGTGAGCCCATTTGTCACATTCTTCCCCACTCTACATATATCACTTTTTCTAATCTTCATTAGTCTGACAGGTGAAATATGTTATCTTGTTTTAATGTGTATTTTTATTAGTAGTAAAGCTTTCATATATTTAATACCTATTTGTATTTCTTATGTACATTCTCTCTTTAGTGTCCTTTATCCTTTTTCCTATTATTAGTTTGATTTGTAAACCCTTTTAAGGGTATCAATCCTTTGTCAGTCATAGATGTTGTAAATATTTTTCTAGCTTGCTGTCTTTTAACTTTATTTATAGTATCTTTTGTTGGTTAAAATTTTAATATCAGGAAATACTAAGTGAACAAAGTGAGAACATTTCTATCTTTTTGTCTGTTCTGGAATCGTTTAAATATGAAAATAATAAACTGCTCCTGAGGCTTCAGTAAATCTCATTAGGTAAAGCTGTTTTGGCCCAGTGCCTTTTAAGAGGGTAAATCTTGGTCTGCAATTGCATTTTTTTCCAGGATTTTTTCCATTTTATTTATTTATTTTTAACCAATTCCTTCTAACCTCTTGGCTGTTTTCAGTTTGTCATTACTATAGATACTACTACAGTGACCATCCTTGTAACACACTCTTTATGACTATGACTTATTGAATCCTTAATTACAATTTGTGGAATTTCTGGATACGTATGTTTTTAAAGGCTTTTCACAGGATTACTATCCAAAGAGAGTATATCCATTCGTTTTCTTACTATCAGGGTATGAGAATGTCTGATTTCCTGTACCTTTATTAAAGTTAGGATGTTCCCTAGCTCTTTTTTTTTTTTTTTTTTTTTTTTTTTTTTTTTTTTTCTGAGGCGGAGTCTCGCTCTGTCGCCCAGGATGGAGTGCAGTGGCGGGATCTCGGCTCACTGCAAGCTCCGCCTCCCGGGTTCATGCCATTCTCCTGCCTCAGCCTCCCAAGTAGCTGGGACTACAGGCGCCCGCCACTACGCCCGGCTAATTTTTTGTATTTTTTAGTAGAGACGGGGTTTCACCGTTTTAGCCGGGATGGTCTCGATCTCCTGACCTCGTGATCCGCCCGCCTCGGCCTCCCAATTTCCCTAGCTCTTAATAGAGGGGTAGATACAGCTCTTCTTGTTTTCCTTCTCCTGTCACCATTTTCCTCACCCAGTAGCCAAGAATGTTAAATATTTAGGGGAAAATTCAACTAAAAAATGGAGTTTTCAGAAATGGAGTAAGGATTCCACAAGGTAATTAACTGCCACCGCCATCATCCCTCTTTATTCTCTGTTAACAAGCTAGAGCTGATGATGGTTCTCTTGTTCCTAAGAACCTCTCAGAAAGGAAAAAGAAGTCAGCTCAAGAGCGTTCTCAGGCCGAGGAGGAGATAGATGAAATTCGCAAGTCATACCAGGAGGAATTGGACAAACTTCGACAGCTCTTGAAAAAGACTCGAGTGTCCACAGACCAAGCAGCTGCAGAGCAGGTAATGGGAAACTGAAGCACTTTGAAAATAGAGGGAAGGTGTGAAGGACTCAGAGAGAAAAGCTTCTGGTTTCTTCCTTACCCTTTAGGATGACATTTCTCATAGCTGATACTCTCACTTTGGAGAAAGGTAGAAAAAGTAATCCAGATATGTGCAGGAGAGCCAGGAATCAAATGGAGAATCTTCTTTCTTTTTTTAAAGCTTAGTTAATATTTAATTACATAAGTAAAAATGAAAAATAGTTTCCTTACAAAAAAAATTCCAAACATGGTAAGGCCAAAACCATCAACCATTGGACACCATCCTTCAGGCACATTATCATCCTTGAAAAGAAGGGATTGATTTAGGTCATCAGGAAGGGAACCAGGGATAGTGGCAGGACACAGCTGGATCTCTAGTCTGTGCAACAGCAACCTTTCTCATTATAAGCTTAAAATTTATATGCATACATTTGTTTAATTAGAGTGCATTGGTGCCCTCAATTTGACCACCTCTGGGAATTTTGGTGAAAAAAAGTTTCTGAACCTATAAAGTTTAGGGTTCAGACCCTGAAAAGCAGTGATCACATGGCCCTGCCCTCCAGGGACCTATCTAGATAGGCACACTTTTGTCTGCTTGGAGTACCTTTTGGAGTCCTGACAACCAATGACATCTTAAGAAGTGCATTTATTTTAAAAGTAATGAGTCTTTTAAACAGTTTCCCAGTTAAATCTGGGCTGTTAGCTTATTCTTTTGCTTTTTGAAAGATGGGTTTCCCTAGGTGCAATGGAATCTCACTCCCCCACCCCCAAGGATGATATGGTCATTACTTTCTCTTGGCAGCTGTCTTTAGTACAGGCTGAGCTACAGACCCAGTGGGAAGCAAAATGTGAACATTTGTTGGCCTCCGCCAAGGATGAGCACCTGCAGCAGTACCAGGAGGTGTGCGCACAGAGAGATGCCTACCAGCAGAAGCTGGTACAACTTCAGGAAAAGGTACATATTTTTCTTGAGTCAGACAGTTTAGGCAGCCCAGTTAATTTGAGGCAAGCAGGCTGTTTGAGTCCTGTCGATCCTTCTAAGCCTGAAAGTTATTAATATCTAGAAGACAAAACCACACTTGTTTAGCTTGTCAGTTATCTTTCACATACTTATGTGGGGTGATAGGTCAGTGACCTGGAAAAAGAGAAAACAGCACTAGTGTTCCGGAACATGTTTCCCATTATTATTGGATCCTTCATTTATTAAGCAAATATTTATTGAGAGTCAGTTGTATTCCATCCAGTGTGTTAAAGGAAGTGCATACAAGGAACCCTTCCCTCATGTATCTCACAGTCAAGAAAGGGAGACAAAGAAACAAAGATAGGTGTTAAGTGCTATGGGGCCCAGAAGAGGAAGTACCCAGGAGAGCTGGGAAGGTTTCCCAAAGGTGGTGACATTTGAGCAGAGCCAAGAAGGACAAATAGCTTTGGTAAGGCAGCAAAGGAGGCAGAACATCCTGGGCAAAGGCACTGAGATAGGATGGAGGCTGGGGTGTGGTGGGATCATCAGGCCTGAAAAAGAGAGATGGGACATGGCTTAGGGTCATGGTGTGAAAGTCCATATTCGAGGTCAGTTTCTTTCCTTAAAGTGTCCAGTTGAAAACTTTTGGCTCAGAGATCTTGGAGGCAATCTTGCAGATGAATGACAAATGGGTTGCTGTTAATGCTGAATGTTTATGTCTAAATGACTAGTTATTACCTACCCTCCTGCTCTTTTTTCATTATATTTTTTACCTGATTGGGAACAAGGCAAGCAACCTTCTTGGGAAAGAGAAAGTGAAGTTTTGCGTTGAAGTCGAATGATGAGGAGATAGAACTCTCTGAGGCAGAGGGTCGTGGGTGGGGGCTGAGGGAGTGGACACCAGCAGACCTAGGCGAGGTTAAGACTTGATGTTTAGAGATTCTGGAGAGGATGTGGAGAAATAGGAACGCTTTTACACTGTTGGTGGGAGTGTAAATTAGTTCAACCATTGTGGAAGACAGTGTGGCGATTCCTTAAGGATCTAGAACTAGAATTACCATTTGACCCAGCAATCCCATTACTGGTTATATACCTAAAGGATTATAAATCATGCTACTATAAAGACACATGCACATGTATGTTTATTGTGGCACTATTCACAATAGCAAAGACTTGGAACCAACCCAAATGTCCATCAGTGATAGACTGGATTAAGAAAATGTGGCACATATACACCATGGAATACTATGCAGCCATAAAAAAGGATGAGTTCATGTCCTTTGCAGGGACATGGTTGAAGCTGGAAACCATCACTCCCAGCAAACTATCACAAGGACAGAAAACCAAACACTGCATGTTCTCACTCATAGGTGGGAATTGATCAGTGAGAACACTTGGACACAGGGCGGGGAACATCACACACCGGGGCCTGTCGGGGGTTGGGGGACGGGGGGAGGGATAGCATTAGGAGAAATACCTAATGTAAATGATGAGTTGATGGGTGCAGCACACCAACATGGCACATGTATACCTATGCATCAAACCTGCACATTGTGCACATGTGCCCTAGAACTTAAAGTATAATAATAATAAAAAAAAAGAATTTGAAATAAAATTGTCTTTTTATTATATGCAAAAAAAAAAAAAAGAGACTTGATGTTTGGGTGGTTCTCCTCCCCTTGGGTTTTCTGACCTTCACCTGGTTCCTGAGGCCACAGCCACAGTCTGTTTGTTTTGCAGTGTTTAGCCCTCCAGGCCCAAATCACAGCTCTCACCAAGCAAAATGAACAGCACATCAAGGAACTAGAGAAGAACAAGTCCCAGATGTCTGGGGTTGAAGCTGCTGCATCTGACCCCTCAGAGAAGGTGAGCTGGTATTTCAAATGAGAAGCAAGCCATTTATATCAAGCATTCAGAAAGAACATGGCCAGTATGTTGTGTTAATAGCTCTTTTTCTAACTTTAGTGATGTTTTACTTGTCTGATGACTTTAAAATGAACCAGATTTGGTGTTTGTTTGTTTGAGACGGAGTCTCACTTTGTCACCAGGCTAGAGTGCAGTGATGTGATCTTGGCTCACTGCAACCTCCGCCTCCCAGGTTCAAGCGATTCTCCTGCCGCAGCCGCCTGAGTAGCTGGGACTACAGGCACGCGCCACCACACCCAGCTAATTTTTGTATTTTTAGTAGAGACAGGGTTTCACCATGTTGGCCAGGATGGTCTCGGTCTCTTGACCTTGTGATCCGCCTGCCTCAGCCTCCCAAAGTGCTGGGATTACAGGCATGAGCCACCATGCCCGGCCCAGATTTGGTTCTTGAGTTTAAGGAGCTTACAGCCTAGTGGGAAAACAAACAAATACATACTTACATATTAAGTGGCAAACCCAAAAGAACCCTATCTTTCTGAGGTTTTGACAGGTATAGGAAGGGCCTCTAACCACAGAAGAAGAATGGGGCTTGGGGAGTGTGCCCAGCATCCACTGGCCTCTGACCCTTAGAGCCTATGGCAGCTCCTAGTGGTGCTCACAGTGGGAGGGGGACATCAAGAAATGGTCTTTAAGCAGTCTTGGGCACACAGACCACAGCTTGCCTGCCCTTGATAGGTAACTCTCATGACTAGCCCTTCTGTCAAAGTGCTGCTCATTATTTAATATCATCCTCTCCACAGTGACAGCCTTCAGTGTCTCTGCTTATGACCAGCAGTATCCCAGTGTAGAGATCTAAGATGGCTTCATTTTGGCCTTCCATACACCTCTCTGGAATTTAATGCATCCTTTAGTGACTTGATTTTGACAGCATGTGTTTTGATGTTCACACAGGTCAAGAAGATCATGAACCAGGTGTTCCAGTCCTTACGGAGAGAGTTTGAGCTGGAGGAATCTTACAATGGCAGGACCATTCTGGGAACCATCATGAATACGATCAAGGTACAGCCAGCCAGCTGTCATTTGTTTCATCGTATTGGGCATTTTGTTGCTTAAGTACCTTCTAAGGGATCATGAATAAAAAATTGTTCAAAGCTGGCACAGTGGCTTATGCTTGTAATCCCAGCATTTTGGGAGGCCAAGGTGGGAGGACTGCTTGAGGCCAGGAGCTTGAGACCAGCTTGGGCAACATAATGAGACTTTGTCTCTACTAAAATTAAAAATTTAAAAATTAGCCGGGTATGGTGGCACGTGCCTGTAGTCCCAGCTACTTGGGAGGCTGAGGCAGGAGAATCACTTGAGCCCAGGAGTTCAAGACTACAGTGAGCCATGATTGCCCCCAACTGCACTCCAGCCTGGATAACAGAGCAAGACCCTGTCTCCAAAGAAAAAAAAAAGAAAATTATTCAGGACTGTTCCTCAGTAATTAGGATGCCTGGAGTGACTTGACAGATATAGTCAGCCTCTTTTAACAGGAAAGAAGCAAAGTCATTTAAACTACATGACCAGTAGTGTTAATAAGAATTAGGAGTGGCTACTGTGTTCCTTTCAGTGACCATCTCTTCCTTGGCTTTTGAATAGATGGTGACTCTTCAGCTGTTAAACCAACAGGAGCAAGAGAAGGAAGAGAGCAGCAGTGAAGAAGAAGAAGAAAAAGCAGAAGAGCGGCCACGAAGACCTTCCCAGGAGCAGTCAGCCTCAGCCAGTTCTGGGCAGCCTCAAGCACCCCTGAATAGGGAGAGGCCAGAGTCCCCCATGGTGCCCTCAGAGCAGGTGGTCGAGGAAGCTGTCCCGTTGCCTCCTCAGGCCCTCACCACTTCCCAGGATGGACACAGAAGGAAAGGGGACTCAGAAGCTGAGGCACTCTCAGAGATAAAAGATGGTTCCCTTCCACCCGAACTGTCTTGCATCCCATCCCACAGAGTTCTAGGGCCCCCGACTTCAATTCCACCTGAGCCCCTAGGCCCTGTATCCATGGACTCTGAGTGTGAGGAGTCACTTGCTGCCAGCCCAATGGCAGCTAAGCCCGACAACCCATCAGGAAAGGTCTGTGTCAGGGAAGTAGCACCAGATGGCCCACTACAAGAAAGCTCCACAAGACTGTCCCTGACTTCAGACCCCGAGGAGGGGGACCCACTGGCCTTAGGGCCTGAAAGCCCAGGAGAGCCTCAGCCTCCACAGCTCAAGAAAGATGATGTCACTAGCTCCACCGGTCCCCACAAGGAGCTGTCAAGCACAGAGGCAGGTTCCACAGTTGCAGGAGCAGCCCTCAGACCCAGCCATCATTCCCAGCGTTCCAGGTATGTTCCTCTGAGCACTGCTTCAGGGACAGGGTAGTTATCTGTGGTGAGTGTCTCTGTTTTTTCCAGGGCTGGCAACTCATCCCTCAGAGACTAATTTACTCATGTCTTCATTCATTAGTTGATGTATTAATTCAACAACACCTACCATGTACAAGGCTCTGTGGCGGGCCCTACAGTAGTGTGGCGGGCCCTGTGGTAGTGTGGCGGGCCCTGCGGTAGTGTGGCGGGCACTGTGGTAGTGTGGTGGGCCCTGTGATAGTGTGGTAGGCAAGGCAGGTTTGGTTCTTGAGTTTAAGGAGTGACAGTCAAGTGGAGAAAACAAATACATACTTACATATCATAAAGTATGATAAGTCCTTTTAAAAAAGAAACAGGGTGCTATTCTAAAGGAGTTGTTCCACTTTAGATAGGGTGGCTAGGGAAGGATTCTGAGAAGGTCACATTGAAAAGATGACTCTGGCTGTAGGTTCTGGAGGGGGCCAACCGCACTAGGAGGCCACTGTAGGGTGTGGGAAGAGATGGTGGCAGCGGAGGTGGGAGGAATTCCTGAGCAGTCACCAACGCTGTTGAATTCTTACCCAAGGGCCGGTGACCCTTGTAGGTGGTGGGTACTGTGACCTGGAGCAGGAACAATAACATTTTCTATGACTTGATTTTCCTTCAGTCTCTCTGGGGATGAAGAGGATGAACTGTTTAAAGGGGCAACTCTGAAAGCTCTGAGGCCCAAAGCACAGCCTGAGGAGGAGGATGAAGACGAGGTGGTAAGGAAATCCCAGGCACTGTCAAGTCCTCACACACCCACCTGGGGGCTCTTCCCTACTGGCTCTGAGAAGAGAAATGGAGCCTGTTGGTGGCCCACTCCCTGGACTCTGTGTGCAGGGCCCTGTGGGAGCAGGCTTGGGGCTGGGCTGGGAGGGCGCAGCTCTGTAAGCAGAGTAGGGGACGGTCACATACCACTTTACTTTTGAGAAAGAATCATAGTCTCTGTCCATGCAGGAATTAGTCCCCTCAGAGGAAGAAAGCTGAGCTGCTTAGCCCCACATTGGAATGCTGAAGCCTTAGTTTTCCCCAAATCTGCTAGGATATTATTTATATTTTAGAATTGGAAAGGACTTTGAAGATCATCTTGCCTGGCATCCTTATTCATAGATAAAAAACCTGAGGCTCAAAATGATGATTTACCCAAAGCCACAGAGTGAGTTAATGGCAAAGCTAGGACTAATCCCCAGGCTCCTGTAAAGACCTCCTGTTCCTGAGCATTTTCCACTTACTCAGCCTGCTTTCCTGCTGCCTTGTTTTGTCATCACAATATCCCTGGGCACAAAATGGGTTCAGTATTAATAGCATAGCTTCACAGAACAAGAGTGAAGGCCAGGAGAGGAGGGCACTGATAGGGACTGAATTAGAACCCCGGTTCTCGCCTCTGCTGCTCCCCGCTGTGCTAGGTTACAACCGTTCTGGCTGTCCCTAGGCCATTTTGACTGCTCTGAAATGCATATGGAGAACACAGGTGGGCTTCAGGCTCAGTCCATCTAAAGGACAGAAATATGAGGGTGAATGGGGCAAATTTTGTCCCCTCATGTATCAGCCAGAGTGGATTTTGCCTTTTGCCAAAACCTTGAGCAGAGAGCTGTGATGGATCTATGCTCCAGCTTGCATGTATCGGAGCCCTTCCCTCTTGCCTGTGTTCCTTTGGGGAATGTACCAGTTCCTTCCATGAGTCTTTCTTCTCAAGAGTTAAATTTTCATTTGAGAATCCAGAATAGCAATTCTGCCCTTAAAAAAAGGAAAAAAGGGGGAAAAACCAAATTGAGTATATTCTAAGTGACTGCCCTAAATATAGTTGGAAGCTTTTAATTAGTGAGCATATTATTGGTATTAGTACCAATACTGTCCAGTTAACATGTAGTTCTTGGGTACTCTGAAAACGACTTCACAGATGTTGTCATTTAATCTACTAATCCAATGAGGTAGGTACTTTTATCCCATTTTATATATCAGAGGGCTGAGGCTCAGGAAGATTAAATAATTTAACTAAGCTTATATAGCTAGTAAATGTAGAGCCAGAACTTTAGTCAGGACAAAACAGAAGCTGTGAGCCACACTTGAAAATCCTATACTGTCAGAGTTAGAGATCACGTCATTGATGTCCAGAGAGAAGTACGAGGTCTGGCTAATTGGTAGTGACGTGGGATTAGCCCAGAGACTTGTATACACATCACGCTGCCTTCCCTTTTGCCTGGCCCTGTGAAGATGGATTCTGGTTGGCAGTTGCTCACCAGAGCAGAGAATGCCTTAGTAGAGACTATTCAGTTCGTGCCTGTCTGTAGCATCAATCCCTGCTAGCCGGGTAGGTCCTGTTCCCTTGCCAAGCCAGAGGAGAAAGGCCAGGAGCTCAAGCTGTGAAAAGAGAGGGTCTCTCATGGCCCATCAGTCCCTTTCACCCCCACTACCTTAGCTGGAAGGAGCGAGGGTGGTGCCAGTCAGGCTAGAGGTGTGGGAGGCTGTGGCCCCGTGTTCTTCACCTCTTAGGATTCTCCAGTTGGCCAAGCCTCCAAATTCAACTCTTTCAAATGATGGGATCACACCCAGAGCCAGTCAGGCCACCTTAGGCCACGACGACAGTATTTTTCCATATGTGATTGTCTTCTTCCCAACCTCCCTTCTTCCCACTTCCTCTCGCTCTCTCAGGGCTGCTTTGCTTCTGTTTCTTCCTACTGCTCCAGTGTTTCCTCTTTGACCCTTCTTTCTCCACACAAAATGTGTAAGTTACTGCATGAGAGGAAAATCTGTCAAATCAGTACATGTGCTTCATAAATAAATGATGAGATTAGCCAAACAAAGTTCATCTTTTGTCTCTGTTGAAAGACTGCCTCCCTTCTCTGCCTGCTGGTCTCAGCTTTATCTGGAAGCCTAGGTTTGCTGGCCTCAGAGTTGGCCCTGTCAGTACAACCTCCTTTCTGACCCAGAGCTGGGAACAGAAGTTGGATTGCTTCCACTCACAGGTGGAAAGTCCAGTGGTGCAGGCACAAGTGAGGACTGACTGCTCTTTCCTGTTTTATCAGAGCATGAAGGGACGCCCGCCCCCAACGCCCCTTTTTGGAGATGATGATGATGACGATGACATTGACTGGCTGGGATGAAGACCCAGGAAACTGGTGCAAAGGTTTCTCTGCAACCCTTCCCTAAGCATGATTTTGCACAGCCAACCCTGGGTCTAGGCGAACCACAGGGTGAGGTCAAGGTGAGCATTCTGGGAACAATATTTGGGCTCAGAGGGTGGGTTGGCCACCTTCTGAGCCCCACCCCCGCCAGACCTGGTGAAGAGGATCATAACCCTGTCTTCAAGAACACTGGGATTTCAGCAGCAAGTTGGAAGAAGGACTGGTAGGTTCCCCTCCAAGCCAGTCACCTGTAAGAGTCCTGTCCTCTGCCAGACTTTTTAATCTCTTCATTAACTCTCAGACTGACCTGGGAGCCCTCCTCTACCTGAATCCAGTGCTCAACTGTGCCCCGGCAACAAGACCTGGGCTGAGGTCTCCCTGGTAGAACTAAGGGAGATTACACCATCTAAATCCCAGTGCAGTCAACAGCCTGGCCTATAGTCCTGGGACATGTATCTTCTTCTTTGCCTTAAATCTGATACAAGAGGTCAATGACTTTGAAAATAAAACTAAAATAAATGTCTATAATGAAACTTGACCCAAGCCCTTGGAGAAAAATTGAGTTTGGTTCCAAGGGCTGTCTGTGCTCTTTTGGGAATCTAAGGGTAGGAGTCTTACAGATCTGGGTCAGTTAATGTGCACAAAACGTTGTGGCATATTTACTCCCTTTGATACCTAACCCTGGAACTTTTAGGCTTTCAAAGAAAGTCACCACTGTAGTCCTAGCTCATCCCTGGGGCATGATGGTTCTGTGAGGACCAGTCCAGTCATCCTCTTGCTCCTGCAGGCTTAGTCCTGCAGTCTAGGAAGCCATGCAAAGAAGGTGAGAGGGTCCCTTCTTTCCATTGTTCATGGCACCTGAGGGATTCTTCACTTTGAGAGCAGCTTCCATTCCCTTAGAACTCATGGGACCAGGACTTATGCAGAGAACAGTAGTGAGAAAATACTTGTGGTCATTTTCTTGATTCCAGGATCTTCCAAAGATTATGCAATCAGTCTTTAAAAAAACAGAATAATTAATTTTAATAAAAAATGTTTCTTGATTTTAAATGTTTTAAAAGATAGGACCCAAAATTCCACTTCATCTGGCCTGGCATCATCCTTGCAGGCTTTGGATATGTCTCCCGTGTGCGGACCTGGGAGGCAGTGAGAACTAATTATTTCTTTGTTGCTTAACAAAAGGCGGTGCTGTTTGGCACTTTCACAGACTGGCTTATCTCCAGCAACCACTGCAGAAGACAGTGTTATCACCATTTTATAGAGGAGAAAACTGAGACTTAGAGAGGTAAAGTAATTTGCCCAAAGTTACATATCTAGGAAGCCTCAGCACAAGAATTCAAATCCTGGCCATCTGATTCCAGAGCCTGGGCTCTTGGCCAGCACAGCCTGACTGTCACTGGTTGGGGGAAGGGGCGGTGATGCTTTTAGAAACAGGCTTCTTGAGACACCAGGCAGCTTTCCAGTTCCCTGCAAACATGGGGGAATGCCCTGATCAGTCCTAAAGGTGTGACATAGTCTACTTTCTAGGGCAGTTATTTCTTATTGTAAATTAACTAGTGGCTATTATATTTGCTTCTGCCCGCAGGGAGAGAAGATGCTGAGTAATTGTGCCAACACAGGTGCTTAAAGTCCGTGTGACAGTTACTTTTCTTATAGCATGTACTCAATTAATACTTGTTACATGAATGAAGAATGACTTGACTTGCCTCAGTTGGCATTCTGGGGTGTCTACCTGGGTGCAGCATTTCAGGGCTGGGTTTCCCTGAGCAGAGTTGTCTTTGTAGCAGATGGATGGACTCTGTCCTCAGACAGGCTTATAAAGAGTACTACCAGTTCTATTAGCCCCACTCAGCCCCTGCAGTTGTTACAAGGGTTCATGTGCTTTCTGTTGGAATTAGGAGAACAGAACAGTCATAGACTATTTAAAAATATATATTTACTAAAATGTATTTGTTTGTTTTTAATTCCCAAAGCTTACAACCATCTTTTCATCTAATCTGTGAGGTATTTAGTATACAGCAGTGATTTTCTCTCTTTCCTTTTTTATAAAGTGAAGAGGTTCAACTATCCAGAGAGTCCCATCTAACTCAAAAAATGTAATGGCTTTGGTTGGATTGCATCTTCAGTCAGTACCTGCCCATGGCTTAATCAGTATTTTAAGTGAATGAATCATGTTTCCCCACTAGATCATTACGAGTAAGCAGTAAGTAATAAATAGAGAATATTAAGTATTGAACATTATTAGATGCAGCTTTTTGTTCTGCATAGAAGAAAGATGAGGATAAAGGAGGGCATTGAGGCCACGAAGAGCTTCCCAGACACCCACGGCCATCAGATCATCTTCTTCCTGCAGGCAGTGCCTTCTGGTGGAAGGAGCTCAGTCTATCAGAGAATAAACCAGGAGCCTGAAAGCAGTCCTGTGTCTCTGCCTTTAATCAGCTGTCACTTATTCTCTCCCCAAGAAAGGGAAATAGGTCTCAGCAGTTTCTGCCATCCATCATGAATCAATGAAATCATTTCATTAAAAATTTTTTTGTATGAATGTGCAAAATTGCCAACTAGGAGTTCAATGGGAAAAATAAAAAAAACTTAGTTTGTCAACATGATCCATAGACGAGATGATCTTCATGTGTTCCAAAGGCAGAAAGGTGAGAAAAAGGATCTAGCTTGGTCTCTGTCCCTCAAAGACAGAAGAGGTCAGGAAGTCCAATGGGCGATGCTCCTGTAGATAAGGCACAAAGCAGGAGAGCTGAGGGTGTCCAGGTTCCATGCCCTGCATCACCAAGAACCCTTCTCCCTGGCTTGAAATCTTTGGAAATTCCTGGTTTGAGTCACAGAGAAGCATTGTCATGGGCTCAGTAACCCTGCCACCCCTGTTATCTCCATTCTCCCTTTGGTCACAGCAGCTGTCTTAAGACACAAGACCATGCCTGGGCCCTACGTAGGCTGGCTGAGAAGGAAGGTTGCTGCAATGGCTTCCGAACTCCAGGGAGCAAGTGCTGGCTTCAGCTCAAAGTTTCCAGGGGCTGGGAATAAGGTGGAGGAATAGCCATCAGAAGAAAGGGCAGTTGGAAGTATAGTGTCTGGAAGAGGGGGCTCCATGTCCCTCCAGCCTCAGTGCCTGCACGTTCCTCACCAGCTAAGCTGTGCTGAGAAGTGGGTAAGCTAGGTAGTAGCCCACAGCAGAGCCCAAGACCACACCAAGGAAAATCCAGGTGTTGTAGGACATTACGGCCAGCATGATGAAGTAGCCGATGACCACCTGGATGACATGGATTAGAGACTGGCCAAAGTGACACAAATACCACCTAGATAAAAAGGAGAAGCAAGTTAATCCTGGTAATGAGCTGGTAATGAGGAAGCTGGGAGTAGATATCAGGGAGTAGAAAGCTGTTGAGTTACGTGACCCGATTGATTTATAACTTGTATGCTTAACCCAGGAGTGATTTCTTTCTGCCCCTCCCACCCCCGCCCCCAGAAAAAACTCGAGATTTATTTTTAAAGAGACATATCTTCACTACATTTGGTTTCAAGCTTCCTGGCATCCTAGGCAAAGGGGAAAATGAGGGTATCTATAATCTGTCTTTCTGATAAGGAATAAGAGAAAATCATCAGTAAGGCATATTTCCCCCCTGAATCTACTTCGGGAGGCAGTATGACAATGGAAAGAAAAAGCATGGTCTTAGGTGACATTATCAGTTCCTAGACCTGCCACTAACTAAAAGTGGCCTAGACAAATGTCTTAACCTCTCTGAACGTAAGATTCCTTATCAGTAAAACAGGAATGAGAATACTTCCCTTGCAGTGCAGTTGTGAAGATCTGAGACACCCATGTAGGGTGGCTAGTGATGGAGCGGGCAGGCTTATTAAGCACAGGTGAGGCTGGGGCTGGACAGAGGGCAGAACAGGGACCCTAAATGGTTGCCTGATTCGAGTGGGAAGGGAGGAGAGGAGAGCTTGTCATCCTCCTCCCACCAAGTGGGATACATTGCTTCAGGACAGCTGCAGATCCCCTCCTGGATATGGGAGCCTAGTGACCCATGGAACTGGTGAGATTTGGGGGAGGGTGGGTGGCCACCTCATTTGCTAGATAGGGGCCTGCACCTGAAGATCACTGTTCCCTAAAGAAAGCCTTCTGAGCCTCTCAAGTGGCTGGCTGTTCACAGAGTGCTTTGGCCTGGGCATCAGGAGACATGAGCTCTAGTTCACTTGGCTATGTGTAGCCACTTTGGCAAGTCCTGGTCCTTCCCTGGGCCTCGCTGTCCTCTCTGTGAAGTGGGGCTAATGCTGTCTGGGCCAGCCTGTCTCTCAGGGTGAATGTGAGGCTTCTGCCCCTTTCCCATACCCACTGCCTGTACCTGTGGTGGGTTCTGCCAACAGGGAATGAATCTGAGCCTGCAGAGTCCCCGTCTGTCTCTGCGATGGTCTGCTGGCTGATGGAGGTTGGCAGGTTCACCAGTACCTGGTTGAGCAGCTTGGCTTTGCCAACCTTGATGCCTTCATACAGTACAGCCAGAAGCAGGAGCACCAACACCGAAAGGGCCATGCCTGTCAAAGGAGGCAGAGTTGTGGAGACCTGGCCAGGCCAGCACTGTTTCCCTTCCAGCACCTCCACCTGTTCATGGAATCCACTCCATCCACCTCTATCCTGCACCTTCTTCCCCACCCTTGCTGAGTTCCGAACTTCTTCACTGTCTTCACCAGACTTTTCTTAGCTGGAGTGTGGCTTTGAGATCAGGAAGAGAAGCCACCTGAAAAATCCAGGGGCTGAGGGTGAAGAAGCCACGTACCATTACCCCACCCACTCCCCCAGCAGGCTGCACAAATCTGTCGTGACTTCTTGTTAAGTGATGAGTACTGCAAGGTCCTATTTATATGTAAGTATGCAAAAAATGTCTGGAAGGAAAGATAAATAGCACAAGAGTAATAGTTATCTCAGCAAAGTAGGATACAGGTGGTTTTTATGTTCTTGCCTAACTTTCTAAGGTTTCTTTTATATATATTACTTTTATAATAGGGGAAAAACCCAATAAATTATTTTACCAAAACTATCAAGTGCTTATTAGAGCTGCTGTGTAAAATTAACTGTTAATTACTACTTTTGTTTCACTAAGAGGGATAATAAGTGGTCCAGCTAAAGTATTTTACTGGACTCTGCGACATAATAAGAGATATATATCCTGTTTCTGCCCTGGTTTCCTGGCACACGACTTCTAGAACCCTTGGAAACGCTGTCAAGTGGTGTCTTTTTATATGCTAATGAGATGACTGATGGCTGAGGCTCCTGGATGGGGGCTGGTTGCCAGGGGAGCCAAACTTGTGCTTGGAGGTTGGCACTTTCAGCCCCACTCCCTACCTCTGGAAGGAGACAGGGACTGAAGGTTGAATTGATCACCAGTGGCCAATGAGGTCATCAATCATTCCTCCATATGAAGACTCCATAGAAACCCAAAAGAATGCAGTTTAGATAGAAGGAATAAGTTGTTGTATTCGACAGTACAGTAGGGAAATTTATAGTTAACCATAATTTATTGTATATTTCAAAATAGAATTGTAATGTTCCCAACACAAAGATAAATGTTTGAGGTGATAAACACCCCAGTCACCCTGATTGGATCATTACATATTGTATATAGGTATCAAAATATCACGTGTACCCCAAAACATGTACAACTATTATATATGAATAATTTTTTTTAAAAGGACAGGATTTGAAAAGCTTCCAGCTGCTGTGAACACATGGGGGTACCTGGAAGGTGGCAAGCCCAGGGAGGGCCTGGAGGCTCTGAACCCCCTCCTACATGCCTTGCCCCATGCATCTTTTCCACACAGCTATTCATTGTACTTTTTTTTTTTAGATGGAGTCTCGCTCTGTTGCCCAGGCTGGAGTGCAGTGGCGCAATCTTGGCTCACTGCAACCTCCACCTCCTGGATTCAAGCAATTATCTTGCCTCAGGATTCAAGCAATTATCTTGCCTCAGCCTCCCAAGTAGCTGGGATTACAGACACCCCCCACCACGCCTGGCTAATTTTTTTGTATTTTTAGTAGAGACGGGGTTTGACCATGTTGGTCAGGCTGGTCTTGAACTCCTAACCTCAGGTGATCCACTCGCCTCGGCCTCCCAAAGTGCTGGGATTACAGGCATGAGCCACCACACCTGGCCCATTTGTACTCTTTTTAAGTGTTTCCTTGAGTGTTGTGAACCATTCTATCAAATAATTGATCCCAACAAAGGCGTTATGGGAACCCTGACATATAGCCAGTTGGCCAGAAGTACGGGAGACAAGCTGGGACTTGCAATTGGTGCCTGAAGCAGGGGGCAGCCTTGTGGGACTGTACCCTTAACTTGTGGGATCTGCACTAACTCTGGTTAGTGTCAGATTTGAACTGAGTTGTAGGACACCCAGCTGGTATCAGAAAAGTTGTCACTGAGGGAAAGCCTACACATCTGGTCACAGAAGTGTGTGGAGCGTAGGAAAAGGAAAAAGTTGGGTTTTTTTTCCCACAGGCTCCCAGGAGGAAATCATCTGACAGATGCAGGTTTTTAAAACATAAAATTATAGGTAATTTCATGTACATGGTGAAACTTCAAACAGTGCAAAAAAGAATACAATGAAAATTCAGGCCGGGTGTGGTAGCTCATGCCTGTAATCCCAGCACTTTGGGAGGTCGAGGTGGGTGGATCACTTGAGGTCAGGAGTTTGAGACCAGCCTGGCCAACGTGGTGAAACCCTGTCTCTACTAAAAATACAGAAAAATTAGCTGGGCATTGTGGTGCCTGCCTGTAGTCCCAGCTACTCGGTAGGCTGAGGCAAGAGAATTGCTTGAACCTGGGAGGTGGAGATTGCAGTGAGCCAAGATCGCGCCACTGCATTCCAGCCTGGGCGACAGAGACTCCATTTCAAAAAAAGAGAAAGATCAGTTTTCTTCCCACCCCAATCTCTCTTCACCCCAATTCTCCTCCCCAGAGCAACCTCTGTTACTCAATGTATATATCAGCCTCTGTTTGTCCAAATGACAGCATCCTATCTACGCATACTGTTTTGCATTTGACTTTATCATCCAGTTTTACCTCAGTTCACACAGATTTACCTTTTCCCCAGTGGCTTCATCGTATCTGTGATAGATTACATTTTCCAAAGACAGCCACTCCAATGTATCCCACCCCACATCCCCTTCTTATGATGTCAACACTCCTGCCATCAAGTGGTGGGGTCCATGTTTGTTCCCTCTCCTTTAGCCTAGGAAGACCTTCGTGACTGCTTCAGCCAATAAAGGTAGAAGTAATTTTATCTGATTTCCAAGGCTAGGTCTTGAAAATCCCACGTACTTCTACCTTGTTCTCTTGCGACACTCGATCTTGGAATCTAGCCACTCTGCCACGAGGAAGCCCAGGCCATAGGAGATGCCACATGTAGGTGTTCAGCCAACAACTCCAGCTGAGGTCCTAGCTAACAACCAGTATCAGCCACTTGGCATGAGAGTGAGGAACTCTTCCAAATGACCCTACTTCCAGCCACTGTTTGACTATACTGCATGAGAGACCTTCAGTAAGGACCACTCACCTGGGTCCAGTCAACTCACAGAACCTTGAGAGAGAATGATAAAATGACTTGTTTTAAGCCACTGTTTATTCAGCAATAGATAACAAGAAATAGTAACCCATTGTAGGGCTGACCATAATTTATTTAATCTGCACCCGCAATAATGGGCATTTGGGCTGTTTCCAGTCTCTTTTTAAGATGCAGTTATTTAAGTTGAAAAATAACTTCTTCATGAATTAGTGACAAACTCTGCCTTTTCAAATCAAAGGAATATTCTTTCCTTTCAAATTGGTGTCTCATCTCCAGCAGCTGCTGTGGGCTTCTGAACTGGTGCAGAACAATGAGCCCTGGATAAGGGAGGTGCCAGGTGACACCCGGAGGCCTTGATCTAGTAGTGGCTCTGATGCGTACTTACTGTGTGACCCTGCACGAGTCTCTCTTCCTGTCTCTGGGCTTTAGTTTCTTGCCCTGTAACAGAGGGAAAAGCTGCCTCCCTGCCTCTCGGCCTTTGTGAGGATCAGTAAGATAATGGAGCCCTTTGCGATCTGAAGGGGAGTGGTTACAAATGGAATTATAACTGTGAAGTTCCTGCTCAGTGTTTATGCCAGAGGAATCAGCCTCACTTAAATGCCCACAGAGAATCAAGAGAACCCAGATTCTCCCTTGCCTAGTACTACAAGGCTTTCCAAGCTACAAGTCTGAGGTCCCCAATTCTTACCAGCAGGACTGTGGACACTCCAGAAATCAAACAGAAGCACCGCTGTATCTGAGAAGATGAAATGCATCTGAAAGAGAAAGGAATCTGCATCATAGGGGCACAGGGCAGTGGAAGTTACGGTCCTTAATGCTCTCCAGCACCTCCTCTGGGAGCCCAGAAAAATGGGGTCACTGGAAGTGCTGGAAGGGCCATCAGAAGTCATCAGGGCCAACTGAGGCCATAAAGAGCTGAGACTTGCCCAAGAGGGTCAGCAGCAGAGCTATAATTGAGCTGGCCATGCTCCATATGAGAATAGAGGTGTGGGAGTGTCCATCCTCACTGGACCAACTGGCTCGGGATGTGACAGTGTCCTCAGACTATGTGGGGATGTCCCCTCCATGCCTTCCAAGTGCAACTGCCTCTTCTTACCCCCCCGGGACCCTAGCCATTCTGCTGCAGCTCCAGAACAGGCTCCCGTGTGATGGAAGCCTGGAGTCCTCTTTGTCCTGTTCAGTCTAGACAGATCCCACAGTGTTTATCGTGGAGGGGCCCAGAGGCAGCTGTCTTCACTGTACTCCACATCTGCCTACTCATTCACTATACATTTGCTGAGCCCAGTTTGTGTGCCAAGCATTATGGAAGTAGGTTAATGTCTCTGACCTTGGTGAGTTCACAGCCTTACAGGAAAGACTGCAGGTAAAAGCAGTGACCATGCAGTGCCTGTCAGATGCCTTTTCAGAGGGTGCTTGCTCCACCTTGTGTTCAGGGTGGCATCAAGGGCTTTTTCTACATCATCTCATTTCATTGTCACAACAGTCCTCTGTGTGACAGGGACAATTAGGTCCATTTTACAGGAAGGAAAGTTAGGGAAACTAGACTTAGAGAAGTAATTTACTGGTGGTCACAAAGCTAGTAAGTTGGCAGAGCTGGGATTCAAACCTGAGTCTAGCTGGATTCCAAAGCCCTGGACATTCCAGGACACGGTGCTTCCTCCCAATCTCCAAGAAAGGAGGGTACAGTGGGAGCTGGATGGTGAGTTCAGACGCCCACACCAGGCTTAATGACTGTTTGGAAAGATGAGGGCCCAACAGATCTATCAGTTAGTTCACCCTCTCAGGGAAGTGAAGGCCCCCTCTGGTCCCCAGGTAAGCCCTCAGCTAGCACAAGCAGTTCTGCAAACACTGTCAGTGTTACCCAGCTAAGGAGATCCTGGCTGAGTTGTAATCAGCTAGTGGAAGCCTTTGCCTTCTAAGACAATGGCCAAATATTAGAATCCTTGAATCTCAGCACTAGAGGTATCCTCAGAGTTTTTAGTCCCATGGCTTTCAGCTTTCTTCACCAGGGAACACCAGCCAATTAAAATCTTTCTTCTAATTCCATTATGTAAAACACGGGGCTCAGGGTGGAGAGGGGAGAGAAATATGAGCTCTGATGAAACTCAGTTTGAAAAATGCTGATCTGGCCCAACTTGAGTCCCTCTCCACCCCCTCTCATTTCCAGGTGAGGAAAATGAGTATGAAGAGGGAAAAGGATTTGCCGGACCTCCTTATAAGCGGGTTACTCTCAGTTTCTGTTCAAGGGAGGAAGATATGGAGTGAGACTGTGGGTACTTGTGAAGGCTGTGGGGGCCATCAGTTCTTACAGAAAAGGAGTTCCGGTGGAGGCAAACGTCAGTGTGGGGGTGGAAAGGTAGGCAGATTTGATTAGCTGCCATTTTGTCAGGAAGCTGTGCCATGTGGGTGTCCTGTAGCCTCCTGGAAACCAGAGCCACAAACTTCTGCTTGCAGACGACAGCCCTAAACCACAGGCCTTGCATGTTCTAGTCGTCTCCAATCCTCCCCCTCTCAACAGTTAGGACCAAAGGAGATAGTAAAGAATAGTAGTCTGAGTCCAGGATTTGGAACAAAACACATTTGTTAACCAGGGCCTCTCTCTGGCCTCAGTTTCCTCCGAGGGGAGCTGGGGGAAAACTCTGCAAAGCCATCCACACAAAGTGACACACAGTAAGGGCTCAATAACCCCAGTGCCTTTTTTTCCCATACATGTCAAAGCTGGAGGGGTGTTTCTCAGAAGTGTTCCATGGGAGAAGTACAGGATGCTAGGAGGTACTGGGAAAAATGGATTCTATGGTCAAGGGAGTTTGAGAGAGACTGGAATTAGACAAAATAAGGTTTAATAGCTTTCTGCACTGCCAGAAGCCTGTACCCAGAACTCTCTCCTCCCCTTTTTCTCTTGCTGAGTGCCCTGTGGGAAAGAATCTCATAGACTATCCTCTAGGAAGTGCTAATTTAGAGCAACCCTCTTTTTTCATGCTGGGAGGGAAATGACACTGATTATTCTGTGCCAGGCACTCTTCTAAAAATGTTATATGTCTTAACTCACTCAATTTCAAGAGGGGAATTATTATTCTTAGCTCCATTTCATAGATGAGACTACTAAGGCAGACAGAGTTTAAGTAACTTGCCAAGTTGCTAGCTAGAATTTTGCCTGGGTGGGCTGGTTTCAGATTCTGTGCTCCTAACTGCTCTCAATGCAGCTTCTCAGGGCAGCACTGGAAGTCCAAGGGGCAGCTGTGACATGCCCAGGGTCACACTGTGAGTTGGTGGCAGCATCAGGACTGGATCCTGGGTCTTCTTACCAGGCCCTCATTTGGCAAGAGGAAAACAGATGCTACAACACAGAGAACAGCCCACTTTCTTGTGCAATACTAGACAGAGATGAGGGCTGTGCTGTCGTTCGGTTGTTTTAACATTTCAGGAAGATATGCAAACAGCAGAAGAAACTGATATGGCCACTTTGGAACAAAATATGGGAAGAAATTGGGGAGAGGAAGGAATGTATGAGAAAAAGCCTCTGTGCAATTAGGATAGTCATGCTTAGCCCCCGAAGGATGTTCAGCCAATAGCTGGCCCATATTTCCTGAGAAAGATGAAGAGTGCACCTTAAATAAAGGAAACAAACAAGGACCAGTCTGGGGATGGGACAGTAAGACCAGAGCCCAGGGACAACAGCGGACAACAGGATGAAAAGGCAAAGAGGATAGGGTGGGAGGGAGGACACTGGAGCGGATCACAGGTGTGGATGACGATGCTGTTATAGCCGGATCCACAGAGGCAGAGTCAGTCCCGGGTGAATCACTGGGAAACCACAGGCCAATCATGAGCTCCACACTGGCAAGCGGCTTAGTGTAGAGGGACAGCAGCAGCTGCTTAGACTCCAGGGCCTTATTAAAAGTACAGATTCCTGGGCCTCCTCAGGCCCCTAAATCAGAGTCCAGGGTCAGAGCCACAGGAGACAGGGAAGACATAGATTTTAACCAGCCCCCTTCAGGAGATTCTGAGGCTCAGTTCACTTTGTTGCAGTTTGAACAGAGGCAGCAAGGCTAGTGGTTAGGGGCACGGTCTCTAAAGCTGCACTGCCTGGATCTCCCTCCCAGCTCTGCCAGGAACCAGCTGCGTGGCCTTGAGCTGCTGACACGCAGAAAGCCCCCTGTGGACCCAGTCTCCTCGTCTGTAAGATGAGGACAGGACTCTAGGAACCCTTTCCCTTGGTTTGGCCTCACTTTCACAGGCTCCCATCTTGAACTCTATCTACTCTTCCTGAAACCTTGTAAAAGAAAAAAGTGCTAGCCTGGGCAACATGGCAAAACCCTGTCTCTACAAAAAATACAAAAATTAGTTGGGTGTGGTGGCATGTGCCTGTAGTCCCAGCTACTTGGGAGGTGCTGAGGTGGGAGGATCACTTGAGCCCGGGAGGTGGAGGTTGCAGTGAGCCAAGATCATGCCACTGCACTCCAGCCTGAGTAATAGAGTAAGACTCTGTCTCAAAAACAACAACAATAACAGTGAGTGTGCCTCTGTTTCCGGGTTGGATGGGGCACCACATCTATGCATCTCTCAGATTTGGACGCTGCAGCCTGGGGTTTGGTAGAGACCTGGGACTAACCTGGCTGTTCTACTCCCTACACTCAGCTAACATGCCTTTCAGTGCCAAAAGGGGTCTGACTTGTGTCACCAACCCCTGCCTGCGCCTACCCAGGGACTGGGCTCACTGGAGACCGTGGAGCTGCAGGACAGAGAAAGAAATGTGAAAGCATCTGATTGGACAGAACAGCCACACAGCTCTGTGTCTTCTGAGGGACTGCATGTGCCTGTACCACGTTCACCTTCCATTTATTATGTGTCACTCCCTGTGACATCTCCGCAGGTGCCTACTATTATTAACCTCTTTAACAAGGAAGGTACATAAAAGCCCACTTATCTCCCCATGGTCACTCGGCAATCAGGTACCCAGAGCCAGAGAGTTTTCTGGAAAGCCTGTACTGGTTCTCAAACCTTAGTGTACTGGGTGTTTCTGGGACAGGTGTTTCTAGGACAGGTGTTTGTTGGGGGTCACACTTTGAGAAATCATAGGAACCATGATGGTCTCCTGTCAACCAGTAGGGACTGGTCAAGTAAATTATATGAGAGCTTCAAAATGGAAATCTAGGCGGTCACATCACAACATGATAAAGATCATGTTGAAGACTTTAAAAAATGTTGAAGAGTTTAAAAATAAGAATAGCTTTTACCCCCCACCCCCAATGGCACTAGCTCAATGTAAAAAGCTGACACAGTACCGAAAAGAAAGTAAAAAATCATTTTGAGTCTTACTACTCAGAGATCTCTCCTGTTAGGCTTTCAAAAAAAAAAAAAACATTTTGACACAGCAAAATGTTTACGCAAGATTGATATACAAAACCAAACAGGTACAAACAATACTGTGAAACTCCATTTACACCGGAGATGGCCTCATCCTCAGCAGAAGCCTCTAGCACCATCTCTGCCAGGTAGAGGTAGGGGTGACACCCATCACCCCTTCTCTGAGTCCATTTGGTAAAGCAGATGGTATGAATGGAATGTCCCTAGTGGCTAATTAATCAGTCAGGGAGTTGCCATAACTGGTTTCCTTCTATCATCCTTGGGCCTGGGCCAGTTATCTTAGGAGCCCAAAACAGCCCAGACATGTTTTGCCATAGACCTGAACACCCACAGAACAGTAAGAGTAATTTGAAAGATTTCTTTTTGTTGTGCTAGGTCTGTGCAGACCCTGGCGATACAGAGATGAATGGGACAAGTCTTTGGCCCTTAGGGAGCTACCTGTCTATGAGGGGGGACATTTAAGTGAGCAAATAATTACAACAGGTTGTAGGTCAGAGAAAGGGAGGCACAGTGGAGGCTCCCTGGGGGTGCTGGGGACCAAGCCGCCTGAGAGACACCTGCCCTGGCCAGAGAGCAGTTGGCTAGGATGGTTCTGAAGCCAGAGAAGCAGGAGATAGCTGGGAAGATGAACTGTATGGTTTGTTCAGAGCTGGAAACACCCACGGAGTCCGAAGCCCCAGAGGGACGAAGACTCACCTGTCACTCAACCCTTTCTACTTTTGCCTTTTTGCTAGAGGAAAAGATGGAAGTCAGCACACCCTGACTTGAGAGAAGCGATCTGGGCTACAGTTTTCAATTAAAGGGCTTTGTGGTCAGATAGGCAAGGGGCAGGGCCCCAATCTTGTTTTCCTACTTGGGATGAATCTTGGCCTCTGAAAGTTTAACTGATTTGTGCTTTTTTCAGGGTGGGGCTGTGGTGAAGGAGGGAGCAATCCCTGGAACTTGTTTTCTTCTATATTTCTTCATTTGGGGTTACTTACACTTTGAGAAAAGCTTCCTTATTTGTAAACAAGGGTTGGGAAGGAGATGAAGGTCCCAGTTGCTAGGCTGACTGGCTGGGGAACTTTTGCAAGTGCTTTCCATCTATTTCCCTTTTTAAAGGACGGCTGATCATTTCACTAAATGGCCTACATACACTTCCTATATCTTTTTTTTTTTGTTTTGTTTGTTTGAGGACGTCTTGTTCTGTTGCCCAGGCCGAAGGTCATGGCTCACTGCAGCCTGGAACTTCTGGGCTCAAGCAATCCTCCTCATCCTGCCTCAGCCTCCGAGTAGCTGGGATTACAGGCGCCTGCCACCACTTGTGGCTAATTTTTGTAGAGACGGGGTCTAGCTATGTTGCCCAGGCTGAGCTTCCTGTATCTTAAATTCTATGACATTCTTCATGGGATGAAGAAAATGATATGACTTCTTCAAAGACGAACGAGTCTTGCAAGCTGTCGTTCTCTCCAGCCCAGGTGAACCCTACCAAGAAAAACAGCTTGTCTGAAACGCTGTTTTCTGACTGAAAGTGTAGGGAAGCTGGAAAGTAGCTGGTTCTGTTTTATTCCCCGAAGAATCAGGCTACAAACTTGACAAGAGCAGGGCCGGGGATGTGCGCTCGGTGTGCGCGCGGGGCTGCGGGCTGAAATGCGCCGGGGGTTTCCCTTTCGTGGAAGCCTTCCTGGAATCTCCCAAGGCGCTGCTCTCCGCCCTGGGGCGCCGGCCAGAGGTCCGGGGCCGGGGGCCCCGGACCCAGCTGTCTTCAGCCACCGCGCCCCCACTCTCAAGCCGCGCCACCGCGGGCGCTCGGTAACTGCTCGCCTAGCCGGACTGCCTCCCAGCAGGAGGGACAAATAAAGAGGAAAACCACAGAGCCACCGCAACCTATACCTGCCGCGTCCCCCAACCCTGTTCCAGCTGTTGGCAATGCTGCCAACACACCCTTCACCAGCCCCGGGCCAGCGGCAGCGAGGATTCGGGGTGCCGAGATGGCAGCTCCAGGAGACCCCGCCCCAACCGCCCACCCTCTTCACCGTAGCGCCCGGCCCTTACCGCCATGGTGAGTGCGCAGGGCGGGCGCCAGGGCCGCGTCTGCTCGCTCGGGTCTCCTCGCTCCGAGTCAGTTCAACCGCCGCCGCCGCCGCCGCCGCGATAGCTACCCTGGCCGCACGGATCACGTGGTCCGGGCGAGGCGGCGCGCGGGCGCCTGGGAGTTGTGGTCCCCACACGCGCCCTACTTCGGCGTCCTCGGGCGCGCCCCCTGGCCGAGACCCAGGCGCCTCGCCCCAGGTTCCCAAGGGCTGAGGCTTGGCGTTCCCGGAGTCGCGAGCGAGAGGGACCACCTGCTGCCCTCTGTCTTCGCCCTTCCTGTTTTGCACTTGGCTTGTCTTGGCGATTATGAGAATGTTTATTGCTCATTGTAATAAACTACCCCAAGCGTAACATATATTGAGTTGAAATGGGCAAGTCCGTGCTATGGACGCAATAGCAACACATTTGGAGTAAATTAAGTCAATTATGCCCTAGATTTTTAGTGTAGTCATTACAAGATAATTACATTTTTCTTTTTAGAAAAATATTTTCCAATCTGATAAGCCAAAAGGAATACACCCGTGTAATTTTGTTTTTCTTTGATTACTAGGGTAGTAAACTATTTTTCTTACGGGTACTTCCATTTCTGTGTATTGCCTGTTCATTTCACTGATCCAGTTTTTTGATGGGGAGTTTCTTGTAGGGTGAGGGATTTTTAATGGTTATTGATTCTTAAGCATATTTAGGAACCCTTTGCTAATCAGCCTATGAGTAAAGAGGCTCTTCAGAGAAACCTTACTAAGGACAGTATTAGCAGAGACCTTGAGCCTGGAGCTAACCTCAGTTCACATCCATACGCATCAACTATTGGCTTTGGGACCGTAGGCAAATAGCTTACATCTCTGAACCTCAGTTTTCTGGTCAGTAAAATGAAAATAATAATAAAATCTATGTCATAGGGATTAAATGAAAACATACATGTTAAATTATCATGTAACCTGGCAGTGGGAGCTTGTTCAGTAAATGGTAGAATCCTCAGGGTCACACAGCTTTTTTTCTTTTCTTTGAAACAGAGTCTCGCTCTGTCGCCCAGGCTGTAGTGCAGTGGCGCGATCTTGGCTCACTGCAACCTCCATCTCCCGTGTTCAAGCAATTCTCCTGCCTCAGGCTCCCGAGTAGCTGGGACTACAGGCGCGCACCACCATGCCTGGTTAATTTTTGTATTGTTAGTAGAGACGGGGTTTCACCATATTGGTCAGGCTGGTCTTGAAATCCTGACCTCGTAATCTGCCCGCCTCGGCCTCCCAAAGTGCTGGGATGCTGGGATTACAGACGTGAGCCATCTTGCCCGGCCCACACAGCTTTTAAGATTCTCAGTCTGAAAGCTAATGGAGCAGCTTCAGGGAGAGAACATGGGCCGTGGCACTGTGATGGGGCTGGAGAGGGAGAGCTGCTGCTGTCATGGTTTACTGGGCCATGGGGAAGCACTGGGGAGAAGGGCTAAGGGTATCTCTGAAGCATCTGGGTTCCAAGAGCTGGGGAGGGCTTTGGGTGTAGCTTTTCACCTCTCTGGGCCTTACATGGGAAGCAGGAGTAAGATAATCTGACCTTCACATAAGTGGGCTCTGGTGCACCCCACTCCCCCCACCTGCATTGAAGAATCTGCAACACAGCTTTATTCATTTGACGGTTTTTGTTGGCTTTGTCACAATCTGATGACCTTTACACTTACTTCTAACTTCCTCATGGATGTTTTGGTTACAACACTTAGCCAGGGAGTCCTAAAATTTCTTTCTGTACCACCAGAGGCACTCCTTCCCTGTCCCCCAGGCAGAGAGCTTGTTGCAAACCATGGGATCCTAGATCATAAGATCACAACACAGCCACCCAAGCCTGGGTCCATGGCAAGAGATTCCGGATTCTGTGTTTTGACAGCCCATGACTCCCCTCCTTTCACGGAGCAATAGTCTGTTGTTGTCTTTCCATAGCACACCTAGACCCCCCGAGACAGAATCCCCACTCAGGAAAGATGGCACTGCCTTGAGTGTCACAAAGATTATTTAGAGGCCCTTTAACCTGGGCTCATTTGTAGTCAGTTGATAGAGCGGAAATCCAACCAGTCATTTCTCCTTCTGAGGTTCAGTAGAGGAACTTGAGACTCATGAAAAGACCACATGCACAACATGTAATTCCTGCAGAATGTTGGGTCTTTATGTGTAGGTAAGGCTGTGTGATCCCCAAGGATGCCACTGCCCGTCTCTGGGACCTCGATGTCCCCATCCGTACAGTGAGGGGTGGAATGGATGACCTGCAACTGCCCTCCACGTGCTGATCTGCAGTTATAAGTGAGCCTGAGGGTGGAGTTGAACATGTTATGGCCAGGACCTTTGCATATTTTCCCTGTTAACTCCATCAACTAGCCTTCCATCTTCTCTCCAACGATACCTCTATTATTTTATATTTATGCCATGAGCAGTATTGTGGATCTGATGTGTGTGACACAGGAGGAGCGTGCACATTCAAGGTTGGCCTGTGTGGAGACAGTGGGTGTGCGTGTCGTGGGGGCTAGTGTTTACTGGATCTTGTGCTGGTAAGGCTGGAGGAAGCAGGAGCCAGGCCGCCAACAACCCGGAGGCTGTGTTGAAAGTCAGGAATTTACTCTGGGACAAGAAGGAACTACCAATGGGTTTTTAATATGTATGTTTTCTCACTGCATTTTGTTCTTTTTCTTTTTTCCCAAATGTCACTCTCTTAGTGAGGCCACTCTGACCACCCAATTTATTTATTTATTTTAGAGACAGGGTCTTGCCCTGTCACTCAGGCTGAAGTGCATTATTGCAATGATAGCTCACTGCAGTCTAGACTCCTGGCCTCAAGTGATCCTCCTGCCTTAGCTTAGCCTCCTGAGTAGCTGGGACTACAGCATGCCCAGCTAATTTTTAACAAATTTTTTTGTTTATTTTTGAGACAGAGTCTCGCTCTGTCTCCCAGGCTGGAGTGCAGTGGCATGATCTCGGCTCACTGCAAGCTCCGCCTCCCGGGTTCATGCCGTTCTGCCTCAGCCTCCCGAGTAGCTGGGACTACAGGCACCTGCCACCACGCCTGGCTAGTTTTTTGTATTTTGTTTTGTTTTGTTTTGTTTTTTAGTAGCATGGGGTTTCACCGTGTTAGCCAGGATGGTCTCGATCTCCTGACCTCGTGATCTGCCCGCCTCGGCCTCCCAAAGTGCTGGGATTACAGATATGAGCCACCACGCCTGGCTGCCTCCCTCTTTTAAAGATCCTTATGATTACATCTAGGACCCATCAGATAATCCAGGGTTATGTCCCCATTTCAAGATCCTTAATTTAATCACGTGCGCAAAGTCTCTTTTGCCAGATAACATTCACAGGTTCCGACCATCAGGACCTGGATAATTTTTAGGGCCATTATCCAGCCAATTGTAGGGGTCATCCACATTTATAACTTTCCTGACTGTCTGGAAGGGCTTTGAGCCAAACCAGAGCAAACAGCAGGCCTCTGGACAGCTGAGAAGAAAGCAATGGTTTGTTTTAGCTTTGCAGGGAAGGTAAGTGCTGTGAGGATCCCTTCACTGTTGAAGCCAGGGCTGAGGAGGGAAACACCCCTGAGAATTCACAGGTATAGGCTCTTTACCTCAGTTGTCTTGACAGGTTCCTTTCACAGCTGCTGCAAGGTTGTCTACTCCAGCTGCCCGGGACTCCCAGGCCCTGCATGCCTGCCTCCTGCAGGAAGACTGAGGGGCCCTGGTTTCTCCAACAATGCTGCACTGAGCTTGGAAGGCCAATGCTCAGACTGCCCCACATTTGCAGGGTAAACAGGTTTGAAAAACAGCCATCCATGTCCCATCCAGCTGACGACAGCAAATTTACAAATACTTTTTAAGCAAACTTGCGGCAAAATACACATAACATAGGCCAGACATGTTGGCTCACGCCTGTAATCCCAGCACTTTGGGAGGCTGAGGCAGGCAGATCGCTTGAGGTCAGGAGTTTGAGACCAGCCTGACCAATATAGTGAAACCCCATCTCTACTAAAAATACAGAAATTAGCTGGGCGTAGTAATGGGTGCCTGTAATCCCAGCTACTTGGGAAGTTGAGGCAGAAGAATTGCTTGAACCTGGGAGGCAGAGGCTGCAGTGAGCAGAGATCACATCACTGCATTCCAGCCTGAGCAACAGAGTGAGACTCCATCTCAAAACAAAACAAAACAACAACAACAAACACACACACAACATAAAATTTGCTCTCAACTATTTTAAGTGTACAGTTCAGTATTGTTAATTATATTCATTAATTATACATCATGTAACCCATATCCAAGATGCTTTTCATCTTGTAAAACTGAAATTCTATGAACATTTAACAACTCCCTATTCCCTTCTCCCCCTGCCCCCGACAACCACCATTCTACTTTGTATCTCTATGATTTGAATGTCTCTCGATACCTCTTAAGTGGAATCACATAGTATTTGTCCTTCTGTGACTGACTTATTTCACTTAACATAATGTCCTTAAAGTTTGTCCATAGTGTGGCAGGTATCAGACTTTTCTTCCTTTTTAAGGCTGAATAACATTTCTTTGTAAGTATATATGATATTTTGCTAATTCATTCATCCACTGATGGACACTTGGGTTGCTTTCACCTTTTGGCTATTGTAAATAATGCTGCAGTGAATGTGGATCTATAAATACAATGTTTTAAAAAAGTGAGTGCTTATCTAGAAGCTTGGCCCTGTACTTCTTTTCAGTCTCATGAAAAGAAGATAGGAATGGACCCCCTCTCTCTGTCCCTGTGTAGGCTTCCTGCTGCATTCAGAGTTCTGAACGTATCCCCAAAAATCTCTACCTGATCCCGACTGTACGCCATTTCCTAATCTTACAGAGATTTGGCAAAGCGGGTTTCAGCTTGTGTACAGTAAATTTCCTCTACAGCAGGTTTTCCTCATCTTGAAGAAATAAACGGATTTTCACCCCCAGGAACCCTAAAACCGTTCAAACAGGAGCATCTTGTTGATATCCCCATGTTGATCTACTATGTATATTTTGACTCCCAATGTATCACAAACCAAATGATCATTTGGTGCTGGAGGAAGGACCCAACTGGAAAAATCTTCTGACTTATCTTTTGGAGTAAGGTAAAGTATTCATTTGACCAGATGAAATGGCTGACATTTGACCATTTTTAACCTGAAAAAAAAAAGGCAATTTCATATATAGTTCAACCAATAGCTGAGGCCACTGTAGGTAGACTCCCCACCCACTGTGCCTGAGTCTGAGAAGGAAGAATGCCTAGCAGATGTAAACCACCTGTCTCTGACACATTGCCGTGGGGGAGACAGCTAGGGAGAAGCTGGTTCTGCTCCGATAACAAAAGGTGTTTTTCTGGTGGTGGGGAGGGGTCAGGGAGGCACTTGAATGAATCTTAGCTCTGGTCACAGTCTGAGGCTGGTGGTTAGTATTATGTGTACCCACCAGGACAATACCTTTGAGACACAGCCCTGTCCCTTCTGTTCTCTCTGGATGGGGAGGATGGGACTCCAGTAGCTAATCAGTGTCCTGGGAGGAATCCATTTGTATCATGTCTGTTTTGAGCAACCTCCATTCTAAGAGGCAACATTCCCAGATCTCAACTCTGCAGCCACCAATTAGGGATTGGGGCAGAGGGGCTGGATAGTTAGTACCATTTCTATCTTTTTCTTTTTGGTTGAGACTCCCCATATATAAGCTCTTCTTTTTAAAGCAGTTAGTATTGAGAAATATTTAATTTAGCCAAACAAAGAAGGTGTGTAAATTTGGCAGTAAGTTGTTGACACATCCATGTCACACTATTACCACGGTGATTCAGAGGCAAATCTGAAGAATAGGATGATAAGCAGTTGATACTTCATTCACTCAACAAACACCTTGCACTGTTTGGGGTCCGGGTTTTGCAGGACAGAGAACAAACCACCTGGTAGTTGACAGGTCAGGGAGGCTTTTTTGGGGGAAAACTCAGTGGTCCAGGCATCTCTCCCAAACATGCTTAAACGGCCCCTTTGGAGATATCATAAGTGATTGGTGGAGATATCATAAGTGATTGGTCAGCAAAGCATTGTGGATGAGGGGTCACCTGTGTGTGTATGGGGATGTGAATTGTGTGCACAGTGTGTATGCAGATGTTACAGTATGTGTGAATGAGTGTGTGTGTGACTGCATGGGAGTGTCTGCATGTGTGTTTGGTGAATTTATGATTCTGTGCCTGGGAGTCAGAGTGAGTGCTAAGCCTCAGTTTATATGAGCAGATGTATGAGCTAAGAATGTGGGTAAGTGCTGGAATGATGTGTGAGTGAACATGAGGGTCTGAGAGTGTGGCACTTCAAATAAAGAAGAAAAGGCCAGATCGGGCGCGATGGCTCATGCCTGTAATCCCGGCACGTTGGGAGGCCGAGGCGGGTGGATCATGAGGTCGGGAGTTCATGACCAGCCTAGCCAAGATGGTGAAACCCTGTACTAAAAATACAAAAATTAGCATGGCATGGTGGCAGGCGCCTGTAATCCCAGCTACTCGGGAGGCTGAGGCAGAGAATTGCTTGACCCCGGGAGGCGGAAGTTGCAGTAAGCCGAGATCATGCCACTGCACTCCAGCCCCTGGGTGACAGACTGAGACAGACTTTTGAGACATCTCAAAAAAAAAGAAGAAGAAGAAGAAGGAGAAGGAGAAGGAGAAGGAAGAAAGAAGAAGCCAGGTGCAGTGGCTCACATCTGTAATCCTAGCACTTTGGGAGGCTGAGATAGGAGAATTGCTTGAGCCCAGGAGTTCGAGACCAGCCTGGGCAACATGGTGAGACCTAATCTCTATAAAAAGAAAAGAAAAAAAGAAAGAAAAAAATGGGGAGGGGAAGGAGAAATGGGTGGATGCTCACTGCTGGCCATGAGAAATTCCCTAGGAGGCAAATCCGGGTTGTGAAAGCTGCAGGGTTAATGGCAATCCACATCCCTAATCCCTTATTTGGCAAACTCCAGAACCAGCACTGCTTGCAGCCAGAGCCTGGATGTGTCTGTCCAGACCTGGAGCCAGTCTGTCTGGGTTCCCACTCTCATATCAGCTCTTGAATAGTCTGTTCCCATTTCTTCATGCCTGGAGACAGCTCCTTTATAGACTATCTCCATCTGTAAGGCCCCTGCCTACTTTGCAGAGGGGAAGGTAGGGCTGTCAGCTTCCAGAAAGCAGCCTAGAGTTGCTTCTGTATAAATAGGTTGAGCATAAGGACCATGTAAAGAGGTCATCTAACCTGTTTCTCCAGTAACTGACAGATAGCTGTTTCTAAAGAGTGATAAACAGAGCTCTAGAGAATTCAAAGAGCCTTTTCCTTCAAAGGGATAAAGTGTAGTGGATGTACCCCTGGGCTGAGACTCAGGAGACCTGACTCCAGACTGTGCTGAAGACAGGAAAGTCATTTTCCACCTCTGGGGCGCCCCTGCAGGAATAAACATAACCTATAGTACCGAATCGCTAAATCTCATTTGTCTGTGTCATTAGCACATGATACTTGTAATGAACTGTCAACTTGTCTGTCTCTGCTGCTGGAATACAGAGTTTTCCACTGAATTTCCAGGGCCTGCTTGAGCTTTCCATGTATATTAGGGACAACAAAAATTGTTATCTAACGGTTATTGCACAATTGCTGTGTATCTAATTCTATGCTACCTACTTCATGTGGATTATTTTTTCTAATCTATCAGCACAATAACCAATGACATAGGTGCCATCATGATCCCTGTCTTTTTAGAGAGGCCAAGTAGTTTGCAGTAGGGCACACAGCTGGTGAAGGGCAGAGCCCAAGCACTCTGATTCTGGAGGCTCTTTCTTAGAGATGAGCAACAGGACCTTTCTTAGGAGGTATATCAAGGTGCTCAAAAGAGGATTAAATGTTGTTAAGTGGAAGAAGCTGTTCCCTGCATTTGCCTGTCCCCCAGCCTCCCACCTGTGAATCCCATTTCAGGATTCAGTTTCCCTCACCCTCAGTAGGACACTGCACTCTCTTGTGGATACTTTTTCTGAACATCCTTATGGTGCTTTTTCCTCATTTTTACCATAGTGATCCTGACTTCCTATATGTCATTATGGGCTATTCCAGAATGGGCATGATGGCTCACACCTGTAATCCCAGTGCTTTGTCAGGCCAAGGTGGGAGAATAACTTGAGGCCAGAGCTCAAGACCAGCCTGGGCAACATAGAGAGACACTCCCATCTCTACAAAAAACTAAAATATTAGCTAGGCATGGTGGTGCATGCTGTAGCTCTAGCTATTCAGGAGGCTGAGGTGGGAGGATCACTTGAGCCCAGGAGACAGAGGTTGGAGTGAGCTATGATTGTATCACTGCACTGAAGCCTGTGTGCCAGAGAAAGACCCAGTCTCTAAAATGAAAAAAGGAAAAAGAAAAAACATGTTAGGTTGACTAAATATCAAAAAGCCAAGGATCATTCTGAAAGTCTTCCTCAAAGTGACCACATTATATATATATATATAATATTTGTTAGAGATATATATTATGGGTTGTTCTGCATATGGTTCCATAGGTTAGTGATATATATTAGTTAGATATATATTTGTATAAAATGAAAGCATATGTTCACAGAATCACTTGTACATGAGAGTTTATTGTTGCTGGAAACAACCCAAATACACATTGACAGGAAAACTGTATCTACACAGTGGAACCCTACTCAGCAACAAAAAAGACCAAACGTCATAGCTCAGTCTAATCTCAGAGACACTGAGTACATACTGTATGATTCTATCTAGATGACCTTCCAGAACAGACAAAACAAAACTGTCTTGTCTTGAATAAAGTTGTTCAACCATCTCTGCATCTCAGTTTCCAGCTTGTAAAATGGAGATGTAAACTAAATATATGAGTTTATTTATACACAATTGTGTATAAGTATTGTATATTGTATATTGTAAAATATCTTGTACATTATAAAATGGAGATGTAAACTAAATACATATATATTTATATATATGTATCTAATATATATCACTAACCTATGGAACCATATGCAGAACAAAGTGTAAGAGTGAATAGAGTTGTAAGGAAAACACATTTTCCTAAAGTAACTCTTGCTCTTCCCTCAATTTGGACCTTTAAAAATGAGGTATAATTTAATAAGGTATAATTAACTTACTAAACAAGTTATAACATACACTTTGGTGAGCATTGATAAATGTACACATCTATAAAACTATCGTCCTAAACAAGATATAAACTTTTCCATCACCTTAGAAAATTACCTTGTGCCTCTTTCTATTCAATTATTCCCACCACCCCTCCTCCCCTCTACAACCATTATTCTGATTTTTATCACTATAGTTTAGTTCTGTCTGTTCTGGAAGGTCATCTAAATAGAATCACACAGTATGTACTCACTTGTGTTTGGCTTCTTTTGGTAAACTATTGGGGGAAATTCAGCCAGATATCGGGTGAAATTCACCCCCAATATTTCACGTAGGTTCTTTTCTATATTCCCTAAGTGTCGGCCGGTCTGAGAAATAAAGGGACAGAGTACAAAAGAGAGAAATTTTAAAGCTGGGTGTATGGGGGAGACATCACATGTCGGCAGGTTCCGTGATGCCCCCTGAACCATAAAACCAGCAAGTTTTTATTAGTGATTTTCAAAAGGGGAGGGAGTGTACGAATAGGGTGTGGGTCACAGAGATAACATGCTTCACAAGGTAATAAGACATCACAAGGCAAATGGAGGCAGGGTGAGATCACAGGACCACAGGACCGGAGCGAAATTAAAATTCGCAATGAAATTTCGGGCACGTATTGTCATTGATAACATCTTATCAGGAGCAGGGTTTGAGAGCAGACAACCAGTCTGACCAAAATTTATTAGGCGAGAATTTCCTCATCCTAATAAGCCTGGGAGCGCTATGGGAGACTGGGGCTTATTTCACCCCTACAGCTTCAACCATAAAAGACAGCCGCCTTCCGAAGCGGCCATTTCAGAGGCCTACCCTCAGGGACACATTCTCTTTCTCAGGAATGTTCCCTGCTGAGAAAAAGAATTCAGCGATATTTCTCCCATTTGCTTTTGAAAGAAGAGAAATATGTCTCTGTTCTGCCCAGCTTACCAGCAGTCAGAGTTTAAGGTTATCTTTCTTGTTACCTGAACATTGCTGTTATCCTGTTCTTTTTTCAAGGTGCCCAGATTTCATATTGTTCAAACACACATGCTCTACAAACAATTTGTGCAGTTAACACAATCATCACAGGGTCCTGAGGCAACATACATCCTCCTCAGCTTACGAAGATAACGGGATTAAGAGATTAAAGTAAAGACAGGCATAGGAAATCACAAGGGTATTGATTGGGGAAGTGATAAGTGTCCATGAAATCTTCACAATTTATGTTCAGAGATTGCAGTAAAGACAGGCATAAGAAATTATAAAAGTATTAATTTGGGGAACTAATAAATGTCCATGAAATCTTCACAATTTATGTTCTTCTGCCATGGCTTCAGCTGGTCCCTCCATTTGGGGTTCCTGACTTCCCGCAACAGTAAACCCAGTGTCTCTGAGATTAGACTGAGCTATGAGGTTCGTTCTTCTTTATTGCTAAGTAGGGTTCCACTGTGTGGATATATTTTTCCTGTCAATGTATATTTGGGTTGTTTCCAGCAACAATAAACTCTCATGTACAAGTGATTCTGTGGATATATGCTTTCATTTTTATTCAGCAAATACCTAGGAGTGGAATTGCTGTGTCAGTCTATTTTCTCTGACACTCAGAGGTCCTTTGCAATTCTTAGAAATACTGCTTTATTAAAAAACGTGATTACTTAAAATGACAAGTCATCACCATAGGGCCTGGAGATTTCCTGGAGCACAAATGCTTGTGATCCTTTAATTATGTTGAAGGGCTCCATTCCAGCACATGAGGCGGTATATTCAGCGCTCTATTGTAGTTTCATGATAGCTTGGGGTAGGCACAGAAAACCAGAACAAAGAAAGAATATGACCTTCACACAGAACTGTATAAAACTTCTCAGAGTAATTATCATTTGAGTCGAGCAATGGAAGACACTAAAATCACTTGATCAGTATAGTCCTTTGGAGAGAAGACTCGGACAGGACTAAATAAGGAATCAAAAACAATAGTTTGGGTCTTGGCTAAGCTGTGTCCTGTGTGACCTTATATAAAGTCATTCAACAGTCTCTGCATCTCAGTTTCTAGCTTGTAAAATGGAGATGAAATCTTGTGAGATGATGACAGATATTCTCTGTCCCCTGCACAGGGATTCTGTGGGACAAGGTAAGATAAAGTCTGCCTAAGTCTCATCCTGGATAAACTGTAAAGTGCCATGCAAAATGAGATAACATCATGTGAAGAGAGGCAGGAACTCACACAGAGCTTGTTTTGTGCTCCGATGACTGGCACTGATTGTCACAAGAACTCAGCTGCCCTTGTTTCAGGGACATTGAACAAGGTCAAACACAGTGACAATAACTCTTTGTGAGCTGCCAGTTGGGCCCGGATGTCCCTCTCCATTGTGTTCATCTCTGCAACGGGGGACTGTTGGGCTCTGGATTCTTCTACATCTGTAGGAGAATCTTTCCCAATGGCACAGCTACCTTCCCACCCCCAAACAATAGGCCCTCAACTCTCTCGGTCCTCACTCATCTTTATTTACCCAACCCATTCTCAGTTCCCCACTGCAGGTGACAAAAAGTTGAATGTTTTATGAAAAGTCTGTTTGGGGTAGTTCTAGCCAAAGATGTCATGGATAAATCTTAAATGGATATAGGAGGTAGTGCAGGCAGCATCATATAATGGCTGTTATTGATTGAGTGTTTACCTGTAAGTGCTAAGGGCTCACAACTACCCTATGAGTTGGGCAGTATGATTAGCCTCAGTTTACAAATGGTGAAATGGAAGCAGTTTTATGGGAAGAACTCAGGACTAGGAGTCTTAGAATCTGAGGGTGCCACCGTTGTCACTACCTGGGCCTGTTTCCTTATCAATAAAATGACAGTGAGGATTATCTTCTTTTAATCTCTGACATCTTTTCTAACACTGACATCCTGTGAGTCCATGTTTGACTCTGGGTGAGTCATACAGCCTCTCTGAAACGCTTTCCTCATCTGTAAAATGAGAGAACCATCACAACCTGGCTGCTCTTTCCCAAAGTGCCATTGTGACAGTGCCCGGTAAGGAGGGAATTGTGCTGAGATGCTAAGTGTATGTCTCTGTTTTCTCTCCAAGGGACCTGAGCCCATAAAAAATGAAGGGTACCTGTGATAAGCAGAAATCAGGCACTGCCTTAGAGGCATTTGCTTGGTAAGGAGTGAATAAATAACAGAGATTGTGAGACATTTTGATATGAGAAAACCTTGGGGATCATTGTGTTAAATACTTTCTATTTGATAGTAGAGAAAACTGATGCCAGAAAAGATAGTGCCTTCCCTGAAGACACTTAGAGGGCAAAGGAAGAGCTGGGGCTGCAGCTCTGGTTCACTGACTTCAGGTATTCTGGTCTATCAGGAACACTTCCAAGCTTCTTCTTCTTCTTTTTTTTTTTTTTTTTTGAGACAGAGTCTCCCTCTGTCACCCAGGCTGGAGTACAGTGGTGCGATCATAACTCACTGTAACTTCCAACTCCTGGGCTCAAGCAATCCTCCTACCTTGGCCTCCCAAAGTGCTGGTATTACAGGTGTGGGCCACTGTGTCCAGCTGAAGCTTCTTACCCTCCAGACACTGACCCAATGTGAGATCTAAATCTCCAACAGGACACCACAGTGGGGACAATACTTTGGCCCCAAACTTTTGAAAGGCTGAGGAGGGTCATTTTCCATTCCTGTCCCTTTTTAGGGACAGTACAGAACATCTGTTATGCTCTATGAAAGAAAGCACAGTGTGAGCTCCACACCTGCACTGTTGCCCTTCTCTGAGGTTCTTGGATTTAGTGGGAGCCTTTATTCAAGCTGGGATCTCTCCTAGGAGGCAGCCTGTTTCCTCAAGTGTGACTTTCCAGGCGTGGCTCTGCAGATGAGCCTAGGTCAGTGGTACAGCAGAGGGAGGGAGGAGCGCTGGCCTGGGATCAAGGGACCTGACCTGCCAAGGACCAAGCAGTACTGGTGGCAGAGCAGAGCTGGAAGCCAGCTCTGATTTCATCACCACAAGGTCTCCACCTGCCTCTGACTGCTTCACCATTGTACCTATTCCCACACCAGTGCCATGCATTGAGGGCAGCTGAGAGTGTCCGAGGAGCAGCGAGGGTGAGGGAACTGCTATTCAAAGGCAGATTTTGCCTGGACTGTCAACTTTGGTAGGTCTGAACTGAACATTCCCTGGAGATGAACCAGAAGTTGAGAGACAGGGCAGGCTACTGGCACTGTCTAGACTGGCTTGGCCAGTGTAATCAAGGATCATAATCTTGGCTTCTGAGATGCTTCAGAGTTCAAACATTCCTTTTCTGGATTTTTGCAACCTGGATTCATAGACTTCCGGGTGTAAAACAGCCACAGAAGTTATATGCAAAACTTTATGTGCGTCAGTGCAGGGGCACTTCTCTCTCTCGAGAGGATCCATAATTTTAATCAGATTCACAAAAAAGAAAAGAGCAGCAATTCCTGCATTAAATATCTCTGAGCAAAGGAGAGAAATGATCTCAGAGGGTTGTGCAAAGATCATCTTGACAATTCTTCCAAGAAGAATGAAGTTCTACCAGTTTCCTTTTTCTTCTCAGAAAAATGGGCTTTGTGAAAGATAGGGTGTAAATATTTAAATTTCAACAGCTGTTTAGTAAAAGAACATGCTTTTTTTAAAAAAAAAAAAAAAAAACAGGGTGTCGCTATGTTGCCTAGCTTGGTCTCGAGCTCCTGGGCTCAAATGAACCTCCTGCCTCAGCCTCCTGAATAGCTGGGATTACAGCACGCACTACTGTGCCCAGTTTAGGAATCTACTTTTCATCTGCATTGTCTCACTGACTGTCCCAAAAGTGATAGTCCACAGAGGCTAAACAGATTTTCTAGGTTGTACAATTTCTAATGACCAGTTTCCAGATCTTCTGACACCTGCTAACAATCTTTCAACTCCAATTCTGAGACCTGGGCTTGTCCTCCCGCCCTGGGCTGCAGCTGGCCCTCCTTGTCCTGATTGTGAAGCTGAACCAACTCTTCTCTTACATAAAAGATACCAAGGAGGGACTGGCCTCCATAGGGTCTTGCTGCTGAGGTGTTTGGAACACTCCTGAGTTAAGAAACACTGAGCTGCGGCCTGAAGTGCCCAGCATGGCAGTGGCAGTTTTTTGTTAATATTAAGAACTATCTCCCATGCACATGGAGAGGGGCTGCCTGTGTCCCTGAGACAGAGATGTCCTCATATGCATGGTCTGGATGGGCACCTGGGAAGGGAGGGGTGAGAAGGGCCACAGAGCCTGTGTCCAGTGCCTGGGCCTGTCACAGCTTACACAGCTACTGGTGCCACCTGGAAACAGAACAAGTTTCCTGGCTCCCAGACCACAGAATTTCCCCTCCCACCAAACTACCCCTCTGAGGTGTCTTCCCTAAACTACTTGAGTAAGCCCAATAGTTGGAAGAATGACCCTCGATCTCAACTTCCACTCCACTCCTCTACTTTCCGTGTCATTTGAGGAATGTGTGAGTAACCTCTGGGGTGCGAGAATATCCCCAGTGGAGAAAAAAAGACAAAATAAGATCATGATTTTAGCTGAACCCACTTAGTTTTATGAGTAAAAGTGTCCTTTATTTCTAAAACAGTATTCTAGAGCAGATGAGATACATTCACATACTTTTAAAATATCTATTGAGCGTACCTATGTGCCAGCACAGGTACGTGATTAGAATTCAGTGGTGAATGCAGCATTTACAGTCCCTGTCTTTGTGGATTCACAGCCTTGAGGAGAAAACTCAGAGGAGAAATGGCTGGCCCAAGGTCACAAGGTTGCTGGTAAAGACAGGGGCATCCTCCGAAGGTGGATCATCCTCATGTTGGTTCCTCTGGCCAGGCTGAGGCAGATGGGGTCAAAACCTCCAGATTGTCTGTCTCCATTATGTATTTCCCAAGCCAGAGAACACAATTCCCATCATGGTTGGAAGCTGAAACCAGGTTTGGCTAGGAAGGGCATTTCCTCCCTTAGGCACTGGGCTGGATGCTGGAGCTGGGCGGGGAACACGAACGACCTGCCTGGTTCCATGAGAACGGTTGTGTCCCTATCCGGGTGTTTCATCCTGGCAAAGGAATGAAGCCCCGCGCCCTGGGTAGGTTTCAGCAGCTCATGGGAAAGCCACCTGGCCTTGCTGGCTGGCAGGGCTTCTCTGTCCCTTCCCAGTTGCCAGGCCATTCCCTACCCCAGGCACCAGCTAAAGGACTGCATGGTGAGCAACCGTGCCCGCACTGTCACTCTGAGGCCCAAATATGTGCAACTTCTGCATCTGTACCCTGTCACCACTTTATTAAAATGATGTTTTAAATTTCTGTATTTTTCGCTACACTATGAGACCCCAGAAGTGATTAAATGTTACTTGCCTTAATCAGAGGAAGGATGTGTGCACTCATCATACCCCAAATACAGGGGCAAGACTGAGGAGCCATTTCAGATCAACAGTACACTGAAACATATTAAATGCTTGGTACTACACCAGATGGTGCAAATGCAAAGATAGATAAATCATGTTTCTCATACACATGAGAGGCAGGTATTCACATGACAATGGGCCAAGATAGAAACAGTGCATTGGGAATGTAGCGATACATTTCAACTTGGGAGAAGAGGAGGTGGAGACAAGAGAAGGCTTCCTGAATGCAGCAGTGTCACTGGAGCTAGGCCCCAAACATTGAGCAGACATTCCAGGAAGGAAAACTACTGGAGCAAAGTCATGGAGGTCTTACAAAAGGGAAAGACCACCACTGTAGCTCGTAACACTCTGGCACAACCTAGGGGCCTGATAATTGTGTGTGCTGAGTGCCCTGCCTAGTCTGCTGGGCACTGATGCTGCTGGTCCCTGGATTAATAGAGGCAGTGATGGCCTCCACCCCAGGCAGCCATCTCCCTCTCCACATCAATCAGGGAACAACTCCTCTGAGGATTTCTTAGGTGTCATCCAACCAACAGCCAGTTGGCTTATGACCAAAGATATGAACAGGGTTCCCCTCACACACCAATGGGTTTGCTTTGAGGAGCACATTGTTCCCTGGATGCTAGGACGCCTAAAATTACCAAAATGTTCTCCATATAACATTCAGTATGTGACACTGCAGGTATGGACATTTGCATACTTTTGTCCACATGTTCATATACACACATGCATTTAATACACATATGCATTTGTGTTCATAAAGATATCTTAATGCATATGTATACATGCAAATGCAATTGACCATGTGCACACATGCCCATACCTGCAGTGTTTGCAGTATGCAGTATTGATCCAGTACCATATGTACATGCAACCAACCTTTTGTGCCCAGGGTGGGGACAGCTGCTGCCCTTTGGTCTTGCTTTGTGCCACCGTCCACTCAAGTTTCTGCTGTCTTTTACATTTGGTCTCCTTTCCACCTCTCATCTCATTGCCTTTGTTTCAGTCACTGCTTACATCTGACAGTCTTTGAATTCTCTTTTGAAGAGTCTTCTGAAAATGCTGTAGGCTCAAGTGAGACTTTAGGGAGCAGAAGAATACTTCCTAGATTCACTCCTTTAGTTGGAGCTTTTCCTGCATGTGGTGGTGGTGGTGGAAGCTACTTCTTCATCCCTGACCTGTAGGCAGAATAAAGATGTCTGTTTCCTCACACTCAGGGGAGGTGCAATGGAGGGTCATGAAAAGATGGCATCCTAAGATGTGTTCTCTCTCCTTGGCACAGCTAGGTTGGCATGTCCTTGTCAAGTCACTTGGAACCAGCGTGGTAGAGGTCTCTATATTTAAACTGCATCACCAACCTGAAACTGCCATTCCTGGAAGCAACCTCTATCTGGTTCTTCTTGTAAAAGAGCCTCTTGTGAGGGGAAAATGAGGAAGACCCACACTGGCTGCCTCAGACAGGGATCTCCACATGGAAAGTTGCACCAGGAGCTTCTCACCTTCCTCTCCTGAAGGGTGGGCCCACAATCCAGGATGGCTCCTTTCCTTCTGGAACCTGTGTGCCTCCCTGGCCCCCATGAACTCTAAAGCTGGTATTTAAGATATTTAAGAGGAAGACATAATACAAAGGATTATTCCTAATTCTGAAAATTAACTCTTTAAATCCAGTGACTTTATCCACTGTTTTATGGATAAAGTGTGTGTGTGTGTGCCTGTTATCCACTGTTTAGTGGATACAGTGTGTGTGTGTGTGTCTGTTATCCACTGTGTAGCGGATAAAGTGTGTATGTGTGTCTGTTATCCACTGTTTAGTGGATAAAGTGTGTGTGTGTGTGTCTGTTATCCACTGTTTAGTGGATAAAGTGTGTGTGTGTGTGTGTCTGTTATCCACTGTTTAGTGGATAAAGTGTGTGTGTGTGTGTGTGTGTGTTGGGGGTAATCTAGTATGTGTTTACTTTAAAATATTAGGTTCCTATGAATTTTATAGATGTAACAATGAATTTCAGGTACACTTTTTGTAACGGAATAATTTGATTGAGCTGAAGAACCACATTTGTTGCTACTGTTTCATAGTGCCAGATTGTGTTTGTTCAGAGACAGAAGAATATCTAAGTGCATCTGTTTCCTCACAGTCCCAATGCCACTGAGTTGCTTCTTTCCGAAGATTAGGAAAAGTGGCATATTTTATATTTCTTTAACTGCTAGTAAAGGTGTCATTCTTCTCGCCACTTGAAGATCTATAGTCTGTGTTTTGTCTAGCATGCATATTATATATAAATTTGGTATATATTTAAGTAGTAACCTTTTATTTTTTTTTGAGATGAAGTTTCACTCTTGTTGCCCAGGCTGGAGTGCAATAGCGCTAATTTTGTATTTTTAGTAGAGACAGGGTTTCTCCATGTTGGTCAGGCTGGTCTCGAACTCCTAGCCTCAGGTGATCCACCTGCCTCGGCCTCCCAAAGTGCTGGGATTGCAGGCATGAGCCACCATGCCTGACCGAGTAGTCACCTTTTATCATATCAGCTCTTACAACTTTTACCCATTCTGTTCCTTTATTTTATACATTCCATTATATTTTATATTAATAGTCTCACAGAATGTTAGTTGCTAGGAGCATGCTACTCACCAAGTATTTATGGACTGAAGATATGTTGAGTTAGAACAGACAGGTGGCATTGAGGCCATCTAGTTCAGGAGCCTAAACATTCACACATAGAAAATAAGGCTTAGTAGTCCCAGCTACTCAGGATGCTGAGGCAGGAGAATTGCTTGAACCCAGGAGGTGGAGGCTGCAGTGAGCCAAGATTGTGCCACTGCACTCCAACCTGGGTGACAGAGTGAGACTCTGTCTCAAAAAAAAAAAAAAAAAAAAAAGAAAGAAAGAAAGAAAATAAGGCTTGGAACAGTTCAGTGACTTATGACTTAGCCAAGGTTACAATGGTAAATCCAGATCATTAAGCCAGACTTATGTCCAGCAAAGTTCTAATTACCACACCAACTGCCTCAACTCTAAAGCATGGTTTCTGTGTTTGTACTACTGATGTTTTGGTCCAGATTGGCCAGATAATTCTTTGCTGTGGGGAACTGTCCTGTGTGTTGCAGAACGTTTAGCAGCATCCCTGGCCTCTAGCTTCTGGGGGCCACAAGCAAATGCCCCCACCTCTGAATTGTGACAACTAAAAATATCTCCAGACATTGCCAAGTGTTCCCTGGGGGACAAAATTGGCCCTGGTTGAGAACCACTGCTCTAGCAAGAACTAAACATTTCCTATGCATTTGTGGGAGTGATGTGAGTTTCCACAGCAGAAGTTTAGAATGGGAGCCCAGCACTCCTCTCAGGCGGCTGGAGAATATGGTAAAATCCATCATGTTATTGCTGGATGGAGGCAACAGTTCAGACCCTGCAAAGTGACACGGCAGAGAGCCAAGCAGGCTTTCCCAAGATAACAAGAGTTAAGCCTTGGCGAGATCAGTACCAAGGACAGCTCAAGGACACTGGCTTTTCAGACACTTTTAACTAGAGGTCTTTCAAGCACAGGTAGTTTGGATTTGAATATCCTTTCCCCTACTCACCCACTCCACCAGAAACTGTCTGTTCTTTAATGTTTCCATGTGGAGATCCCTGTCTGAGGCAGCCAGTGTGAATCTTCCTCATTTGCCCCTTACAATGGGCTCTTTTATAAGAACCAGAAAGTGATTGCTTCCAGAAATGGCAGTTTCATGCTGATGATGCACTTTCAGAGCTAACCAACGTAAGCTTCACCCCCACAGTATGAGATTACTATTATTATTCTAATGTTACAGATCTGGAAGCAGGCTCAAAGGTTCCCCAGCCCAGTGTTACACAGCTAGAAGATTCTGGGCTTCAAGGTTGGAAAAAGAATATTGGCTTCAATGTCTGCTCTTTCCCCAATGCCTGTGCCAGGCAAAGCTTAAGCATCATATCCTCTATGAAGAACTTCCAGAAATTCCTTATCCTCATTAGAATTGACCACTGTCTCCTCTGCCCCACACCTTAAACACACACACTTCACACCACCACAGCATCTATAATCCTTTATGGCACTTGTTTCTACACCTTTCTGTGCTAAATTATAGACCTCCCTAAGGTCAGGCCATGTGTCCCCAGTTACTAACGTGGCATCTGACACACATGAGGGACTTAATAAAGGTTGTGAGTAAATAGATTCAGAGGAGCTACTGAATCAGTAATACGGACAGGCTTCCACGATCAAATCCTTTATAGGCAGGTCAGCAAGAAGAGTTCTCTAATTCCTGATACTGAACCCTTTTCTTGTAGTCTTAAAAAAACATGACCCAAGGGATGATTTTGGCAAATGTGGAAAACAAAGTTTACTGACTCCTAGTATGATTTTCTACGTTGTTCACACCACTGTCAGAATGACAAATTAAAATGAAAAAGTGAAAGCTACTAAACAATGTAACAGATTTAGGTTATTGAATTTCCCATTTTTAAGGTTAGAAAAGAAAATCCTTAAAGAGACAAAAAACAATAAAGGGCAGAATTAGTCCCTGAGTATCTCTGTAAGACAGGAAGGTCAAGCTTTGGAGAGGGTCTGGTTGATCTTTGAGGTTGGATACTGCTCTTCAAGGCATGACAAGCATCAGCTGAAGGAGAACAGGCTCTCTTGTTTGTAAGGCAGCTGATCTCACTTATGTCAGATCCTTAGCCCCTGTGTAAGGCGGTGCTCAGGTGTGCCACCCACACAAGCTGAGTGTGTCCTGAGAAAGCACCTATTTTTAGGTTACAGAAAGGCAATCTAAGGGCCAACTGTGGCCCGGAGCCCTGTTCACTCTGGAGTCTTGGACAACCCTTCACCTTTCCTGTCACCCAGGCTGGAATGCAGTGGCTTAATCTTGGCTTACTGCAAACTCCGCCTCCCAGGCTCAAACGATTCTTGTGCCTCAGCCTCCCAAGTAGCTGGGATTACAGGTGTGTGCCCCCAGGCACAGCTAATTTTTTATAGAAATGGGGTTTTGCCATGTTGCTCAGGCTGGTCTCGAACTCCTGGGCTCAGGTGATCTGAAGAAGGAAAGAAAGAAAGAAGGAAAGAAGAAAAGAAAGAAAGAAGAAAGAAAAAAAGAAAGAAGGAAGAAAAAAAGAAAAAGAGAAAAGAAAGAAAAAGAAAAAGAAGAAAGAAAAAAGAAAGAAAGAAAGAAAAGGAAAGAAAGAAAGAAAGAGATCTGAATGGATAAATGGATTGAAGACTGAATGGAGAGAGATCAGTCAGAAACCAGTCCTGGATAAGAAATAAGGCACAAACTATGAACAAATGGCAGTTGGAGTTGGTAGAGGGACAACTCTTCCCCATTTCTGAAATTTCCTTCCAGGGTAAACTATGATTTGCATGCCCTGTCTCCACCCTTTTGTTCTTCCCCAGGGAGGAGTAACTTGATACAATTTGGAGAATAAGAAACTCAACTCAGCTCCTCCCTTTCCCCTCTTAGAATCAAGCTGTTCTCAACGGCCCCGGTGACCTGGGTCCTCTGCTGCTCCTCTGTGCAGTCGGTCCAGGCAGGCCTTCTACATAGGAGTCTTACCCTGGTCCACGGCTGCCTCTGATGGTGGGAAGTCTGTCTAATTCCAGGCTGCAGGCAGTTGGCTGATTTGGTTCTTATATTCTGCTATATCCTCCAACTTAACTTACTCTTTTTTTTATGCCACCTGTCTTTGTGTTACTTCTCAGCTTGTTGATAACTGGGGCTAGGAAGGGGATGCTACTGATTGACTACCTTTTATACCCTACAACAGAGAGTACAGATAGAACAGGGGAGAGCCCAGAAATATTAAGGAGAGAATGTGTTTATTCAGCAAATATTAACTGGCACCCATTAATGTCAGGATCAGTGCCAGGTGTTAGGGAATCAGCAGAGACCAAATAGACAGCATCCCCTCAGGATGATTACAGTCAGGCTGGAAAGTTAAACAAGTAAACAGTTATGGCAATGTGCAAAAAGCATTTTAAGAAGGGAACATATTCCAGGCATAGATTAGAAAACAACCTAATCAGAAATAAGGTTTTATGTTTTTGTTTTTAATTCAAAAGTAATACATGCTTACTGTAAAACTGTAAAAAAAAAATCAAGTAATGCAAAAGAAAAGTAAAAAGTTTAGAATATCACCCCTTCATCCCATTCCCTAGAGGAAACGACTATTAACAGTCCGGTATATGGTTTTCAGGAATCTTTTCTTTATAGCCACAAAGACAAAATGTATTTATAGAAAATGGGAACATACCATACTTATTGAACTAGAATTTTTGCTCTCTTCATTTAACACACTGTGGTTGCCTTTCCAAGTTCATTAATAGTGATTAAGTTATCTTTAAAAGACCTGCCTTGTATTGCATATCCAAATCTTATTATATGGATATACCATAACTTATTTTGCCAATATGATAGGTGAATGAATCTCATTCCTTTAATTTGTATTTCTTTTTTTTTCTTTTTATTCTTTTTTTAGGCAGAGTTGCTCTCTGTTGCCCAGGCTGGCATGAAGTGGCATGATCTTGGCTCACTGCAACCTCCTCCTCCTGGGTTCAAGCGATTTTTGTGTCCCAGCCTCCCAAGTAGCTGGGACTACAGGCGTGTGCACCACGCCTGGCTAATTTTTGTATTTTTTGGTAGAGACGGGGTTTCACCATGTTGGCCAGACTAGTCTTGAACTCCTGGTCTCAAACGATCCGCCTGCCGTGGCCTTCCAAAGTGCTGAGATTACAGGCGTGAGCCACCACGCCTGGCCGGTGTTTCTTTATTATTGAGCTTGAACGTTAAGTTTTTTCTGTGACCTGCCTGTTCCTGTTTGTAAGTATAAATGCAAAGTAGACATAAAAGAGGTGAATTGCTCAAGCTTAGGAAATACCTGGAATGCCCAAGAAGCATCCTTCTTTTCTCTGAAGACTTGCACATTCTAGTCTTGAAAGTAGAGGGGGATAATATTGAATCTAGACACCTGAGAAGACAATGTACTTGGCTAATCCGCAAACTCCTTTATTATTTTAATAACATTCCAGTATGGGATAAAATTTGGGATTGTCATCCCTTCATAATCCTACAGTTGTTACCAAATAAACCACAATGAACAGTGATATGTTCTTTCAGTTATAGTCAGAACTTTATGGATATGTATGCACCAGTGTCTGTATGTGTATGTACATCACAATTCTCTAACATAGTTCATTAGCATCTTCCCGGGCTGTGTAATACTGCACCATAGAAATGTAATATAATGTATATAATTTGCTCCCTTAAGTAGGACAATTTAATTTACTTTCCATCTTTCCCTGTTATAAACAATGCTGTGAATGCACATGTCCTGTAGCCCAACAATCCTGCTACTAGGAATTTATCCTGTGGATAAAACTAGCACATTTACAAAATGGCATTATATACAGGATTATACACTATACTGTAATTTTGCTGTTACAAACAATCTAAATGTTTGATTATAAGGATCTGATTAAATAAATTATGGTCCATATTTTCATAAGTACAAGGAAACTCTTATATGAAATTAACTCCAAAATATCTCGTTAAGTGAAAAAAACCAAGACACACAGTCATATGAATAGCATGTTACCATTTGTATGAAAAAAGAAAGAATGCGTGTGTATCTCATAAACACACACCCAAGTGTTTGCTGTATATGTAAAGAGTACTTTCAGAAATATACATAAGCAACTGATAACACTGGTTACTTCCAGAAAAGGGAAACTAAATGGGGGGAAGACAGGTGTAGGCGGGAGATTATTCTTTGAAGTCTTTTGTCCCTTTTTAATTCTGAAGCATGTAAATGTATGACCTCTTCAAAAAGTTAGAATTTATTATAATTAAAATTTAAAGACAAAAATTATGCACAGAATTCTTGATCTGTACTTCTGACTCTTTTCTTAGGACAGACTTCTAGAAATGCAATTACTAGGTGAGAGTGGAGCTATTTTTAAGGCCCTTGATTCATAATTCCAAAATATTTTCCAGGAAGGTTATGCCAATCTAATACCTACCCAAATTTTGTTTTTCGGACAGTTATGGCAGATACCGCTGATTGTCCACCCAATATCTACTCTTTCCTCTTCCCTGCGGACAGACCCTGATTTTGTTAAGGATAGCAATGTGCCCAACTTAAATCTTCTCAGCCTCCCCTGCACCCAAACTGGCCACATGACACAGTTCTGGCCAATGAGATGTAAACGTAAGTTGTTGGGTGGGGCTTCTAGGAAAGTTATTTACAAGGAGGCAAACTCAACTAGAGCAAGATTTTTGCCCTTTGCCTTTTCTTTCTTTTCAGGCTGGAAGTGGGATCATATGCTATAGGTCATGGGTGTCTTGTAACCAGAAGGTGATGAGCATGAGGACACAAGCCACAAGGTCAGGCTGGGCAGGCAGACACAGAAGGAAGCAGAACTTTTGGTGGCACAGCGGAGCCATCACTCCAGTCCTAGACTGCCTGCTTCTATTCTCCTTGTTACCTAAGAAAAATAAAACCTAAGTCACTATAAATTGGGTTTTCTGTTGTGAGCATTCATACTTATTCCTAATTGATACAACAGAAATATTTGTGCATGTCTGAATTTAAAAAGAAAAAAGTTATGTATGGAGGAAGATCTGGGGATAAGAAAAATGAAGACATAGTGGAAACACAGTTTCTCTTTTGAAAAAATGAGAGAATAATGAGAGTCTGTATTAGGAAAATGACATGTCGCACTATATGGAGGTGAGGGACAAGTATGGTGGCTCACACCTGTAACCCCAGCATTTTGGGAGGCTGAGGTGGGAGGATTGCTTGAGCCCAGGAGTTTGTGACCAGCCTGGGCAACATAGTGAGATCCTGTATCTACAAAATATAAAATTAGGTGGACATGGTAGAGTGTGCCTGTCGTCCCAGCTACTCAGGAGGCTGAGGTGGGAGGATTGCTTGAGCCTGGAGGTTGAGGCTGCAGTGAGCCGTGATTGTATCACTGCACTCCAGCCTGGGCAACAGAGCGAGACACTGTCTCAAAAACAATTTTTTAAATAAAAAGGATGTGGGGGCCAGGCGCAGTGGCTCGTGCCTGTAATCCCAGCACTTTGGGAGGCCGAGGCGGGCAGATCATGAGGGCAAGAGATCAAGACCATCCTGGCCAACATGGTGAAACCCCGTCTCTGCTAAAAATACAAAAATTAGCTGGGTGTGGTGGCATGTGCCTGTAGTCCCAGCTACTTGGGAGGCTGAGGCAGGAGAATTGCTTGAACCCGGGAGGGGGAGGTTGCAGTGAGATCGTGCCACTGCACTCCAGCTTGGAGACAGAGTGAGACTCCATCTCAAAAAATAAAAAAATAAAAAATTTAAAAAAAGATATTAGGGTGGTCTGAAGATGTTTTCACCAATGGCCTCAGAGATCTTCACTGTCCAGGTAGGATTAAGGAAGCTCCCTTAATACTTCAAAGGAAACTAACTGTTCTTCTGCACATTCTCATTTCCTTTTACTTTCTGTGTTGATCCTAGGTAATTCTTCCTTGGACTTTTTCTTCCATATCTTCTACCTCACTGAAGGACTGAAGAAGGTTGACTGTGTTAGAAATTAAACTGAGGCACGATTAACAATTCAAAGAGTTTATTTGAGCAAACGAAAATCCATGGATTGGGCAGCACCCAACCGTGGACTGGAGCTTCATTTGAGAGGCTTGAAGGAAAGGCTTTTATAAGGTGAATGAGGAAGCAAAGCATGGAAAATAATTGATTGTTTACAATTATGTTGTTGCCTTATTTGGATTACCCAGATAAAAGTCCCCTAGTTATGTAATTGGAGGTTAGCTGGAGGTTTTGGATTGGTGAAGCTTAAATTTCATTTCCTCTCAGTCAGTCATTTATAAGAAATGCATTTGACTTAGGTTTTGGTTTGCTTCTGTGGGAACCCAAGGCATTACAGCCACTTCAGTCTGATGGTTCCTCTTTAAGTGGGCCAGCAAATAATGCTTAAGGATGAAAGAGCAGGAAGAGGCCCTGAGCCCAGAAAATGCCTGTCCACTCGTAGATGCTAGGTGCTTGGGACACAAAAATGCTCAGGCACAGTCCCTGTCCTCAGGGAATCCCAAGAGGTTAGAAAAAGGGACATATATTTTTACAGTGCCATAAACAAATGGAGTTGAGATTACAGGAAAAAAACAGGAGGCATCTCCCCAATCCAAGGGAGGCAGGTCTATGACTTGGAAGAAAAGCAGGAGTTGCCACTACAACCACCTTTGGTGGCCTGCCTGTTTCCATGTCCTTTACTGGCTCCTCTTTACCAACCCTATCTCTTCTTAATTTTGTTTATTATTTATTTAGAGACAGAGTCTTGCTCTGTCGCCCAGGCTAGAGTGCAATCTCAGATCACTATTACTTCTGCCTCCCAGGTTGAAGCAATTCTCGTGCCTCAGCCTCCCAAGCAGCTGGGATTACAGGCATGCACCACCAGGCTCAGGTGATTTTTATATTTTTAGTAGAGAAAATACAAAAATTTTCCCCATGTTAGCCAGGAGTTGGTCTCGAACTCCTGGCCTCAAGTGATCCACCTGCCTCAGCCTCCCAAAGTGCTGGGATTACAAGTGTGAGCCGCCACACCCGTCTAAATTTGCTGTTATTAACAGACAGGATCCTGGGATCCCAGACTTCCTGCCAGCCAGTTTACAAAGGCCAAGAGAGCATGGGAAACTGAGATGAATTCTGACAGGAGAATTCCTGGAGTGAAAAAAAAGACGTGGCAATTATGGGAAGAAATAGGAAGGTCCCTGCAGGGTTAGGAAAAGACTGAATAAAAATTCCTAAGTGTCTAATCAGTATTGTAACTGTTGATCACCCACAGAGTCCTGGTTCTTTAGGAAGAAATATATCTGGAGCAGAGGAAAGCAATTGGTTAGCTTCTATAGCTTGGAAATATCCCTCCTGAATAACCACTCCCTTATGCTTTAATTTGGCCTCCACCAGTAGCATCAGGGTCTGGAGCTGTTATGAGCCGGGTCCACTAGCAGGGCACATAAGGGGAAGCAAGTTACTCACCTGGGTCACAGAAAGAAAAGACTCACACCCTTGATGCCCCACTGCCTCTGTGCATCCAAAGGGTCTGAATGTGTTTCCCAGGACGTGACATCAGGTGTCAGATGACAATTCCCATGGCCATCCTGGCGATGCTTGGGCTACAAGTTATGCAAGGAGCCTCTGATTATCTGAATGTATTCAGCAATGCGACAGTCATACACCTACGATTTGCTTTGTGTAGTCAATGTGGTGCAAGCTGGCCTTGTATAGAAATTTATGCAAACATTTCTACTTAGCCCAAATAGGACAAGTACATAATATTAATGAGTTTACTGTAACAACTAAATGTTATAATACTTAAACATCTTCTGTCATTTAATAGCTCTCAGTGAGAGCTATTTATTTAATACTCACAAGTCTGTAAAATAAAATCAATGAAAAGTAAATGAAAATGAATCATAGGGAAAAGTTCGCCTAGGATACCTGAAATTTCAGTGACTGGTTATGGGTTGGAAAATGAGTTTGAATAAAAAGAAAAAAAATGGTATGTTATCCATTGCATAGAGACAAATTCTTTAAATTCATCTGAATTTTTGAATCATTGAATTTTAAATTTCTATTTAAACAGAATTTAAATTAAAACATTCTTCAGGCTGGGCGCAGTGGCTCACACCTGTAATCCCAGCACTTTGGGAGGCTGAGGCGGGTAGATCACCTGAGGTCAAGAGATCAAGACCATTCTGGCCAACATGGTGAAACCCCGTCTCTACTAAAAATACAAAAATTAGCTGGGTGTGGTGGCGCACTCCTGTAGTCCCAGCTACTTGGGAGGCTGAGGCAGGAGAATCACTTGAACCTGGAAGGCGGAAGTTGCAGTGAGCTGAGATCGCGCCATTGCACTCCAGCCTGGTGACAGAGCAAGACTCTATCTCAAAAACAACAACAACAAAAATAAACAAAAACAAAAAAACTATATGACATCTGCAAGTTTGTATTGTCCTTCATATTTAACTAAGTATTCCCTTAGGCATCCATGGGGCTAAGTATCAACATTTGGTTAAGCCAGCAAATTATTTAAAAGTATCTCCTGCCCCATAGCTGGCACAGTCATGGCCTCTGTTGATGACCATTTGTGTGTGTGTGTGTGTGTGTGTGTGTGTGTGTGTGTGTGTGAGAGAGAGAGAGAGAGAGAGAGAGACAGTCTCACTCTGTCACCCAGGCTAGAGTCCAGTGGCTTGATCTCGGCTCACTGCAACCTCTGCCTCCCAGGTTCCAGTGATTCTCTTGCCTCAGCCTCCCTAGTGGCTGGGATTACAGGTGCGTGCTACCATGCCTGGCTAATTTTTGTATTTTGAGCACAGATGGGGTTTCACCATATTGGCCAGGCTGGTCTCGAACTCCTGACCTCAAGTGATCCTCCAGCCTCGGCCTCCCAAAGTGTTGGGATTACAGGCATGAGCCACCACGCCTGGCCGGCTTTTCTTATATAGGGGTCTTATCTATATAAAAGCTAAGCTATGTCTATGTGTGGGTGGGCTAACAGCGTGACATAATTTATTATTTTTCTGATTTAAAGAAAACTATCTTTGGCATTTTGGTGCCTAAGTACATCAAAGCATGTCTGTAATCATCTGAAAAGCATATACTGTTATGTGATATTGGGAGAACTGGACATTCTGCTGTCCTAGAAGTTTATTCTTGCTGGTGTTATTAAGCTGTTTACTCAGCCATAAACATCTTAAGACCATGGGTGGTGACTGGCAAGGAACATGCCTTGCTAGTTTGAAGATGGAGCTGATTTTACACTTGATCTTAGACAAAAGGCCAAGAAGCAATAAGATGGAATTGATTTTAAAGTGGTGTTACCCTGGCTCTCCTATTCTTCTGTTTCCCTAACAATACCACGCCATACAATTCATCCTTTTAAAGTGGACAATTCAGTGTCTTTTAGTACAGGTGTGCCTCGGCTTACAACAGGGTTACATCCTGATAAATCCACCATGTTGAAAATATTGTAAGTCAAAAATGCATTTAATCCACCTCACCTACTGAACACCATGGCTCAGCCTTGCCTACTCTAAACATGCTCAGAACACTTACATTAGCCCACAGTGGTCTAACATAATCAGACACAAGCCTATTTTATAATAAACTGTTGAATATCTCATGTAACTTATTGAAGACTGCACCAAAAATGAAAGCAAAATGTCGTATGGGCTCTTGAAGTAAGGTTTCTACTGAACGCATACTGCTTTCGCACCATCATAAACCCCAAAAATGGTAAGTCGGCTGGGCATGGTGGCTCACGCCTGTAATCCCAACACTTTGGGAGGCTGAGACAGGTGGATCATCTGAAGTCAGGAGTTCCAGACCAGCCTGACCAACATTGTGAAACCCCATGTCTACTAAAAAAAAAAAAAAAAAAAAAAGAAAGAAAAAAATTAGCGGGGCTTCGTGGTGCATACCTGTAATCTCAGCTACTCCGGAGGCTGAGGCATGAGAATCGCTCGAACCCGGGAGGCAGAGGTTGCAGTGAGCTGAGATAGTGCCACTGCACTCCAGCCTCAACAATAGAGCAAGACTGTGTCTAAAAAAAAAAATCATCAAGTAGAACCATGGTAAATTGGGGACCATCTGTATAGCTACTATGACCTGCAACATCTTTCCCTTTGCCAAGCATCTATACTTCCCACAAAATTATTGGACCGTTATATATCATTCACTCCGAAATCGCCTTTCAGGACTGTGGTTTACTTTGTGTCCACAATATTCTGCTCCATCACTGTTGCTATGGTTGCATGTTGACCTCACTCAACCACCTGCATGAGCACCAGAAACTCTTCTAGAAAAAAAAAAGCTTTTGACTATTTTCCTTAAAAGTCCTTAAAAATGGTCTTTAAATTGATAGGGGAGCGTCTGGGTTTGTTGTTGTCTTAAAATAGCCTCTACATACAGCTTCTGTAAGTAGAAAAAAGGCCATCTTATCTGTGCCACTGTGCAGTGAGTAAACAACAACAAACTGTTCTTGGCAAACATCTCCTACGTAAGATGCTTCCTTCTTCCAGGTCTTAAAAGGAACACATGAGATGAGGAACCCCAAGAAAATTATGCCTTTAGCTTTTGCTTTTTTTAATGGTCTTGTTCTGTCCTTCAGGCTGGAGTGTAGTGGCACAATCATAGCTCGTCGTAGCCTTGACCTCCTGGTCTCAAGTGATCCTCCCACCTCAGCCTCCTTCCTGAATAGCTAGACAGGCACACGCCACCATACCTGCCTAATTTTAAAAATTATTGTGTAGAAATGAGGTCTTGCTATGTTGCCCAGGCTAGTGTTGAACTCCTGGTCTAAAGGGATCTTCCTGCCTCAGCCTCCCAAAGTGCTGGGATTACAGGCATGAACCATGGTGCCCCACCTGGCTTTCCAGTTCTACGAAGTGGGCGAGCGGCTCACATGTGTGGATACAGCACCTACAGCATCAGCATTGCCTGGAATTGGTTAAAATGCAACTACTCCACTTTGGGAGGCTGAGGCAGGCAGATCACCTGAGGTCCGGAGTTCGAGGCCAGACTGGCCAACATGGTGATACCCCGTCTTTACTAAAAATACAAAAAAAAAAAAAATTAGCTGGGCCTGGTGACGGGTGCCTGTAATCCCAGCTACTTGGGAGGCTGAGGCAGGAGAATCACTTGAACCCAGGAGGCAGAGGTTGCAGTGAGCCGAGATTGCACCACTTTCTAGCCTGGCGACAAAAGCAAGAGCGAGACTCTATCTCAAAAAAAAAAAAAAAAGAAAAGAAAAGAAAAGAAAAAGCAACTACTCAGCTCCATCAGACCTGCTCGCTCAGAAACCCTTGGGGAGGGCCATGTGATCCGTGTTTCCACGAGCCCCCCAGGTGGTTCTGATGATGCAGACTCAGATTTGAGGAGGCCGAGGAAGGATCCTCAGGTGAAGGAGGGAAGGAACTGCCTTTACAGCCGGTGAAAGCACCTGACACAGTTCTCTAGAGCAGGACATACTTCTTGTTTTATCTTTTAAATTCAAAATAAAATCACTTTTGTGTGGGTATAGTCATATTAGTTTTAGAAAAAATCAGCCCATTTTCCAGTGTGCACACACTTTATTCCAAGAATATCTTACCCAAGGCGGAAATTCAAAAATTAAATGCCTAGAGGAAAACTGAAGCATTCGCCATCATTCCTGTCAAGGAAACATTATTAATCTCCATATTACCTTTTATTTTTTGTTTGTATGTGTGTGTGTGTATATGTGTGTTTGGAGACGGAATTTCACTCTTGTTGCCTAGGCTAGAGTGCAATGGCACAATCTCGGCGCACCACAACCTCTGCCTTCTGGGTTCAAGCGTTTCTCCTACCTCAGCTGCCTGAGTAGTTGGGATTACAGAAACCTGCCATCAGGCCTGGCTAATTTTTTTGTATTTTTAGTAGAGACGGGGGTTTCACCACATTGACCAGGCTGGTCTTGAGCTCCTGACCTCAGGTGATCCAAACGCCTCCACCTCCCAAAGTGTTGGGATTACAGGTGTGAGGCACCACGCCTGGCTCATATTACTTTTTAAATCATAATATTTTACAGAGAATTTGATTATATCCATTGACAATAAAAACACAAATATTAATTTTAAATGTTTTATTACACATTTCCTTTGAAATTTTCAATACAATAGTGCATTTTTAATCCGCAAAAAATGTTACAATGGTAGTATCTATGCACACAATAATATAAACATGTAGGAGGTGTGTGTTCACATTTTTGGAAATGGACAGAACAAAGGGGAAGAAGCCTGCACCTCAATACTCAGGGCAGAGATAGGCCCCTCTAGGGCTGCATTTGAGGTCAGCACCAACCGTGTGCAAAGCTGATCTGGGCCTGCTGCAGAAAAGAGGCTAAACTCATGTACCCCACCTGTCCTCACTTTCCTCCTGTCCTCTGTGAAAGGGACAGGAGAATAACGGTCCCTTACCTGCCACTTGGCAGCTGTGGCCCTTGGGCAAGTAAGTCCCTTTCCTCCTCTGAGCCCACTTTCCCAAGGTACTCAGTCACAGAGAGAAGCTAGACCTGAGGGGGATGTTAAGGCCTCCTCCCAAGTGGAGAGTGGTGGACATCCATCAACACCTCCATCGGCACGGAATTAGCTCGTTTTCCAGACCGCCATGATCTATTTCACAGCTCAGTTTAGTGGGGGAAGAACAGGACTGTGCTGGGGCTCCTGGCTAGACCCCAGCTCTGCCTTTTGCTGCAAGCAAGGCCTTGGCCAGGACACAGCCCCTGTGTCCCCAGGTTTTCTCCTCTGTCATATGGGAATGATCCGATAGGGTTATAGGGATGATTAGACTGAACAACAGCAAGGGTATAAAATTGTGCCCAGCATAAGCAATCAGTGGTGTAATAGGTCAGGAGAAGGTGACCTGCAGGGCTCAGCGGTGATCGGGAGAGGTGATCACAATCAGCAGCTGGAGAGAGCCTCCAGGTCTTGGGAAACACTGCATTTCGACACAGGCAGTTTCACAGCATATTCAATTTCAGACACCATACACACCACATGCTTAGGATACCCGGACTTTATGTTGGTGTATTATTCTTTGCAGAAAGCATTTTAGTTTTAGTTTAGGTTTTGTTTTAAAGCCGGACCTGAGAATTAGAAGACAATCCTGGGAAACGTTCAGGCCTCTGCAGGCTGAGATGGGGCCCAGGACTATATCTCTGAGGAGGAAAGAGGAACCCATTGAATTTTGGGGAGTACAGGGAGCAGAGAGAAATTGCACTGGGTGTGCGTGTGCGTGCGTGCATGTGTGTATGTGCGTACACAAACAGAGGGGCTGGAGGAGGAAATCAGCAAGGCCCAGAGAAGGGTAGAGGATCTCGAGGCCCGAAGGGCTGGTACCGCACTTGGCTGGATGGCAGCACAGTGGCCTGAGGTTCATGGGTCATTTTTGCCCCCTCTCCATGCTCACGGACCCTTCATGACTGTCCACAGCTCTGAGATGTGGGCCTTGCCAGCTAGAACCAGGCATGCTCTCTGCCCATTTCTGAGGCAGTCGTTGGGACTGTGGGGCCGTGGACCCCGCCAGGCTGGCCTGTCCCCGGACACTCAGGATGCACTTCGGCCTCCTGGCTCCTGCAGGCACCTGCACGAGCCTCCTTTTGAAGGTAATTTCAGGAGTTGTTACAGCAACACCTGTGAACTGAGGCGGACGACAGGGCCACCACAGAGGTGACACTGTGTGCAGGGAGGGGAGAGGGGAGCCACCTCTAGCTTTGTTTCCTGTGCCCCCAGGGAGTTGCCACTCATAGTGGGCTCCACCCTCCCCCCACCAACATGTTCCCTATCATCCTCCAACAGCCACTGCCACCGTGCCCAGGGCCATCCGCACCGCTGAGTCCTGCACAGACCAGGGACCATCGGTCACCCCATCACTTTGAGTTTCCTTCTGCCTGGGCCACATCCAGATTCTGGGATGGTTTCCACACTCAGCCTCACTTTGCCTTTGACGCGCTATGGCCTAAATGTCAGTGTCTCCCAAATTTGTATGTTGAAGCCTAATTCCCAATGGGAATTCTACCAATGGGGTAGAATGAACAGGTGGGGCCTTTGGGAATGCCCTGAAACCAGACAGACTTTCTGAATAATCCCCTCCTGAAGGAAGGTAGTGCTCTCATCAAACAGGCTCCAGCAACCTCCCTTGTCCCCTTCGGCCACATGAGGACACAGCTAGAGGCACTGCCCTAAGGAATGGGTCCTCACCAGGCACTGAATCCTCAGGCATCTTGATCTCGGACTTCTCAGCCTTCAGAACTTTGACGACATATTTCGAGCGTCAGTAACTCCCCAGGCTAATGCACTTTGTTAGAGGAGCCCACCGGACTAGGACGGGCCCTCCCTTCTCACCTGACGTCACATCCTCCCAGGATCCGCCCCTCACAAACTCATGCGTTGCGGGAATTCCTCGGGTGAAGGGGCCAGGAGAGGACCCTGTAAACTGCTCACAGGCAATCAGAGGTCCCTTAGAATGGGGAGGACAGCAAGCACGACAGGAATCTATCAACAATGCACGACACACAGGACCCCAGCAGACCCTCACAGAAAAGGATCAAAGAGGGGAGGCAGGAGAGGGGACCCTCCACCACAGTGTGACAGCCTCCCACCCAGAACAGGGCAGTGGCAGAAGACGCAGGGAGAAGAGCCAACAAGAAGAAAGTGAGCCAGAAGATGCACCTCTCAGAGCCCAGAGTGGCTCCTGCTGTGTGCAGAGCCCAGGAACACCAGAAATCAGAGCTGCGTCTATGGTCCAAAGGGACGAGTCAGTCATTGACCACATCCTACATCACAAAACAGGGGACTTTTCTAGAGTGAAGGCAAGGAGAGAACCTATTCACCACCCAAGAATGTATTCACCACCGAGGTGGGGAGCAAATATACAAGATTGGCGGGACTGCCAGGCCCCGCCTTTTCCCACAGAGGAAGAGGATGAAGCCACATTCTGCAGGCTCTAGCAGGCTCCGAAGTTGGGGGCTGTGATCAAGAATAGGAAGGTCACACTCAGAGTTGGAAAGGCCCAGAAAACTAGGAAGTCCCCCCGTCAGCTACTGTGCCCCAGGCCACCCCTGTCCACCCACCCCAGTGCCTCCTGTCCCAGGGAGAAGAGTCTCTGGGTCCAGGACCCGAGGTCTGCAGAGACTCAGGAGACACAGAGTCCAGGGGTTCGCCACAAGCTTCATCCGAGGGTAAAATGCAAACCAGGATGAGGCATTTGATTCAGGGTCCTCCTGCACTGAGAAGAGGAAGGACAAGAAGAGCCATGGCCAAAGCAGGGGGAGTCAGGATGAGGCAGAGGCCCAGCTGCAGGCAGAGCCACCTCTGTGGTCCTAACCCGGGGATGCCAGGTTCCTCCGGCCACCCCCTCCCCATACTCCCCAGCTGGCTTGGGAGGAGGCTTGCCATCACTATCCCGAAATTCTGCTCCAACACTACGCATATAGAGCTTCTGACTCTCTAGAAGCAACGTCTGCATACGCCAAGACAACTTGAATGACCCCCACCTAGCACGGCTCTCTAGTGACGCCCTCTGTCTGGCATCAGCTGGACTTCTGTGTCTCTTCTATCAGCCATGCTGGCTGCTGTCAAGGCAGTGCTTGGGTTTAAGGGATCCCAGGACTTTGTGCTCAGAGCGTGCAGGGCTCCACCTCACCCTTCCTGAGCGCCTGCCTGGGCTGCCCACGCACACCTGCGCTGGGGAGGGGCAGAGGCGGCCACACCCACCCACATCTAACCCTTCCTCTGGGCCAGCTGTTCACAGGCCAATAACTCCAAAATGCCACCCGTTCTTCATACATTTCCAAAAGAAGGAATGAAGAATACGGTGGCATGTTCACAAGCCTTTTTCTTCTGGAGGAAAAACAAAACTTTGACCAATGACACAGATAAACCAAATGTCTGCCCTGCTCCCTGACAATCCTTCACTTTCTGCAACCACGTGCAGAGGTGGGTACGGACAAGGCCACTGAGGCTCCTATGAAAATAAACCTCTCAGTCACCTTGAAAGATGGAGACATGCCATGGAGCTTCCTATTTCACCAAATGTGGAGGGGACGTTTTGGTGTGGCAGATCCTGCATTCCAAGAGTAAAGAAGAAACAGGACCCACTGCTGGGACCCGGGGCCAGCAGCCCCAGGAGTCCCTGGGCATTCAGCTGGAGGTGGCTCCCACTGCATTACCACCCACGGTGCAGCAGCCCCCCCGTTCTTCCCTTCTGTCCATCAGGACCCATGGAACTGGGCACCCGGCTCTGGGGTATGGAGAGCACACAGGAGGCCTGGCTCCTCCTCACCCCTGACTCTACAGAATTGAGTCTCAACTCAAGTCCCACATACAGGTCTTGGCTTTCTTTCCTGTTCCAACCCCAGAGAGGGCACCGATGCCCAGAGTGAGGGGACGGTTACTTGACCTCCAGGTGTGGAGCATCCCTGGCCAGCTGCTGGGAACCCCGCAGACCGAGGGTGTGGCTGGTACAGGGGGAAAGTGAGATCCTCTCCTCCTCTCTCCTGCCAAGAGGGGGCCAAGGAGAGAAGGGCCAGGGAAAGGTCCACTAACAAAACTGAGTGGGGAGGAGGGGTGACAGTCACAGCTTTCTACACGGAATCCTGCATGCCACAGGAAGTGTCCCCACCTGCTTCCATGCTGGGAACACAGTATTAGACCTCGGCACGAGCCACATGTCCCTGCCCACCCCTCGCCCAGAGGGGGATCAGGAACAGGAAGGAGTTTCCAGTGCCATGGACAAGCCCCGGGTGAGCACAGGATGGGGGGTCCTGCTGTGGTGGGTCCTGGGCTGACCGGAGCAGGCCCTAGAAGCAGGCGAGGTGCTGTGCAGTCTGCAGCGTAACTCTGAACTTGACAATGAGGTCTCCCCGCTGAGTGCATACCTTGAGGAAGAGAAGCATCTTTCCATGGAGTCTGCCCCATTGCCTGCCAATGGCATTCGTGCCCATCTAGAGGACCAGCCGCCGCCCCTGCTGGCTGCCAATGTCCTTTCAGGCAAACACGGCACCTTGAGAAAATGAGGCAGAGAGTGAGGGAAGGGTTTGAGTAGGAAAGTCACCAGCTGGTACTGACAAGGACACTGAGGGAACAGTGGTTCCATCTGAGCAGAAGTGTGTGCCAGGGCTTCTCTTGGAGCACAAAGACAATGCTGCAGGGATGGCTTCTGGCCTGGAAACTCCCTTTTTGGAAAGTGACCTGTGGCTCCAGGTAGCTGTTCTGTGTGCGACGGTGCTGAATCTTGTCCTTGTCCTTGGTGGGACCCCCTGTGCTCAGGGTGGAGGAGCTCTCTGTGACCTCCCTGGACCAGGTAGCGCCACGGGAGATCCCCTTCAGGCACTCTTGCACACAGGTCTGCCCCGCCATCTGCAGGAAGCGTGCGGTGTTCCCGGCTCTCCTTAGACACTCTCAGCAGCTGAAGTCACTCCAAGCATCCAAGGGAGGCTTCTCCCTGCACCTCTGGGTCATGTGGTCAAGGCCAATGCAGGGCAGAGGAGTGACCGCTGGAAAAGAAGAGCCCAGATGAAGTGCAGTCACCTACCTGAGGCCGGGCTCCCCTGGAAGTCCCCATGAAGTAAGTCTAGGAAGAAACCACCAGAGGGCCCCTAGATACCCAGTGGGGAGGGAAAGGGCAGTGCGGCTCGTCTTCATGGAGCGATTGCTACAGTGCTGGGATTTCATCACGCCTGCTAGCTTCATTAGTTACTATTCCCATGAAAAAGTAACACAGTAATGCAACATTTTATTTTATTTTATTTTGTTAATTTTTTTTTTGGACGGAATCTTTCTGTGTTGCCCAGGCTGGAGTGCAGTGGCAAGATCTCGGCTCACTGCAACCTCCACCTCCCAGGTTCAAATAATTATCCTGCCTCAGCCTCCCCAGTAGCTGGGATTACAGGCACCCGCCACCATACCTGACCAATTTTTGTATTTTTAGTAGAGACGGGGTTTCACCAGGTTGGCCAGGCTGATCTTGAACCCCTGACCTCAGATGATCTGCCCGCCTTGCCCTCCAAAAGTGCTGAGATTACAGGCGTGAGGCACCATGCCCGGCCTTAATGCAACATTTTAAAAATCAAAATTCATGCTAAATATTCCATTGTGAGCAAAATATCCACATTTTAAATCAAGCCATGGTCAGATCCTGTAACTGCAACACTCTGAGAGTTGTACAAGCGTTGGGCACGATGGGAAACTAAATTTTGGCAAATTCCATTCAACCTATAAAGTTGTCACCAAAGAAAAGGAAAAGTACTCACTTGCGGAATGTTCCAGACAGCTCCCAGGCACACTGCACTGCCAGAGATGGGGGATCTGCTCCCCGAGGACTGGGGCTTTTCCAATGAAGGCCATTTTCCAGTTTCGTCTAAAAGCACAGAAGGACTTCGTGAAATGTTTGGCTTCTTCCTAAGGGAAGGAGGTGCCTACAGCGTTGCCATCACTGCTGCTGGCCACAGGAAGATGCGTACATATCGTCCCGCCCTAAGATCGTGTTTTGAAAGTGGGCGACTTTGGAAATTAACTGAGGCTGTAACCGCAGAGCTGACGGGATGGGGGAGCTGCTCTGATGAGTCTCCAGAGCGGCCCGGTGACCGCAGGAGCTCTGAGTCATCAAAGACCGGGGCCAGGGAGCCTGGAAGAGGAAGGGCCCGCTGCTCCCGGGCCACGCCGGGACACATGAGTTAGGGGCAAAATTTAATGCCGCAACAAAGCGACTCATTTTTTTGGAACTGAGGCTGTTCCAGAACTTCTTACTCACTCTCGGCGCCGCCCCCGCGCTTCCAGGCCCCGGACCCGCCGCAAACACCGCTGGGCTTGGACTCAAACCGCGGTCCGGTCCCACCCGGTCTGGTCCAGTCCCGTTGGAGGCGGCGGTTGGGCTCAGCGCCAGGCGCGCGCCCTCTGCTGGCCGTTGGGAAGCGGCGAGGGAAGCGCTGAGCTCGCGGCCGAGCGGTGGTCGCTCGCCCCCTCGCGGGCTCTCCCGGAATCGCTGACATTCTCCGTCCCTTGCTCTCTGCTCCTGGCTGGGGATGCTCCATTTACATGGATTGGAATAGACCTAAGCACCACAATTACAAAATCAGTTATACGGTAATCAAAGCCTCAAAACACCAGGTAACCCATGTTCTAAATCACTGTTTGGGAGACAGCCAAACAGGTGAGTCACCTGATGAGAAATACCTGCCCCAACCTCTTACATGAAAGAAAAATTTGTAATACAATCAAGCTACTGGTCACTGTTTATTTTTATAATACCTACCAGTTTTAACAAAATACCATTCTGAAGAAAGTGTCACAAGATAAGTTCAAACAGAAGAACAGCAAATGCCATTTTATATCATTGTAATAGATCAAAGAATATTACAAATAATATTCATTCAAGGAATACAAATTTTCTTCTCTCTAAACATTTTTGTAACTCATAATGTACAAGATATTGTCAAAATAATTCCATGATTTTGGTACTAATATTTGCCAACCGGGGCAAAAGAGTTGCGATTTCTTTTTGAGCTGGGCAAACCATCTGTATAATTGATTAGAAAGAGCCACAAGTTTAACTTCCTCTACAGTTTTCCTGTGGGAAACGTCACATGAAGGGAAATAAAACCATATTTTCATGTAATGTAATTTTTTTTAAGATGGGGTCTTGTTATGTTACCCAGGCTGGTCTCTAACTTTGGCCTCAAGGGATCCTTCCCCCTCAGCCTCTCACCTCTCTCACCTCCAGCCTCCCAAATGCTAGGATTACAGGCGTGATACATCGCGCCTGGTGGAAGAAGAGCACTTCAATTTCACCCCTAAAAACCTCCCAGGCAAAGACTGTATTTCTTTGCCTTCAGATGGGGGCAAATTTTTGGAAGAACCTTTAGACAGCGATTCCCAAACAGGGACAAAGTAGATTTCCTGCTTTCATCTTCCTGATAGTGATCAAGGCTGGAGGGTAGTAGTTTCTCCAGGAGATCTTATCTCACGCACCACCATGGCCCTCCATGTCCAGCTGGTTGAAGCCTGCAGAATGTGGTGGTGGGAACAGGAGTCTTGGGTCTTCTGGATTTTGAGACTATGTCCTGTTTCCCAAGAGAACTAGGAGCAGGTCTTTGTATTCAGGCCTGACTAAGAGGAGATACTATTCAGATATCTACTATTCAGGTATCTCAAATGCATGAAGATGTCCTTACTTTTAAGCCATGGCTCCAAGGCGTATCCCAGGAAAGGGAGCAGGCAAGGCTGGAGCAGAGCGTCCCCAGCCAGGAGCAGAGAGCAAGGGACGGAGAATGTCAGCGATTCCGGGAGAGCCCGCGAGGGGGCGAGCGACCACCGCTCGGCCGCGAGCTCAGCGCTTCCCTCGCCGCTTCCCAACGGCCAGCAGAGGGCGCGCGCCTGGCGCTGAGCCCAACCGCCGCCTCCAACGGGACTGGACCAGACCGGGTGGGACCGGACCGCGGTTTGAGTCCAAGCCCAGCGGTGTTTGCGGCGGGTCCGGGGCCTGGAAGCGCGGGGGCGGCGCCGAGAGTGAGTAAGAAGTTCTGGAACAGCCTCAGTTCCAAAAAAATGAGTCGCTTTGTTGCGGCATTAAATTTTGCCCCTAACTCATGTGTCCCGGCGTGGCCCGGGAGCAGCGGGCCCTTCCTCTTCCAGGCTCCCTGGCCCCGGTCTTTGATGACTCAGAGCTCCTGCGGTCACCGGGCCGCTCTGGAGACTCATCAGAGCAGCTCCCCCATCCCGTCAGCTCTGCGGTTACAGCCTCAGTTAATTTCCAAAGTCGCCCACTTTCAAAACACGATCTTAGGGCGGGACGATATGTACGCATCTTCCTGTGGCCAGCAGCAGTGATGGCAACGCTGTAGGCACCTCCTTCCCTTAGGAAGAAGCCAAACATTTCACGAAGTCCTTCTGTGCTTTTAGACGAAACTGGAAAATGGCCTTCATTGGAAAAGCCCCAGTCCTCGGGGAGCAGATCCCCCATCTCTGGCAGTGCAGTGTGCCTGGGAGCTGTCTGGAACATTCCGCAAGTGAGTACTTTTCCTTTTCTTTGGTGACAACTTTATAGGTTGAATGGAATTTGCCAAAATTTAGTTTCCCATCGTGCCCAACGCTTGTACAACTCTCAGAGTGTTGCAGTTACAGGATCTGACCATGGCTTGATTTAAAATGTGGATATTTTGCTCACAATGGAATATTTAGCATGAATTTTGATTTTTAAAATGTTGCATTAAGGCCGGGCATGGTGCCTCACGCCTGTAATCTCAGCACTTTTGGAGGGCAAGGCGGGCAGATCATCTGAGGTCAGGGGTTCAAGATCAGCCTGGCCAACCTGGTGAAACCCCGTCTCTACTAAAAATACAAAAATTGGTCAGGTATGGTGGCGGGTGCCTGTAATCCCAGCTACTGGGGAGGCTGAGGCAGGATAATTATTTGAACCTGGGAGGTGGAGGTTGCAGTGAGCCGAGATCTTGCCACTGCACTCCAGCCTGGGCAACACAGAAAGATTCCGTCCAAAAAAAAAATTAACAAAATAAAATAAAATAAAATGTTGCATTACTGTGTTACTTTTTCATGGGAATAGTAACTAATGAAGCTAGCAGGCGTGATGAAATCCCAGCACTGTAGCAATCGCTCCATGAAGACGAGCCGCACTGCCCTTTCCCTCCCCACTGGGTATCTAGGGGCCCTCTGGTGGTTTCTTCCTAGACTTACTTCATGGGGACTTCCAGGGGAGCCCGGCCTCAGGTAGGTGACTGCACTTCATCTGGGCTCTTCTTTTCCAGCGGTCACTCCTCTGCCCTGCATTGGCCTTGACCACATGACCCAGAGGTGCAGGGAGAAGCCTCCCTTGGATGCTTGGAGTGACTTCAGCTGCTGAGAGTGTCTAAGGAGAGCCGGGAACACCGCACGCTTCCTGCAGATGGCGGGGCAGACCTGTGTGCAAGAGTGCCTGAAGGGGATCTCCCGTGGCGCTACCTGGTCCAGGGAGGTCACAGAGAGCTCCTCCACCCTGAGCACAGGGGGTCCCACCAAGGACAAGGACAAGATTCAGCACCGTCGCACACAGAACAGCTACCTGGAGCCACAGGTCACTTTCCAAAAAGGGAGTTTCCAGGCCAGAAGCCATCCCTGCAGCATTGTCTTTGTGCTCCAAGAGAAGCCCTGGCACACACTTCTGCTCAGATGGAACCACTGTTCCCTCAGTGTCCTTGTCAGTACCAGCTGGTGACTTTCCTACTCAAACCCTTCCCTCACTCTCTGCCTCATTTTCTCAAGGTGCCGTGTTTGCCTGAAAGGACATTGGCAGCCAGCAGGGGCGGCGGCTGGTCCTCTAGATGGGCACGAATGCCATTGGCAGGCAATGGGGCAGACTCCATGGAAAGATGCTTCTCTTCCTCAAGGTATGCACTCAGCGGGGAGACCTCATTGTCAAGTTCAGAGTTACGCTGCAGACTGCACAGCACCTCGCCTGCTTCTAGGGCCTGCTCCGGTCAGCCCAGGACCCACCACAGCAGGACCCCCCATCCTGTGCTCACCCGGGGCTTGTCCATGGCACTGGAAACTCCTTCCTGTTCCTGATCCCCCTCTGGGCGAGGGGTGGGCAGGGACATGTGGCTCGTGCCGAGGTCTAATACTGTGTTCCCAGCATGGAAGCAGGTGGGGACACTTCCTGTGGCATGCAGGATTCCGTGTAGAAAGCTGTGACTGTCACCCCTCCTCCCCACTCAGTTTTGTTAGTGGACCTTTCCCTGGCCCTTCTCTCCTTGGCCCCCTCTTGGCAGGAGAGAGGAGGAGAGGATCTCACTTTCCCCCTGTACCAGCCACACCCTCGGTCTGCGGGGTTCCCAGCAGCTGGCCAGGGATGCTCCACACCTGGAGGTCAAGTAACCGTCCCCTCACTCTGGGCATCGGTGCCCTCTCTGGGGTTGGAACAGGAAAGAAAGCCAAGACCTGTATGTGGGACTTGAGTTGAGACTCAATTCTGTAGAGTCAGGGGTGAGGAGGAGCCAGGCCTCCTGTGTGCTCTCCATACCCCAGAGCCGGGTGCCCAGTTCCATGGGTCCTGATGGACAGAAGGGAAGAACGGGGGGGCTGCTGCACCGTGGGTGGTAATGCAGTGGGAGCCACCTCCAGCTGAATGCCCAGGGACTCCTGGGGCTGCTGGCCCCGGGTCCCAGCAGTGGGTCCTGTTTCTTCTTTACTCTTGGAATGCAGGATCTGCCACACCAAAACGTCCCCTCCACATTTGGTGAAATAGGAAGCTCCATGGCATGTCTCCATCTTTCAAGGTGACTGAGAGGTTTATTTTCATAGGAGCCTCAGTGGCCTTGTCCGTACCCACCTCTGCACGTGGTTGCAGAAAGTGAAGGATTGTCAGGGAGCAGGGCAGACATTTGGTTTATCTGTGTCATTGGTCAAAGTTTTGTTTTTCCTCCAGAAGAAAAAGGCTTGTGAACATGCCACCGTATTCTTCATTCCTTCTTTTGGAAATGTATGAAGAACGGGTGGCATTTTGGAGTTATTGGCCTGTGAACAGCTGGCCCAGAGGAAGGGTTAGATGTGGGTGGGTGTGGCCGCCTCTGCCCCTCCCCAGCGCAGGTGTGCGTGGGCAGCCCAGGCAGGCGCTCAGGAAGGGTGAGGTGGAGCCCTGCACGCTCTGAGCACAAAGTCCTGGGATCCCTTAAACCCAAGCACTGCCTTGACAGCAGCCAGCATGGCTGATAGAAGAGACACAGAAGTCCAGCTGATGCCAGACAGAGGGCGTCACTAGAGAGCCGTGCTAGGTGGGGGTCATTCAAGTTGTCTTGGCGTATGCAGACGTTGCTTCTAGAGAGTCAGAAGCTCTATATGCGTAGTGTTGGAGCAGAATTTCGGGATAGTGATGGCAAGCCTCCTCCCAAGCCAGCTGGGGAGTATGGGGAGGGGGTGGCCGGAGGAACCTGGCATCCCCGGGTTAGGACCACAGAGGTGGCTCTGCCTGCAGCTGGGCCTCTGCCTCATCCTGACTCCCCCTGCTTTGGCCATGGCTCTTCTTGTCCTTCCTCTTCTCAGTGCAGGAGGACCCTGAATCAAATGCCTCATCCTGGTTTGCATTTTACCCTCGGATGAAGCTTGTGGCGAACCCCTGGACTCTGTGTCTCCTGAGTCTCTGCAGACCTCGGGTCCTGGACCCAGAGACTCTTCTCCCTGGGACAGGAGGCACTGGGGTGGGTGGACAGGGGTGGCCTGGGGCACAGTAGCTGACGGGGGGACTTCCTAGTTTTCTGGGCCTTTCCAACTCTGAGTGTGACCTTCCTATTCTTGATCACAGCCCCCAACTTCGGAGCCTGCTAGAGCCTGCAGAATGTGGCTTCATCCTCTTCCTCTGTGGGAAAAGGCGGGGCCTGGCAGTCCCGCCAATCTTGTATATTTGCTCCCCACCTCGGTGGTGAATACATTCTTGGGTGGTGAATAGGTTCTCTCCTTGCCTTCACTCTAGAAAAGTCCCCTGTTTTGTGATGTAGGATGTGGTCAATGACTGACTCGTCCCTTTGGACCATAGACGCAGCTCTGATTTCTGGTGTTCCTGGGCTCTGCACACAGCAGGAGCCACTCTGGGCTCTGAGAGGTGCATCTTCTGGCTCACTTTCTTCTTGTTGGCTCTTCTCCCTGCGTCTTCTGCCACTGCCCTGTTCTGGGTGGGAGGCTGTCACACTGTGGTGGAGGGTCCCCTCTCCTGCCTCCCCTCTTTGATCCTTTTCTGTGAGGGTCTGCTGGGGTCCTGTGTGTCGTGCATTGTTGATAGATTCCTGTCGTGCTTGCTGTCCTCCCCATTCTAAGGGACCTCTGATTGCCTGTGAGCAGTTTACAGGGTCCTCTCCTGGCCCCTTCACCCGAGGAATTCCCGCAACGCATGAGTTTGTGAGGGGCGGATCCTGGGAGGATGTGACGTCAGGTGAGAAGGGAGGGCCCGTCCTAGTCCGGTGGGCTCCTCTAACAAAGTGCATTAGCCTGGGGAGTTACTGACGCTCGAAATATGTCGTCAAAGTTCTGAAGGCTGAGAAGTCCGAGATCAAGATGCCTGAGGATTCAGTGCCTGGTGAGGACCCATTCCTTAGGGCAGTGCCTCTAGCTGTGTCCTCATGTGGCCGAAGGGGACAAGGGAGGTTGCTGGAGCCTGTTTGATGAGAGCACTACCTTCCTTCAGGAGGGGATTATTCAGAAAGTCTGTCTGGTTTCAGGGCATTCCCAAAGGCCCCACCTGTTCATTCTACCCCATTGGTAGAATTCCCATTGGGAATTAGGCTTCAACATACAAATTTGGGAGACACTGACATTTAGGCCATAGCGCGTCAAAGGCAAAGTGAGGCTGAGTGTGGAAACCATCCCAGAATCTGGATGTGGCCCAGGCAGAAGGAAACTCAAAGTGATGGGGTGACCGATGGTCCCTGGTCTGTGCAGGACTCAGCGGTGCGGATGGCCCTGGGCACGGTGGCAGTGGCTGTTGGAGGATGATAGGGAACATGTTGGTGGGGGGAGGGTGGAGCCCACTATGAGTGGCAACTCCCTGGGGGCACAGGAAACAAAGCTAGAGGTGGCTCCCCTCTCCCCTCCCTGCACACAGTGTCACCTCTGTGGTGGCCCTGTCGTCCGCCTCAGTTCACAGGTGTTGCTGTAACAACTCCTGAAATTACCTTCAAAAGGAGGCTCGTGCAGGTGCCTGCAGGAGCCAGGAGGCCGAAGTGCATCCTGAGTGTCCGGGGACAGGCCAGCCTGGCGGGGTCCACGGCCCCACAGTCCCAACGACTGCCTCAGAAATGGGCAGAGAGCATGCCTGGTTCTAGCTGGCAAGGCCCACATCTCAGAGCTGTGGACAGTCATGAAGGGTCCGTGAGCATGGAGAGGGGGCAAAAATGACCCATGAACCTCAGGCCACTGTGCTGCCATCCAGCCAAGTGCGGTACCAGCCCTTCGGGCCTCGAGATCCTCTACCCTTCTCTGGGCCTTGCTGATTTCCTCCTCCAGCCCCTCTGTTTGTGTACGCACATACACACATGCACGCACGCACACGCACACCCAGTGCAATTTCTCTCTGCTCCCTGTACTCCCCAAAATTCAATGGGTTCCTCTTTCCTCCTCAGAGATATAGTCCTGGGCCCCATCTCAGCCTGCAGAGGCCTGAACGTTTCCCAGGATTGTCTTCTAATTCTCAGGTCCGGCTTTAAAACAAAACCTAAACTAAAACTAAAATGCTTTCTGCAAAGAATAATACACCAACATAAAGTCCGGGTATCCTAAGCATGTGGTGTGTATGGTGTCTGAAATTGAATATGCTGTGAAACTGCCTGTGTCGAAATGCAGTGTTTCCCAAGACCTGGAGGCTCTCTCCAGCTGCTGATTGTGATCACCTCTCCCGATCACCGCTGAGCCCTGCAGGTCACCTTCTCCTGACCTATTACACCACTGATTGCTTATGCTGGGCACAATTTTATACCCTTGCTGTTGTTCAGTCTAATCATCCCTATAACCCTATCGGATCATTCCCATATGACAGAGGAGAAAACCTGGGGACACAGGGGCTGTGTCCTGGCCAAGGCCTTGCTTGCAGCAAAAGGCAGAGCTGGGGTCTAGCCAGGAGCCCCAGCACAGTCCTGTTCTTCCCCCACTAAACTGAGCTGTGAAATAGATCATGGCAGTTTGGAAAACGGGCTAACTGTATGCTGAGGGAGGTGGTGACGGATACCTACTTCTTTTCATGGGAAGGTGAGGTGTCTCCCTGCCCCCCTCAGGTCTAGCCTCTCTCTGTAGCTCAGAACCTTGGGAAAGTGGGAGGCTCAGAGGAGGAAAGAGATTTACTTGCCCAAGGGCCGCAGCTGCTAAGTGGCAGGTAAGGGACTGTTATTCTCCTGTCCCTTTCACAGAGGACAGGAGGAAAGTGAGGACAGGTGGTGTACATGCATCTTTTCTGCAGCAGGCCCAGATCAGCTTTGCACATGGTGCTGACCTCAAATTCAGCCCTAGAGGGGCCTGTCTCTGCCCTGAGTGAGTATTGAAGTGCAGGCTTCTTCCCCTTTGTTCTGTCCATTTCCAAAAATGTGAACACACACCTCCAACATGTTTCTGTGTATATTATTGTGTGCATAGATACTACCATTGTGAAATATTATGCAGATTAATAATGCACTATGCCATTGAAAATTTCAAAAGAAATGTGTAATGAACATTTAAAATTAATATTTTTGTTCTCAGTTAAGGGTTAAGGGATATAATCAGGTTCTCTGCAAAATACTATGGTTTAAAAATAACAAAGATAATATGGGTATTAATAACATTTCCTCAACAGGAATGATGGAGAATGCTTCAGTTTTTCTGTAGGGATTTAGTTTTTGAATTGGGATTTTGGGTAAGATATCTTTAGGATAAAATATGTGCACACAAGAAAATAGCATATTTTTCCTAAAAATTTGTTTTTTATGCATTATTATATACACATAAAAATGGTCTTATTTTGGCTGGGCACAGTGGCTCACGCGTGTAATCCAAGCACTTTGGGAGGCCGAGGCAGGTAGATCACCTGAGTTCAGGAGTTGGAGAACAGCCTGGTCAACATGGTGAAACCCCATCTTTATTGAAAATACAAAAAACATTAGATGAGCATGGGGCGGGCACCCATAATCCCAGCTACTTGGGAGGCTGAGGCAGGAGAATCGCTTGAACCTGGGAGGTGGAGGTTGCAGTGAGCCAAGATAGCGCTGTTGCACTCCAGCCTGGGCAATAAGAGCGAAATTCCATCTTAAAAAAAAAAGAAAGAAGTAGTTTTATTTCAAAATTAGAAGCAAAAAGAAAATAAATATATCCTGCTATAGAGACTTGTCTTCGGATGCTTATGACCTCCTGTAAATGCAGTTCCTCCCTCATCCCCGTCTAAGCATCCTTCCTCAGCCTCCTCAAATTGGAGCCTGCGTCATCAGAACCACGTGGAAGGCTCTAAAAACATTGACGGCATAGAGGGAGACCCTATCTCCAAAAAACAAAACAAAAAAACCCTTTATTTTTAATGGGATAAAAAGTTAAATGGTAGTTAGATATTCAAGTTTTGTATGCTCCATGAACAAACAAACAAACAAACAAAAAAACATGACACTTGATGGAGACTGCAGGCCTGCGTTCTGTACCTGGCTTTGAGGGAGTGATTGGATGGGATGGTGTGCTTCCTGTGCCTGTCCTGTCTGCTCTGGGTTTAATTTACTCTCAATTGGCCATTGTTCTTTCCATGATCTTATTTTCCAGGCATTGTCCTAGGACCCAAGGTCTCTTACATTCTTACATGTAACAGTAAGAATTCTTACAATAAGAATTGAGAGAGTAGAAGCTATTTTTTCCTATGACTTAGAACTTTGGGGGAAGTTTAAAGGGAGATACTGCATGTATTCTGTGTCATCATCTAATTTCTACAGACCCTTCTTAAGGAACTGACATTAATGTTGTACTTAATTCTTCAGGCAGTGTGGGCCAAGAATAAAGCCAGATATACATTTAGTCTAAAAGTACAAGTCATATTATTTCCATCAGTGGATTCCTATAATCCTATGAATAAAATCTTATACATTGGCTTATAAGAGACCCATTGATTCACTATTAATCACTATATTTCTGTTCTTACTGGGCTGAAAAAAAATTGAAATTTAACCTGATGTGTTTCCTGTGCTTTGAAATCTTACTTTGTTTTCATGGTTCTCTTGCCTATTTCTTACCCCACTGCACACATAGAAGAAAGAATATCAATAGCGGCAGTTCTTATCAATCAGAAAACAGGTTAAAAGCCATTCTGGTTCTTGGGCTAAGTCTCAGTAGCAGAGAGAAATAGAAGAGGAAAGGTATGGGATAGAAGTGTATTCACTACCACTCTCTCTGATCAAACCTTGGAGGGGAGCAACGGAGTCCCAGATGTATCCAGGAAGGGGGTCTTGCTTATAGTTTTCACAGCATTGCCTGGGATACAACAGATAATTCCTAGTTGCTATTGTGGGCTATGAATGAGCTAGAATGGGTTCTATATGTCAATGTGGCGGGTGCTGGAAAATTATTTTTAATGATTACATTTTCTTTGACATGTAGTCTCCATTGTTGCTACAGATGGAGAAGAGAAACAGGAGGATTGCATACAGAAAATATATATAGCCAAGTACAAACATGGCATCCATGACTTTTCTTCATGTTGCATTGAGCAAACTCACTCATGGGGCCCCAACTAACTGCAAGGGATGCAATATTTTGCTGTGTCCAAGGGGAAAGTGAATTGGGCTTGGTGAACATATAGCATAGACTCTACTGCAGAGTGGTCTTTAGGTCACCAAAATTCATGTTTCTCTTTCCCCCTCAGGTAGAGCACATTCACTATATCTCCAAAGAAGATGTTAGGAGCCAGCCAAAGTATTATCTAGTAATGCATCCACATCAGTGTTCTGGAACGTGGGGTTGGTCATGTGTACTCTTCCCCATAGTGGCTGGATGTGGCTCTGTGTATATTGTGGAGACAAGGTAATGATGATAAAGACCCCCACTCAGATAGGGATAAATAGGAAACACACAGCAATTTTTATTGCCTACTGGGTGAGCATTATAAAATGTGAATATTTTCCTCAATGAAAAGTAAGAAGAGAACTAGGTTCTCATGAAAAAGTGGCAAAATGGTTTTTACAAACTCTGGCGACTCATATATTTTAAAGTTGCCTAATCAACTGAAATGTATGTATGTAAGCATGGGTATATTCACTAAAGCCTAGAACTAATGATGACCTTAGCAGCAAAGGAATAAAAATATGTTCAATAATTAGTCAGATTGATTGAAATTTGTTTTTTTGTTTGTTTGTTTTTGAGATGGAGTCTTGCTCTGTCGCCCAGGCTGGAGTGCAGTGGCACAATCTCGGCTCACTGCAACCTCCGCCTCCTGGTTCAAGCAATTCTCCTGCTTCAGCCTCTCAAGTAGCTCGGACTACAGGCATGTGCCACCACACCCGGCTAATTTTTTGTATTTTTAGTAGAGACAGGGTTTCACCATGTTAGCAAGGATGGTATCAATCTTCTGACCTCGTGATCAGCCCACCTCGGCCCCCCAAAGTGCTGGGATCATAGGCGTGAGCCACTGCGTCCGGCCTGAACTTTCTTTTTATATGTTTATTTTGCAGATAGTATTTCTTAGAATTTATATTTTGGAGAACAAAAGGTACTCATGTACATGTATAATAGTTTTATTTTATAACATAAAATTGCAGGCTCAAGCTGAAGGCTTTGAGGCCAGTACATGGAGTGACCTCAATGGACTCGAGTGGTAGCAAGCTGAATTTGGTCTCCATCATATCTTTCTGCCCCCTATTGTTACTTCCCTGACTATATTACATTTTGTAGCCAAAGGGATTTTGCAGATGCAATTAAGGTTACTAATCCATTGACAGAAAATGATCTTCTCAGTGGGCCTAATCTAATCACACGAGCCCTTAAAAACGGAAAGCTTGCTCTGCCTGGCAGAGAAAGATTCCAAGTTAGAGACTCCACAAGTTGTTGCTGCTTTGAAGATGGAGACAGCCATGTTAGAGAGAATACAGGAAGCCCAGAGGAGCAGATGGCAGCTCCCAGCTGACAGTCAGAAAAGGAAAACCTGCCTCAGACTTGTAGGTGTAAGGAATTTGATTTTTCCCAACATCCTGAATGAACTTCAAAGTTGATTTTCCCCCAGAATCTCCAGACAGGAGCCCAAATAGCTGCAGCCTTGATTTCAACCTTGGGGATCATGTGCAGAGTGTCCAGTAGATTCCATCCAGACTTCTGAATCCACCTACAGAATTGTGAGATAATAAATGGGTGTTCTTTTAAGAACAAAGTTTGTGGTGGTATTGCAGTGGCCATGGAAAATTTGTACAGTAGTTAATAGTATTACTATTATTGTTATTACTATTACTATTTTCATCTCCACAGAGTTACACCACAGAAGGTACATGCATCTGCAGCAGGCCCAGCTCAGTCAACACCTCTCTGAGTACATTCTAAAGCCACAGCATGCATGAGATTCTGAGGGCCCAGGGTCACTTCTGAACACAGCAGCCCCCCAAAGACTCACAAGGCCAATCACTGCCCACTGAGGCAGAGGTGGGGGATCCATCAGAAAGGGCTGAAAGAAGCTCTAGTAACCCAGAAGTGTCCTCCAGGACCTAATTTGTGAGGTTACACTTCTACTTCTTGTCTTCTGGAAGCCATGAAGGCAGAGCTCATGTTCCAGAGTGAAGTCTTTAGTGACCTCCACTGGACAGTTTGAGTTGGATGCCTATCAGGCCTCCTTCCCTCCCCTTTTAGGATGGGTCCATCCCAAGACATGATGGGCAAGCCCTATCCCCAGATACACCTCCCATCGGTCATTTGGTTTCCTAAGTGGTTCCTGAGTACCACATAAATGCTAAGCACTAGATGCTGGGGATACTAGATGCTCACTAGATAGCAGTGAGCAACCTACATAAAATGCATGGCCTGTAGGAATCCATGGAGGGGAGCTCCCAGGACTGTATCAAGCACATGGAGATGATAGGGAGCACCTAAACCCTCTTGGATGAATTATTAACACCATGGGCAACATTCTACACATTTGTAATAAAGTATGGCGGTAAGGAAGGCAAAAATATCACTTACCCACAAAGAAATGTCCAAGCACAAAAACATCCATACCGACATTGTGTTTATGTTCAAGACAAGCTCACACACCCTTCGGCCAAGATGGCACTATTATGTTCTATGGAGTCCTTGCCAGTCACAGCAAATAGGAAAACTAGGTCAGCGTGTGTGAGTTTATGTATGTGTGTGGTTTTGTGTGTGTGTTTGGCAGGAGAGAGAATGCCATAATTAGTGACTATGAAAATATTCCCATATTTTCCACCGGCTGGGTCAATCTTTCTTCTCCTCACTGGTTTTCTTCCTTCCTAGGCACTCAAACCCCAATATCTTCCTATTTGCCTGCAGGCACTGTGCAGGTGCCCTGTGAACCATCTCATTATTGAAGATTATTTGATTTCCTTGCCTTTTGTCATCAAGCCAGGCGCCATGTTGAGTCCCTATAGGGAGGGGCTTCCCTTTTCCCAGATGTTGAGTTCCAAGTTTGTGTTAAGATAGATGAACCCCAGATATACAGAAGATCCTTAAGGAGCACATAACTTGTTCCTTGGCCTTGCTATCTCCACTGATGACCTACCTTAGCAATAACCCCCAAAACCTGTCCCCTTGAAGCTCACCCATCTCTGTGGCCACTGGACAGTGGCTACCTTTTCTAGCTTTCACAAAACACTATTTTCTGGAAAATAATCTTATGCTTGAACACTTTCAGAGTTGAGCTGTTTTGTGGTGGATGAGAGACTGGGCAAGGTGGCCCAGCCATAGGCTGATTTTCATGTCCCTGGGAGGGAATCCAGCTAGCTTTCAGTGGCTGGAGAATGAGTTCAGTGTACTTGAAAATACATGGACACTTTTTGGGGGGAGTGTGTTGGTTTTGTCTTTCCCAAGCCCAGTAATAATAAGTTCTTTCACCCTCAGCTTTGCTAAGACCTTACCCTTCCTCTTCCCTCTGGCCTCTTCCTCTGCCCACTTCCTAATCCACAAATAGAGCCAAGATTTCTCCTTCCTTGATACTCCAGAATCTGTCACAAAGGGAGAGTCAAGGGGAGTTGGTAGTCAACTGCATATTTTCATTAAGGCTATGTTAAGAATTGGGAAGCATCTCCCCAGCCTCAATCAGGAAAGGGATGGGATCTTGGGTGCAAGAGGTAGCTCTTCTTCACCAATGTATTTAGGGTCATGAGGATTGTTCCTTATCCCCTGAGCTCAGGGCCTCAAGCCTCCCAAACTCCAGTTCCACATTGAGATGTGTGAAGTTTCTTATCCCTTGCCCTGCCTGAGGGCTGAGTAGGACACTTGTGGCCCTGTGGTGCCTATGCACCCCCAAGAATAACACCATATGTCTGCATACAGTTCAGTATGATGAAGGAGCAGAGAGCATAAGTCTAGATTGTGAGGGTTGTTCTTTAACAGATTTTATTCTCATTATTTAAGCCTCTAAACACTTGTCCAGTTGGGTTTTGTGTTTATTAGAAAGGAGGTATTCATTGAACAAATGATAGAACCTGGGAGAGAGGGAGGTGTGTGATGCCACTGTCAAAACCCCTCCCTAACCCAAGAAGTCAAGTCATCAGTAAGAGCTGGACTTGACTTCTTTTCTCTAAGCCCAGTCTTAAGATACACCCAACTTCTCCAAACATGGCAAAGACAGAAGAAACCACTTTTCTTTAAGGAGAAACAGCTATATATGGTAAGAATGACTACCACTGTAAATGAGAAACAGAGACAAGACTCTTCAGAGGAACTATACTGTGAGCAGCAATACATTTTCTCTAATTGGGTGAAAATATTTCTTGAGAGAAATGTTGCTGGGAGGAGGGGATGGAGGAGAACTCTCTGGCTGACTTGAGGAAACAAACCTTATAAACAGAGCCTGAGGAGGCATGGGGATGGCCTGATGTCCCTTGGATCCTTGGTCCAGGCTGCCAGGGCCTGCCCAGAGATACAGGCTACTCAGAGAAGATGGAAGTGGATTGCCTCAAATTGCTCATCATGAAACCACACCACATTCTTTGGTTTTCCAAGCTATCTGTGACCTGCCTATTATTGAGATCATGCAGACTCTTATAATCTACTTGAAGGCTGCAGGATGCAGATGTCAGCCCTTTCCTTCTTCAGGAAATAGGGAGTCTTTCAGTCACAGGAATATCTAACTCTGAGTTCTGCCTGAGCCTCACTGAGTTCTAACTCAGTGAGTATCTAACTCACTGAGTTCCTCAGTGAGTGGACATCTTTCCCTTGCATTAATTACACTTCTCAGCCCTATTGTTTTCTTTAGGCTCTGGCCAAATAACTGACTTGCTCTTTGAGTTTCAGCATCCTTTTGTCCGCAGAGGTAGCCCTGATTTCTGGTGGGCTTGCGCTTTGTAAAAAAAGGCTGGCATGCTCCTGGCCAGCCTTTTCTTTTCTTCTCTGTTTAATTGGATAAAAGCACTGAAACAAATGCCTCATGTTTTTTAAGATATGCTTTAAGAGTCCATAGCAAGAACTGGGCATCTTGTACCAAGAATTTCTGCCAATCACCTCTCCTGTGCTGGATGACTCTTCTCCATAGGGTGAATGGGCTCCAATCCTGCAACCCCTAATTTATCTCCTTCTGCTATGAGTATCCTAAGGTCCTCTTTCTCTTGATTTGTTGATAATATCTTGTCCAGGATCACCTCTTCTGTCTGACCTGCTTGAGGGTTTCTTCTAAGAAGCTTCATGGGCACAGCTATAAAGTCAGCCCTTGAATCATACATGGGTTGATGAGAAACAAAACTTAGACTGGGGAAGGGGTTGGGAATGGGGATTGTTAAACAGTGTTTTGTATCTGAAGACTTCAAAAAGTGTATCCCAAGCCACATAATTTGGGCTTCTAAAAACTTTTGAGGACATAGATAAAAAAGGAAAAGTCTTGAGACTAGTTCTGATAATATTCCAGTCACAAGACTGTCAAATGTCTGGTTCTGACTTCCTAGGATGAAGTTCCCTGGATTGAGCAGTGTAGAGTGTGCAGCAGTCCATGAAGGACACATCCCCCCAGAATTGATCTTCCCATATTCTTGCCCAACTGTATGTTCTAGATGTTTTCAGTCTTTCTGGTTTAGATTTTCCCTTGGGCCTCTTGATAATCCATTCTTTGAGTACCTTACCGAGCCACATTTTGTCCCTTCCCAGAGGACCCTTCACTGAATAGATTTCTAAACCCCTCATTAGGTTACATTTAGGGCCCCTCATGGACCAATGGAGGAGGCCTTTGTCCAAGACCTTGCTTAGCTGGAACTTGGGTGGGCCTCTCCCATAAAGCCTTGTTACCGTAGGAAAACAAAACAATGAATTAATGGAACCCATGGGCAGGTCAACTTGGTGAGAATTTGAGATCTTGGGAGAGTGTGGGGTCAGGTGAGGTGGTGAGGTCCAAAAACAAAGGCAGGTACTGGTTGCAAAATAGGATCCCAAGTGTGTTCTGAGTATAGAAGGATCCGAGTGTGTTCTGTGAGTAGAAGGCAAAGGGGGTGGCAAAATATGATCCATGAACAATCTTGGATCCAGTATCACACAGTGCTGTGATTGAAGAAAGGCACCCAGTCGTGATAATGAAAAGAAGGAAAGTGAGGGGATACTTCAATCCAGTCTGAGGTCAGAAGTATGTAAGCAAGAATGAATGATGACTCAATTGAGCCCGTGGGGAGAGAGAGAGAGACAGACAGACAGACGGACAAACATCTTCCCTCAGCTCCTGGCACTAAACAATATGTGTGTTATGGTCTGAATGTGTGAGTCTCCCAAAATTCATAGGTTGAAATCATAACCCCCAAGATGATGGTATTATTAAGAGGTGGTGCCTTTGTGGGGTGATTAGGTCATGAAGGTGGAACCCTCATGAGTGAGATTAATGCCCTTATAAAAGAGAACACCGAGAGCTAGCTAGCTGCTTCCACCATATGAGGTTACAGTGAGAAGATATGCCCTCATTAGACACTGAATCCACCTGGATCTTGGGCTGTGCAGTCTCCAAAACTATGAGAAATAAATTTCTGTGGTTTATAAGCCATACAGCTTGTGGTATTTTTATAGTCCATTGTCAAATGGACTCAGACAGTACATTTTCATGGTTGCTCTATCTTGCTCCTTACACCATGGATTTTGATGTAACTGCTCTATACATCTATCCTCAAAAGGAAGCACATGCAGGTGCCTATAGGATACAAGATGCAAAAAGTGTGTCCTGGAGGAGAATGGGGATAGTCTTGACTGGCAGGCTTAGTGATGTCCCATTTTCCCATGTTGACAGCTGTTGTGGGACCTCAAGTTCTTGCCTTCTTAGTTAAAAAGAATTTAAACAAGAGACACACAGCGAAGTAAATGCAGTATACAGTAGTTTATTGCAAAAGAAAAAGAATATTTTGAGAGTTAAGTGCAGAATAGACAGTACACCCTGAGGGAGAGAGGATTCAGGGTGGGCTATTCGTAAGAATGAGACAGTAAAGACTGGCACTAGGGCGACTCCCTTTATGGGAGTTGGACATGATTATTCATAAGGGGTTGGGAAAAGTTGTTACTAGTAAGCATATTCTGGGTGGTTTTCTGGGTGCACAGATGCAGTAGCAGTACATATTTGTTCATAGATTGCATATCTCATTAGCATCTTAAATCTCCACCCAGGGGTATGTTTTTTACTATTATAATGAGCAAAGAGTCAGTTTGAGGACAGGTGAAATCAAAATGCACATACTCTCTGCAGGGGAAATTCCCTACTAGAGATAGCTTTGCTTGAATGAGCTGGACTACAATGCGAATGCTGAGGTTTATTGTGTTGACTGTACCATCATGGCTGCCATGTCCTGAGGACATTGCTACTTCCTTGACTGCCTATCCTGCCTCACCCACATCTCTGAATTTGCCACTCTCCTTTTATCACTTATCCCACCACTTCCTTTCACATTTCATTCCTATGGTTCTGTTGTCAGGTCAACACCATGCTGCACAGGGGACCTAGAATTCTATGAGGCAAGCAAGGAAGAGGGATACCTAGAATAACAGAAGAGATTAATCACCCTTTTCAAAGAGAAGGTTGGTCTGGTACCACCTTAGAGACTTTCTGGTGAGCTCTCTGTGCTGGAATATCAGGAGCCCAGGTAACGTCAACCGAATGTAGGAGCAAAGGAAATCTGTTGGAAGCTGAGTTAAATGCTTTATTGGGAATAGACTATTTCAATAGTTACCCTGAGCACCAGGGATTACTTGTGCTAGGTCAAAGGGTCAATGTCAATACTAGTAGGGCTTATGTGTGTACCATGCTTTGTCATTTGCAAGCCCTGCCATGCACATTGTTCCAGGGAATCATCACAACAACACTATGATGTTGGCAAACCAGGGGCTCTTTCAAATGAGGAGTCTGAAATTTAGGGAAGTTGAAACTTGACTAAAGTCAAGACCTCAAATTTCTGCCTGCCAAACAACCAATGCTTCGTCTATTACATCTCACCACATCATCTAGCAGTGAAGACCCATTGCCCTGCACCATCCTTGTTTAATTCACATAAAGGGGCAGAACAAAGATTAGGACAAGTATTCCAGGTTCTGACTTACTTCCTTGGAGCCTCTCCTTGAAGAGCTCTGTTTTCTGAGGACCGAGTCTAAAAACTGAGGCCCTCAGCCACTGGGGACATGAAATTTCTTGGAAAGGAAAAATTAAGTCTTGGGTTGACTAGCAAAACCTGACCTTTTCAAGCTCTAGCTCTAACATCTTCTTGTCTCTGAGTTGCTGCTGAAAGACAAAAATATGAGAGTTTGGGACCCATTTCTCACTCTCATTCTAATCAAGCAGCAGATATTCATTATTAATGAAATATATAACTATGTTAATTTAATTGATATAGGTATTGTTTCCAGGATATTCATTTAAAAAACACTTCATTTTATAAAGCAGTTTTAGGCACACAGAAAAATTGAGCAGAAGGCACAGAGAGTTCCCATATTCCCCCCTCCCCTCACCATACAGCCCTTGCACTGTCAACATCCCTCACCAGGGTGGTACATTTGTTGCAGTCGGAGAATCTGAATTGACACATCATTATCACCTAGAGCCCATAGTTTACATTAGGGTTCACTCTTGGTGTTGTAGATTCCCTGGGTTCTGACAAATATAAAATAACATGTATCCACCACTATAGTATCATACAGAATAGGTTTGCTGCCCTAAAAATGCCCTGTGCTCTGCCTATTCATCACTTCCTCCCCTTAACCCAGGGCAACCACTGATCTTTTTGGTTGTTTTGTTTTGTTAGAGACCGGGTCTCACTCTGTTGCCCTGGCTTGAGTTCAGTGGCATAATAATAGCTCACTGCAGCCTCAAACTCCTGGGCTCAAGTGATCCTCCCACTCAACCTTCCGAGCAGCTAGGACCACAGGTGCACACAACCACATCTGCTAATTTTAAAAAACTTTTTGGAGAGATGGGAGTCTCACTATGCTGCCCAAGCTTGTATTGAACTCCTGGCCTCAAGCAATCCTCCCAACCCAGCCTCCCCAAGTGCTGGGATTACAAGTGTGAGCCACCACGCCTGACCAAAACCACTGATCTTTTACTGTCTCCATAGTTCTGTCTTTTCCAGAGTGCCATATAGTTAGAATCACACAGTATGCAGCCATTTCAGGTTTTTTTTTTCACTTGGTAATAAGTATTCAAAGTTCTTTCATGTACTATTAGTTTTATTTTATTTTTAATTGACAAATAAAAATTGTATGTATTTGTGGGGTCCAAAGTGATATTTTGATACATGCATACATTGTGGAATGATCAAATCAGAGTAATTCGTATGTCTGTCACCTCAAATATTTATCATTTATTTGTGATGAGAACATTTAAATCCCTCCCCCCTTTTTTTAAGAGATAGGATCTCAAACCCCTGGCCTCAAGCAATCTCTTGCCTCAGCCTCCTGAGTAGCTGGGATTACAGACACGAGCCATCATCCCCAGCTTTAAAATCCCATCTTTTAGCTAGTTTGAAATATATAATACATTATTACAAACTATAGTTACCTTGCTGTACAAAAGAACACCAGAACTTATGCCTCCTAACTGCAACTTTGTACCTACTGACCAACATCTCCCATTTCTCCATGAAACCACCTCCCACCAGCCATTAGTAACCACCTTTCTACTTCTATGAGTTCAGCTTTTGTAGATTCTACATGTAGGTGAAGTCATATATTTGTCTCTGTGCCTGGCTTACGTTACTTAAAATAAGGTCTTTTAGGTTCATCCATGTTGCTGCAAATGACAGAATTTCCTGTTGTGTTTTTTAAAGGCTTAATGGTTTTCCATTGTGTACATACACCACTTTTTTTTTGAGACACAGTCTTGCTCTGTTGTCCAGGCTAAAGTGCAGTGGCATGACCATGGCTCACTGCAGCCTCAACCTCCCAGGCTCAAGCAAACCTCCTGCCTCAGCTCCCACAGTAGCTGGGACTACTGGGACTACAGGCATCTGCCACCACACACAGCTATTTTTTTTTTTTTTGTATTTTTTGTAGAGACTGGGTTTCCCATGTTGCCCAGGCTGGTCTTGAACCCCTGGGCTCAAGCAATCCACCCACCTTGTCCTTTAAAAGTGTTGAGATTACAGGTATGAGCCACCACACCCTGCCTGACTCTGGAATGCTTGACCAAAACCTCCAAGGGTATAAAATATCTAGTCTTTCTGCTTTCAGCAGGCTCTCCTAAATCAATTCCTAAATATCATTCAGTCATCCAAACTGCGTAAAGAATATCATCACACTTTCAAGTTATTAGTCTGAAAAGAAATCTCACACTGATGAAGAAACAAAGTAAATATAGTTAATATAGAGAATCAATTAATTAAAAAATCATTCATTTCAACTTGCAAGAGGGATGACTACACATGTTGGTAATAATCAAGTTTGCAGCCTATTTCCCCCAAAATGCACACTTCCTTGAGGTATATAAAGTTTTTACAATAGAATCTCATCTACTCTAACCTAAAGTTGGAAGTTGTCCCCCTAGCTAGTGATGAACACTTGGTAAACTTTGGAGAAAAAGTTGGAAGGCGAATGTCCCACTGCGTGTCTTGGAATAGTTGCTTCTTTCTTATGAAGACAGATGTGATAGAAACCATGAGAGCGCTGCACAAAGCAGCTGAAGCTGATGGGTGACATTCAGGTAGACAGCTTGGGGTCAACAGAGCAACCAGTGCATCTACAATATTGAAGGACAAGCTGGAGAGAACCTCAGATATAGATCAAAATATCCAGGTGGTAAATCAATACACATGAACTGCAGATCAGCCCTGTTAATGTTGTATTTTTTTTAGTGTGTTTCTTTCTTTCATTCTCATCTTTGTTGGTAATGTAATATTTTTCCCAGATTCATTAAAGAAAATAATATATATAGTTATATATACATATATATATATGAATTATATCTTCATTGGGAATTAAGTCAAACTAATTAATATTTATCACCTCACATGCTTCGAATCCTGTGCTGAGAATTCTGAAATCTGCTCTCATAGCCATCTTCAAGTGTACAATACATATGTATAACTATATTCACATTGCCATGTCATAAATATCCAGAAATCTCTAGTTAACTTTCTGATAAATTGTATCCTTTGACCAACATCTCCCTATGCCCATCTTGCCCCTGCCCTAGGCCATGAAGCCCAACTATCCACTCTAAACTTCTATAATTTTCACCTTTGTTGATCCCACATACAAGTGAGATCACGCAATATCAACATTACAGGCCTGGATTGCCCACTAGACAGGAAAACTTCAGGTTTATTCATGAAGTCAAAAATGACAGATTTTCCACTAAAAATGTGAATAGTATTCCTTTTTATGTCTCCACTGATGCCTAGGAAAATTTTGTACCTTACAAAAAGAAAAAGCCTACAACCAACATAATCTCGTACATATTTACTGTGTACATGGATTTCCTTAGGCTGTATGCCCAGATGGGAATGCTTAGATCCCAGTTCCACTAATTATTAATTAAACAGCTTCCACATTGCTCCTTACCACCACTGGCCTAATTGACTATCTCAGCAACATTGCACCAGGATGCCCTTTTCTCCCCATATTAGACAATAATTATCTTCCGGGCATCTCAGAAAACAAGCTGAACAACAAACCCTCTAGAAAGGCCACACTACAATCCATGCTGACTCGTTTGGAGGGCCCTTGAGATGTATATAAAAGACTTAAGACCATGAATGAATCCCATGACACTAGCATTCCAGACATTAAAATTTCTTTTCAGCTTTTCCCTTTTGGGCACAGCTCTTTGGAAACAAATTTTCTATGGCTTGCCAAAAACAGGCAGGGCCCCAAATATCTGAATCTCCTTTCCCAAACTTCCTGAGTTTCTACCCGATTCCTGCCGACAATTGAGCTCTTTCTTTGACTCACGTGCTCACAAAGCAAAGAAGAAGGCTGTAGAGATAAACACAGGAACCCATCGGCAGCTGGATCAGTCCAGTTTAAACGACAATAAATATGATACACACTAACCGTGTGTGACGTCTTCATTAGGGAATTCACTAGAATCGGCCGAATTCACACACTTATCACCACACATGCGTCCCCTGTCCCCGCTCAGGAGAATTTTCAGCTCTACTCCCGTGGATATATTCACGAGAACCTTACATTCTGCTCCACCGTACTCACGTTGCCCTGCCACGGATATCCAGGAAGCACTCCACCTGTCTCTCGGAAACTTTGTGCCCTTTGACCCACATCTCGCATTGGCATCCTTTCCCTGCCCCTACACCTGCCCCTACACCGGCCCCAGGCCCAGCCAACCACCTTTCTCCTCTCTACTTTCCTGATCCTCACAGCATTTTCTCCATCCAACATCACAAGGAGATCACGCAATACGGGTCGGATGGGCCTGGCTGATTTCACTGGGCACCATGACTTTTGGGTCCATGCATAACGTCCCAGATGACAGGCTTTCCTTTCCTTTCCCTGATGTGTTTGTTCTACGAACCCTATTCATTTGTCCTTCTCTAGTCATCTGCTGAAGGGTACTTCGGTCGATTCCACGTCTTGGTTACAGGCAGCGTGCCGACAACCAATGCAGCAGGACACATATTTGCACCACAACCCGATTTCGTGTCCTTAGGCGATACGTCCAGAAGTGGGATGACTGGATCCCAGTTCCAGCGGTGATTTCTTGAGCAACCCCCCCGTATCGCTCCCGGCCACCCCTTGAGCAGCCCTTACTGTGTTGGCACCTCCCACACCCAGCTGGCCACGCAGCCCTGTCCTCAGGCCTCACTCCTCTCTGCGCCAGGTCCAAGGCAGAGACAGCGAGCCTGAGATGTCCCCGAAAGCCGTCAGGGCGTGACCGGATCCCACGGCACCGGCCCTGCGGATGTTCCATTTCCTTTCGCCTGCTTGCTTTCTGGCGGACGTCTCCGCGCACGCCGTTTCTCAGACTCGCCTGGGACAGCCTGCGCCTCGCACGTCTCCCTCTCCCTCTCTTCTCTTACCGAGTTTCTCCTCCCCACACCCCGCCGGGTCCTGCCTAGAGTCGTGTGCCCCTTCCTTGATTCACGTGCTCACCGAGCGAGCGAGGCGGAGGGCTGTGGCCATACACACACGATGATCCCATCCGCAGCCCGCCGGGATGGTCCTGAGCTCACAGCAACACCCGTCGGGTACACAAAGGGGAGGAGAAAATCAGACCGTGAGGCCTAGGAGGAACCAACTCAAACCTGGCTGGTCGTGGGCAAAATGTGGCCCTCTGGCCCACTCTCCTCTGCTGCCTGTTTCTCCATAGAAAACTAAGCTGGGACGAAAGCACACCCTGTCCTTTCCTAACGTCGGTAGATGGATTCCTGCCGCCGTGCCAGAAAGGAGTTTTTCCTCCGCAGACTGCAGGAGCAAGAGAACCTGCGGGACTCGGTCTCCCTTCACTCGAAATTTGCCCGACTCTCGGCATAGTGTGCACACACCCCAGCACGCGCGCGCGCGCACACACACACACACACACACAGGCACGCACACACGCAGGTGCACACCAGGAAGTGGAGAAATCGTCCAACGCAGAGGTAGAGAGGACTTCGAAATGGGCAACGAAGTAGGGCACTTCCTTTGAAATTACCGTGAAGCCCACAGCTACCTTTGTCTCTGTTCTGCCACTCCGCAAAATTGCTCATCACTTGCCGGAGACAGAGCGGCAGGGACCCAGGGAGAAAGCGGAACCCCTCCAACCCGCCTAACCTAATCAAGGTAGCCTGCGCCTGTGGGCGTGTCCGCAGCCAATCCTCCTGGGAACACCCAGCAGGGGGTCCTGGCTCCCTATCAAAGCCCGCCGGCTGCGCCCAACCGGCCATTTCCCCGCTTGCGCTGCTCAGGCTGCCAGAGGGTAGAGCCTCCTCGCCGGGAACACAGAGCTCTTTCCTGGATGGGGAAGCTGTCCCTTGAGGAGACGGGAGAAGACAGACCTCCCTGTGGAAAGCAGGGGAAGATGGAGACCCGCAAGAACCGGGAGGGTTCTGAGAGAGGACGAGGTGAGTGAGGGTCGAGTGTCTCGTCTGTGCGGATTGGTGTGTGGAGGGGGTGGCAGGGGCCAGGGAGGCAGGAGAGTTAGAGCTGGGGTGACAAAGGCAGCGGTCCCCGCCCCACGGGCCCTGATCCGGCAGGTGGTGGGGAAACCTAAGGTCAAAGAAAGGCAGACTTTTTGTGTGCTGGGTGGCTCCGCCAGCTGGGCCATCCTCTGGGTGCGCCCGCGGAGGAGGGTTTGCTGGAGGGTGCCAGGCAGCTGGGGAACAGCCAGAGTGAGGAGACAAGAAGGGACCAGGGGAGTGGGGCCTGGAGGTCTTGGGCAGCTGGAGAAAGAGGAGGGGGTGGGGGACACCTGGGAGCAGAGCCATTCCTGCCTTGAAGTCACTCTGGGAGCTTGGCCCTTGCAACCCTCCCGCAGCCGTCTACGGACGGGTCATGGCCCACTCACTGTCGACCTCCTCTTCCCCCGCAGCTTCCAGCGGGCACAGCCGGGAGGCCTCTGCGTCCAGGCACAAACGGTGGAGAAGCCCCGACGGCTCCCCTCGCAGTCCCGGCAGAGAAACCGGAAACCGAGGGCGGAAGGTCAAGCCACGACCAGCCCCAGCCGGAGAGCGAGGCCACGACAAGCCCGAGTCCGGCAGAGCACGACGCCCCCACGAGCGCAGAGGAGGCAGGCTTAGGGGCTGGGAGCTTGGAGGGGTGGGGAGGAGGGCGCAGGGCCCCGGGAAGGGGAGCGGGGAGTGGGGGGCCCCGAGGGGGCCGAGGAAGCCCTCAGTGCGCCAGGAACCCGGGCCCCCGGTGGCCCCAGATGAGATGTGCTTCAAGTTTGAATGGGCGGAGGGGAGGGCACCCCGGACGGGGCACCGGAGTCCCCAGGATGCAGGGAGGGGCCGAGAGGATGGGGCGCGGAGGCGAGCCGCGGAGGGGTGGGGGATGGAGGGCAGGGGGAGGCGGGGTCGGGAGCGGCTTCGGGACCTTGGAAATGGGTCCCCTAGCGCTGCGCGCAGTCCCTCTGACACCTCCCGCTCTGTCTCCCGCGCAGGTTCTGTTCCCAGCCCGAGGCGCCTGGAGGAGCCAAAGCACCGGCCTAGATCGCCAGGGAGGACGAGCGGCCCGCAACGCCGCGTTGACGTCCGGGAGGAGCGACCCACCTCCCCAAAGCGCCGCCGACGCCACTCCCCAGAAGCCTGGGTCTCCCTCCCGTGCCCGCTCTCGCGAGTCGTCAACCACCTGGGCGGGCTGGACGTGGCCCTGGGCGAGCTTCGGGCCCCGGGGGGCGCCTTCCTCCCGGGGCCCGCCGGCGGCACGCAGCCCAGCGCCTCGCAGCGCGCCTGGCTCACCTGGCAGCTGGCGCACGCCGGGGCCGCCCTGCACTGGGCGCTGGCCACGCTCGACAGCCTGCTGGCTGCGGGGCCCTGGCCCGCGGGCCCGCCGCCCTTTGCGCCCGCTCCTGGGGGCCCTTAGGTGCGCACGGGAGCCAGCACCCTCGCCTTGGAAAAGCTCGAACCCTCTGCCCCAGAGGCGATCCCGACTCTGCACCGCAAACTCTACGGCGCCCTGCAGGACGGCGGCCTCCTGCCGCTTGGACGCCAGCCAGGAGCTCCCCGGCAGCAGCAGAGCAGAAAGAAGGATGGCCCCGCCCCACTTCGCCTCCCGGCGGTCTCCCTCCCGCCGGCTCACGGACATAGATGGCTGCCTAGCTCCGGAAGCCTAGCTCTTGTTCCGGGCATCCTAAGGAAGACACGGTTTTTCCTCCCGGGGGCTCGCCACATCTGGGACTTTGACGACTCGGGACCTCTCTCCCATTGAATGTTTGCGCGTTCTCTGGGAAAGTGAAATGCCTAACCTTGTTTTTACTCTAAGTCGCTACTTTGAATCTTCCCTGTTGGTCTCTTTAATCACCTAGCCTTGCTTCTCATGTAAATAAGGCTCTCTGTAGCTGGGAATGCTGGACAAACTCCAATCGACCCCTTAATTTACGAGACACGAAGGGCTCCTTACCCAACCCCCTTCCGCAAGGAGTTGACCTGTGTAAGCAGATACTCAGCATTTCAAGGGAGCCCAATCAACTGATAAGATACTGGCACAAACAGTGCATGAAGTTCCCAGGATTTTTCTCGAAGAGATAACAACATAAAGCCTTGAGTTCGTGTCCAGCATAGCACCTATATCTAAGTGTCATGAAGGATTTAGAGCCCCGCACCTGGTACCGTTGCCTTTTGTAACCATTTGCCTTTTAAAACTGTTTATCTCTCTATAACCATTTGCTTCTTTTGATTCCTGCATGTTTTTACTTCTGTAGAATTACCGCATTTGAGTTCCCCTCCCCTTCCTAAACCAAGGTATAGAAGTTAGTCAAGCCCCTTCCTCGGGGCCCAGAGAATTTTGAGCGTTAGCCATCTCTTTGGCCGCCGGCTTAAATAAAGGACTCTTAATTTGTCTCAAAGTGTGGCGTTTTCTCTAACTTCTGTGGGTATAACAAAAGGAAGAGGTGTGGGCTTTGGGCTTGGACCTGTGATTGTCCTTCTTTGAGCCGAGAGCGTTGAGAAGCCTACCTGGAGTGACACCCGGATAGAGGCCGAGCCATGCCGATTCGCGGAAGTGGGGGTGGGGGCTTGGGGAGGTACCTCGCCATAGGTGATTTGCAGGGGAAAGTGAAATGCCCCCGCCATAGGTCATTTGCAGTGGAAAGGAAAATGCCTGGTCGGTCAGCTTCTCCGTGTGTCCCAAGAAATGTCCTCAATGTTTCCAACCTCTGCCCCCAGGGTCAGGAAAATATTCCTGAGAGGGTTTGGTGAGCCTCTGGAATCTCTCCACCATTCCGTGTTTGCTTTGCACCCTTGGCTTTGGCGTGGATGAACTGCATCCACGTTTTTGGAAAACAGTCGTCAAGTGTTTAATGACCCTTGTGGCTACCTCTTCGAGTCGTGTGTGTGTGTGTGTGTGTGTGTGTGTGTGTGTGTGTGTGTTCATGCCAGCGTCCTATGCCTTGTAACTGAAACCTGGGGGCTTCTCTCCCTAACCTGTGATGAACACCTGGGCAACTTTGGAGAAGGAGGTGGAAGGGGAATGTCCCATTGGGTGTCTTGGAACGGTGGCTTCTTTCTTGGGAAAGGAAGTGGGATGGAGAGAATCCACCCGAGCTCTTCAGAAAGGACCTGCACCGATGGGTGATAGGCAGCATGGGCTCAGGAGAGCAGGGAGAGTTAGGGGAGACACCCACGTGCCTGGAATAGTGGAGGGCCATTTGGAGCAAGCCTCAGATGGAGAGCGACGTATCCTGGGGTTCGGTCAATCCTTGTGAACCCGAGAGCGTTCCTACGGACGTTAGACTCTCTTCGAGGTGATCTCTCTTGGAGGTTTTGTCTTGCGATTTAATTATTTCCTTCCCCCGCCGGTGCCTTCAAGTATGAATGACAATAAATATGATACACACTTACCGTGTGTGACGTCTTCATTAGGGAATTCACTAGAATCGGCCGAATTCACACACTTATCGCCCCACATGCGTCCCCTGTCCCTGTCGGGAGAATTTTCAGCTCTACTCCCGTGGGTATATTCACGAGAACCTTACATTCTGCTCCACCGTACTCGCGTTGCCCTGCCACGGATATCCAGGAAGCACTCCACCTGCCTCTCGGAAACTTTGTGCCCTTTGACCCACATCTCGCATGGGCATCTTTTCCCTGCCCCTACCCCGGCCCCAGGCCCGGCCAACCACCTTTCTCCTCTCTACTTTCGCGATCCTCACCGCTTTCCATCCCACATCCCAAGGAGATCACGCAATACGGGTCGGATGGGCCTGGCTGATTTCACTGGGCACCATGACTTTTGGGTCCGTGCATGACGTCCCAGATGACCGGCTCTCCTTTCCTTTCCCTGATGTGTTTCTTCTGCGAACCCCACTCCTTTGTCCTTCTCTAGTCATCTACTGATGGGCACTTAGGTCGATTCCACGTCTTGGTTACAGGTAGCGTGCCGACAACCAACGCAGCAGGACACATATTTGCACCACATCCCGATTTCGTGTCCTTAGGCGATACGTCCAGAAGTGGGATGACTGGACGTATCCCACTGGACTGGAATCCCAGTTCCAGCGGTGATTTCTTGAGCAACCCCCCCGTATCGCTCCCGGCCACCCCTTGACCAGCCCTTACTGTGTTGGCACCTCCCACACCCAGCTGGCCACGCAGCCCTGTCCTCAGGCCTCACTCCTCTCTGCGCCAGGTCCAAGGCGGAGACAGCGAGCCTGAGATGTCCCCGAAAGCCGTCAGGGCGTGACCGGATCCCACGGCACCGGCCCTGCGGATGTTCCATTTCCTTTCGCCTGCTTGCTTTCTGGCGGACGTCTCCGCGCACGCCGTTTCTCAGACTCGCCTGGGACAGCCTGCGCCTCGCACGTCTCCCTCTCCCTCTCTTCTCTTACCGAGTTTCTCCTCCCCACACCCCGCCGGGTCCTGCCTAGAGTCGTGTGCCCCTTCCTTGATTCACGTGCTCACCGAGCGAGCGAGGCGGAGGGCTGTGGCCATACACACACGATGATCCCATCCGCAGCCCGCCGGGATGGTCCTGAGCTCACAGCAACACCCGTCGGGTACACAAAGAGGAGGAGAAAATCAGACCGTGAGGCCTAGGAGGAACCAACTCAAACCTGGCTGGTCGTGGGCAAAATGTGGCCCTCTGGCCCACTCTCCTCTGCTGCCTGTTTCTCCATAGAAAACTAAGCTGGGACGAAAGCACACCCTGTCCTTTCCTAACGTCGGTAGATGGATTCCTGCCGCCGTGCCAGAAAGGAGTTTTTCCTCCGCAGACTGCAGGAGCAAGAGAACCTGCGGGACTCGGTCTCCCTTCACTCGAAATTTGCCCGACTCTCGGCATAGTGTGCACACACCCCAGCACGCGCGCGCGCGCACACACACACACACACACACACAGGCACGCACACACGCAGGTGCACACCAGGAAGTGGAGAAATCGTCCAACGCAGAGGTAGAGAGGACTTCGAAATGGGCAACGAAGTAGGGCACTTCCTTTGAAATTACCGTGAAGCCCACAGCTACCTTTGTCTCTGTTCTGCCACTCCGCAAAATTGCTCATCACTTGCCGGAGACAGAGCGGCAGGGACCCAGGGAGAAAGCGGAACCCCTCCAACCCGCCTAACCTAATCAAGGTAGCCTGCCCCTGTGGGCGTGTCCGCAGCCAATCCTCCTGGGAACTCCCAGCAGGGGGTCCTGGCTCCCTATCAAAGCCCGCCGGCTGCGCCCAACCGGCCATTGCCCCGCTTGCGCTGCTCAGGCTGCCAGAGGGTAGAGCCTCCTCGCCGGGAACACAGAGCTCTTTCCTGGATGGGGAAGCTGTCCTTTGAGGAGACGGGAGAAGACAGACCTCCCTGTGGAAAGCAGGGGAAGATGGAGACCCGCAAGAACCGGGAGGGCTCTGAGAGAGGACGAGGTGAGTGAGGGTCGAGTGTCTCGTCTGTGCGGATTGGTGTGTGGAGGGGGTGGCAGGGGCCAGGGAGGCAGGAGAGTTAGAGCTGGGGTGACAAAGGCAGCGGCCCCCGCCCCACGGGCCCTGATCCGGCAGGTGGTGGGGAAACCTAAGGTCAAAGAAAGGCAGACTTTTTGTGTGCTGGGTGGCTCCGCCAGCTGGGCCATCCTCTGGGTGCGCCCGCGGAGGAGGGTTTGCTGGAGGGTGCCAGGCAGCTGGGGAACAGCCAGAGTGAGGAGACAGGAAGGGACCAGGGGAGTGGGGCCTGGAGGTCTTGGGCAGCTGGAGAAAGAGGAGGGGGTGGGGGACACCTGGGAGCAGAGCCATTCCTGCCTTGAAGTCACTCTGGGAGCTTGGCCCTTGCAACCCTCCCGCAGCCGTCTACGGACGGGTCATGGCCCACTCACTGTCGACCTCCTCTTCCCCCGCAGCTTCCAGCGGGCACAGCCGGGAGGCCTCTGCGTCCAGGCACAAACGGTGGAGAAGCCCCGACGGCTCCCCTCGCAGTCCCGGCAGAGAAACCGGAAACCGAGGGCGGAAGGTCAAGCCACGACCAGCCCCAGCCGGAGAGCGAGGCCACGACAAGCCCGAGTCCGGCAGAGCACGACGCCCCCACGAGCGCAGAGGAGGCAGGTTTAGGGGCTGGGAGCTTGGAGGGGTGGGGAGGAGGGCGCAGGGCCCCGGGAAGGGGAGCGGGGAGTGGGGGGCCCCGAGGGGGCCGAGGAAGCCCTCAGTGCGCCAGGAACCCGGGCCCCCGGTGGCCCCAGATGAGATGTGCTTCAAGTTTGAACGGGCGGAGGGGAGGGCACCCCGGACGGGGCACCGGAGTCCCCAGGATGCAGGGAGGGGCCGAGAGGATGGGGCGCGGAGGCGAGCCGCGGAGGGGTGGGGGATGGAGGGCAGGGGGAGGCGGGGTCGGGAGCGGCTTCGGGACCTTGGAAATGGGTCCCCTAGCGCTGCGCGCAGTCCCTCTGACACCTCCCGCTCTGTCTCCCGCGCAGGTTCTGTTCCCAGCCCGAGGCGCCTGGAGGAGCCAAAGCACCGGCCTAGATCGCCAGGGAGGACGAGCGGCCCGCAACGCCGCGTTGACGTCCGGGAGGAGCGACCCACCTCCCCAAAGCGCCGCCGACGCCACTCCCCAGAAGCCTGGGTCTCCCTCCCGTGCCCGCTCTCGCGAGTCGTCAACCACCTGGGCGGGCTGGACGTGGCCCTGGGCGAGCTTCGGGCCCCGGGGGGCGCCTTCCTCCCGGGGCCCGCCGGCGGCACGCAGCCCAGCGCCTCGCAGCGCGCCTGGCTCACCTGGCAGCTGGCGCACGCCGGGGCCGCCCTGCACTGGGCGCTGGCCACGCTCGACAGCCTGCTGGCTGCGGGGCCCTGGCCCGCGGGCCCGCCGCCCTTTGCGCCCGCTCCTGGGGGCCCTTAGGTGCGCACGGGAGCCAGCACCCTCGCCTTGGAAAAGCTCGAACCCTCTGCCCCAGAGGCGATCCCGACTCTGCACCGCAAACTCTACGGCGCCCTGCAGGACGGCGGCCTCCTGCCGCTTGGACGCCAGCCAGGAGCTCCCCGGCAGCAGCAGAGCAGAAAGAAGGATGGCCCCGCCCCACTTCGCCTCCCGGCGGTCTCCCTCCCGCCGGCTCACGGACATAGATGGCTGCCTAGCTCCGGAAGCCTAGCTCTTGTTCCGGGCATCCTAAGGAAGACACGGTTTTTCCTCCCGGGGGCTCGCCACATCTGGGACTTTGACGACTCGGGACCTCTCTCCCATTGAATGTTTGCGCGTTCTCTGGGAAAGTGAAATGCCTAACCTTGTTTTTACTCTAAGTCGCTACTTTGAATCTTCCCTGTTGGTCTCTTTAATCACCTAGCCTTGCTTCTCATGTAAATAAGGCTCTCTGTAGCTGGGAATGCTGGACAAACTCCAATCGACCCCTTAATTTACGAGACACGAAGGGCTCCTTACCCAACCCCCTTCCGCAAGGAGTTGACCTGTGTAAGCAGATACTCAGCATTTCAAGGGAGCCCAATCAACTGATAAGATACTGGCACAAACAGTGCATGAAGTTCCCAGGATTTTTCTCGAAGAGATAACAACATAAAGCCTTGAGTTCGTGTCCAGCATAGCACCTATATCTAAGTGTCATGAAGGATTTAGAGCCCCGCACCTGGTACCGTTGCCTTTTGTAACCATTTGCCTTTTAAAACTGTTTATCTCTCTATAACCATTTGCTTCTTTTGATTCCTGCATGTTTTTACTTCTGTAGAATTACCGCATTTGAGTTCCCCTCCCCTTCCTAAACCAAGGTATAGAAGTTAGTCAAGCCCCTTCCTCGGGGCCCAGAGAATTTTGAGCGTTAGCCATCTCTTTGGCCGCCGGCTTAAATAAAGGACTCTTAATTTGTCTCAAAGTGTGGCGTTTTCTCTAACTTCTGTGGGTATAACAAAAGGAAGAGGTGTGGGCTTTGGGCTTGGACCTGTGATTGTCCTTCTTTGAGCCGAGAGCGTTGAGAAGCCTACCTGGAGTGACACCCGGATAGAGGCCGAGCCATGCCGATTCGCGGAAGTGGGGGTGGGGGCTTGGGGAGGTACCTCGCCATAGGTGATTTGCAGGGGAAAGTGAAATGCCCCCGCCATAGGTCATTTGCAGTGGAAAGGAAAATGCCTGGTCGGTCAGCTTCTCCGTGTGTCCCAAGAAATGTCCTCAATGTTTCCAACCTCTGCCCCCAGGGTCAGGAAAATATTCCTGAGAGGGTTTGGTGAGCCTCTGGAATCTCTCCACCATTCCGTGTTTGCTTTGCACCCTTGGCTTTGGCGTGGATGAACTGCATCCACGTTTTTGGAAAACAGTCGTCAAGTGTTTAATGACCCTTGTGGCTACCTCTTCGAGTCGTGTGTGTGTGTGTGTGTGTGTGTGTGTGTGTGTGTGTTCATGCCAGCGTCCTATGCCTTGTAACTGAAACCTGGGGGCTTCTCTCCCTAACCTGTGATGAACACCTGGGCAACTTTGGAGAAGGAGGTGGAAGGGGAATGTCCCATTGGGTGTCTTGGAACGGTGGCTTCTTTCTTGGGAAAGGAAGTGGGATGGAGAGAATCCACCCGAGCTCTTCAGAAAGGACCTGCACCGATGGGTGATAGGCAGCATGGGCTCAGGAGAGCAGGGAGAGTTAGGGGAGACACCCACGTGCCTGGAATAGTGGAGGGCCATTTGGAGCAAGCCTCAGATGGAGAGCGACGTATCCTGGGGTTCGGTCAATCCTTGTGAACCCGAGAGCGTTCCTACGGACGTTAGACTCTCTTCGAGGTGATCTCTCTTGGAGGTTTTGTCTTGCGATTTAATTATTTCCTTCCCCCGCCGGTGCCTTCAAGTATGAATGACAATAAATATGATACACACTTACCGTGTGTGACGTCTTCATTAGGGAATTCACTAGAATCGGCCGAATTCACACACTTATCGCCCCACATGCGTCCCCTGTCCCTGTCGGGAGAATTTTCAGCTCTACTCCCGTGGGTATATTCACGAGAACCTTACATTCTGCTCCACCGTACTCACGTTGCCCTGCCACGGATATCCAGGAAGCACTCCACCTGCCTCTCGGAAACTTTGTGCCCTTTGACCCACATCTCGCATTGGCATCTTTTCCCTGCCCCTACCCCGGCCCCAGGCCCGGCCAACCACCTTTCTCCTCTCTACTTTCGCGATCCTCACCGCTTTCCATCCCACATCCCAAGGAGATCACGCAATACGGGTCGGATGGGCCTGGCTGATTTCACTGGGCACCATGACTTTTGGGTCCGTGCATGACGTCCCAGATGACCGGCTCTCCTTTCCTTTCCCTGATGTGTTTCTTCTGCGAACCCCACTCCTTTGTCCTTCTCTAGTCATCTACTGATGGGCACTTAGGTCGATTCCACGTCTTGGTTACAGGTAGCGTGCCGACAACCAACGCAGCAGGACACATATTTGCACCACATCCCGATTTCGTGTCCTTAGGCGATACGTCCAGAAGTGGGATGACTGGACGTATCCCACTGGACTGGAATCCCAGTTCCAGCGGTGATTTCTTGAGCAACCCCCCCGTATCGCTCCCGGCCACCCCTTGACCAGCCCTTACTGTGTTGGCACCTCCCACACCCAGCTGGCCACGCAGCCCTGTCCTCAGGCCTCACTCCTCTCTGCGCCAGGTCCAAGGCAGAGACAGCGAGCCTGAGATGTCCCCGAAAGCCGTCAGGGCGTGACCGGATCCCACGGCACCGGCCCTGCGGATGTTCCATTTCCTTTCGCCTGCTTGCTTTCTGGCGGACGTCTCCGCGCACGCCGTTTCTCAGACTCGCCTGGGACAGCCTGCGCCTCGCACGTCTCCCTCTCCCTCTCTTCTCTTACCGAGTTTCTCCTCCCCACACCCCGCCGGGTCCTGCCTAGAGTCGTGTGCCCCTTCCTTGATTCACGTGCTCACCGAGCGAGCGAGGCGGAGGGCTGTGGCCATACACACACGATGATCCCATCCACAGCCCGCCGGGATGGTCCTGAGCTCACAGCAACACCCGTCGGGTACACAAAGAGGAGGAGAAAATCAGACCGTGAGGCCTAGGAGGAACCAACTCAAACCTGGCTGGTCGTGGGCAAAATGTGGCCCTCTGGCCCACTCTCCTCTGCTGCCTGTTTCTCCATAGAAAACTAAGCTGGGACGAAAGCACACCCTGTCCTTTCCTAACGTCGGTAGATGGATTCCTGCCGCCGTGCCAGAAAGGAGTTTTTCCTCCGCAGACTGCAGGAGCAAGAGAACCTGCGGGACTCGGTCTCCCTTCACTCGAAATTTGCCCGACTCTCGGCATAGTGTGCACACACCCCAGCACGCGCGCGCGCGCACACACACACACACACACACACAGGCACGCACACACGCAGGTGCACACCAGGAAGTGGAGAAATCGTCCAACGCAGAGGTAGAGAGGCCTTCGAAATGGGCAACGAAGTAGGGCACTTCCTTTGAAATTACCGTGAAGCCCACAGCTACCTTTGTCTCTGTTCTGCCACTCCGCAAAATTGCTCATCACTTGCCGGAGACAGAGCGGCAGGGACCCAGGGAGAAAGCGGAACCCCTCCAACCCGCCTAACCTAATCAAGGTAGCCTGCCCCTGTGGGCGTGTCCGCAGCCAATCCTCCTGGGAACTCCCAGCAGGGGGTCCTGGCTCCCTATCAAAGCCCGCCGGCTGCGCCCAACCGGCCATTGCCCCGCTTGCGCTGCTCAGGCTGCCAGAGGGTAGAGCCTCCTCGCCGGGAACACAGAGCTCTTTCCTGGATGGGGAAGCTGTCCTTTGAGGAGACGGGAGAAGACAGACCTCCCTGTGGAAAGCAGGGGAAGATGGAGACCCGCAAGAACCGGGAGGGCTCTGAGAGAGGACGAGGTGAGTGAGGGTCGAGTGTCTCGTCTGTGCGGATTGGTGTGTGGAGGGGGTGGCAGGGGCCAGGGAGGCAGGAGAGTTAGAGCTGGGGTGACAAAGGCAGCGGCCCCCGCCCCACGGGCCCTGATCCGGCAGGTGGTGGGGAAACCTAAGGTCAAAGAAAGGCAGACTTTTTGTGTGCTGGGTGGCTCCGCCAGCTGGGCCATCCTCTGGGTGCGCCCGCGGAGGAGGGTTTGCTGGAGGGTGCCAGGCAGCTGGGGAACAGCCAGAGTGAGGAGACAGGAAGGGACCAGGGGAGTGGGGCCTGGAGGTCTTGGGCAGCTGGAGAAAGAGGAGGGGGTGGGGGACACCTGGGAGCAGAGCCATTCCTGCCTTGAAGTCACTCTGGGAGCTTGGCCCTTGCAACCCTCCCGCAGCCGTCTACGGACGGGTCATGGCCCACTCACTGTCGACCTCCTCTTCCCCCGCAGCTTCCAGCGGGCACAGCCGGGAGGCCTCTGCGTCCAGGCACAAACGGTGGAGAAGCCCCGACGGCTCCCCTCGCAGTCCCGGCAGAGAAACCGGAAACCGAGGGCGGAAGGTCAAGCCACGACCAGCCCCAGCCGGAGAGCGAGGCCACGACAAGCCCGAGTCCGGCAGAGCACGACGCCCCCACGAGCGCAGAGGAGGCAGGTTTAGGGGCTGGGAGCTTGGAGGGGTGGGGAGGAGGGCGCAGGGCCCCGGGAAGGGGAGCGGGGAGTGGGGGGCCCCGAGGGGGCCGAGGAAGCCCTCAGTGCGCCAGGAACCCGGGCCCCCGGTGGCCCCAGATGAGATGTGCTTCAAGTTTGAATGGGCGGAGGGGAGGGCACCCCGGACGGGGCACCGGAGTCCCCAGGATGCAGGGAGGGGCCGAGAGGATGGGGCGCGGAGGCGAGCCGCGGAGGGGTGGGGGATGGAGGGCAGGGGGAGGCGGGGTCGGGAGCGGCTTCGGGACCTTGGAAATGGGTCCCCTAGCGCTGCGCGCAGTCCCTCTGACACCTCCCGCTCTGTCTCCCGCGCAGGTTCTGTTCCCAGCCCGAGGCGCCTGGAGGAGCCAAAGCACCGGCCTAGATCGCCAGGGAGGACGAGCGGCCCGCAACGCCGCGTTGACGTCCGGGAGGAGCGACCCACCTCCCCAAAGCGCCGCCGACGCCACTCCCCAGAAGCCTGGGTCTCCCTCCCGTGCCCGCTCTCGCGAGTCGTCAACCACCTGGGCGGGCTGGACGTGGCCCTGGGCGAGCTTCGGGCCCCGGGGGGCGCCTTCCTCCCGGGGCCCGCCGGCGGCACGCAGCCCAGCGCCTCGCAGCGCGCCTGGCTCACCTGGCAGCTGGCGCACGCCGGGGCCGCCCTGCACTGGGCGCTGGCCACGCTCGACAGCCTGCTGGCTGCGGGGCCCTGGCCCGCGGGCCCGCCGCCCTTTGCGCCCGCTCCTGGGGGCCCTTAGGTGCGCACGGGAGCCAGCACCCTCGCCTTGGAAAAGCTCGAACCCTCTGCCCCAGAGGCGATCCCGACTCTGCACCGCAAACTCTACGGCGCCCTGCAGGACGGCGGCCTCCTGCCGCTTGGACGCCAGCCAGGAGCTCCCCGGCAGCAGCAGAGCAGAAAGAAGGATGGCCCCGCCCCACTTCGCCTCCCGGCGGTCTCCCTCCCGCCGGCTCACGGACATAGATGGCTGCCTAGCTCCGGAAGCCTAGCTCTTGTTCCGGGCATCCTAAGGAAGACACGGTTTTTCCTCCCGGGGGCTCGCCACATCTGGGACTTTGACGACTCGGGACCTCTCTCCCATTGAATGTTTGCGCGTTCTCTGGGAAAGTGAAATGCCTAACCTTGTTTTTACTCTAAGTCGCTACTTTGAATCTTCCCTGTTGGTCTCTTTAATCACCTAGCCTTGCTTCTCATGTAAATAAGGCTCTCTGTAGCTGGGAATGCTGGACAAACTCCAATCGACCCCTTAATTTACGAGACACGAAGGGCTCCTTACCCAACCCCCTTCCGCAAGGAGTTGACCTGTGTAAGCAGATACTCAGCATTTCAAGGGAGCCCAATCAACTGATAAGATACTGGCACAAACAGTGCATGAAGTTCCCAGGATTTTTCTCGAAGAGATAACAACATAAAGCCTTGAGTTCGTGTCCAGCATAGCACCTATATCTAAGTGTCATGAAGGATTTAGAGCCCCGCACCTGGTACCGTTGCCTTTTGTAACCATTTGCCTTTTAAAACTGTTTATCTCTCTATAACCATTTGCTTCTTTTGATTCCTGCATGTTTTTACTTCTGTAGAATTACCGCATTTGAGTTCCCCTCCCCTTCCTAAACCAAGGTATAGAAGTTAGTCAAGCCCCTTCCTCGGGGCCCAGAGAATTTTGAGCGTTAGCCATCTCTTTGGCCGCCGGCTTAAATAAAGGACTCTTAATTTGTCTCAAAGTGTGGCGTTTTCTCTAACTTCTGTGGGTATAACAAAAGGAAGAGGTGTGGGCTTTGGGCTTGGACCTGTGATTGTCCTTCTTTGAGCCGAGAGCGTTGAGAAGCCTACCTGGAGTGACACCCGGATAGAGGCCGAGCCATGCCGATTCGCGGAAGTGGGGGTGGGGGCTTGGGGAGGTACCTCGCCATAGGTGATTTGCAGGGGAAAGTGAAATGCCCCCGCCATAGGTCATTTGCAGTGGAAAGGAAAATGCCTGGTCGGTCAGCTTCTCCGTGTGTCCCAAGAAATGTCCTCAATGTTTCCAACCTCTGCCCCAGGGTCAGGAAAATATTCCTGAGAGGGTTTGGTGAGCCTCTGGAATCTCTCCACCATTCCGTGTTTGCTTTGCACCCTTGGCTTTGGCGTGGATGAACTGCATCCACGTTTTTGGAAAACAGTCGTCAAGTGTTTAATGACCCTTGTGGCTACCTCTTCGAGTCGTGTGTGTGTGTGTGTGTGTGTGTGTGTGTGTGTGTGTGTGTGTTCATGCCAGCGTCCTATGCCTTGTAACTGAAACCTGGGGGCTTCTCTCCCTAACCTGTGATGAACACCTGGGCAACTTTGGAGAAGGAGGTGGAAGGGGAATGTCCCATTGGGTGTCTTGGAACGGTGGCTTCTTTCTTGGGAAAGGAAGTGGGATGGAGAGAATCCACCCGAGCTCTTCAGAAAGGACCTGCACCGATGGGTGATAGGCAGCATGGGCTCAGGAGAGCAGGGAGAGTTAGGGGAGACACCCACGTGCCTGGAATAGTGGAGGGCCATTTGGAGCAAGCCTCAGATGGAGAGCGACGTATCCTGGGGTTCGGTCAATCCTTGTGAACCCGAGAGCGTTCCTACGGACGTTAGACTCTCTTCGAGGTGATCTCTCTTGGAGGTTTTGTCTTGCGATTTAATTATTTCCTTCCCCCGCCGGTGCCTTCAAGTATGAATGACAATAAATATGATACACACTTACCGTGTGTGACGTCTTCATTAGGGAATTCACTAGAATCGGCCGAATTCACACACTTATCGCCCCACATGCGTCCCCTGTCCCTGTCGGGAGAATTTTCAGCTCTACTCCCGTGGGTATATTCACGAGAACCTTACATTCTGCTCCACCGTACTCACGTTGCCCTGCCACGGATATCCAGGAAGCACTCCACCTGCCTCTCGGAAACTTTGTGCCCTTTGACCCACATCTCGCATTGGCATCTTTTCCCTGCCCCTACCCCGGCCCCAGGCCCGGCCAACCACCTTTCTCCTCTCTACTTTCGCGATCCTCACCGCTTTCCATCCCACATCCCAAGGAGATCACGCAATACGGGTCGGATGGGCCTGGCTGATTTCACTGGGCACCATGACTTTTGGGTCCGTGCATGACGTCCCAGATGACCGGCTCTCCTTTCCTTTCCCTGATGTGTTTCTTCTGCGAACCCCACTCCTTTGTCCTTCTCTAGTCATCTACTGATGGGCACTTAGGTCGATTCCACGTCTTGGTTACAGGTAGCGTGCCGACAACCAACGCAGCAGGACACATATTTGCACCACATCCCGATTTCGTGTCCTTAGGCGATACGTCCAGAAGTGGGATGACTGGACGTATCCCACTGGACTGGAATCCCAGTTCCAGCGGTGATTTCTTGAGCAACCCCCCCGTATCGCTCCCGGCCACCCCTTGACCAGCCCTTACTGTGTTGGCACCTCCCACACCCAGCTGGCCACGCAGCCCTGTCCTCAGGCCTCACTCCTCTCTGCGCCAGGTCCAAGGCAGAGACAGCGAGCCTGAGATGTCCCCGAAAGCCGTCAGGGCGTGACCGGATCCCACGGCACCGGCCCTGCGGATGTTCCATTTCCTTTCGCCTGCTTGCTTTCTGCGGGACGTCTCCGCGCACGCCGTTTCTCAGACTCGCCTGGGACAGCCTGCGCCTCGCACGTCTCCCTCTCCCTCTCTTCTCTTACCGAGTTTCTCCTCCCCACACCCGCCGGGTCCTGCCTAGAGTCGTGTGCCCCTTCCTTGATTCACGTGCTCACCGAGCGAGCGAGGCGGAGGGCTGTGGCCATACACACACGATGATCCCATCCACAGCCGCCGGGATGGTCCTGAGCTCACAGCAACACCGTCGGGTACACAAAGAGGAGGAGAAAATCAGACCGTGAGGCCTAGGAGGAACCAACTCAAACCTGGCTGGTCGTGGGCAAAATGTGGCCCTCTGGCCCACTCTCCTCTGCTGCCTGTTTCTCCATAGAAAACTAAGCTGGGACGAAAGCACACCCTGTCCTTTCCTAACGTCGGTAGATGGATTCCTGCCGCCGTGCCAGAAAGGAGTTTTTCCTCCGCAGACTGCAGGAGCAAGAGAACCTGCGGGACTCGGTCTCCCTTCACTCGAAATTTGCCCGACTCTCGGCATAGTGTGCACACACCCCAGCACGCGCGCGCGCGCACACACACACACACACACACACAGGCACGCACACACGCAGGTGCACACCAGGAAGTGGAGAAATCGTCCAACGCAGAGGTAGAGAGGCCTTCGAAATGGGCAACGAAGTAGGGCACTTCCTTTGAAATTACCGTGAAGCCCACAGCTACCTTTGTCTCTGTTCTGCCACTCCGCAAAATTGCTCATCACTTGCCGGAGACAGAGCGGCAGGGACCCAGGGAGAAAGCGGAACCCCTCCAACCCGCCTAACCTAATCAAGGTAGCCTGCCCCTGTGGGCGTGTCCGCAGCCAATCCTCCTGGGAACTCCCAGCAGGGGGTCCTGGCTCCCTATCAAAGCCCGCCGGCTGCGCCCAACCGGCCATTGCCCCGCTTGCGCTGCTCAGGCTGCCAGAGGGTAGAGCCTCCTCGCCGGGAACACAGAGCTCTTTCCTGGATGGGGAAGCTGTCCTTTGAGGAGACGGGAGAAGACAGACCTCCCTGTGGAAAGCAGGGGAAGATGGAGACCCGCAAGAACCGGGAGGGCTCTGAGAGAGGACGAGGTGAGTGAGGGTCGAGTGTCTCGTCTGTGCGGATTGGTGTGTGGAGGGGGTGGCAGGGGCCAGGGAGGCAGGAGAGTTAGAGCTGGGGTGACAAAGGCAGCGGCCCCCGCCCCACGGGCCCTGATCCGGCAGGTGGTGGGGAAACCTAAGGTCAAAGAAAGGCAGACTTTTTGTGTGCTGGGTGGCTCCGCCAGCTGGGCCATCCTCTGGGTGCGCCCGCGGAGGAGGGTTTGCTGGAGGGTGCCAGGCAGCTGGGGAACAGCCAGAGTGAGGAGACAGGAAGGGACCAGGGGAGTGGGGCCTGGAGGTCTTGGGCAGCTGGAGAAAGAGGAGGGGGTGGGGGACACCTGGGAGCAGAGCCATTCCTGCCTTGAAGTCACTCTGGGAGCTTGGCCCTTGCAACCCTCCCGCAGCCGTCTACGGACGGGTCATGGCCCACTCACTGTCGACCTCCTCTTCCCCCGCAGCTTCCAGCGGGCACAGCCGGGAGGCCTCTGCGTCCAGGCACAAACGGTGGAGAAGCCCCGACGGCTCCCCTCGCAGTCCCGGCAGAGAAACCGGAAACCGAGGGCGGAAGGTCAAGCCACGACCAGCCCCAGCCGGAGAGCGAGGCCACGACAAGCCCGAGTCCGGCAGAGCACGACGCCCCCACGAGCGCAGAGGAGGCAGGTTTAGGGGCTGGGAGCTTGGAGGGGTGGGGAGGAGGGCGCAGGGCCCCGGGAAGGGGAGCGGGGAGTGGGGGGCCCCGAGGGGGCCGAGGAAGCCCTCAGTGCGCCAGGAACCCGGGCCCCCCGGTGGCCCCCAGATGAGATGTGCTTCAAGTTTGAATGGGCGGAGGGGAGGGCACCCCGGACGGGGCACCGGAGTCCCCAGGATGCAGGGAGGGGCCGAGAGGATGGGGCGCGGAGGCGAGCCGCGGAGGGGTGGGGGATGGAGGGCAGGGGGAGGCGGGGTCGGGAGCGGCTTCGGGACCTTGGAAATGGGTCCCCTAGCGCTGCGCGCAGTCCCTCTGACACCTCCCGCTCTGTCTCCCGCGCAGGTTCTGTTCCCAGCCCGAGGCGCCTGGAGGAGCCAAAGCACCGGCCTAGATCGCCAGGGAGGACGAGCGGCCCGCAACGCCGCGTTGACGTCCGGGAGGAGCGACCCACCTCCCCAAAGCGCCGCCGACGCCACTCCCCAGAAGCCTGGGTCTCCCTCCCGTGCCCGCTCTCGCGAGTCGTCAACCACCTGGGCGGGCTGGACGTGGCCCTGGGCGAGCTTCGGGCCCCGGGGGGCGCCTTCCTCCCGGGGCCCGCCGGCGGCACGCAGCCCAGCGCCTCGCAGCGCGCCTGGCTCACCTGGCAGCTGGCGCACGCCGGGGCCGCCCTGCACTGGGCGCTGGCCACGCTCGACAGCCTGCTGGCTGCGGGGCCCTGGCCCGCGGGCCCGCCGCCCTTTGCGCCCGCTCCTGGGGGCCCTTAGGTGCGCACGGGAGCCAGCACCCTCGCCTTGGAAAAGCTCGAACCCTCTGCCCCAGAGGCGATCCCGACTCTGCACCGCAAACTCTACGGCGCCCTGCAGGACGGCGGCCTCCTGCCGCTTGGACGCCAGCCAGGAGCTCCCCGGCAGCAGCAGAGCAGAAAGAAGGATGGCCCCGCCCCACTTCGCCTCCCGGCGGTCTCCCTCCCGCCGGCTCACGGACATAGATGGCTGCCTAGCTCCGGAAGCCTAGCTCTTGTTCCGGGCATCCTAAGGAAGACACGGTTTTTCCTCCCGGGGGCTCGCCACATCTGGGACTTTGACGACTCGGGACCTCTCTCCCATTGAATGTTTGCGCGTTCTCTGGGAAAGTGAAATGCCTAACCTTGTTTTTACTCTAAGTCGCTACTTTGAATCTTCCCTGTTGGTCTCTTTAATCACCTAGCCTTGCTTCTCATGTAAATAAGGCTCTCTGTAGCTGGGAATGCTGGACAAACTCCAATCGACCCCTTAATTTACGAGACACGAAGGGCTCCTTACCCAACCCCCTTCCGCAAGGAGTTGACCTGTGTAAGCAGATACTCAGCATTTCAAGGGAGCCCAATCAACTGATAAGATACTGGCACAAACAGTGCATGAAGTTCCCAGGATTTTTCTCGAAGAGATAACAACATAAAGCCTTGAGTTCGTGTCCAGCATAGCACCTATATCTAAGTGTCATGAAGGATTTAGAGCCCCGCACCTGGTACCGTTGCCTTTTGTAACCATTTGCCTTTTAAAACTGTTTATCTCTCTATAACCATTTGCTTCTTTTGATTCCTGCATGTTTTTACTTCTGTAGAATTACCGCATTTGAGTTCCCCTCCCCTTCCTAAACCAAGGTATAGAAGTTAGTCAAGCCCCTTCCTCGGGGCCCAGAGAATTTTGAGCGTTAGCCATCTCTTTGGCCGCCGGCTTAAATAAAGGACTCTTAATTTGTCTCAAAGTGTGGCGTTTTCTCTAACTTCTGTGGGTATAACAAAAGGAAGAGGTGTGGGCTTTGGGCTTGGACCTGTGATTGTCCTTCTTTGAGCCGAGAGCGTTGAGAAGCCTACCTGGAGTGACACCCGGATAGAGGCCGAGCCATGCCGATTCGCGGAAGTGGGGGTGGGGGCTTGGGGAGGTACCTCGCCATAGGTGATTTGCAGGGGAAAGTGAAATGCCCCCGCCATAGGTCATTTGCAGTGGAAAGGAAAATGCCTGGTCGGTCAGCTTCTCCGTGTGTCCCAAGAAATGTCCTCAATGTTTCCAACCTCTGCCCCCAGGGTCAGGAAAATATTCCTGAGAGGGTTTGGTGAGCCTCTGGAATCTCTCCACCATTCCGTGTTTGCTTTGCACCCTTGGCTTTGGCGTGGATGAACTGCATCCACGTTTTTGGAAAACAGTCGTCAAGTGTTTAATGACCCTTGTGGCTACCTCTTCGAGTCGTGTGTGTGTGTGTGTGTGTGTGTGTGTGTGTGTGTGTGTGTGTTCATGCCAGCGTCCTATGCCTTGTAACTGAAACCTGGGGGCTTCTCTCCCTAACCTGTGATGAACACCTGGGCAACTTTGGAGAAGGAGGTGGAAGGGGAATGTCCCATTGGGTGTCTTGGAACGGTGGCTTCTTTCTTGGGAAAGGAAGTGGGATGGAGAGAATCCACCCGAGCTCTTCAGAAAGGACCTGCACCGATGGGTGATAGGCAGCATGGGCTCAGGAGAGCAGGGAGAGTTAGGGGAGACACCCACGTGCCTGGAATAGTGGAGGGCCATTTGGAGCAAGCCTCAGATGGAGAGCGACGTATCCTGGGGTTCGGTCAATCCTTGTGAACCCGAGAGCGTTCCTACGGACGTTAGACTCTCTTCGAGGTGATCTCTCTTGGAGGTTTTGTCTTGCGATTTAATTATTTCCTTCCCCCGCCGGTGCCTTCAAGTATGAATGACAATAAATATGATACACACTTACCGTGTGTGACGTCTTCATTAGGGAATTCACTAGAATCGGCCGAATTCACACACTTATCGCCCCACATGCGTCCCCTGTCCCTGTCGGGAGAATTTTCAGCTCTACTCCCGTGGGTATATTCACGAGAACCTTACATTCTGCTCCACCGTACTCACGTTGCCCTGCCACGGATATCCAGGAAGCACTCCACCTGCCTCTCGGAAACTTTGTGCCCTTTGACCCACATCTCGCATGGGCATCTTTTCCCTGCCCCTACCCCGGCCCCAGGCCCGGCCAACCACCTTTCTCCTCTCTACTTTCGCGATCCTCACCGCTTTCCATCCCACATCCCAAGGAGATCACGCAATACGGGTCGGATGGGCCTGGCTGATTTCACTGGGCACCATGACTTTTGGGTCCGTGCATGACGTCCCAGATGACCGGCTCTCCTTTCCTTTCCCTGATGTGTTTCTTCTGCGAACCCCACTCCTTTGTCCTTCTCTAGTCATCTACTGATGGGCACTTAGGTCGATTCCACGTCTTGGTTACAGGTAGCGTGCCGACAACCAACGCAGCAGGACACATATTTGCACCACATCCCGATTTCGTGTCCTTAGGCGATACGTCCAGAAGTGGGATGACTGGACGTATCCCACTGGACTGGAATCCCAGTTCCAGCGGTGATTTCTTGAGCAACGCCCCCGTATCGCTCCCGGCCACCCCTTGACCAGCCCTTACTGTGTTGGCACCTCCCACACCCAGCTGGCCACGCAGCCCTGTCCTCAGGCCTCACTCCTCTCTGCGCCAGGTCCAAGGCGGAGACAGCGAGCCTGAGATGTCCCCGAAAGCCGTCAGGGCGTGACCGGATCCCACGGCACCGGCCCTGCGGATGTTCCATTTCCTTTCGCCTGCTTGCTTTCTGGCGGACGTCTCCGCGCACGCCGTTTCTCAGACTCGCCTGGGACAGCCTGCGCCTCGCACGTCTCCCTCTCCCTCTCTTCTCTTACCGAGTTTCTCCTCCCCACACCCCGCCGGGTCCTGCCTAGAGTCGTGTGCCCCTTCCTTGATTCACGTGCTCACCGAGCGAGCGAGGCGGAGGGCTGTGGCCATACACACACGATGATCCCATCCGCAGCCCGCCGGGATGGTCCTGAGCTCACAGCAACACCCGTCGGGTACACAAAGAGGAGGAGAAAATCAGACCGTGAGGCCTAGGAGGAACCAACTCAAACCTGGCTGGTCGTGGGCAAAATGTGGCCCTCTGGCCCACTCTCCTCTGCTGCCTGTTTCTCCATAGAAAACTAAGCTGGGACGAAAGCACACCCTGTCCTTTCCTAACGTCGGTAGATGGATTCCTGCCGCCGTGCCAGAAAGGAGTTTTTCCTCCGCAGACTGCAGGAGCAAGAGAACCTGCGGGACTCGGTCTCCCTTCACTCGAAATTTGCCCGACTCTCGGCATAGTGTGCACACACCCCAGCACGCGCGCGCGCGCACACACACACACACACACACACAGGCACGCACACACGCAGGTGCACACCAGGAAGTGGAGAAATCGTCCAACGCAGAGGTAGAGAGGACTTCGAAATGGGCAACGAAGTAGGGCACTTCCTTTGAAATTACCGTGAAGCCCACAGCTACCTTTGTCTCTGTTCTGCCACTCCGCAAAATTGCTCATCACTTGCCGGAGACAGAGCGGCAGGGACCCAGGGAGAAAGCGGAACCCCTCCAACCCGCCTAACCTAATCAAGGTAGCCTGCCCCTGTGGGCGTGTCCGCAGCCAATCCTCCTGGGAACTCCCAGCAGGGGGTCCTGGCTCCCTATCAAAGCCCGCCGGCTGCGCCCAACCGGCCATTGCCCCGCTTGCGCTGCTCAGGCTGCCAGAGGGTAGAGCCTCCTCGCCGGGAACACAGAGCTCTTTCCTGGATGGGGAAGCTGTCCTTTGAGGAGACGGGAGAAGACAGACCTCCCTGTGGAAAGCAGGGGAAGATGGAGACCCGCAAGAACCGGGAGGGCTCTGAGAGAGGACGAGGTGAGTGAGGGTCGAGTGTCTCGTCTGTGCGGATTGGTGTGTGGAGGGGGTGGCAGGGGCCAGGGAGGCAGGAGAGTTAGAGCTGGGGTGACAAAGGCAGCGGCCCCCGCCCCACGGGCCCTGATCCGGCAGGTGGTGGGGAAACCTAAGGTCAAAGAAAGGCAGACTTTTTGTGTGCTGGGTGGCTCCGCCAGCTGGGCCATCCTCTGGGTGCGCCCGCGGAGGAGGGTTTGCTGGAGGGTGCCAGGCAGCTGGGGAACAGCCAGAGTGAGGAGACAGGAAGGGACCAGGGGAGTGGGGCCTGGAGGTCTTGGGCAGCTGGAGAAAGAGGAGGGGGTGGGGGACACCTGGGAGCAGAGCCATTCCTGCCTTGAAGTCACTCTGGGAGCTTGGCCCTTGCAACCCTCCCGCAGCCGTCTACGGACGGGTCATGGCCCACTCACTGTCGACCTCCTCTTCCCCCGCAGCTTCCAGCGGGCACAGCCGGGAGGCCTCTGCGTCCAGGCACAAACGGTGGAGAAGCCCCGACGGCTCCCCTCGCAGTCCCGGCAGAGAAACCGGAAACCGAGGGCGGAAGGTCAAGCCACGACCAGCCCCAGCCGGAGAGCGAGGCCACGACAAGCCCGAGTCCGGCAGAGCACGACGCCCCCACGAGCGCAGAGGAGGCAGGTTTAGGGGCTGGGAGCTTGGAGGGGTGGGGAGGAGGGCGCAGGGCCCCGGGAAGGGGAGCGGGGAGTGGGGGGCCCCGAGGGGGCCGAGGAAGCCCTCAGTGCGCCAGGAACCCGGGCCCCCGGTGGCCCCAGATGAGATGTGCTTCAAGTTTGAACGGGCGGAGGGGAGGGCACCCCGGACGGGGCACCGGAGTCCCCAGGATGCAGGGAGGGGCCGAGAGGATGGGGCGCGGAGGCGAGCCGCGGAGGGGTGGGGGATGGAGGGCAGGGGGAGGCGGGGTCGGGAGCGGCTTCGGGACCTTGGAAATGGGTCCCCTAGCGCTGCGCGCAGTCCCTCTGACACCTCCCGCTCTGTCTCCCGCGCAGGTTCTGTTCCCAGCCCGAGGCGCCTGGAGGAGCCAAAGCACCGGCCTAGATCGCCAGGGAGGACGAGCGGCCCGCAACGCCGCGTTGACGTCCGGGAGGAGCGACCCACCTCCCCAAAGCGCCGCCGACGCCACTCCCCAGAAGCCTGGGTCTCCCTCCCGTGCCCGCTCTCGCGAGTCGTCAACCACCTGGGCGGGCTGGACGTGGCCCTGGGCGAGCTTCGGGCCCCGGGGGGCGCCTTCCTCCCGGGGCCCGCCGGCGGCACGCAGCCCAGCGCCTCGCAGCGCGCCTGGCTCACCTGGCAGCTGGCGCACGCCGGGGCCGCCCTGCACTGGGCGCTGGCCACGCTCGACAGCCTGCTGGCTGCGGGGCCCTGGCCCGCGGGCCCGCCGCCCTTTGCGCCCGCTCCTGGGGGCCCTTAGGTGCGCACGGGAGCCAGCACCCTCGCCTTGGAAAAGCTCGAACCCTCTGCCCCAGAGGCGATCCCGACTCTGCACCGCAAACTCTACGGCGCCCTGCAGGACGGCGGCCTCCTGCCGCTTGGACGCCAGCCAGGAGCTCCCCGGCAGCAGCAGAGCAGAAAGAAGGATGGCCCCGCCCCACTTCGCCTCCCGGCGGTCTCCCTCCCGCCGGCTCACGGACATAGATGGCTGCCTAGCTCCGGAAGCCTAGCTCTTGTTCCGGGCATCCTAAGGAAGACACGGTTTTTCCTCCCGGGGGCTCGCCACATCTGGGACTTTGACGACTCGGGACCTCTCTCCCATTGAATGTTTGCGCGTTCTCTGGGAAAGTGAAATGCCTAACCTTGTTTTTACTCTAAGTCGCTACTTTGAATCTTCCCTGTTGGTCTCTTTAATCACCTAGCCTTGCTTCTCATGTAAATAAGGCTCTCTGTAGCTGGGAATGCTGGACAAACTCCAATCGACCCCTTAATTTACGAGACACGAAGGGCTCCTTACCCAACCCCCTTCCGCAAGGAGTTGACCTGTGTAAGCAGATACTCAGCATTTCAAGGGAGCCCAATCAACTGATAAGATACTGGCACAAACAGTGCATGAAGTTCCCAGGATTTTTCTCGAAGAGATAACAACATAAAGCCTTGAGTTCGTGTCCAGCATAGCACCTATATCTAAGTGTCATGAAGGATTTAGAGCCCCGCACCTGGTACCGTTGCCTTTTGTAACCATTTGCCTTTTAAAACTGTTTATCTCTCTATAACCATTTGCTTCTTTTGATTCCTGCATGTTTTTACTTCTGTAGAATTACCGCATTTGAGTTCCCCTCCCCTTCCTAAACCAAGGTATAGAAGTTAGTCAAGCCCCTTCCTCGGGGCCCAGAGAATTTTGAGCGTTAGCCATCTCTTTGGCCGCCGGCTTAAATAAAGGACTCTTAATTTGTCTCAAAGTGTGGCGTTTTCTCTAACTTCTGTGGGTATAACAAAAGGAAGAGGTGTGGGCTTTGGGCTTGGACCTGTGATTGTCCTTCTTTGAGCCGAGAGCGTTGAGAAGCCTACCTGGAGTGACACCCGGATAGAGGCCGAGCCATGCCGATTCGCGGAAGTGGGGGTGGGGGCTTGGGGAGGTACCTCGCCATAGGTGATTTGCAGGGGAAAGTGAAATGCCCCCGCCATAGGTCATTTGCAGTGGAAAGGAAAATGCCTGGTCGGTCAGCTTCTCCGTGTGTCCCAAGAAATGTCCTCAATGTTTCCAACCTCTGCCCCCAGGGTCAGGAAAATATTCCTGAGAGGGTTTGGTGAGCCTCTGGAATCTCTCCACCATTCCGTGTTTGCTTTGCACCCTTGGCTTTGGCGTGGATGAACTGCATCCACGTTTTTGGAAAACAGTCGTCAAGTGTTTAATGACCCTTGTGGCTACCTCTTCGAGTCGTGTGTGTGTGTGTGTGTGTGTGTGTGTGTGTGTGTGTGTGTGTTCATGCCAGCGTCCTATGCCTTGTAACTGAAACCTGGGGGCTTCTCTCCCTAACCTGTGATGAACACCTGGGCAACTTTGGAGAAGGAGGTGGAAGGGGAATGTCCCATTGGGTGTCTTGGAACGGTGGCTTCTTTCTTGGGAAAGGAAGTGGGATGGAGAGAATCCACCCGAGCTCTTCAGAAAGGACCTGCACCGATGGGTGATAGGCAGCATGGGCTCAGGAGAGCAGGGAGAGTTAGGGGAGACACCCACGTGCCTGGAATAGTGGAGGGCCATTTGGAGCAAGCCTCAGATGGAGAGCGACGTATCCTGGGGTTCGGTCAATCCTTGTGAACCCGAGAGCGTTCCTACGGACGTTAGACTCTCTTCGAGGTGATCTCTCTTGGAGGTTTTGTCTTGCGATTTAATTATTTCCTTCCCCGCCGGTGCCTTCAAGTATGAATGACAATAAATATGATACACACTTACCGTGTGTGACGTCTTCATTAGGGAATTCACTAGAATCGGCCGAATTCACACACTTATCGCCCCACATGCGTCCCCTGTCCCTGTCGGGAGAATTTTCAGCTCTACTCCCGTGGGTATATTCACGAGAACCTTACATTCTGCTCCACCGTACTCGCGTTGCCCTGCCACGGATATCCAGGAAGCACTCCACCTGCCTCTCGGAAACTTTCTGCCCTTTGACCCACATCTCGCATTGGCATCTTTTCCCTGCCCCTACCCCGGCCCCAGGCCCGGCCAACCACCTTTCTCCTCTCTACTTTCGCGATCCTCACCGCTTTCCATCCCACATCCCAAGGAGATCACGCAATACGGGTCGGATGGGCCTGGCTGATTTCACTGGGCACCATGACTTTTGGGTCCATGCATGACGTCCCAGATGACCGGCTCTCCTTTCCTTTCCCTGATGTGTTTCTTCTGCGAACCCCACTCCTTTGTCCTTCTCTAGTCATCTGCTGATGGGCACTTAGGTCGATTCCACGTCTTGGTTACAGGCAGCGTGCCGACAACCAACGCAGCAGGACACATATTTGCACCACATCCCGATTTCGTGTCCTTAGGCGATACGTCCAGAAGTGGGATGACTGGACGTATCCCACTGGACTGGAATCCCAGTTCCAGCGGTGATTTCTTGAGCAACTCCCCCGTATCGCTCCCGACCACCCCTTGACCAGCCCTTACTGTGTTGGCACCTCCCACACCTAGCTGGCCACGGAGCCCTGTCCTCAGGCCTCACTCCTCTCTGCGCCAGGTCCAAGGGGGAGACAGCGAGCCTGAGATGTCCCCGAAAGCCGTCAGGGCGTGATCGGATCCCACGGCACCGGCCCTGCGGATGTTCCATTTCCTTTCGCCTGCTTGCTTTCTGGCGGACGTCTCCGCGCACGCCGTTTCTCAGACTCGCCTGGGACAGCCTGCGCCTCGCACGTCTCCCTCTCCCTCTCTTCTCTTACCGAGTTTCTCCTCCCGACACCCCGCCGGGTCCTGCCTAGAGTCGTGTGCCCCTTCCTTGATTCACGTGCTCACCGAGCGAGCGGGGCGGAGGGCTGTGGCCATACACACACGATGATCCCATCCGCAGCCCGCCGGGATGGTCCTGATCTCAGAGCAACACCCGTCGGGTACACAAAGGGGAGGAGAAAATCAGACCGTGAGGCCTAGGAGGAACCAACTCAAACCTGGCTGGTCGTGGGCAAAATGTGGCCCTCTGGCCCACTCTCCTCTGCTGCCTGTTTCTCCATAGAAAACTAAGCTGGGACGAAAGCACACCCTGTCCTTTCCTAACGTCGGTAGATGGATTCCTGCCGCCGTGCCAGAAAGGAGTTTTTCCTCCGCAGACTGCAGGAGCAAGAGAACCTGCGGGACTCGGTCTCCCTTCACTCGAAATTTGCCCGACTCTCGGCATGGTGTGCACACACCCAAGCACGCGGGCGCGCACACACACACACACACACATACACACAGGCACGCACACACGCAGGTGCACACCAGGAAGTGGAGAAATCGTCCAACGCAGAGGTAGAGAGGACTTCGAAATGGGCAACGAAGTAGGGCACTTCCTTTGAAATTACCGTGAAGCCCACAGCTACCTTTGTCTCTGTTCTGCCACTCCGCAAAATTGCTCATCACTTGCGGGAGACAGAGCGGCAGGGACCCAGGGAGAAAGCGGAACCCCTCCAACCCGCCTAACCTAATCAAGGTAGCCTGCCCCTGTGGGCGTGTCCGCAGCCAATCCTCCTGGGAACTCCCAGCAGGGGGTCCTGGCTCCCTATCAAAGCCCGCCGGCTGCGCCCAACCGGCCATTGCCCGGCTTGCGCTGCTCAGGCTGCCAGAGGTTAGAGCCTCCTCGCCGGGAACACAGAGCTCTTTCCTGGATGGGGAAGCTGTCCTTTGAGGAGACGGGAGAAGACAGACCTCCCTGTGGAAAGCAGGGGAAGATGGAGACACGCAAGACCCGGGAGGGCTCTGAGAGAGGACGAGGTGAGTGAGGGTCGAGTGTCTCGTCTGTGCGGATTGGTGTGTGGAGGGGGTGGCAGGGGCCAGGGAGGCAGGAGAGTTAGAGCTGGGGTGACAAAGGCAGCGGCCCCCGCCCCACGGGCCCTGATCCGGCAGGTGGTGGGGAAACCTAAGGTCAAAGAAAGGCAGACTTTTTGTGTGCTGGGTGGCTCCGCCAGCTGGGCCATCCTCTGGGTGCGCCCGCGGAGGAGGGTTTGCTGGAGGGTGCCAGGCAGCTGGGGAACAGCCAGAGTCAGGAGACAGGAAGGGACCCGGGGAGTGGGGCCTGGAGGTCTTGGGCAGCTGGAGAAAGAGGAGGGGGTGGGGGACACCTGGGAGCAGAGCCATTCCTGCCTTGAAGTCACTCTGGGAGCTTGGCCCTTGCAACCCTCCCGCAGCCGTCTACGGACGGGTCATGGCCCACTCACTGTCGACCTCCTCTTCCCCCGCAGCTTCCAGCGGGCACAGCCGGGAGGCCTCTGCGTCCAGGCACAAACGGTGGAGAAGCCCCGACGGCTCCCCTCGCAGTCCCGGCAGAGAAACCGGAAACCGAGGGCGGAAGGTCAAGCCACGACCAGCCCCAGCCGGAGAGCGAGGCCACGACAAGCCCGAGTCCGGCAGAGCACGACGCCCCCACGAGCGCAGAGGAGGCAGGTTTAGGGGCTGGGAGCTTGGAGGGGTGGGGAGGAGGGCGCAGGGCCCCGGGAAGGGGAGCGGGGAGTGGGGGGCCCCGAGGGGGCCGAGGAAGCCCTCAGTGCGCCAGGAACCCGGGCCCCCGGTGGCCCCAGATGAGATGTGCTTCAAGTTTGAATGGGCGGAGGGGAGGGCACCCCGGACGGGGCACCGGAGTCCCCAGGATGCAGGGAGGGGCCGAGAGGATGGGGCGCGGAGGCGAGCCGCGGAGGGGTGGGGGATGGAGGGCAGGGGGAGGCGGGGTCGGGAGCGGCTTCGGGACCTTGGAAATGGGTCCCCTAGCGCTGCGCGCAGTCCCTCTGACACCTCCCGCTCTGTCTCCCGCGCAGGTTCTGTTCCCAGCCCGAGGCGCCTGGAGGAGCCAAAGCACCGGCCTAGATCGCCAGGGAGGACGAGCGGCCCGCAACGCCGCGTTGACGTCCGGGAGGAGCGACCCACCTCCCCAAAGCGCCGCCGACGCCACTCCCCAGAAGCCTGGGTCTCCCTCCCGTGCCCGCTCTCGCGAGTCGTCAACCACCTGGGCGGGCTGGACGTGGCCCTGGGCGAGCTTCGGGCCCCGGGGGGCGCCTTCCTCCCGGGGCCCGCCGGCGGCACGCAGCCCAGCGCCTCGCAGCGCGCCTGGCTCACCTGGCAGCTGGCGCACGCCGGGGCCGCCCTGCACTGGGCGCTGGCCACGCTCGACAGCCTGCTGGCTGCGGGGCCCTGGCCCGCGGGCCCGCCGCCCTTTGCGCCCGCTCCTGGGGGGCCTTAGGTGCGCACGGGAGCCAGCACCCTCGCCTTGGAAAAGCTCGAACCCTCTGCCCCAGAGGCGATCCCGACTCTGCACCGCAAACTCTACGGCGCCCTGCAGGACGGCGGCCTCCTGCCGCTTGGACGCCAGCCAGGAGCTCCCCGGCAGCAGCAGAGCAGAAAGAAGGATGGCCCCGCCCCACTTCGCCTCCCGGCGGTCTCCCTCCCGCTGGCTCACGGAGATAGATGGCTGCCTAGCTCCGGAAGCCTAGCTCTTGTTCCGGACATCCTAAGGACGACACCGTTTTTCCTTCCGGGGGCTCACCACATCTGGGACTTTGATGACTCGGGACCTCTCTCCCATTGAATTTTTGCGCGTTTTCTGGGAAGGGATGAGGTGTGGGCTTTGCGTTTGGATGTGGGATTGTCCTTTGAGCCGAGAGCGTTGAGAAGCCTACCTGGAGTGACACCCGTGTAGAGACTGAGCCACGTGGATTCGCGGAAGTGGGGGTGGGGGCTTGGGGCGGTACCTCACCATAGGGGATTTCCAGGGGAAAGTGAAATGCCCTCGGTGTAGGTCATTCGTAGTGGAAAGGAAAATGCCTGGTCCCTCAGCTTCTTCGTGTGTCCCAAGAAATGTCCTCAATATTTCCAACCTCTGCCCCCAGGGTCAGGAAAATATTCCTGGCAGGTTTTGGTGAGCCTCTGGAATCTCTCCGCCATTCCGCGTTTGCACCCTCGGCTTTGGCAAGGATGAACTGCATCCACGTTTTTGGAAATCAGTCGTCATGTGTTTAATGACCCTTGTGGCTACCTCTTCGAGGTGTGTGTGTGTGTGTGTGTGTGTGTGTGTGTGTGTGTGTTCATGCCAGCGTCCTATGTCTTGTAACTGAAATCTGGGAACTTGTCTCCCTACCCTGTGATGATCACCTGGGGAACTTTGGAGAAGGAGGTGGAAGGGGAATGTCCCACTTCGTGTCTTGGAACAGGTGGCTTCTTTCTTGGGAAAAGAGGTGGGATGGAGAGAATGCACCCGAGCTCTTCAGAAAGGACCTGCACTGATTGGTGATAGGCAGCATGGGCTCAGGAGAGCAGGGAGAGTTAGGGGAGACACCCACGTGCCTGGAATAGTGGAGGGCCATTTGGAGCAAGCCTCAGATGGAGAGCCACATATCGAGGTGTTCGGTCAATCCTTGTGAACCAGAGAGTGTTCCTACGAATGCTAGAGTCTCATAGAAGTAATGTCTCTTTTACGTTTTTTTGCCTGATTAATATTTTCTTCCCCTCCCGGTGCCTTCAAGTATGAATGACAATAAATACCATACATATTTACCGTGTGTGACCTCTTCATTAGGGAATTCACTAGAATCAGCCGAATTCACACAGTTATCGCCGCACTTGCTTCCCCTGTCCCTGTCGGGAGAATTTTCAGGTCTACTCGAATGAATATACTCAACAGTACAACATTATGTTCTGATCCTCCGTACTAACTCATCCCTACCACATATATATATATGTGTATATATATGTATATATATATGTGTGTATATATGTATATATATGTGTGTATATATGTGTATATATGTATATATGTGTATATATGTATATATGTATATATGTGTATATATGTATACATGTGTATATATGTGTATATGTATATATATGTATATATTATGTATATATATGTTGGTTTCAAGAAAATCCTTGAGAAACTGAACTGCCCCTCTTTCTGATTTGTGAGGAAGAAAGGAAAGGAGAGGTATTGAAAAAAATATTGTACCTTTTTACGACTCTAATATCAGGAACAATTAAAGTCAGGACCATATCTGAGGCAGAAACAAAGCAATTGCCTATCCGTACAAAGGTGACGCTCAAAGAATACTCTGTCAGGAACACAGTGTAGGGGGCCGTGTCTTAAGTAGGTGAAGAGTAATTTCAAGCCATCAATTATTTTTCAGTCTTCACTGAGTCCTTAGTTTAGTATTGCTGGATAACAAATTATCACCAGCTTTAGTGGATTAAAGTATCACAAACCTATTATCTCACAGATTCTGTAACCTGGAAGTCTGTGTATATCATGGTTAGGGTGATGGTTAATTTTATCGGTCAACTTGACTGGGCTAAAGGATGCCCAGAAAACTGGTGAAACATTGTTTCTGGGTTTGTTAGTGTGTTTCTGGGAAAAGATTAGCATTTGAATTAGCAAACTGAATAAAAAAGCCCCCACCAATGTGGGTGGCCACCACCTAATCCACTGAGGGCCTGAAAGGACAAAAAGGAAAAGGAAGGGTGAATCCTCTTTTCTATTTTTTTTTAATCTTTAACTTTTGTGGGTACATAGTAGGTGAGTATATTTATGGGGTACATGAAGTAGTTTGATACAGGCATGCACAGTGCAATAATCACATCATGGAAAATGGGGTATCTATCCCCTCAAGCATTTATCTTCTGTGTTACAATCCATTTATACTTTGTTATTTCGAAATGTACAACTAAATTATTATTGGATATATACACCTGTAGTGCTATCAAATACTAGGTCTTATTCCTTCTTTCTTTTCTTTTTTTTTAAAAACCCGTTAAGTATCCCCACTTCCCTCCCACCTTTTCTTTTTTCTTGAGCTGGGACATTCATCTTCTGCCTTTTGACATTGGAGACCCTGGTTTTCTGGCCTTTGGACTCTGGACTTACATCATCCCTACCCCTCTCCACTCTTTTTCCAGTACCTTGCATAGCGCAGCACCTAACCTGCACATATTCAATGAATGCAATTAATGCATGAAATGGCGCATTAAGGAATTATTTCTCCAAGTGCTTGATTATTCTGGTGAAATATCTTCACCAAACCCGGGCTCTCACGGAGGAGTGGTGTGTTTACTTAAGTTTCTGTTTCAGTTTTTCTTATTGTTCTTATACTATATATGAAAAGATTTATCGTATATCTCAAAGATTAACGTCCTCTCCCTATAAAATAATGTTATTTGTTCGATCAGGCTTTTCTCCGTTATGCTTCCAATTTCTCGCATCCTGCCTTTCTAAAGTCCGCACTAAGCGTTGTGATTCCCGGACTTCTAGCCGCTGGCCGCACTGACATGTATTCGGAAAAGCAATTCCAAATTCTGTAAAATATCTTCCGGCAGTGATGCGATCCGAACTCCGGCAGTGGGTTGTCAGGCCCAGGTCAGTCCTGTAGTGCGTAACGGAACTCGGTTCCGGCTGGCTCTGATCGCATCACTCCTGCATCCTGCAAGTAACGCCCTCGCCAGCTTCCACCTCCCGATCTAATTGTCCCAGAAGTCCCCGCACTTCCGCTGTACGGCTGAGTGTTTGCCAAGATGGCCGCGCCCGTGCGCTATTACCGAAGGGCGCCGCCATCGCGGCTGCCGGACCCGCTAAGGCCGCCCTCCGGGTAGCCGCCATGTCGGTCTCCAGCGGCGTCCAGATTCTGACAAAGCCAGAGACCGTGGACCGGAGGAGAAGTGCGGAAACGACCAAAGAGGCCGGGCGACCACTGGAGATGGCTGTGTCCGAGCCCGAGGCCAGCGCCGCGGTGAGAGCTGTGATGAGACAGGGTGTTTTGGCGGTCAGAGATGGTGTACTTGCGGGGCAGTGATTGGAGTAGTCTGTGACGATAGGTGATTTGGGAATTGGTGGAATCGATGCTAGATGGTCTTTTGGGAGGTCGGTGTTCTGAGTTATCTGTGGGGTTAATGATTTGGCTTTAGGATATCAGTATTAGGAGGGATCTGCAGAGACAATGATGGGGAGGCGTCTGTGGCAGTCACCGAGTGTCGGAGTTTGGAAGGAGATCAGAAATGGAGGCTTTGTGATGTGTCAGAGATAGGGAAGGACCGTGGGGGTTGGCGGTTTGGGATGTCTATGGGAGCCAGCGATTATGGGTGCCTGTGGTGGTTAGAGCCTGGGTTATCAAAGAGGGTCAGTGTTAGGATTTGGGAAATTCAGTGATTGGGAGCATCTGGGAGCATCAGAGATTGGGGCTTGGGAGTCAGTGACGGTGATGTCTGTGGAAGTTTGATTAGCAGTATCTTTGAGGGTCAGTGGGTAATGGAGGAATCGGGGGGCCAGTGAGGGGGGAATATGACTGTTGGAGTTTGGGGAGTCAATGTTGAGGTGTCTCTGGGGATGGTAGATGATTTGTATGTCATCTGGGGAGAAAAGGTAATTGGGGATGTATGCAGGTCAATAATTAGGTGGTGTCTAGCAGTAATAACTGTGCTTTGAGTAATGAGGTGATTAGTAGGAATTAATGATTGAAGATCCTCTATGATTCTGTGACTAGAAGTCTAAGGGGGTCAGGAGTTTGAGGGGATTGCTGCATTTAATGATTGAGGGTTCTTTGGTGGTCAGTGATTGGAGATCTGTGGAGGTTAATGATTGTTCTGTGGAGAGTGATAGTTGGGAACTTGCAGAGATCCATAATTGGGAGAAGTTTGTGAAGGTTAGTGATTGGGGAGTATTTGGGTGTCAGTGATTGAAAACTTGCAGGAACAGTAGGAACAGTCTGTAAGATGAGCATTTATTTTATGCCAGGGGGTATTTTTTATTTTATTTGTTTGGTGTTGTTGTTTTGCAGTCCCTGCTTTGTCCTCAAAACCAGGGAATGTTTTAAATGCTGGAGACACACCAGGAAACAAAACCAGAATCCCTCCCTCAATGACTTACATTATAGAAATATGAAAGATATCATAAAATATAAACAAATAAAATTATTCCAGACACTAATAAGTGCTGAAGTAAGTAAAAGAGGATGGTGTGGTACAGAGTGATTGAGGGTAGGGAGTGCATGACTTTAGCCAGGTTAGTCATGGAAAGCTTTCCTTAGCAAATGACAGTTGGGTTGAGGCATAAATCATCACAAGGAGGCAGCCATGCAGAGATCTGAAGAAAGAGTGTTTCAGGAAGAAATAAACATCAACTGCAAAGGACCTGGGGTAGGAGTAAACTTGGTGTGCTTAAAAAAGAGAAGGAAGATTAGTGCTGTTGGAGCACAGTCAGAGGGAAAGTAGAAAGCTGTGAATCATAGTGGTAGGAAGGTATCAGATAATGTAGGATTTTATTGGCTAGTGTAAGGATTTGGATTTTATTCTAGATGCAGTGAGAAGCCATTGAGTTTAAGCAGGGGAATGATCTGTTCTGACTGACACCTTGAAAAGATCACCATGGCTACCTCATGGAAGACGGACTGCAGAGGGGCAAGAGTAGGTAGATATAGGGAGGTCAGTTAGGAACTTTTTGCAATAGTCAAAGACAAGAGATTATGGTGATTTAGAATAGAGTTGTAGCAGCAAAATGAAATCAAATTCAGAATACATCTGGAGATAAGCAATAGAACTTACTAATGTATTGATATATGGAGTATGAGGAAAGAGAAGAATCGAGATTTACATCTAGACTTTTAACCTGAAGAACCGGATGGATGGTGATTCTATTTTCTGAATGGAAAGGGTTATGGTGGAAAAGACTAGATTTGGTGGATGGAAATGGGATCTGGGGTGATGTCAGTGGCTCTATTTTGGCCGTGTCAAAATGCTCATTGCACATCTACCTAGAGATATTGGGTAGCCACTATATATATGAATCTGGAACTTAGGAAAGGGGTGAGCTAGGGAACCATTTTTGAAATGCATCACAATAAAGATGGTATTTAAAGCCTTAAGATTGGCTCGGGTCACCTAGGAAGAGAAGACAGATAGGGAAGAGAAGAGAGCCAGGGACAGAGGGCTGGGTCACTCTGACATTTAAAAGTCTGGTAGAAGACAAAAAACAACAGAGAGAATAAGGGGTGCCCATTGAAGTAAGAGGAAAACTGTGCAAGTGGGTGTCAAAGTAGCATAGAGAAGAAAGCCTTTCAAGACAATAGAAGTAATCAATTGTCATATATGCTTTTGAGTCCTAAAAGCAGGACTAGAGATCATTTGATTTTGTCAGTATGTAGCTCAATGGTTATTTTGATTGATTAGAACTCTTTTATTGGAGTTAAGGGGATAATATCCTGTTAGAGTGAGTTGAAAGAATGAGAGGTAATGAAGTGGAAACAGCAAGTATAGGCAACAGTTATGAGGAGTTCTGCTGGTAAAGGAAGCAGAGAAATGGACGTTGTATAGGATATGAAATCAAGAGGGGGTTTTCTTTAGATGAATGATATTAAGACAACTCTGTGTGTCAATGGGAATGACCCAAATAAAAGGGAGACACAGATGTTACAAAACAGAAAGAGGTACTTGCAGGAGTGAAGTCTTTGGGAAGGCAGTTGGGGATGGGATTGAGAGCACAAATGGAGAAACTGGCCTTAGGTGAGAGAAGGAAGACTTTCCATTTTAACAGAAGAGAAGGTATATTGTATATGAGTTTGGAAACAGGTTGCTGGAATTGGTGGTAACAAGACAGGGTAATTCTTGTCCATTTGGATTTATTTTCTCTTGAAAGCATAAAGCAAATTCATCAGCCAAGAGTGGGAAAGGAGTAGATGTTGGAGTTTTCAGAGTTAAAAAGGAGAATGTTCAAAATAATCACCTAGGAAAAAGGAAAGGTGTATTTTCTAGGGTTAGGTAGTAGGACTACTGACAGGATTAGGTGTCCATTTGGCATGTGTGTTATAAATTTGAAGTTAGTCCACTCAGCAGTTTGATTTTTCTCTTGCAATGTTCAGTTGCAAGGTTTCAGGCAGAGATTAAGAGGAGAGTTGGATTTAACCAAGGTTGAGGCTTTGACAGGTGAGTACAGTGGAGAAGAAGAGAATCAAGGAAGTTAAAACTTTATAGTTTTTAATTGATTGTGTATGGTGCTAGAACAAGGAATCTGAACAAGAAAGAAAGGCTAGGTAAAGGTGGAAGATTGTGAAAAAGTGGTTAGGATCAGAGGGCTCAATGAGTTTGGAGAATTATTGGAGTGAAAGTACTAGAAAAAGTAGCAGGATAGGAAATGATGGTCAGAGGGCGGAATGTCTTAGAGATTTTTGCAGGTGGTACAGTGATGGCAAGGTGTAAGTGCAGATAATTGATGAATAGGTGGCTGAATTTGAGTGGAAGAAGAGGTTGCTGACCTCATGAAAAAGAGAGGCAAGGGTGTTGAATGGCTCTTCCACGTTGATACGGAGGTAGTGCAGCATTATGGCAGGAATTTAGCTGGTGCTAAAGTTTTCAGTGAATTGGGTGGGATGACTGCAGAACAGAGTTAACATAGAAGTGAAAAACTGCTATCCTTAGACAGGCCTGCTGCAAGGTCTGCTTTTTGCTGTCATCTGGGAAATTAGATTTCAGGAAGGATCCCACCATTCCTGGAACTGATTAAGAGTAGTTCCGAGTGCTTAAAGAATACACAGTGTGGTTTATGCTGAACACCTGCTTTCTTCTGGGAGTCTGGAATTTTTGTACATGCAGGCAGAGAGTGCCTACTTGACCAGCCCCCAGTGAAACCCCTAGGCAGTACTGGTCTCTAATGAGCTTCCCTAGTAGACAACATTTCATACATGTTATTATAACTCATTTCCAGAGGAATTAAGCATGTTTTATATGACTTCACTGGGAGAGGACTCATGGATGCTGGTGCCTGGTGTCCTGTGGACTTTACCTCATGCTGATTAACTGACTTTGTACACTTTTGCTACAATAAATAATAGCTATGAGTACAATTATATACTGAGTCATGTGAGTCCTCCTAGCAAATCACCGGACCCAGAAGGGTTAATGGCTGAAAACCTGGTGATACTATAAATAAGCTATGAATTTTGAAGGAAGAATGAGAAATTGTTGAAAGTAATCATTTACCTCATCTTTAGACCCTGAGGTACATGGGTCATGGCAGGGAGAGGGGTGGTGCAGGAAAGACAGCCTCCACTCCTCTGAGGCTCCTATAAGGAAGCAGGATCCTCAGGAGACAGGTAGATTTCAGGTGAAGCATGCAAATGAAGGGAGTGGCTAAAGAGGTTGAGGGAGGAGTGGAATTTGCTGGCAGTAATTAGAGTTTCTATAAAGGCCACTGCTTGAGAATTCTGTTTAGTGATTGGGGATTGATAAGATGAGGGATTTGGGGTAATAGGAGATAGATTACCAGTGTCCTGTGGGTATCATTGGTTGAGGAACCTGTGAGAATATGTGATTGGAGTGTCTGTGGGGGCAAGTGGCTGGGGAGATCTGCTGCTGCTACTGATTGGGAGGTTTGCTTTACCCAGTCATTTTGGAACTATAGGCCCAGTAATTAGGCAAGGCTGTCTGTATCAGCTCAGTGATTGGAAGGCCAGTGACAATCAATGATGGGAAATTATTGGTAGTCAGTGACTACAGGTCTGTGGGGCTAATTTGATGACTTTTGCAGGTAATTGAATGGTGGTCTGGCCAGGCACAGTGGCTGACATCTGTAATCTCAGCACTTTGGGAAGCTGAGGTGGAAGGATTGCTTGAGCCCAGGAGTTTGAGCCCAGCCTGGGCAACATAGCAAGAACCTGTCTCTACAAAAAAATTTAAAAATCAGTCAGGCATGGGTGTTGCTTGCCTATAGTCCCAGCTACTTGGGAGGCTGTGGTGGGAGAATTGCTTGAGTCCAGGAATTCAAGGTGTCGGTGAGCTATGATTACGCTATTGCACTTCAGCCTGGGCAACAGAGTGAGACTTTATCTGCTCCCCCACCCCACTGCAAAAAAAAGAAGGAAAAAAAATTTGGTTGCCTGTAAGGATAAGGGATTATCTTTAAATGTTAGACAAACATGTTTGAATATATTTATTAGTATCAAAATTCTCCAATAGCTGTGCCGTCCTCCCCCACCTGCCTAATAAGAGGACTTCAACATACTTTAATTTCTTCCCTACTCCCACCCCCCTAGTTAGGGTTCTGCTTATTTTTTAATATCATACCTCTTGATTTTAAGGATACTTTCATAACAGTTGTACAAGCACATTATCAAGTTACTTAGATTTAACTAGACATTTTACTGGTTGTATTTTTCATAGCTCTGTCTTGCATATTAAGTCTTTCCCAATTTTGAAATCTTTATTCTGATCCATTTTTACTTCTTTTAAAAATCATTCATTCTCTTTTTCTGCTGCTTTTCCTCTTTCTCCTCCCCTTCCCCCTTCCTCTATTTCTCCCCAACTTTCTCCTTTATTTCTAAAGAACATTGGTAGTGTACATTCTGCATTCTTACATGCCTACAATATCTTACTTTTGCTGCCAAACATAAATAACTTTTTTTTTTTTTGAGATGGAGTCTCTGTTGCCCAGGCTGGAGAGCAATGGCTTGATCTTGGCTCACTGTAACCTCCACCTCCTGGGTTCAAGCAGTTCTCCTCCCTCTGCCTCCCAAGTAGCCGGAATTACAGGTGCCTGCCACCATGCCTGGCTCATTTTTGTATTTTTAATAGAGACCATGTTGGCCAGGCTGGTCTCAAACTCCTGACCTCACATGATCCACCTGCCTTGGCCTCCCAAATTGCTGGGATTACAGGCATAAGCCACTGCACCTGGCCCATAAATGATTTCTTTGACTGGTTACAAAAATCAAGGGTCTCAATTCTTCTACCTCAGAACTATAAATACTGCTCAATAGCCTTTTAGCATCCCCTGTTATAGAAGAGGAGACAAAGATTGATTCTGTTCCTTTTTTCTTTTTTTTTTTTTTTTTTGGCTATTTGTCTTTCTCTCCGATATGCACGTGATTCTATCCTCTTGAATAAATAAATTCACAATAGGGACATTTCTGTTTGTCGAGACAGGGTCTCACTCTCTCAGCCAGGCTGGAGTGCAGTGGTGTGATCTCAGCTCCCTGTAGCCTTGACCTCCTGGGCTCAGGTGATCCTCCTGCTTCAGCCTCCTGAGTAGCTGGGACTACAGGCATGCACCACCATGCCCAGCTACGTTTTGTATTTTCTTGTAGAGATGGAGTTTTGCCATGTTGCCCAGGCTGGTCTCAAACTCCTGAGCTCAAGCAATCCTCCTGCTTTAGCCTCCCAAAGTGCTGGGATTACAGGCATGAGCCACTATGCCTAGCTCAGTAGGGACATTTCTTAATATGGTTTTTGTTTCTCAAAATAATGAAAAATTGAGTAGAGAATAGGTATCCTTTATAATATCATGATCAACAGTGAGTAGTCAAGGTAAGAACAAATTATTATCTTGTCCAAATCACTCACCAAATGTGGATAACATTAGCATGAACAGGAATATGCTATCACAGGTATCAGTAACATTCAAACATGTGACTATGGCCTTTACCCAGAAGGAATGGAAGCAACTGGATCCTGCTCAGAGCAACCTGTATAATGATGTGATGCTGGAGAACTACTGCAACCAAGCCTCAATGGGTAAGAACAATTCCTTTGTAATTCAAAATGTGTCCACTGTGATACCTTCTCTCTGGAGTCCTTGATAAGTTTGGCCTTCATTTTTGTGGGTCAAAGGGCTTTCTTCTTTTTTGGGTACTAGGCAGGATATTTGTGCCCCTGCCTCCAAAATGGAAGGTCTATTTAGCTGACCTGGCATTCATATTGTGAAACTCCAGAAGCCATGTATTCTTTAGGCCCTGAAGTACAAATGCTGCGGCTTCATTTCTGGGATGGTTGTTCTAACACTCAGTTTCTGCTATTTCTCATGAGCAGGGTGTCAAGCTCCCAAACCAGACATGATCTCCAAGTTGGAAAAAGGAGAAGCACCATGGTTGGGGAAGGGGAAAAGACCCAGTCAAGGTTGTCCAAGTAAAATAGCAAGACCCAAGCAAAAAGAAACTGATGGAAGTAAGTTGTAACTTTGAAATTTTTCAGCAAATAATTTATTCTGAAATTCTTCTTAAAGATCCTAGACCTTTCTTTCTTAACTAGAAAATAGCAATAGAAAAAATCAGGATTTCCTGAGGAAAGAATATTTCAAACTACAAAGATTCTGTAACCTGAGAGATTCTAATATCTCTTCCTTTTATGAACTTGTTCACATGAGAGGTTCTTTGTGAGGTTCGCTATAGTAGTGAGCTAGTGTTAACTACGGGAGTTTGGTTATATCACCTGTATCAGTCAATTTCCACTCAGTTTTGCTCCATGAAGGAATGAGCCCCTGAAATTTTAGTTACTTACAATAAGAAAAATTGATTGCTTGCTCAAGCCACAGCCCTATTCCATATTATCTTTATTTGGGGACCTATGCTGAAAGAGCATTCTCCATTTAGCAAATTCTGGTCTCATGGCAGAGGCAAAAAAAAACAGGGTGAGTGGAACCACATGGTAACTCTTAAAGTCACTGCTTGGAAGTTGTAGATATCCCTTTCAGCTCATATTTTATTAGTCAAAGCAGGCCATCTGGCCACTCCTGAGTTCAACATGGTAGGAACGTATAATCCTTCCACTGGGAAGTGCGCTATAATTCAAAAGGCTATGCATTTGGAAGGGGCTGGGAGGTATAATCTTGCCACAGGAAGCAATAATACTATCTGTCACACCACTCAGGTTGTGGTAGGATAAAAGGTGAAAATCAAGGCTCTGAAACTTGGTACCAGCCCCTCAGATGCCTAACTGACCCTTCCATATAGCCACATATCCTTATTCCTGTGCTCAATTGCTCAGTCTTCAGAAGGAGCAGTGACCCTCTTAGCTATTCTCGATCCCACTCCTGCTTACCTTATATAAATCAGTGCTTTTTAAAAAAAGCATCCTCCCTTTTCCTAATATCCTCAGCTTTTCTCCTTTTCTCCACCCATACTCCGAGACCCTACGGTATCAAATTTTCTCCTATGTATTGGACATTCTTAGATCTGCCCTCTTTGCAAATGTCTTGGCATGATGCTCCTGCCCTGAGTTATTTCCGTTTCTCTCCTTTCACTAGGAAATTCTCTAGACCCATGATCTATAGCACATCATCATTTCCATTTTCTCCTTAACTCCTGCAGTCAAATCCCACAGAATTCATGCCTCTATCTAAATTTCTGACTTTAAGATCACCACTGCTTACTTTTCAGTGCATACTTTAATCGTTTTTGTTAGCTTGAAGTTCTCACTTACCCAGTTTGAATTGTACAACTTGAATCAGATCTTATCTTCTAAGTGCTTCTTTATCATTTACTTACTAGCTTCTCTTCCTTCTCATTTTGCTGAGGTGTCCCTAAGGTTTTGTCTTCTACCATCTGTTCTTCTTTAAAATTGTATTGATTATTCATTGTGCAAATAAAAGCTATTTATTCTACACTCGTGACTTCCAAATGGGCAGCTCCAATTCCTTTGTCTTATACTCATATTTGACCTACTTAAACAACAGCTTATTCTTAGGATATCAGAAATGGAAAGCTTTGTCTTTCTCTCTAAATTAGAGGTTCTTTTCATCTTCCCTGTTTTTATCAGGGTGTGCTCTGATTATAGGACTGTCTCCCATAGAGTTACTATCCTGTCTTCAGTTTCTGGTTCTTTTTCTCAATTTTCAGTGTCATCACACAAATCAGGTTCATATTATCTCATACTTAATTTTTCCAATTCTTAGGTAAATTTGCTAAATCCATTTTTTTCCCTAATTTTTTCTCTTTTTTTTCATAGAGACAGGGTCTTGCTGTGTTGCCCAGGCTGGTCTTGAACTGCTGGTCTCAAGCAGTTCTCCCTCCTCAGCTTCCCAGTGTTGGGATTACAGGTGTGAGCCACCATGCCCAGCTTTAATTGATCTTACATGTTACCACCAAACATTAAAATATTCAGTTATTATTTATGTTACCATAGTCCCCAAATTATTAATAGCAGAATATCTGCTATGTCTTTTAAGTTTCTTTTGACCCCGAATTGTCCAAGACTGTATGAATTCCCTGAGACCAGAGGAACCAGTCTTTCAAATGACAAATGAAGAGACTCAATGGAGTTTCTGATTCATCCATTAATGGCTCCAGTTTTGGCTATCCTTACTTTTCTTGTTGACATCTTAAATTACAGCTAAAAAACAATCCTGAGTCACTTAATACATCTTTATAATTGCTACAGTGACTCTCTTCTTGGTTCAGGTTCTCTTTTTTTTTTTTTTTTTAGACGGAGTCTGGCTCTGTAGCCCAGGATGGAGTGCAGTGGCGCAATCTCGGCTCACTGCAAGCTCCTCCTCCCGAGTTCACACCATTCTTCTGCCTCAGCCTCCCAAGTAGCTGGGACTACAGGTGCCCACCACCACGCCCAGCTAATTTTTTTGTGTTTTTGGTAGAGACGGGGTTTCACCGTGTTAGCTAGGATGGTCTCGATTCCTGACCTTGTGATCCACCCGCTTCGGCCTCCCAAAGTGCTGGGATTACAGGCTTAAGCCACTGCGCCCGGCCAGTTCAGGTTCTTATATACTACTTAGGAGGCTCTTCAAAGAAGGACTGTTCTATTCTCTCCAATAATTTGCTGGGCCAAGTGAGCTCCATATTTGTTTCTGAAGTTACAGTTGTTTTAGCTTAGCATTTATGTTTTAGTTACTGTCTCAAATTCAGGAAAAACTTCCAGCCATAGTCAATTGCTCTTCCAGACCCATATTACTATACCAATTTACTCGTTCAAATTCTCCTCCTTTCCTTCATGGTGATATTTTCTTGTAGTATCTTATGTCTTTTCCTGCCGGCAGATATCAGTTGGGACCAGCCAAATTCATCATTGTAAAGGTTCTTATAATATTACATGTCAAGGGGAAAGTTTTCAGTTTTGATTCCTTTCTTTCCAGAAGGAAATTTTTCCTCAATGTTTTCCATCATCCTTGGGCATTGAAAGACACAGCCTTGTCATGGTACCTAAAAGTTTGTTATACTCTCTGCATCACTTAAAATTTCCTAAATGAAAAAGCAGCCAGCAACTGCACTTCTCTAGACTCCCTAATATATATATAGATATATATCTGCCTGTATATATATAGATATTTATCTGTCTATATATATATAGATATATGTCTATATATAGATATATATCTGTCTACATATATAGATATATATCTGTCTATATATAGATATATATCTGTCTATATATATAGACAGATATATATTTTATTTTTCAAAAACTGATCTTCTGCAACATGGGAATTAATCTCTCTAATGTCCTTTATAAAAGTAATAATATTTCCTTTCTATCCATTCAGATACCGTAACTCTTTTTGGTTTGAGTCCAGTTTTCACTTTCTCAGTGTAATGTTTCTTTACCATCAAGGTGGCTATTCACTTCCTGCTTCTTTCTCTCTGAAGTCATGGGGATTTTTATATCTGCTTCTCTCTAAGACTGTTTAATTCTCACTCTGAAGCTTTTTCTGCTATTCCATGCTATAGCATGTAGCTGAAAAATGACACCCCTAAATGGTGGCCCCAGCTCTTAAGATTATAGGTTTTTATACATGTAGTATCCATAGCTAGCTAACAGAAGTCTATAAATTTCAATTTCAGGTTCTTAGGCAAAAGAATATTATTGGACTACCTGGTGTTTACCACGGTCCAATCAATTGTTTTTAGCCAGAATTTGGATTATGTAATACAAACATAGTGGCCCACAGCTTTCAGTGTGGGTAATGGTCTCAGAGAAGGGAAGCAGGGATTAAGAAGACATCTCAAAATGTGTAAGTGTATAATGTATGGCAGAAAGAATATGAGCAACCACTTAGAGCTGGGAATAAACTTAAAATTTATAACTGACAATTAGAAAGACCTGAAAAGAACAAATATATATTCCATAGCAAACTATTGGAAAACAAAACAAGGTTGGATGTACACTACAAATCAGATTGAGTAAAGTTTGTTTGCTAAGCTAATTACTATGAATTTTATCATTTGATGAAAGCATCAGGTAATTTAGAGAAACTAGGGATTTTTAAAGTACAAGAATATCATTTTAGGGGTCATTTCAGTGGTAGCAATAGAAAGGAAAAGATATGTCAGCAGGAAAAGATCTAAGCACTACAAGAAAAATTCACCATGAGTAGTATAAAGTGGATAACCTTTCCTATTTATTCTCTTAGCCACTTATCAGCTCATCAGTACTTCTTGGTGGACTCACTTTATTTTTCTTTTCTGGCTTTTTTGGATATAATAACAAAAGTTTATGTTAGCTAGCTTCAGTAAATACAGGAATTTGTGATAAGGACCTGGGTACATCCCTTACAAGCTAAGGGCAAGATAGTTCAGCCAGTCCTCACCAGGGACTAGAAATAGGAACTAGGAAGGAACTAGGAAGCCATTGGGAATTGAAATTGTGCAAATGATCTCTTTAAAGACGCAGTTCTTATGTCTCTGCTTCTCGGTGTGTGGATGGTTCATACTTTGACTTGACGAGCTTTCTGTTTACGTAGAGAAAATATGGTTTACTAGTACCTGCTTTATATAATTTCTAAATTTAAGTACCAAGTGGAGACTAACTGGAGTCAAATTTGTTAGAAGAAAGAATCTTGTTGGACATCTTGGTTTGAGTCAGATTTGTCTCCAACTGTGCCCATGGAGAATTGGGGTAATATAGTATAGGCTGCAGGAGCAATATATTATGGCCAGCTTGGGAGTTATCAGAACTGGGCAGCTTGGGCTTATAAGAAACCTCAAAAAGTATCAGCTACAATCATAAGCTCTTTTAACTCCATCTATTCCCTGTTCACTTCTCCCTGTGTTTATTTCATCTTCTATCCCAGGTTGCTCACTCATATTTTTAAGCAGCAAAAACTTTAAAAAATCACTATTGTCACTTTTCCCACCTCTTTTTACTACAACATTTTCCCCCTCAAGTCCATTCACCCTAGTTGTTTCATTCACATTGGTATACCAGGCTTGAATAAAAATTTAACCCTACAACAGGTCATTTCTTTACCAGTTTTATTCCAAAATATAAGAGTACAAAGATTCACAAGAATATCTCACTGAATTCCATTTTAGAAGTCCAGAAAGATGATGACCAGCTTGAAAATATCCAGAAATCTCAAAACAAACTCCTCAGGGAAGTTGCAGTCAAGAAGAAAACTCAAGCTAAGAAGAATGGCAGTGACTGTGGTTCACTGGGGAAAAAAAATAATTTGCATAAAAAACATGTTCCTTCAAAGAAAAGGCTTCTTAAATTTGAGTCATGTGGAAAAATTTTGAAACAGAATTTAGATTTACCTGATCACTCAAGAAACTGTGTAAAAAGGAAATCTGATGCAGCTAAAGAACACAAGAAGTCATTCAACCATAGCTTATCTGATACAAGGAAAGGCAAAAAGCAAACTGGAAAGAAACATGAGAAATTATCCAGCCATAGCTCATCTGATAAGTGTAACAAAACTGGCAAAAAACATGACAAATTATGCTGTCATAGTTCATCCCATATTAAACAGGACAAAATTCAAACTGGAGAGAAACATGAGAAATCACCCAGCCTTAGCTCATCTACTAAGCATGAAAAACCTCAAGCTTGTGTGAAACCCTATGAATGTAATCAATGTGGAAAGGTTCTCAGCCATAAACAAGGACTCATTGACCATCAGAGAGTTCATACTGGGGAGAAACCATATGAATGTAATGAATGTGGGATAGCCTTTAGCCAAAAGTCACACCTTGTTGTACATCAGAGAACTCACACCGGAGAAAAACCATATGAATGTATTCAGTGTGGCAAAGCCCATGGTCATAAACATGCACTCACTGACCATCTAAGAATTCATACTGGAGAAAAGCCCTATGAATGTGCTGAATGTGGGAAAACCTTCAGACACAGCTCAAACCTTATTCAACATGTGAGATCTCACACAGGTGAGAAGCCATATGAATGTAAGGAATGTGGGAAGTCTTTTAGGTATAACTCATCTCTTACCGAACATGTGAGAACACATACAGGTGAAATACCATATGAATGCAATGAATGTGGAAAAGCCTTTAAGTATAGCTCATCCCTTACTAAACACATGAGAATTCATACAGGTGAGAAACCCTTTGAATGTAATGAATGTGGGAAAGCTTTCAGCAAGAAGTCACACCTCATTATACATCAAAGAACTCATACTAAGGAGAAACCTTATAAATGTAATGAGTGTGGAAAAGCCTTTGGACATAGCTCATCTCTTACTTACCATATGAGAACTCATACAGGTGAAAGTCCCTTTGAATGTAATCAATGTGGGAAAGGCTTTAAACAAATTGAAGGCCTTACTCAACATCAGAGAGTTCATACTGGAGAGAAACCGTATGAGTGTAATGAATGTGGGAAAGCCTTTAGCCAAAAGTCTCACCTCATTGTACATCAGAGAACTCATACTGGGGAGAAACCTTATGAATGTAACGAATGTGAAAAAGCCTTTAATGCAAAATCACAGCTTGTTATACATCAGCGATCCCACACTGGAGAAAAACCCTATGAATGTAATGAATGTGGGAAAACTTTCAAACAAAATGCATCCCTAACCAAACATGTGAAAACTCATTCAGAAGATAAATCTCATGAGTGAAGTTAATGTGGGAAATTTGTTAACTAAATTTAAGGTTTTGTTGAACCTTGGAAATATGCTGATTTTAAAGAGTGTTAGAAAGCCTTTAGCAAGATGTCACACCTTGTTGTACATGAGAAACTTTGAAAATGGATCTTCATATAGAATCAGTGGATGGAAACAAGGGTTTAAACTTGATACAAAACCTTTTATAAAAAATATTGTTTTAACTACTCAATTATTATAAATGATCTACATGTTCAGATTGAAATTGAAAGCTTTAAAAATTGTGAATTATTTGAATATTCAAAGCAATGGAGAAACAAGTTATATATGCTGACAGTTCCTGTGTTTCTTCTTGTTTTGTACTTAAGCACCATATATTAGAGTTGAATTTGCATATCTGTTTATTGCCTTATGTAAATGAGTGTGGCCATCTGTATAAGCCTCTTTGACATTTTCACCCAGCTCTTTCTTAATGTCTGTGTTGGCTTCTGCATCAGCAGAAATCTTTTTAAAAGGGTTGTTATATATGTAAAAAATGTTAACAGGAAAATGAGAGAAAATAAAGCAGCTGAGGATACAAATGTGCTGGTAGGGAGCGATATTCAAGATATATTGTGAAGTGTGAAAAAGTAGGTTGCTGAACCATGTATATAGTATGTTCCCCTTTGTGTACAAAAGGGTATGTTTGTTTAACCTCTGTCTCTTATCTCTGTATGTGTATGTATCTTTGTATGCATATATACATGTATCTGTATGTGAATAGACTTTGAAAAAATACAGAATAAACTTCATGGTGGTTGCCATTGGGCAGAGGAGTATAGGACTGGGGTCTAGGATAGGAGCAAGACTTCCTTGTATATTTGGATTTTTAAATCATGCACATGTATTATTTTTATAATTAAAATATTTTAATATGCATAAATCAACATTATTTAAGGTTGTCACTGAGCCCCTCCACAACATGTGAGATCAACATGTGAGATCTCAGATTTTGACAGAGTTAAAATCTTTGTATGCTTATTCATGAATGATGATGAATCTAAAGTATATAGTATGAAACTTGATGTTGAATTCATAAAGACTTTTTCTATCACACACAAGTTCTTTCATTAACATAGTGAATTATAACAGCACTGTTTCTACATTTGCCATTTTTTGATGTTGAATTGTGATTGCAGGTGATGATGAATTGTGATTGCAGGTGAATGAAAGTGATTTTATGAATAATCACCCTGTTTTATCTCATATTCAAAGAACTAACACACAAACACCTCAATCAGGGAATTCGAATGAAACAAATGTCACCCCTCCCTGTTCTCGCTCAATATTGGGCATTATTTACTGGATCACTGTACTCTTTCTGAGTGAACCCAGAGTTGGCCTCAGAATCATTGTGCAGCGTGCATTCCAGAAGGTACTATGCATCAACTTGGACTGTCACAGGAGACCTATTTGCCATTGCACACCTGGATTTTTTTTACTCTTGAGCCATAGATTAAAAATACTTCTGGCTGGGCATGGTGGGTGCCTGTAATCTCCAGCACTGTGGGAGGCCAAGGTGGGTGGATCACTTGAGGCCAGGAGTTTGAGATCAGACTAGCCAACACAATGAAACCCCATCTCTACTAAAAATACAAAAAATTATCTGGGCATGCTGTAATCCCTGTAATCCCAGCCACTCAGGAGGCTGAGGCAAGAGAGTTGCTTGCACCCAGGAGATGGAGGTTACAGTGCACTCCAGCCTGGGCAGCAGAGTGAGGCTCTGTCTCAAAAAAAAGAAATACAAAAAATGCACAAAACTTCTGAACTATTTTGAAATCTAAGTTGTTACACTAAAAGCAGAGACATAAGTACAGAAATGGTTTTCAAAAACATCATACCTTTATTTTAATACAATATTAATTTACATAATATAAAATATTATAATTTGGCATGTTATCTTTTATATTTTTTAAAGCACAATCCCTACATTATTTCATTTATTCCTCAGAACTAACATATGAGCAGTAATCGGGACTTGTCTAGTCATGTTCAATCCTGTTGAGTAAATATTTCACCTAGACAGTAATTTAGCATAATAATGGGCCCCAAAGAAATATGTGCTTAAATGCCATCTTTACAAATATTTATCATTCAAGCTCCTTCCTTCCTGACCTCATTTCAGAGAATTATAATGTGTTAATATAATATATTGAGAATGGAATATGTGTTCGTGTATGTGCATGTGCACACATGCATACACATGCACGGGTTGAAAGCTCAACTCATGAATATATCCCCTCATTTCCAAGTAACTTATTTATCACATGGGAAGAAAATGCAATATGAAAGCCATTTCTACCAGTAATTTCTTAACAAGTGGAAATATAGCACTATGCACAGAATGAGTCATCACTGTCTAGAGCTGTAGAAAGCCTGCACTTTTTAGATGGATGAAACAGTTGCAGGTTATGGCTATGTTGAATTTCCACATGTCTTGGGGAACCCATAGTATTGCCACATCTGAGACAGTGAGAATTATAGGTATGCCTGAATGATATAAATGAATGCTGAAAGCCACTTTGTGCAGTAATAAAATGAATTAAAAGTTAGCATTGATGAATGAGGAAAGGATGTCTAAATACAATTGGAGGTTAGTATAGGAAAACAGACACACAGTGGTAAGTCTGAATCGATACGTAAACTCTAGTGTGCATAAAAATTGCCTGAATGATTTGTTAAAACACAGACTTGAGAATGCAAATTCTTGGGCCTCGTCACAGACATATTGGATCAGAAACCCTGTGGGTGGGCCTTGAGAATTTGCATTTTAATAAGTTTCCAGTGGATTCCTGTGCTGCTGGTCTGGGGACCACCCTTTGAGAACCACTAATCTAAATCATGGTGTAAGTAAGTTTAAAAAATTATTTTTAAACTGTTTTTCAGATCCTCTTTAAGAAAATGAAGGGGCATAAAAGTAAATTATTATTAACAGTTTTGAAACATTTATTTATTCAAGTGATATGATCATCTAAGTGCCTGAGATACAGCAGTCTACAAAACAAAAAGAAAGCAAACAAACAAAACAAAACCCTGTTCTCATAGACCTTAATTCTAGAGGAGGACATAGGTAATAAATAAACAACTACAATATAAAGTATAACAGATCACTGGATGGCAAAAAGCAAACCAAGGAAGGGGAGGGAAGTGTTGGGGAATGTAATTTTAAATATAGTGATGGGAAGCAGGCAGTAAGCTTACTTAGATGGTGACAAAAGCAAAGACCCAGAGAGGGTAAAAGAGCAAACCATGTATATATATATGACGGAAGAGCATTCCAGGGATATATCTTTTAGAATCTGAGGGTGTGGGAAGAGAAAGATGTTAAACTCCTCTGACATAAAGAAGAGGAAAAAAAGTGGAAACATTTTTTTAAATCAAGATTTAAAAAAAAATTACATTTGTGATAGGTAGAAAACAATCTGTCACACACTGCTTTTGGTAGTTGTGTAAGTTTGTACAACCTACCAAAATGTAAATCTGACAGTATACATCAAAGCCTTATGATGGTCGGCAGTCCATCGAGGAATCTATTCTATGTTGTACAATCAAGGCGTACTATGATATTTATTGCAGAACAGAGAGAAATAGCATATACATTGCTAGTTAATTGATTAAATAAAGCATGATTCCTTCAAAAATTGAGTAATATGACATTAAAAACCACAATTTCAAACTATATTTAAGAAGATACAAATAATTCTTTATTATTACTTTTACTCTCAGGAATGTGTTTGAGTGATGCATCTCCAGGCATCAAGTGAGTAATCCAATATTGAAGAAAATTAAAATTTTCCACAAAGTCCCCCTTCTAGAAGAATGTGCTCATATCTTTTGACCAGAAATGAGTCACATGACCACACCTAGTTTCAGGTGGCTTGAGGAAATTGAATCTTTCTTTTTTTGTTTTATTTTGTTTTGAGACAAAGTCTCTGTCACCCAGACTGGAGTGTGCAGTAGTGCAATCTTGGCTCATTACAATCTCTACCTCCCAGGCTTAAGCACTCCTCCCACCTTAGCCTTCCTAGTAGCTGGGACTACAGGTGCATGCCACCAAGCTAATTTTTTTTTTTTTTTTTTGGTGGAAACAGAGTTTTGCCATGTTACTCAGGCTGGTCTCAAACTTCTGGGCTCAAGTGATCTGCCCACCTTGGCCTCCCAAAGTGCTGTGATTAAAAGTGTGAGCTACCACATTTGGCCAAATCTTTAATTTCTTAACCTTCATAGTAAAGGAAATAAAGAGACATGGGCATTGAAAAATGGATGTTGTACAAACCAACCTGTAGCATCTAAAATACTAAATAAAAAACAGTTTACAAAACTATATGCACATTAGGATTTTAATTTAAATATAGATATTGTTTATACACACAAATACATATGATGAAAAATGCATATTATCATTATGTGGATAGTGGTTCTTCTGGGATCGTGGGTTTAAGAGTAAGTTTTGTGTTTTTCTAAACAATTTTTATATTTTCATGAATCAATTTTTTTTTTAGTAATAATATTTCTGATATGGCCAAGTGGATTCCTACTGGGCATGGCCCTCCCACAGATAATTATAAACTCTGGACAAAACACAAACACACACACACACACACACACACACACACACACACACACCCCCCAATGATCCAGTGGTACTGAAGAATGAACAAAAAGCAGGCATATTATGTGAAAGAGTTGAATCTTGGAAGAAAGGAATGGAAGGGGGTTAGATCACATTTTTAAGGCTGTTTGCTTGAAGATAGGCTGAATTTAGTGTAACAGAGGGGGATAATTTGATAGAAAAAATATTTTTGACATGAAAAACCATAGGACAAAGTTCAGGGTAACCACAGTCACTGGAAAGTGAGGGAAGAATATCAGAAAAGAGGAACTCAAAAGAGTGGACATCCCAACTTCTGTGCATAAGCTGCCCAAGTCTCTGGATGACACCTGAGCTATGCGCGCATAGGATACGCTAAGGACAAAAGAACTGAGCTTTCATTTGTGCTGCTGGCCTAGAGACAGCGTTTGAAGTTTGAGTTTAACTAAATTCATTATTTAATGAAGCAAAAACATTAGCACTCTGCAGAGGAGCAAAATAGAGTCCAGAGTCTCCACATCTTAACCATTCATGTTATGTAGGACACAACTTTTAAAAATTGCCTGACATTCAAAGAATTAAGAACATATGACCCCCCATTTCAAGAAAATAGACAATCAACCCAGGTGATGGAATGAGCATATGAGAACATTAAGGTAGATATTTTAACTATGCTTAATAAATTAAAAAAAATTCTCACAAGGAATGTAGTTTTTAAAAAACTTAGTGAAACAAATAGAAACTACAAAGAAATACAAATGAAAATTCTACAACTGTAAATACACTGAAATTTAAAAATCACTGAATAAATTTGCCTGCAGAATAAAAATGACAGGGGAGCCAGTTAACTTGAAATAGATCAGTAGAAATTACCCAAACAAATGAGTAAAAAAATAAGAAGAAATGAACAGAACCTCAGTGACCTTTGGGACAATAACAAAATGTCTTAGATAAGTGTAGTTGAAATCCCATGAGGAGAGAATGGGACACACAAAATATTTTACGATATAGTGGTTGAAATTTCCCCAAATTTGGTGAATAATATAAATGTACAGATTTGAGAATCTCAGTGAATTCCAATCAGGATAAATGTGGAAAAAAAAAAAAAACCCCATAAGGCACATCCTAGTCAATCTTCTGAAACACAAAGATAAAAAGAAAATCCTTGGGCTGGGTACAGTGGCTCACACCTGAAACCCCAGCATTTTGGGAGACCAAGATGGGTGGATCACTTGAGCTCACGAGTTCAAGACCAGCCTGGGCAACATGGTGAAACCCCATCTCTAGCAAAAATACAAAAAAATTAACCAGGCATGGTGGTGCACACCTGTGGTTCCAGCTACTTGGGATGCTGATGTGGGAGGATCACTTGAGCCTGGGAGGCAGGGGGTGCAGTGAGTCAAAATCACACCACTGCACTCCAACCTAGATGACAGAGTGGGGCCCTGTCTTAAAAGAAACCAACAAAATACCCAAAGAAAATCATCAAGGACAGAGAAAAATTACACATTAAATGTATTTCAAAACACAATAAAAACGACTGGTGACTTACCATCAAAGACTACAAGGGCCAGAAGACAGTGTATCTGTATCCTTCTTATAGGAAAGAAACAAAACTGAATTTAAAAACCTTCACCCTCAAAATTTATATCCAGCAAAAAGTATTATTCATGAATGACTGTGAAATAATCACATTTTTCAGATAAAAGAAAACTAAAACAATGTATACCCAGAGAACTCTATGGTTCTTCAAGTTGAAAGGAAATCATAGTAGATGGAACCTCAGAAAGCAATGATGAGTATCAGAAAAGGTAAATATGTTGATAAATATAAAAGACTGGTTTTTGTTTTTAAATTCTTTAAAATATTTCAGATTATTTATAACAAAACTTATTATCTTATATGGAATGTAAGGTATTAAATGCAATACATATGACAAGTTTACATAATGAAAGGAGGGCACACCTATCTTATAGCAAGTTTAAAATAAATTTCATGTGATATGGTACAATATTAATTTCAAGTAGACTGTGAAAGCCAAGGATGTATAAAGCAATCTATAGAGAAACCACTAAGGAGTAATGCAAAGAGGTATAGCCAAAACACAACAAATAAATTAAAATAAACCTCTACAAATATTCAAAAGTTCCTGATGGAAGTATGAAGAGAGATACGGAGGAACAAAATCTGAGGGGACAAACAATACAAATAATAAGATGTTAGAGCTAAATCCAACCCTAACCATAATTACATTAAAAGTTAATGGACTAAACATTTCAATTCAAAGACAAAATTTTCACAATGGCTAAGAAAGTGAGACCCAATCTCTACAACATCCAGACTTTAGAAACCACAGATATGTTAAAAGTAAATGAATTGAAAAAGATATACCATAGAAATAGTAAGCATAAGATGTCTGAAATGTCTATATTCATATCAGACAGAACAGAATCCTTGATAATTAGTATGAGCAGAGATAAAAAGGAACACTTTAAAAATATAAAGGGATCAACTCAACAGAAAGACATAACATTCATAAGTGTCTACGCACCTAAACAGAGCTCCAAAGTACATGAAGCAGATATTGGAAGAATTAAAGGGAGACACTAACAATTCTACAATCATAATTGGAGATTTTAATATCCCTCTTTAAGAAATTGATAGAACAGTGAGAAAAATCAGTAAGGACAATGATTATCTGAAGAACGCTATCAGCAACCTTGATCTTGACCTAATTGATGTTTATAGAACCTGCAACTGCAGAATATACCTTTTTTTCCAAGTGCTCAGGGCATGTGCACTAAGATAGGAAATACATTGGGGCACAAGACAAGTCTCAATATATTTAAAATAATTGTAATCATACAGAGTATGTTATCTGACCACAATAAAATTGTGTTTGAGTTCCCTGGAGGCAGGTGTTGAAAAGGAGTTTGTCTTACTACTTTTTGTGTTGCTGTAAAAGAATGTCTGAGGCTGGGTATATATAAAGAAAAGAACTGCTTATAAAGAGAAGTTTATTTAGCTCATGGTTCTGCTGGCTGAGAAGTTCCAGGACATGGCCCTGGCTTCTGGCAAGTGCTTTTGTGCTGTGTCACAACATGGCAGAGAAGGTCAAAGGAGAAGTGCATACATGAAAAGGGGAAAACCTGAGGGGTGTCCTAAGGAGAAGTGCATACATGAAAAGGGGAAAACCTGAGGGGTGTCCTGGCTTTAAAACAACCCACTCTCATGGGAACTAATTCATTGCTGTGAGACCTAATCCAGTCTCATGAGAGTGAGGACTCACCACTATGAGAACAGCACCAAGCCATTCATGAGGGATCCATCCCCCATAACCCATACAACTACTATTCTAGCCTGTATCTCTCAACACCACAACATTGAGAATCAAATGTCAACATGAATTTTGGTGGGGACAAACTATATCCAAATAATAACAGAGTTGGAGTTATCAGATATTTATTAGAGATCGACACCCATGAAAGGAATGGAGAGAAAGAGGATTGGGCAGAGGAAGAAGTTGAAATTTTATTGCAAGCCTAACGAAGCCTTGCCAACCTGGAGAGGAGCTCTGGAGTAAATGTTTCCCCCAGCTGAGTGTCCTGCCTTGAGCTTTATACCTCCACCTTGCTCATTCACAAGATGTAGGCTGTCTTGCAAAGGGCATGACTTTAGGTAAGGGAGCTCTCTGTAGATGAGGCCCACTGTGAACTAGCTGATAGCTAGAAGTTGTCTTCTGATGGCACTCCTGTCATCTAGGCAACAAGTCCTTCCTTAAACGAGAATCTGGGCATGCAACTCTGTGTCTATTACAGTCCATTCCTTGCTCGGCTCAGATATAATTATCCGTATATGTCTGGGAAGTACTTCCTCCAGGATTTCTGTATGCCTCTATGCCTGAGGAGGAATTAGAAAAGGGAGATTAGTGGGATGAACCACGGCCCCTGCTGCTACACTGATCTCAGGGTCACAATAGGTAACTAACTCATCATCTCCCTTCTTCATTATTCATTCTCAGCTATCAACTCTGCTGACCTGAGACATTGGTCGTTATGCCCTTCTCAGTCCAGAGCTGCTGGGCCAGTGCATTCATATCAAAATTAGACGAGAGATACTAATCACTAGATTTCACATGTGTTTCTCCCTGCCCACATTGTGCGATAGCAGTCCATTTCCTACCGATATCAGTGTTATTTACCTGTACCAAGAGAGTGACTCCTCCTCTTTCCTCCTGGTCCCTGAACACAAAGAGCTCAAAGTATCCAGGAAGTAGCCATAGTTTATAATTTACTGAGACTAACAATGTGTCCTCTGGTGAAAATGTGCCCCCTTTAGGGACTAGTGCCTCTTACTAGAATTGGCATTGGCAGTGATGGTAAATAGGCTCCACTCCCACTCTCATCTCTTGGTTAGTGGACTGATGTATTCTTCCCAGTGGATGCACACCACCATATAAAGTCTTTGATTCAACGCATACATTGTGCAGGAAAGTTTTTGTAGGGAAAAGAAAGAGAGATCAGATTGTTACTGTGTCTATGTAGAAAAGGAAGACATAAAAAACTTCATTTTAATCTGTACTAAGGAAATTGTTTTGCCTTGAGATGCTGTTAATCTGTAACTTTAGCCCCAACCCTGTGCTCACAGAAACATGTGCTGTATGGAATCAAGGTTTAAGGGATCTAGGGCTGTGCAGGATGTGCCTTGTTAACAAAATGTTTACAGGCAGTATGCTTGGTAAAAGTCATCACCATTCTCCATTCTCAATTAACCAGGAGCACAGTGCACCATGGAAAGCCTCAGGGACCTCTTGGGCTTTCTTGGTCCTTTTTTCTATTGGGTTTTTGATCAATCCCTTTATAATTTTCTGAAGAAATGTGTTTCTTCAATAATAATTTAAAATTTGACTTTGTTTTTGGTTCCACTGTGAATTTAAAATTTGTTTATGTAATCAATTTTTGTTTTCTTGATTTCTCTTGTTTTTGATCTCTTGTGTAGCTTGGAAACTTCCTCCTTTATACCCAGGGATCACTGTCCACTAGGAATTCACTCTCTTATAGGCCTTTTACTTCTCCTTTTCTTCTGTAGTTTTCTTTGCTTAATCTCTGACCCGTTTAAATCATCTTGAGCTTTCCCACATCAGTCTTTGACCTGCTTAAATTCTCTGAAATTAAAAATACCATCTTGTAACCTGCATTCTCATCTTTCTTTCCCTCAACACACAAGCTTTTGAAAACTGATACTATCTTGGTGTTTCTGCTTCCTCAGTTCACATACACACTTCAGTATCATGCAGTAGAGCTTCTGTGTTCATCATTACTCTGAAACAACTTCTATAATACGAAGTCCATCTTGCTGTTATCAAATCCAAGGGATATTTTCTTGTCCTTAACTTAGCAGATTTTTTTGTTGCATCTAACATTTAATCCTCCACTCTTCCTTGAAATATGTCACCATTTGTTCTTTTGACGCCGCCTTCCTTCATCTTCTGCTCCCTCTGTTTCTCCTTTATTTCTTTCATCAGCACCTCTTTCTCTTCTTATCCTTTGCCAGTTGGTATTTTCCAGGGCTTCATCTTTTGTGCCTTGCATTTCCTTGTCTGTGTGGTTTTCCTGATTGATTACATCTCTTGTTTATAATAATCTATAAGAATCGCCTCTTTTAGATGTGTCTTGATCGTATTTGACTAACTGGAGACAATATTTGGATTCTAAATTTGATTGCAGTAAGTAGCATAATAAAATACATTTGTGTTGCAGTAAGTGCACATATGCACACGTCTGCAGCACATAAGATTTGTTGAAGCGAACTAAATATGGCCTGAGAAGGATTCTGTACTTCTGTGTTTGAGTCCTTGTGGATAAACTGTAACCTAGCTTAATAGGCAGACAAGATTGAAAACCTAACTTAGAAGTGTGGGCCTGTAACAATAGCTGAGTCTTGGCCAATCCCAGCAGCCGTACTTCAACCACGCATAGACTGCTAAGTGTTCAAACTGTGTTCAAATAAGGCAAATGCCAACCTGTAACCAATCCAGCTATTTTTGTACCTCACTGCCAGTTTCTGTATGTCCCTTCCCTTTTTTTGTCTGTAAATTTGTTCTGACCATGAGACATCCCTGGAGTCTCTCTGAATCTGCTGTGATTCTGGGGGCTGCTTGATTTGTGAACCATTTACTGCTCAATTAAACTCCTTTTAAATTTAATTCAGCTGTTTTCTTTTAACAGATTTGATATATATTTTTTCCTCATATGCATAATACCATTTTCATGTAATGAAATTTCCATTTAATACCTTTTCCATGTAATACCATTTTCATGTAATGTCTGATTCTTGCCTCCTCTCACCTTATATCTAGCTGGGAGTGGAAGGAAACATGGAACAGAACATCCAACACACCATGATCATCCCGGAGTTTTTGGACAGTAAGAATTACTTTCATTGTTTAAAGTAAGGTAGACATCATACACTAGTGGAGTAACATTTAAAAATTCACCAGAATGCATTTGTTTATTTCCAATTTTTTATGTGGTAAAATACACATAACATAGAATTTACTATCTTCATCATTTTTAACAGTACAGTTCAGTGTTACTAAATGTATTCATAATGTACAACCATCACCATTCTCCATCTCCATTACTCTGTTCCTCTTATAAAACTGAAACTCTATACCCATTAAAAAATAACTCCTCATCCTCCCTACCCTCCTGCTCCTGGAAACAACCATTCTACTTTCTGTCTTTATGCTTTTGCCTAATCTAAGTGGTATATTTTGAATGTGTGCCTCAAAATTCATGTGTTGGAATTTTGGTCCCTGGGTAGAGGTGTTGGGAGATGGAGCCTTTAAGAGGTGATTAGGTTGTTAAGAGGAATTAATGCCACTCTCCCGGGACTGGGTTAATTCTTGCTGAAGTGAGCAAGTTCTCACTCTTACAGGACTGAATTACTAACCACTAAAGCCAATTGTTATGGAGCAAGACCTCCCCTTGTGATTTGTGCCTTTCACATGCACTCATTTCCTCTTCCACGCCTCTGCCATGTTATAATGCAGCACAAGATCTCCCCAGAAACTGACCAGGTGCTGACACCCAATATTGGACTTCCCAGCTGCCAGAACCAGAACCCCTTGTGATAGTTTGCTGAGAATGATGGTTTCCAGCTTCATCCATGTCCCAACAAAGGACATGAACTCATCTTTTTTATGGCTGCATAGTATTCCATGGTGTATATGTGCCACATTTTCTTAATCCAGTCTATCATTGATGGACATTTGGGTCTTTGCTATTGTGAATAGTGCTGCAGTAAACATACATGTGCATGTATCTTCATAGCAGCATGATTTATAATCCTTTGGGTATATACCCAGTAATGGGATAGCTGGGTCAAGTGGTATTCCTAGTTCTAGATCCTTGAGGAATCGCCACACTGTCTTCCACAATGGTTGAACTAGTTTACAGTCCCACCAACGGTGTAAAAGTGTTCCTATTTCTCCACATCCTCTCTCCAGCACCTGTTGTTTCCTGGCTTTTTAATGATCACCATTCTAACTGGTGTGAGATGGTATCTCATTATGGTTTTGATTTGCATTTCTCTGATGGCCAGTGATGATGAGCATTTTTTCATGTGTCTGTTGGCTGCATAAATGTCTTCTTTTGAGAAGTGTCTGTTCATATCCTTTGCCCACTTTTTGATGGGGTTGTTTGATTTTTTCTTGTAAATTTGTTTAAGTTCTTTGTAAATTCTGGATATTAGCCCTTTGTCAGATGGGTAGATTGTAAAAATTTTCTCCCATTCTGTAGGTTGCCTGTTCACTCTGATGGTAGTTTCTTTTGCTGTGCAGAAGCTCTTTAGTTTAATTAGATCCCATTTGTCAATTTTGGCTTTTGTTGCCATTGCTTTTGGTGTTTTAGTCATGAAGTCCTTGCCCATGCCTATGTCCTGAATGGTATTGCCTAGGTTTTCTTCTAGGGTTTTTATGGTCTTAGGTCTAACATTTAAGTCTTTAATCCATCTTGAATTAATTTTTGTATAAAGTGTAAGGAAGGGATCCAGTTTCAGCTTTCTAAGTATGGCTAGCCAGTTTTCCCAGCGCCATTTATTAAATAGGGAATCCTTTCCCCCATTTCTTGTTTTTGTCAGGTTTGTCAAAGATCAGATGGTTGTAGATGTGTGGTATTATTTCTGAGGGCTCTGTTCCATTGGTCTATATCTCTGTTTTGGTACCAGTACCATGCTGTTTTGCTTACTGTAGCCTTGTAGTATAGTTTGAAGTCAGGTAGTGTGATGCCTCCAGCTTTGTTCTTTTGGCTTAGGATTGTCTTGGCAATGTGGGCTCTTTTTTGGTTCCATATGAACTTTAAGGTAGTTCTTTTCCAATTCTGTGAAGAAAGTCATTGGTAGCTTGATGGGGATGGCATTGAATCTATAAATTACCTTGGGCAGTATGGCCATTTTCATAATATTGATTCTTCCTATCCATGAGCATGGAATGTTCTTCCATTTGTTTGTGTCCTCTTTTATTTCATTGAGCAGTGGTTTGTAGTTCTCCTTGAAGAGGTCCTTCATATCCCTTGTAAGTTGGATTCCTAGGTATTTTATTCTCTTTGAAGCAATTGTGAATGGGAATTCACTCATGATTTGGCTGTTTGTCTGTGAAATTTAATGTATTTCTATGTAATCCAAAGTCATTTGTAGGCTTTAAAAGTGTAGTTTTCTATAAAGTGGTAAGAAGGGCACCAGAATAACACAAAAGAGGGCAGCAAAGTGGCAGCTGACAGGCTTGCCATGCTACACACTTGAGTAGTTCTGCACATGGAACTCCTGTTTACACACTTCTGTTAGTTTTAACTCAGTACAGTATTGAGACAAATACTGTTATGCATAGCATAAGTTCTTTGTTTCCTTGTGGTGATCACAGTGAATTTTTTAAAGCTTTTATTGGATGTTTCTGCCACACAGGAATTTTGTTAAGCAATTTAGCATATACTTCTTTAATTTTAAAAACAGGGTCTTGCTCTGCCACCCAGGCTGGAATGTGGTGGCACAATCATAGCTCACTGCTGCCTCAGCCTCCTGGGCTCAAGCCTCAGATTGTGAAATAGCTGGGGCCACAGGTGTGCATCACTGCACCCAGCTATATATTTTTTTATTTTTTTGTAAAGATGGGGTCGCACATTGGTGCCCAGGCTGATCTCAAACACCTGGGCTCAAGCAGTCCTCCTGCCTCATCCTCCCAAAGTACTGGGATCATAGGTGTGAGCCACTGCACGTGACCTATACTTCTTATTTAATTATTACAAATCTGTGGTCTGTGAGGTACAGCAAATCTGTGAGACTGGCATTTTCTCCATTTTGTAGATGAAGCAAGTAGAGCCCAGGAAGAGTCCCTGCCCCCGCTAAGGCCACATGGCTAGTAAGTGTAAGATGGTGCTTCAGACCAAGTTTTTAGCCCCCACACTGTTCTGTTCCACTGGGCACATGGAAGGATAGGTGCCACATCACCTCAACTCCAAACGTTATTGAATTTAATTTGATCAGGCATCATGGCATTTTGTATCCTCTCCCTGCATTTTGTTCAACAAGTTAACAAGAAACATGTATTTTAAAACCATTATTAGATTCATATTCCTTATATGTAGAAGGTATTGGAAATGTTATATTTTGGGGGTATTGCTTCAGGTATGTCAGTTTTACTGCCCTACAAATTTCCTTTTGACCAGCCTGAACATTGGAAGTTATACCATTATTTTTTAGTTTGAAAAAAATAATCTTTCCTTCATTGAGCTGTCATTTTATTTTCAGAACTTTTCCTACAAATTGTGTCATTATCTAAGGCATGATTGCCTTTTGAAGCATAACCTAATCTTACATGTTATAAATTTTCATTGTCAAGTAATACGAAAAGGATTGGTATCAAAAAACCTTTTAAGCCTTTTCTTGAGTGAAGATGAAATTGATATACCCTATTGAACTTGAACCCAGTTTTTCTTACATCAAATTTTTCTTTTGTAGGTTTATAAATTAAAAATAGTGTTTTTAAATTGAACATAGTGAATAATAACTATGATTTTTAATTTAAATTTAAAAAATTAAAATTTCAAGTAATGATTTTTAACTAAGTCTGTTGCAGTCATGATCTGGGTAATGGTTGTATTAGTCACTTTTGAAGATGAAATGTTGGGGTGGGACTGTAAATCATGAGACTGGTTTTCTAAACATGTCACACTGAAATACCTGTATCTGTCTTGCTCTTCAACATTGTCATTTTTGGAAAATAAATGATAATGCAGATTATGCAGTGTCACCAATAATTTGTGGAACACCTGTCTTTTAGAATTTCCTGCAGATCCAGTTTACTATTATGTTTCATATGAAACCAAGTAATATTTTCAGAAAGCAATTATTATTAGAATTTATTGTCTTTCTTGTCCTTATCCTGCCCACATAGTCATCACCACCATTTCTATTAATTCTGTGCATGACTTCAGCAAGAAGAAAGCCCATGCCCCTTCTATAGTCATTTCTGGTCTCAGAATATCCAATATCTTTATTTCACCATTTTGCCTTCTACTTCATGGTCTCTTGCTAGTATTGCAATGAACATCAAATAGGTAGGAAATTCTTGTGCTTCTCCTCTTTACTTTTCTCCCAAAATATTTGACATCTAAGCCTTATTTACATTTTTTCTCTTTAAAATACTGCCTCCTTCCTACTTCAGTAATTTTACTATTACTAATTGTCTTAGCCCATTTTCTCTGGTATAACAGAATACCACAGACTGTGTAATTGATAAAGTTTATTTGGCTCATAGTTCTGGAGGCTGGGAAGTCCAAGATTGAGGATCCACATCTGGTGAAGACCTTCTTGCTGCATGCTAACTTGGAAAAGTATCACATGGTGAGAAGGAAGGAGCATGAAAGATAGATGAAAGTGGGGGCAAAATGTATCCTTTTATTGGGAGTTGACTCCTCGTAAACTATCCCAATTCTATAGTAATGGCATCAGTCCGTTCATGAGAGCAGAGCCATTATGAGCTAATCACCTCTTATCCCTTTTCCCATTTGCCCCAAGAATACTCATCAGCAGTGCTTGCAGCTGCAGCATTTACCCCAAGATAACATTGCCATGAAATATCTCACTTTTATTATATTTTCACATTGCCCTCATATATGAACTTTGGAAACAAAAGACATTATTTTATTTATAGCCTTCTGTTTTTAGTAGTGCTATTTCCATTTACAAAATATAGTAATTCTCAATCACTGGAAAGGTCAAATCCTAGAAAATGTAGCATTCCTATGTGTGATGTTAACATTGCTCTCAAACAGTTGTTAGCTGAAGATATATTTGATGAATCTGATTTTTCCAAAATAGATGATTCTGATGATTCAGAAGATTCTGCTGTTAGTTCTGTTTAGAAGTGACTCCAGTAACAGTTTTGTATTTTATTTTCACATTGAAAATCAGTCAGATTTGCTTTAGCTTGAAAGAGTATATTTATGTAAAATTAAGCAAGCACTGGCAGTGAGCTGCACTTTTTTTTTTTTCCAAATAGGAAAGAGGCTAAAGGCTCTACTTCCCAGTACCATTATACTGGCAATTAAATTTGAACATGAATTTTGTAGAGGTTGTTCCAATTATAGCACTTATGTATACTGGCCTCTGAGTCAGTTACCATTCTCATTTTAAACAACTGAGATTTGAGTCACAAAGAAAATAACTTGTTAAAGTTGCACAAGAAAGCACAGCTCATACCTAGAGACTCTGAAACATTGCACTATACGTAAACTCTTACAGATATTTCAAAAATTTCAGGCAGAATTAAAAGTTGTAACAAATGGGACTACCTTAGTGCTAAAAATATGGTAAAAATTGTTTGCAAATTAAATGACTAAATAGTTAATTATGCCTTCCAATGAGATGCTAATGTTTATTTTAAATGTATGTACTGATGTGTATAGATATGCTGATGCTTAGGTGTTACATTTATTTAAAATTCTAGTTCAAGGTCTTACCATTTTCACAGTTGAATCTACCCTATTTCAGACATTCTTAGGGTATAACAGATTGAAATGGAATTATGCAAGTGTGTGGTGAATGGGATAGGAGGGAGTCACACTGCAGACTATTTTTTTTCTGACAAGGTGCAGAAAATGGAATTTCAAAACCCCTTTGGTAGCTTAGGTAGAGATTAGTCAAGACAGTATGGCTCTTGCAGAATAGCTTCTGAGCTGGACGGAGGAATTACAAACGGCCTATTTCATTTTTAAAGTTCTTACTAACCAAACTGAGTACTCAAATCCTGGAAAGGAACAAAGAAGTGTATTCATTGTCATGAACAGTAAAGTAGAACCAACAATTCCCCTTTGCTTGCATTCTGATTTCAGGGCATATTGTATTATCCAAAGGCAAAAGACGGATAAGCAAGACATCCATGAATATTTTAGGCTTTACCAAGGCTCCTTTTTGGAGGACATTAGATTAGAATTGGGTCTTGGCAGCATCTTAAAAACAAAAAGCATGCCAACCTCATCACCAAGACTCAATCACTTTGTGGTGTTGACACACACACTCTTAATTGCTATCTTCTTTAGCACTAGATATTCAAGGTTTGGAGGATTTTCTATGCAGAAGATTCATTTTTGTTGTCTCATGTACCACGAAAACACAGAGGAATAGGTATTTCATCATTACTTGCTTAATTGCTTTATCTTATCTAGTGAAACAAAGTTTAATGAATAAAGAAGTGAAAATGTCTTGTGGCTACATTGTGCTGTTTAAAACTTTACTAAAAGCAATATTTGCTTAAAACAGCACATTCTAAGTAAAAATGTATATGCAAAATGACTTTAATCAATATTTTATCTAGGGTGAAACAGCCAAGCAATAGTTTGTAGAAAATTTTTGTACATTAGCAGAAAGTTGGGGGCAGGGGTGGGTGTCAAACAATAAAGAACTAAAACAATCATGGTTCCGGATTTTGCAGGTTAACTGCAATTGCTTGGGGGAGACAGAGGAAGAAAAATCTGTAGAACGTTTCCCTTCTTTAACTAAAAAAAGCAATTGAATTCAAATGTAACTATGCAAGGTGTCTTTTTAATATGGTTATAGTGTTTTAAAAATACTAGTTTGTGATGTAAAGGAAATGAAGATATTTTAAATCACAGAATAAATTAATACCACGTAATAGGATTGAAGTGGAAAGGGAAATGCCAAGACTGAAATGTTGACCATATAAGAATAGCTTTATTTAAAGATATGTCTTAAATGACATTCTTGCTCTCATCATTCCTATCAGTCATTGTTTCTTCCTCCTTCCCTGAGTTTTCTGTCCTCTCTGGCCTAAAATAGCTGCAAGCTGTCAGAGCTGCCCCAAAATGCCTTGAGGAATATTCATAAAGACCATCAGAAGAGATGTGGAATTTTGTCAGTCAGGGCAGAGACCTTAAAAAAAAATAGCCACAAATCCACTTCCAGAATGGTGGTAGGAGGTCTGAGTTCCTTTTTCCCAGTAAAGCAAACATAACTCGTGACATTTGTAATATTATAATTTAAAGACACTCAAAATTGTCCTAAGGGAACACAGCAAAGGAAAAAACATTTATTCAAGAAAATCTAAATCTCATTAAGGACAGTGGGAATCTGTAGCATGTGTGCCATGACCCATCTTCTCCTTCCCACTTTCCTACTTCATCTATCATGGAAGCTCCACTCTAGGAAGTGGCTAAGAAGATAGGGCTCCTCCAGTGTCCAATCAAGTAATAGTACGTCCTCCCCCACCCCATGAGGGGCAGGCCACCAAAATTTCTCATCCCCTCACCACCAGGTCCACACTGTGAAAGCTAAATTTCAGGCAAAAACAGCTGAGAGGTCAAGCGCTTCTTTCTTCCACTGACCCCTTTACACAAGCCAGAGGTTTTACCCTATCCATGACAGGTATTGAATACTGGGGCACCAATCACCCTTGCTTCAGCTTACTCATCCAGGAAGTTCCGTGGCAGGAGAAGCAAGCTGAGAACAGAAACTACCACACCCATACAGTACCTTCTCACAAAACAGGAGTGTTACTGCAGGAGAAGTGGGCCACTGTCCTCCAACCCTAGCTCTAAAGCAACGACTCAGAGATTCTGTCCAGAGGACAGGAAGACCGTAAGAACAGACAGCACTCAAGCTGACCTTTCCCCCCCCTCCAAAATTGACTTCATTTAGAACAGAGTGAAGGGAAATTCAAGCCTAAGTGTGCTCTCAAACACAACAGAGATTTTGGCAATAAGTATTTAAGAGGAATCCAGTAGCTCCGTGAAGACAATAAGCCCAAACTGTAACCCATTTAGTTTACCAGACAGAAGGAGGGAAAGAGACACCTAGAAGGGCCCTCCTGGAGTCTGAAAAAAACCTTAAAGATAGGCCTCAAAAGCTACCTCTAAAAAGACTGGAGCAACTTATGCTTCAGGGTATTGCTGAAAACAATAGAACAGCAGCTGGCAACTTGTGGAGCCTAACAGCTGGATGTGATACCAACTGAGGCAGATGGCTTAACAGAGAGATTTGATGAAGACAGAGACAACTCTGCTAAATCCATTGTCATCCCAGAGTGACTGTACTTATGCCCAAGGCTGAACCCTCTGATAAGTTACATCAGAGACTTCACACTATGGGGGAAATATTTTGACTAAAATTGTCTAGCCAAGTTGTTAAACAAGTAAACAAGCAAACAGCAAACCCTGGGAGGAATCCATATCTAAACTTGCTATGATATATTATCTAAATCATCTACTTTTTGAAAAAAATTATGAGACATGAAAATAATCAGAATGATGTAACCCATACACAGGGGAAAAGCAAGCTATAGAAACTGTGAGAAGACACATATGTCAGACAATACACAAAGACTTCAAATCAGCCATTATAAACGTGCTCAAATAGTTAAAGGAAATTATACCTAAAGAAGTGAAGGATGTTATGACAACCTCATCAAATACAGTATATCAACAGAGACGAAAATGATAAATAAGCAGAATATTTCAGAGTTGAAAAGTATAATTTAAATGAAAAAAATCACTAGTTGTGATTACAGTAGATTTCAACTGGCAGAGGAAAGGATCAGTGAACTTGAAGATAGAGTGACAGAGATTATGAAATTCAGAAAACAGATGGAAAAAAGAGTGAAGGTAAATGAACACAGCCTCAGAGAAGAGTGGGATATCATTTAGCACATCAACATATATATAATGAAAATTTCAGGACAAGAGAAGAGAAAGAAAAATATATGAAAAAAGTGATGGTTGAAAACTTCCCAAATTTGATGAAAAACATTAAAATACATACCTAAGAAACTCAATGTCCTCCAAAAGGGATACATGCAAAGAGAACTACACCCATTGATATGATTTGGCTTGCTCAAATCTCAACTTGAATTGTAATCCCCATGTGTCAAGGGTGGGACCTGGTAGGAGGTGATTGGATCATGGGGGTGGATTTCCCCTATGCTGTTCTCGTGATAGTGAGTTCTCATAAGATCTGATGGTTTAAAAGTGTGGCACTTACTCCCTCACTCTCTCTCTCTCCTGCCACCATGTAAGACATGCCTTGCTTCCCCTTCACTTCTTTTTTTTTTTTTTTTTTTTTTTTTTTTGAGACAGAGTCTTGCTCTGTCACCCAGGCTGGAGTGCAGTGGTGTAATCTCGGCTCACTGCAACCTCTGCCTCCCAGGTTCAAGCAATTCTCCTGCCTCAGCCTCCCGAGTAACTGGGATTACAGGCATCCACCGCTATACCTGGCTAATTTTTGTATTTTTAGTAGAGACAGGGTTTCACCATATTGGCCAGACTGGTCTTGAACTCCTGACCTCATGATCTGCCCACCTCAGCCTCTCAAAGTGCTGGGATTACAGGCATGATCTACCACACCTGACCTACCCTCTACCTTTTTGCCATGATTGTAAGTTTCCTGAGTCTTCCCCAGCTATGCAGAACTGTGAGTCAATCAAATCTCTTCTCTTTATAAATTACCCAGTCTCAGGTAGTTCTTTATAGCAGTGTGAAAACTGACTAATACACCCAGATACATTATATTAAAATGTTGAAATACAGAGAAAATATTGAAAGCAACAAGAGAAAAACAACTTGTCATTAAAAGGGAGCCCTTATAAAATCAACAGCTGACTCCTCATCAGAAAAAAAATGGAGGCTACGATGCAGTGGGATGGCACATTTAAAGTCCTAAAAGAATTCTTGGCCAAGAACGGTGGCTCATGCATATAATCCCAACACTTCTGGTGGCTGAGATGGGAGGATTGCTTGAGCCTAGGAGTTTGAGTCCTGGGCAACATAGCGAGATCCTGTTTCTACCCAAATTTTAAAAATTAACCAGGTGTGGTGGTGTGCACCTGTAGTCTCAGCTACTTGAGAGGCTGAGGTGAGAGGATTTCTTGAGCCTGGGAAGTTGAGACTGCAGTGAGCCATGAATATGTCACTGCTCTCCAGCCTGGCAACAGAGCAACACCCTACCTCATAAAGAAAATTGTCAACTAAGAATTTTATATCCAGCAAAACATAAAACATTTATCTTTCAAAAATGAATGCAAGAGATAATTCATTACTAACTGAGCCACCTTACAAGAAATAATAAAGGAAGTTCTTCAGGCTGAAAGCAAGCGACCCAAAACACTAATTTGAAAATTTGAATCTATATGCATACATTCGTGCATATGCACACACACACACAGAGAGAGAGAGAGAGAGAGAGAGAGAGAGAAAGAATAATAAAGGTAATTTTTTTAAAAAAACTATATTACCAAGGACAAAAACAGACAATGGTTAATTCATAAAAACATAGCTAGCAATCCTAATTAAGGGTGACTACACCTAATTAAAGAGTTTCAAAATAAAGAGAAAAAAATGACAGAATATAAAGTAGAGTCAGACAGACTTACAGTTATAGAGCTCAGCACTTCTTTCCCAATAGTGATAGAACAAGTAGACGAAAAGTCAGCAGGAAGGTGATAGACATGACCAATCCTATCAAATTCATTTAATTGACATTTATAAACATTCCACTCAACATTTGCATACTATATGTTATTTCAAGTGCACCTGAGACATTCAACAAGTAAGACCATTTTCTGAATGACTTTTTAAAAGTCATAATACATTTTAAAATATTGAAAAGATTCAGAATATATTCTGTGAACAAACAGGATTAAGCTGAAAACCAGTAACCCAAAGATAACTGCAGTGCCCTCAAATATGTGGAAATTAAACATCACAATTTTGAATCACTCATGAGTCAAAAGATACAAGACAATCAGAAAATGTTTGGATAATACTGAAATGAAATAAAAAAAACAAAAAAAATATTGGGATGCCCTGGTGCACAGCTTAGAAAAACAATTATAGCTTTATATGTTTTGTTAGAAGAGAATAAATGTCTAAAATCAATGATGTAAGCTTCCACCATATGAAGAAAGAAAAATGCAAACAAATTAAACCAAAATTAAGTAGGAGGATATCAGTAATAAATATAAGAGCACAAATGAGTGAAGTAGAAAAGGGGTCAGACAACTGGCCGAATTGGTCCAGTGACCTGTTTTCATAGAGGTCTTAAATTAAGCATCATGTTTGCATTTTTTGAAGGCATGTAAAACAAAGCAAACAATATAAACTATGAAATTTGACAGCTTAGATGAAATGGAAGATTTTCTTTAAAAATATTTTACCAAAACAGGGTATAGAAGAAATAGAATGCCTAAGTGGCCCAATAACAGTTAAATAAATTGAAGCAGTAATTTTAAATTTTCCCCAAAAGAAAACTCCAGGTCTAGATGGCTTCACTAGAGTATTCTGTCAAATACTTAAGGAAGAAATAATACCAATCCTATAAAAACTCTTTGAGAAAGTAGAAGAGAATTAAATACTTTTCATCTCATTTTAGTGGATCAGTATTATCCTGAAAGCAACATCAAAGACATCATAAATAGGAAAACCTCCAAATCAATATCCTGGATGACTATAGATTTATAAATTCTCTAGAATTTAGTACATTAATTAGTATATTGAATCCATTAATACATAAAATGTAGAAATTTGTTCTGATTAATTGGAATGGCATTTCAGAAATGCAAGTTTTTAATTTAATTGTGAAAATAATGTAATTTAGCATGATAAAGTAATGCAAAAACTTACACAATTATGTCTATAGAGGCATACAAACATTTTACAAAATTCAACATCTATTCATGATGAAAACTCTGAACAAATGAACGAGAGATTGTAAGTTTTTTTTCTACCCGTATCAGTTTTCTGGTTACTGCTTTGTATGTAAGATCAAAAACAGAAAAAAATTATCTGTTCTCATTTTTATTCAACACTGTAATATAAATCCTGGCCAGTGTAGTAAGAGAAGAAAAATAAATGAAAAGCAGACAAGTTGAGAAGGAAGAAGTAACACTTACTTATTCACATCAATATGATCATAGACATATAAAATCCTAAGGAATCTACAAGTATTAACCAAAACTAATAAATAAATTTATCAAGTTCCCAGGGTAAAAGGCCAATACACAAAAAGCAATTGTAAGCCAGACATGGTGGCTCACACCTGTAATTCCAGCACTTTGGGAGGCTGAGGCAGGCAGATTGCTTTGAGTTCAGGAGTCCTAGACTAGCCTGGGCAACATGGCAAAACCCCATGTCTACAAAAAAATACAAAAATTAGCCAGACATTGGTGGCTTGCACCTGTAGTGGCAGCTACTCAGGGGGATAAGAATGGAGAGTCGCTGGGCACAGTGGCTCACACCTGTAATCCCAGCACTTTGGGAGGCCAAGGAGGGTGGATCATGAGGTCAAGAAATCGAGACCATCCTGGCCAACATGGTGAAACCCCATCTCTACTAAAAATACAAAAATTAGCTGGGCTTGGTGGTGCATGCCTGTCATCTCAGCTACTTGGGAGGCTGAGGCAGGAGAATCACTTGAACCCGGGAGGCAGAGGTTGCAGTGAGCCGAGATCGTGCCACTGCACTCCAGCCTGGTGACAGAGCGAGACTCTGTCTCAAAACAAAAGACTGGAGAGTCACTTGAGCCCAGGAAGGGGAGGTTGCAGTGAGCCAAGATCACACCACTGTACTCCAGGCTGAGCAGCAGAGCGAGACTCTGTCTCAAAAAAATAAAAAAGTAATTGTATTCTACATATTAAAAATAAAATATTAAAAAATAAAATTTAACAATCCAATTACAACAGCATGTTAGATGATAAAATAGGAGTAAATTAATGAAGATAAGCTCTGAAAACTATAAAACATTGCTGAGAGAAATTTTTTAACTTTTATTTTAAGTTCAGGGGTACATGTGCAGGCTTGTTATATAGGTAAACTCATGTCATCAAGGTTTGTTGTACAGATCATTTCATCACCCAGATATTAAGCCTAGTATCCATAAGTTATTTTTCTTGATCCTCTCCCTCCTCCCACCCTCCACTCTGCAGTAGGCCCCAATATGCGTTGTTTCCCTCTATGTGTTCATGTGTTCTGATTATTTAGTTTCCACTTAAAGGTGAGAACATGCAATGTTTGTTTTTTTTGTTTCTGCATTAGTTTGCTAAGGATGATAGCCTCCAGCTCCATCAGTGTTCCTGCAAAGGACATGACCTCATTCTTTTTCATGGCTGCATAGTATTTCATGGCATATATGTACCACATTTTCTTTATCCAGTCTACTGTTGATGGGCACTTAGGTTGATTCCATGTCTTTTGCTATTATAGCGCTGAAATGAACATACGCATGCATGTGTCTTTATGATAGAACAATTTCTTTTCTTTTCTTTTCTTTTTGAGGCAGAGTTTTGCTCTTGTTGCCTAGTCTGAAATGCAATGGTGTGATCTCGGCTCACTGCAACCTCCACCTCCCGGGTTCCTGCCTCAGCCTCCTGAGAAGCTGGGATTACAGGCATGCACTCTGGCGACTAGGTTCATTGTCACTGAGCAGTAATATTTTGAAAGGAATCTTTCTCTGAGCAACAGTTCTCAACAATGGGCTTAATATATTCAGTAAACCATGCTATAAACCAGTGTCATCCTGGCTTTCTTGCTTCATTTGTAGAGCACAGAGTATATTTAGCAAAATTCTTAAGGGCCCTAGGATTTTTAGAATGCTAAATGAGCATCGGCTTCAACTTAAAGTTACCAGCTACATTAACCTGTAACAAGAGAGTAAACCTGTCCTTTGTAGCTTTAAAACCAGGCATTGACTTCTCTCTAGCTAAGAAAGTCCTAGACGGCATCTTCTTCCAGTATAAGGTTATTTCATCCACACTGAAAATCTATAGTTCGGTGTAGCGACCTCCTTCAATCATCTTAGCTAGATCTCCTGGATAACTTTCTGTAGCTTCTAAATCAGCATTTGCTTCTTCATCTTGCACATTTATGTTATAGAGAACACTGCTTTCTTTAAACCTCATGAACTAATCTCCACTAGCTTCCAAATTTTCTTCTGCAGCTTCCTCACCTCTCTCAGGCTTCATAGACTTGAAGAGAGATAGAGCCTAGCTCTGGATTAGATTTTAGCATAAGGGGATGTTGTGAATGGTTTAATCTTCTATGTAGACCACTAAAACTTCCTCTATATCAGCAATAAGCCTTTTTTTTTTTTTTTTTTTTATCATTTGTGTGTTCACTGGAGGAGCGCCTTTAATTTCCTTCAAGAGCTTTTCCTTTGCATTCACAACTTGACTAATGGCTTGGCACAAGAGGCCTAGCTTTTGGCTGATCTTGGCTTTTTATATACCCTCCTCTCCAAACTTAATCATTTCTAGCTTTTAAAAAAATTGTTGGCCAGGCGCGGTGGCTTACGCCTGTAATCCCAGCACTTTGGTAGGCCGAGGTGGGCAGATCACGAGGTCAGGAGACTGAGACCATCCTGGCTAACATGGTGAAACCCCGTCTCTACTAAAAATACAAAAAAAAAAAAAAAATTAGCCAGGCATGGTGGCGGTCGCCTGTAGTCCCAGCTACCTGGGAGGCTGAGGCAGGAGAATGGTGTGAACCTGGGAGGCGGAGCTTGCAGTGAGTCGAGATCGTGCCACTGCACTCCAGCCTGGGCAATAGAGTGAGACTCTGTCTCAAAAAAAAAATTGTTAACAATTTTTGTAGACAGGATATTACTGTGTTGCTTAGGGTGGTCTCAAACTCCTGGACTCAAGTGACCCTCCTGCCTCTGACTCCCAAAGTGCTGGGATTATAGGCATGAGCTACCACACCTGGCTTAGCTTTTGATTTAAAGGGAGAGATGTGTGACTTTTCCTTTCACTTAAACACTTACAGGCCATTATAGAGTTATTAATTGGCCTAATTAATCAATATTGTTTTATCTCAGGGAATAGAAAGGCCCAAGGAGAGAAAAAGAGATGGCAGAATGGCCAGTAGGTGAAGCAGTCAGAACACACACAACATTGATTAGGTTGGCTGTCTTATATGTGCATGGTCTGTGGCACTCCAAAACAATCACAATAATAACATCCATAATTGCTGACCAGAGATCACCATAACAGATATAATAATAATGAAGAACTTTGGAATATTGTGAGAATTACCCAAATGTGACACAGAGACATCAAGCAAGCACATACTGTTGGAATAACGGTACCGATAGCCTTGCTCAGTGCAGGTTGCCACAAACCTTCAATTTGTAAAAATGCATTATCTGCTAAGTGTAATAAAGTGAAGCACAGTAAATAAGGTATGCCCATATATAGAAAACTTTAAGAAGTCTACAAAAAATTCTTAGAATTAACAAGCAAATTCTTTACTGAATTTGCAGGATATAAAAAAACTTGCAGGATACAAAATCGACATGTAAAAATCAGTTGTGTTTCTATACACTAACAATAATCTATTCAAAAAGGAAATTAAGAAAACAATTCCATTTACAATAGCATCAAAAAGAATAAAATACTTAGAATAAACTTATCAAAGGAAATAAAAGACGTAGACATGGAAAACTACACAACATTGGGAAATTTTGAAAGACATGTAAATGGAAAGACATCCTATATTTGTGAATTGGAAGAATTACTATTGTTAAAACATCTGTCAGTCTATTTGGTGCTGCTATAACAGAATATGATAGACTTGGTCATTTATAATGAACAGATATTTGTTGTCTCACAGTTCTGGAAAATGGAAAGTCCAATATCCAAGTTTCAGCATCTAGATAGGCCCTTTTTGCTATATCATTACATGATGGAAGGCATCACATGACAGAAGGGCAAAGAGAGAAGAGCAAAGGGGAGGCAAATGCACTTTTTTTTTTTAAAAGTATAGTTAGGCTATTTCATTTTATTATACTTTCAGTTCTAGGATACATGTGCACAACGTACAGATTTGTTACATATGTATACATGTGCCATGTTGGTGTGCTGCACCCATTAACTCGTCATTTACATTAGGTATATCTCCTAATGCTATCCCTCCCCGCCCCACCCCATGACAGGCCCCAGTGTGTGATGTTCCCCTTCCTGTGTCCAAGTATTCTCATTGTTCGATTCCCACCTATGAGTGAGAACATGCGGTGTTTGGTTTTTTGTCCTTGAGATAGTTTGCTGAGAATGATGGTTTCCAGCTTCATCCATGTCCCTACAAAGGACAGGAACTCATCATTTTTTATGGCTGCATAGTATTCCATGGTGTATATGTGCCACATTTTCTTAATCCAGTCTATCATTGATGGACATTTGGGTTGGTTCCAAGTCTTTGCTATTGTGAATAGTGCCGCAATAAACATACGTGGCAAACGCACTTTCTTGATAGATAAAGGCATTAGTCCATTCATGAGGGCACAGCTCTCACAACCTAACCACCTCTTTAAAGTCCCACCTGTCAATACTGTCACAATGGCAATTAAATTTCAACATGAGTTTTGAAGAGGACAAAGATTCAAAGCATAGCAATGTCCATACTTCCAGTAGTGCCCTATAGATACAGTGCAATCACTAGTAAAATCCCAACGGCATTTTTTTTTTTACAGAAAAAATCCTGAAATTCATTTGGAACCACAAAAGACTCAAATAACCAAGGAAAATTTGAGCCAGACTAACAAAGCTGGAAATATCATACTCCCTAATTTCCAAATATATTATAAAGCTACATTAATCAAAACAGTGTATGACTAGCATAAAAACAGACGTCTAGACAAATGGAACAGAATAGAGAGCTCAGAAATAAACCCACAATGATGAAAAGATAGTCTCTTCAATAAATAGTGTTGGAAAAATTGGATAGCCACATGAATGAAACTGGACTCTTATGTTATACTACATGCAAACATTAACTCAAAATTGATTAAAGTCTTAAACATAAAACCTGAAGCAATAAAACGTTTAGACAAAAACATGGGGGAAAATATTCTAGACATTGTGCTGGCCAATGATTTATTGGATATGACACCAAAGTGGGATTATACCAAGTGGGATTACATCAAACTAAAAACCTCCTGCACTGGCCGGGTGCAGTGGCTCACGCCTGTAATCCCAGCACTTTGGAAGGCTGAGGCGGGTGGATCACGAGGTCAGGAGTTTGAGACCAGCTTGACCAACATGGTGAAACCCCATCTCTACTAAAAATACAAAAATTAGCCGGGTGTGGTGGCGTGCACCTGTAATCCCAGCTACTCAGGTGGCTGAGGCAGGAGAATCGCTTCAAACCAGGAGGTGGATGTTGCAGTGAACTGAGATCATCACGCCACTGCACTCCAGCCTGGGCGACAGAGCAAGACTCCATCAAAAAACCAAAACCAAAAAAAAAAAAACAAAAAAAACAAAAACCCTCCTGCGCAGCAAGAAACAACAAAATAAAAAGATAAAAAAGCAACCAACAGAATTTATTTTTTGGAGAAAATATTTTCAGACCATATATCTGATAAGAGGTTAATATCCAGAGAGTTAATATCTGCCTGACAAAGGAATTCCTATGCATCAATGGCAAAAAACAAATAACCCAATTAAAATTGGGTGAAGCATCTGCATAGTCATTTTTCCAAAGAAGACATACAAATAGCCAACAGGTATATGAACAAGTGCTCAGTATCACTAGTAATCAGGGAAATGCAAATCAAAACCACAATGAGTTATCACCATACTTCTGTTAAAATAGCTATTATAAAAATAAATACATAACAGATGATGTAGAGGAAACAAACCCTGTGTACTATTAGTAGGAATGTAAATTGGTCCAGCCACTATGGAAATCAATATAAATGTACCTCTAAATATAGAATTACCCTTTGATCCAGCAATCTCACTTTTGGGTATATATCCGGAGGAATGGAAATCTGGATCTCAAAGAGATATCTGCACTTCCACGTTTATTGCAGCAGTATTCACAGTAGCCAAGATATGGAAACAACCTAAATATCTATTGGTGGACAAGTAAAGAAAATGTGGTATATACATATAATGGAATATTATTCAGCCTTATTAACAATGAAATCCTGTCATTTATGACACCATGGATGAAACTGGAGGATATTATGCTAAGTGAAAGAAGTTAGGCACAGAAAGACAAATATTGCATGATCTCACTTATATGTGGAATCAAAAATAGGGAAATACATAGAAACAGAAAGTAAAATGGTGAAGGGGCTGGTGAGGGAGAAATAGGCAGGTTTTGGTCAAAGAGTACAAAGTTTCAGTATTTATTTATACACAATAAATAAGATCTGGATGTCTTCTTACCATAAAGAGCCTATGATTCACAATAGTGTATTATATACTTAAAAATAAGTAAAGAGGGTAGATCTCACATTAAGTGTTCTTACCACAAAAGGTGGGGGAAGCCCAAAGGGGTGGAAACTTTTGGAAGTGATAGATGAATTTATGGGATTGATGGCATGATGGCTTAATGGTTTCACAGGTATATATACTTACCTCCAAACACATCAAGTTGTGTATATTAACTGTGTACAGTTATATCAATCATAGCTCAATAAAGCAATTTTTTAAAGTATGTATAGTTTTATACTTGAGAATATCTAATTATACAGAATTTGTATATATATGCATAGAAATTACATATTTAAATATATAATAGGGAGTATCTTGGAGTGAACTTTTATCTGACTAATTTTGTTCTTTTTCCTTACCTCTATTCTCTGTTATCTACAATCTGTCTATCTATCTATATTCGTTTGTTTAAGAAAAAAGTTAGATATACATATTCCCTCTTCATTATATTCGTTTTTCGGACGTTTTTGTCAAGAACAGATGTGGAGGAGTGAACAGATTACTCTACAAGGATGTTCATCAGTATACTATTTTTGGTAGCACTGAAGGGATCATAACCTAAGTTCCTAACAGGAAGAAAAAAGCTAGAAAAAAATCTACCCCAAAAGTATGACCTCATTCTTGGATGGAATCTCTCTGGTGCTTGCTCGCTGTCTCTCTCTCTGCCCCCTGTCTCTGCCCGCCCCGCCCCCCCGCCACCGTCCCCTCAACACACACTCATAACAAAGAAGCTAGCTATAAATCAGAGATTTACTTTTAGAATGCTAAAAAATATTAATCACTGCGTTAATAAATATTTCTGCAATGAATCCATCTGGGTAGTTTGGTTTTTTATCTGTTGAATAAAGAGTTATTTATAAATCATCTATTAATGTAGTGAATAGGTATTACTTTTGTGTCTGGGGTGTTGTTAACGCAAACTTTGCATCTCTTTGGATTTACAGTTGTTTATAGCAAAAGAAAAAATCTTTTCCTTTTTTCTTCTTTTCATGTAAACAACGATGGAAACGACGCACGTTCGCAACCCGCAAAGCATTAGAAAGACACCGGTGAAAGACGCAGCTCAAGAGGGCGCTTTGCAGAAGATGCTGGGAAATGTAGTTCCTGGCGGCCGCGTGCGCAGGCGTACTTCCTGGCTTGGGAACCACATCGCCCGACCGTGCTCTTTATTTTTCGGTGGAGCAGGTGAGCTTTTTCTTTCCCGACCCTTGCACTCGTGTGGGAGGTGGGGAGAGAGGTCCCCTTCAAACACAACCATTCGGGCGGGTCGGGAGAGGCCTGAGAATGCATTGGCCGGGCCCGGGGGCGGAGGAAAGCCGATTAGGTCAGGCTGGGTATTTGGTTCACGTTGCAGTGGAGGGGTGGTGGTGACCTGGGCCAGCATCCCGCTTCAGGGTGAGGAGGAGGCAAAGCCGTGTCTGCTCATCCCAGCCTTAACAGTCAGGGGCTTGGGTTCTCTTCTGGGTTGGAGAGTCATGAGAACAGAGCTCAGAGCTTTTGGGCCTTGCTTTGACTGTGATGGGGGGCAGTTTATCTGGGGAGGGGCAACCACCCCAGACCTTGGTGGTAGGTAGACCTGGGAATTGCAAGAAAACCGTGATATACGTATTTAGTGCCAACTAGAATTTAGGTTTCCCGACATCCAGTTCTTGCTCTTTCCTCAGAAACTCACCTCCTCTCTAGAGATAGCTTGTTTCGTTTTACTGGTAAATTTCTGAAGTCTCTTCTATAAAGAACTGTGGAATTGATTCCCTACACTCTGCGGGCGACGAAGAGCAATTGTTTGTTCTTTGAGATGGCATTTGTGAATGCACTTCGAAAAATTGTATATGCTTTACAAGTATTGTTAACAAACAAAGAGGGAGCTGGTGCACTCGGTGCCACCCATCATGGGAGGATAAAGTTAGCCCTGTTTCTGGTTTGTCAGATTGGACCAGTGACCAGAGAGAGGAATGTAAGTGGCCTTTCACTTTGTACTCTGCAGGGAAAGAATCTGTTCCTAGATTCATTCTGACATTTTTACAGAGGGTGTGGGTTATATCCAGGTAGTCAGACAGGCTTCTCATAAAGACAGTCCTGATTTCTCAGGGCCCCTTTCCTTTTTCAGCTCTGCTTTCTCAGGTCTCTACTTACTTATATAAGATGGCATCAAGAAGAAGGACCTGACCACTGGCCCCTGACTACATGGTCTTTGGTGAGCAAAACTTTTCAAGGCATTTGTACCTTAAGCTGGGTTTAATTTCTAAAGTTCCATCTTGCAGTGTGGAAAAATCATATGCAATTAAACGTCCCTTGATAATCTCTTTTATTGCTCATTATTTGCTCTCAATTTTTTTTTTTTTTTTTTTTTGAGACAAGGTCTCGTCCAGTTGCCCAGGCTGGAGTGCAGTGCACGATCTTGGCTCACTGCAACCTCTGCCTCCTGGGTTCAAGCGATTCTTCTGCCTCAGCCTCCTGAGTAGCTGGAATTACAGGCGTGCACCACCACGCCCGGCTAATTTTTGTATTTTTAGTAGAGATGGGGTTTCACCATGTTGGGCATCCTGGTCTCAAACTCCTGACCTCGTGATCTGCCCACCTCAGCCTCCCAAAGTGCTGGGATTACAGGTGTGAGTCACCGTGCCCGGCCTAATTTTTCTTTATAACTGACAAATAAAAATTTTATATATTCATCATGTGTAACATGTTGTTTTGAAATATGTATACGTAGTAGAATGGCTAAATCAAGCTAATGAACATGCATCACCTCACGTACTTTTCATTTTTTGTGGTGAGAGCACTTAAACTGCTCTCATAGCAATTTTCAAGAATACATTGTTATGAACAATAGTTCATAACGTGTATGCACATGTAATGTGTATACAACCATGCAATAATATACATGTGTAAATGTACCCCGACTATGTTCTTTAAACATTAAAATAACTCAGCATAGCAAGATGCTCACTTACGAGAGGGCTGTAAGAAGTGAGACTGAGGAAACAGGAGATTCTCCCATCTCACTCTTACCTTTAGATAACATACTTTCTTGAGCCTGTTGGGCAGATTTGTACAAATAAAATATACATGTGTGTCTGTAACGCAGCTCTGCTGTATTTTTTATTTCCTGAAATATCACCTCTGTCCAGAGGGAGGGAAAATTTTCTTTCTTTCACTCACTGAATAAATATTCATTGAGCACCTACTTTTTGCCAGCTAATGTTCTAAGCATTGGGATATAACAGTGAATAACACAAAGTTTCTGCCTATGTGGAACTGACAGTCTTGGATGGGCACACAGACAATAATGTAAACACAGATGTTCCTCAACTGAGCATGAGGTTACATTCCAGTAAATGTGTAAGTTGAAAATATTAATTCAAAAATGTACTAATTCACCTAACCTACTGAACATCATTCATAGTGATGAATAGAGGAAACTATACCAGAGTAATGGGGCTAGGGAAGGCATAGGACAGCTGTTATTTAATATAGGGGAGTAAGAGAAGGCTTCACTGGTAGATGACATTATAGAAAATGAGAATATGGGCCGGGCGTGATGGCTCATGCCTGTAATCCCAGCACTTTGGGAGGCTGAGGCAGGCAGATCACGAGGTCAAGAGATTGAGACCATCCTGTCCAACATGGTGAAACCCTGTCTCTACTAAAAATACAAAAATTAGCTGGGCGTGGCGGCATACGCCTGTAGTCCCAGCTACTCGGGAGGCTGAGGCAGGAGAATCGCTTGAACCTGGGAGGTGGAGATTGCACTGGGCCGAGATCACGCCACTGCATTCCAGCCTGGGCTACAGAACAAGACTCTGTCTCAAAAAAAAAAAAAGGAATATGAGCCTTGTAGATACTTGGGGAGGGGAGGGGGATTAGGGAGATTAAGTTCCTCAGCAGAAGCAACAGCAAATGCAAAGCCTCAAGGTGCAGATGTGCTTAACCTTTGTGGGAGCATCAGGAAGGCCACGTGGCCAGAGAGGGGTGAGTGATAGCAGCACAGTAGGAGTTGAGATGAGAGAGGTAAGGCGTGCAGACCACACAGCACACAGGCTAGTATGGCCACAGCCAGTTTGGCTTTTATGCTGAATGAGAAGAGAAAACGTAGGAGGTGATGGTGTTCGGTGTTATTGTTTATTCAGCTCTATTAAGATTTACATATAATTTACCAATTTTCATAGGGTTTTGAATAGAGAAGTGACATAACTTGACTTAGTTTAAAGGAACAATTTTGGATGCTCTGTTGAGAATAGAGTATAGGGTAGCAAGGTCAGACATGGATACTGGCTAGGAAGCTAAAGCAATCATCCAGGTGAAAGATGGATTTTTCTATTTCCTTCATTGTCTGACTTTTTAAGCCAACCAACACTTCATCCACCCCAAACTTCCAATTCCTCTCCCCATCTCCACTCTCATGCTTCCTATTTCACTAAGAGAACTAGAAAAGAACTTCCAAATGCTCTCACCACCACATCCCCTAACCTTCCAGGAAGTATTCCCATTATACTCCATAGTAACAGGAGGGAACCTGTCTTCCCTCCTGTTACTATGGAGAAATGGCCTGGACTCTAATTTATGGCCAACTCCTCTACCAGTGCACTAGATCTCACTTTCTCTCACTTACCCGGGACAGTGCCTGGGACAGTCACTGGGCAAAATTCCTGATAGTTTTGTCATTTATATATATTTTGCTTATTTAGCTATATAGACATAATTTTTCAGAAAAATAGAAAAATTCAAATAAAATGCTGGATTTTTAAATCATAAATGATCTAATATCCATCAACACTTAATTTACTGTGAGAGAAATCCACAAATACATAATGTTTCTATCATTCTTGAGTTGAAAGGAACTTCTGTTAAAAGAGTTCAACTGTAATTCCATTGGATCAAAACTATTCATAAATCCGTAGAATTTCCTTCCTTTTCATAAATATTTCTTCCTGTTACTCTATGCACCATTCCCTCCCAAACCCTTGTCTCATTTTCAGTTTCATTACTTAGAATGTTAAAAAAGGACATCTTAGCCAATTCTCAAAGCCCTGGTATCTGTATTTTTCTATTTGAGTTTAGGCCATTCACATGTGTCTTGATTTCACTTCAGTTTTGTACATTTTCTTGTGTCATTAGTAAATTAAAGAGAATATGCTTTATAGGCAGTAATTTGCATGTGTAAACATGAGGCTTTCCACTTAAAATGTTTACACTTAACTACCTGATTAAAAACTAATACATTCTTATGATAATCATTAAAATTTTAATTTATGAAGAATTTATGTCTTTAGAAGGACTCAGGGTCATTTGAATGGCTCATTGCCCTTTCAAGAAAATCTTTGTACAAAATGCTGTCCCGGTGATGCAGAAAAATTTTCCCTCTATGAATTTGACTAATAATTTGAAATTTTTCTCCTTTTCCTTCTTTTTCTTTTCAGAAATAGTGTTTGGACCATTTTTAAATGGAGAGAAATAATGCTGAACTCGAGAATAGGGGAGAGGCTATAGTCCTAGCTCTGCCAGTGGCTAATTGGGTGACCTTAGGCAAGTCAGTTCATTACTGTTGGCTTGAGGTGTGTCCTGGGCAAACTGAAGAAATTTGCCTTAATGTTTCCTGAACCTCTTTCTAACTCAAATGCACTGACATTATGACATCATTTGTGAGGTTTAGAGAGCAAGAAGCTCTAGCATCTGGCACTCGTTTTTATTTTCTGTCTTTACTGTTCTAACAACATCAGAGTCAGCCTTGAAAGAGAAAGGAACTTACAGTTGGATGGCCTGAGGGATGTGGCAAAGATTAGGATACTCACAGCTAATTTTGCCTGGCTGATTACAGGGATCATTATGAGTTGAGAACATAGTAACCACAGGGTTTTTAAATAACAACTGTCAGGTCACCAGTATACTAAGAAGTAGGTAAGACAGGGTCTCCAGTCATATTTTGGGGAGTTAGTCATGAGTTCTATCTGGCTACTGTGACCAAGAAACCTCACAGATTCAGCAATACTAGCAGAAGTGTAGTTTAGAATTCTGACAGGCAGGCTGCTGAAACTAAACTGATGAAAGAATAAATAGCTTGCAGAACATTAATCGTTGAGTGTTCATTAAAACATCTACCCCGTCAGGGGTACCCTACTAAGTACATGGAGATTTTTTTCTTTTGAGACGGAGTCTTGCTGTGTTGCCCAGACTAGAGTGCAGTGGCACGATCTCAGCTCACTGCAACCTCCGCCTCCCAGTTTCAAGCGATTCTCCTGCCTCTGCCTCCTGAGCAGCTAGGACTACAGACATGAACCACCACGCCCGGCTAATTTTTGTATTTTTAGTAGAGACGGGGTTTCACCATATTGCACAGGCTGGTCTTGAACTCCTGACCTCGTGATCTGCCTGCCTCAGCTTCCCAAAATGCTGGGATTACAGGCGTGAGCCACTGTGCCCAGCCAAGATTTTTTTTTTTAAAAAATTACCATAGTCTTTGCTCAGAAAGATAAAATCTAGCCACAAGAAGCATTAACCTTACTTTGCAGTTAGAAGGTATTCAATAAATTTTGATTTGAAAAATATAGTTAATAATGGCTTAGCTGTAGAAGAAGAGAGACAGATTAGATGGTATTTGGGTATTAGATAGGTACCCAAATCCTATCAAATTCTGAAGTTTATATGGCAATAAGGTAATTTGGACAGATTCATGGACTGTTGATACAGGAAAAACACTAATGACTTGAATCCTACTTCTTTAAGATAGCAGGTTTAAGTAGAAGCATGTTACAGATATATCACAAGGTGAACTCCAAAACTGAGGCTTAGCCCGGGAGGCCAAGTGGGGTCTTGGCTTTGTGCAGGAAAGAACTCCAGAGCAAGCCGACAGAGTAAAGTGTAAGCAAGTTTATTAAAAAGTAAAATAAAAGGGTGGCTACTCCATAGGCAGAGCAGGGCCACCCCATATGTATAGTAGCATGGGGAGCAGGGGTTGTTAGCTGGCTATTTTATGACTATTTCATGATTATATGCTAAACAAGGGGTCGATTACTCATGAGTTTTCTGGGAAGAGGGGGTGCTCCTGGAACTGGGGGTTTCCCTGTCCAAACCATACAGGGTAACTTTGGGCATTGCCATGGCAATTGTAAACTGTCATGGCTCTGGTGGGCATGTTTTTTAGCATGCTAATATATTATAATTAGTGTATAATGAGCAGGGAAGGTCGCTTTTGTTGTCATCTTGATTCTAGCTGGTTTAGGCTGGTTTCTTTTTTTTTTTTAATTTTTCATGCTTGAACTTTTAGAGAAATAGGCTGGTTTCTTTACTGTATGCCTCTTATTGGCAGGATCTTGTTACCTGTTGTTTACTTTCTCCTGTCTTACCAGTGGTGTCATATGACTCATTGTCTTGTAAACTAGTCCTGCTGAATTCCTATCTCAGATACAAAGACTACAGAATTGGGAATCAAGAGAAGTCTGTTCATGCACTCATTCAAGTAATATTTACTGGATGCATAGTGAATACCAGGTTCTGTGGGTGGCACTGAGGACAGAAGAGTAACTGTCAGGAGAGAAGAGGACTGTCCTGTTCTCAAGAAGCTAATAGCCTAGGAAGGCAGACAGACATTGGAAGTAGAATATTGACGTACAATGAATGTAATGATGTAGTGAGAGGAAAAGTACAAGGTTCTGTGAGTTCATTTTTGCAGGTAATATAACTATTATTAACAATGTTTATGACTCAAAGGTAATTTGTCATGAACCTGGTCTGGTTGTAATGTGACTTTATAATAAGTAAATACAAATAAATAAACCTTTTCCACTAAGAGTATATGAGAGCAGCCATTTTCCCAATACTTAAAACAGTACTGAATACTGCCTGTTTTTGACATTTTTGCCAATCTGATGAATGAAAATTGATATCTTAATTTGTATTTCTGGGATTAGAAGTGAGCTTGAAAATCTTTTTGTATATTGATCGTTTGTATTTCTTTTGTGAATTTCCTATTCATATCTTTTGCCCAGATTTGTATTGCATTATACATTTTTCCTATTTGATTTGTAGAAACTATATATAATACAGAAAATGGTCCTTTTTGCTTTATTAGTTGCAAATATTTACTCCCAATATGTCTTTTGTCTTTTAATTTAGTTGATTGCCTTCTGTTTGTATAGTCAAATCTGTGAATCTTTTTCTATATAGCCTCTAGATTTTATATTTTATTAAGGATTTCCCCATTGCAAGATTATAAAAAATATTCTTGCAATAGTTTTCCTGGCTCTTTTATAGTTCTAGTTTTATGTTTAAGTTTTTAATTCACCTATAATTATTTTTCATAAGGCAGCAGCTTTGAATTTATTTTTTCCCTAAGTGGATAAACCAGTTATCCTAAGATTATTTATTAAATTTTTATCCTTCCTCAAATAATTTGAAATGCTACCTTTATCATATATTAAATCCCCACAAAATAAAGGGCCTATTTCTAGACTCAGTTTTATTATTCTTTCAGTCTATCCCTGTGCCACTACCACCCTGTTTTAAAATTAATGTAGCTATAGAATATGTTTGGATATCTAGTATGGGCAAGTCCCCACCCTCAATCCTCGTCTTTTTTCATGTATTATATAGGTGTTTTAGATAGTTTGGGCTACTGTAACAGAATACTGTAGACTGGGTGGCTTAAACAACAAACATTTCTTTCTCATAGTTCTGGAGTCTGGAAATCCAAAATCAGAGTGCCATCATTGTCAGGTTCTTGTTGAAAGCCCTCTTCCTGGTTTACAGATGGCCATCTTATTGTTTCCTCACATGGCAAAGAGAAAGATCATTTCTCTCATGTTTCCTCTTACAAGTGCACTAATCCTATTGGTGAGGCCTCCATCATCATGACCTAATTACCTCCCAAAGGCCTCACCTAATACTATTACCTCAGGGGTTAAAATTTCAACATATGAATTTTGAGAGGACACAAACATTTAGTTCTTAGCTAAAGTTTAGTCAGTTAAGTTGGAGTATGCATTTGTCTCCTAGCACTGCCCTAGCAATGTGCCACAAATTGGGTAACTTAAAACAATATAAATTTATTATCTCACAGTTCTGAGGCTAGAATTCCAAAATCAAGCTGTCAGCAAGGTCATCCTGCCTCTGAAACCTGTAGGAAAATCATTCTTTGCTTCTCCCTAGCTTCAGGTGGTTTGCTGGAAATCTTTGGTATTCCTCAGCTTTCAGCTGCGTAACTCTGTTCTCTGCTCTTTCATCACATGACTTTCTGTGTGTGTGTCTGTGGGTCTTCCCGTGACCGTCTTCTTAAAAGGGCACCAGCCATACTGGATTAGGAGCCCACCCCATTCCAGTGTGAACTCACCTTAACTAATTACATCTGCAGTGATCCTGTTTCCAAATAAGGTCACATTCTGAGGTACTGTTAGGATTACAACATACCTTTTTTGGAGGGACACAATTCAACCCACAACAGGGGAGAATTAACATCTTTACAATATTAAGTCTTCTCATCCAGAAACATGGCTTTTCAGTTGATTCTCTTGAACTGCTGAGGAGTCAGCAGTCTTATTGTTTCTGCTTTGAAGTTACTCTGCCCTTTTGTTAAATTACTTTTAAGATTGTTCTCCTTTTCTGTGATTTTCAGGAGTTTGACTATTCTATTCCTGGGTGTAGCTTTCTTTGTATTTAGCTTGCTTATGGTTTGAGGGCAGTGGAATCTGTGAGTCATTGGTTGGGAAAAATCTATCCTTATTCCCTTAAATATAGCATCATTTCCATTCTTTTTTTTTTTTTTGAGACTCCACTTATATGTTAGACCGCTTAAGTCACATAAGCCCCTATACTCATTTTTAAGAGATAAGCTTCTATTGAATATCTGATATATGAAAAGGACTACATAAACTGCATCATCAGGAAGTAAAACATAAAACAAGGTGTATTAGTCCATTCTCATGCTGCTAATAAAAACATAGCCAAGACTGGGTAATTTATAAAGGAAAGAGGTTTAATGGACTCCCAGTTCAGCAAGCTGGGAAGGCCTCATAATCATGGCAGAAGACGAAGGAAGAGCAAAGGGACTTCTTACATGGTGGTGGGCAAGAGAGAGCTTATGCAGGCAGAGGAACTCCCATTTATAAAACCATCAGAACTCATAAGAGTTATTCACTACCATGAGAACAGTATGGGGGAAACTGCGCCCATGATTCAGTTATCTCCACCTGGCCCAATCCTTGACGTGTGGGGACAATTCCAGGTGAGATTTGGGTGGGGACACAGCAAAATCATATCACAAGGTGTCTTAGTTTGTGCTGCTATAGCAAAATACCTGAGACAGGGCAATTTATAAAGAACAGAAATTTATTTATCACAGTTCTGGAGGCTTGAAGTTCAAGATCATGGTGCCAACAGGTTTGTTGTCTAGTGAAGGCTCAGTCTATGCTTCAGGATGGTGCCTTGTTGCAGTGAACACTGTATCCTTACATGGCAGAAAACATGGAAGGGAACAAACCCACTCCCTCAAGCCTTTTTATAAGGTCCTTAATCCCTTCCATGAAGGCTCTACACTCATGACTTAATCGCCTCCCGAAGGCCTCCACCTCTTAATATTATCGCATTGGCAATTAAGTTTCAACATGTGCCTTTGGGAGATTCATTTAGAATATAGCACATGGCTAAATGATGATTAAAAGAAAAACAAGCTGTAAGAAAATAGTTGAATAGGAGATTAACTTAAAAATAAGGTATCTTTTGCTTTTATTAATAAACTTATTTTAGAATAGTTTTAGATTTGCGTAAAATTTACAGATATATTACAGAGAGTTCCCACATCCCCATAGCCAGTTTTCCCTACTGTCAACATCTTATGTTAGTTTGGTACATTTGTCACAGTTAGCCAAGGTTGGTACATTATTATTAACTGTAGTATTTCATTAAAATTTTTTTAGTATTTATGTAGTGTCATTTTTCTACTCTCTGATCTCATTCAAGATACCATGTTACATTTAGTTATATTTTCTCCTTAGGCTTCTATTGGCTGCAATATTTTCTTAGCTTTTTAAATCACCATTATTGTTTTAGGTGTCTTTATAGGGAAACTTCCGTATTGCTTCTGTATATCCTAAACAAGTAGTAGACATCAAATAATAAACTTTTGGCCACTCTTGAACCTAGAACTCTGAATCCTTTTCGAACAACTTAATAGTCCTCCACTTTGTCATTTTTAATTGTTAGCTTTACTGTTTCTTTCGTAAATGTCTGCAGGACTGATCCTTTAATGAGCAGGTACTTGTTTGATGTTTTAGGAACCCGTGGCATTGGAAGATGTCAGAGACATGGCACATGGATGTGATCTTCAAAAACTGTTACAGCCTCATCTCATTGGGTGAGTACAGTTTCTCCAATGCCAAAATATGTAGGATCATGAGATTTACAAGTGTTCATCTGAGACTGAGCTTTGAGTTTAGGGACCAGAGACAAGATATTTCTGTACTAAACAGATGATAGTCCTTTTCTTTAAAACTTTGTAAATAGTCTTACTTTGTTACCTTAGAAGTATCAACATTTCTCTATCGCAGAATTCCTGAAGACTACTTAGGACATAATTCTAGGATCCATTGATATTATCTTCCAACTAAGAAGAACCATATAAATAGATAACAAAGGAAAAATGGAGAAATGTCACAAAATATCAGCCAGGAAAGAATCAGATAACTAAAACAACCAAGAAGACAGGAATCCTTGTAAATAAGAGTCCATTTATCCATTATGGTGGTGCTAGTAACAATAGTGGTACTAGGAGATAGCTTTTGAAATGTTGGTTAAGGTCCTCTATGCAGAGCCCCTCGTCTGTATTTTAAAAACCTGCATTCATCTAGTAGAAGCAACAGCAACTTCATTTCTATATACCTTTATCTATCTTCTCACATATCTCTTGATCTCAGAGGAAGATTGGCCCCTTCCATTGTTAATCTTTCCATTCTGTACATCAGATTCCATTATTTTCTACTTGTTTTAGGGCCTGATTTAATGACTGTTTTATGATTCATTCTCTGCCGTTCACCAGCTCCTTTCCTTCTACTTTCAGACATTAAAAAGGTTTTCTTGCTTTTAAAATAACATGTTGCCTAAAAATTTTTTATCTACCTTTCAAAATTATTCTGTCATTACCAAATGTTTCAGACTTGTAGCTAATATCCTAAGTTCCTATTCTCTTTTAATCTTTGGAGTTAGATTCTTGTCTTCTGCTAAAATTATTTTGAAGAGATTCTTGAATTCTTTCTTTATAGCAACCTGTTCTTAGTCCTTTCTCTGTTCAGACTTTCTGCTGTGTTTGGTATTTTGTTTTACCTTGTGTGACATCACCAGATTCTTTTCCATTCTAATCTCTTTCCAAATGCTTTTTTGTTAACTTCACTTGCTCCCTAACGTAAATGCATGTGCCTTTATGGTTTTTTTACTTATTTTTATCTCAAAAAATTAGTGCATTCTGATATCCTCAAATAGTCCTTCCATGTTAACTGTCTTATATATTTTTTCAACTTAAGTGTTTCACTTATATTCTATTATCCCCATATATTCCCCTGCTTAGAGCTTATCTCCATTAGAATGTCCTACTTCACTTTAAAACACTTTAACCTCAATATGGTGAAAGCAAAATCACCAACTTGCCCTGGGTAGCCTCTCTTTCTTTATCATTAGTACCACTATTCTTCCAGCCTCCTTGGCTAGAAAACATTGTATCTTTATGAATCTTGTTTTGTAAAAATTCCCTATAATCTATTTCAGCATTTTTTGTTTCTTCTTTTTTATGTCTTATCTACACTTACACCAAGTTCTTACTAGTATTCTCCCAATCCAGGCTCATATCTTTCATATTATACTTTCTTGCTAAGTTTGACCATTGTTCTTTTATTCATTTTACACAGAATTAACAAGCTTTTAATCTAAAACATCACATCTAAGATATATTTATCCTGTTAATGTTCTGACAGAAAACTTCAGTTTTCCTGTCTCCTGCTAGATGACATTGAATTTCTCTGTTTAAAGTGTGAGAGTTTTTTATTATCTGATCCCATTTCACTTTTCTGGTTTTTTGCCTCTGGTTTCCAAAAACATACATACATTTGAATTAGTTTCATTGTCTTTTATTCACAACATTTATTTTACTGAATCTTTACCCTTGATTTTATTATGTACTTTGTCTCAAAGCTACCATTTCTTTTATCACAACTATTGTGATATCATACAAAACATATCTGGTCTTTGTTTCCAATTCTTGTCACAGAGCTTTGAAAGCCCTCCAGATTTCCTGAGTGATAGGAATATCTTTTGTTGTTCATAATACACCTTTTTAAAAAATCATACTTGAGTTTATGTGGATGAGGTGAAATAGGGTAGGGCCCCTAGATAGCCTCAATAGTGGATCTGATCACTAAAAAGACCAAGCAACTAGAGGGTTATAACTTTCAACTCCACCCAACTAACCTCTGGGAAGGAAGGTATGGGGATGGAGATTAAGCTCTATACAAATTCTTAAACAGTGATATTTGATGACCTTCTAGATTGGTCTACACATCAAGGTGCTGGAAGTGTCGCATGCCCAGAGATGATGTGGAAGCTCTATACCCCTTTCCCTTCTGCCCACCTTGCCCTGTGCATCTCTTCCTGAATGGCTTCTCCTGAATTGTATCCTTTATAATAAACTGGTAAATGTAAGTAAAGTGTTTTCCTGAGTTCTGTGAGCCATTCTAGCAAATTATTGAACCAGAGAAAGAGGGGTTATAGGAACCCTCAACTTGTAGCCAGTTGGTCAGAAGTATGGGAGGACCAGCTTGTGATTATCATCTGAAGTGGAGGCAGTCTTGTGGGACTGAGCCCTTTAACTTGAGGGATATGATGCTTACTCCAGGTAGGTAGTGTTGGAATTAGAGTAAATTGTAGGATATCTAGTTGGTGTCCAGAGAGTTGGAGAATTGGTCAGAATGGAAACAACCCCACACATTTGCACACAGAAGTGTGTTAAGTATGAGTTATAGAGAAGAATAGGCTGTGGCTATACAATTTGTCAGAAATGTTGTGAGTAGAGAAACTGTTTTCCAGACATATATATTGTTCCATTTCACCTTTAAACTTCCCTATTAATCAGCACTTATATTGAAAAACTTTACATTTTATCATAGCACTATTTTATTTTCTGTAACTGATGAATGAGCCTTGTTTTCTGCCTTTGTATTTCAGAGGAAAGAGATAATATCTTCTACTTAATCCTGGATACTATATCTGAAGTCAGAGCATCCACTCCAAAGCAGAGAATTTCTGAAAAACAAAATAATGTCATCATATGATGTTAGAATTTTTTTTCAAATGATGGTTCCTAATACTTCACATTAGAAGAACTCGAATTTGATGACCAGTTTGAGAAACACCAGTATATCCAGATTACAAGAAAAAGCGAGTCAAAAGGATGATCATGAATATAACAACTTCGAGGAAACATTTAACCAAAGACCAAAGCTTTTTAAACAACTGAGAGTTTTTATAAGAAAAAGACCTCATACAGTAGTCCCCACTTATTCATGGGGGATACATTTCAAGACCCACAGAGAAGGCCTGAAATCACTGATGTACCAAACCCTAACCAGGTTCTTAGGATGAGCTACTAAATGACAAATGGGTGGGTAGTACATAGAGTGTAGATACACCAGACAAAGAAATGATTCACAGCCCAGGCAGGACAGAGCAGATCACACAAGATTTCATCACAGTACTCAGAAAACCACACCATTTAAAAGTTATGAATTGTTTATTTCTGGAATTTTCCATATAATATTTTTGACCACAGTTTCCCATGGATAACTGAAACCATGGGAAGTGGAACTGTGGATAAGGCAGGACTACTGTAACTATGACATCAATGGTAGGAACCTGAAGCATAATTCTGCTGTAGTGGATTTTTTCAAAAGAAACTCATGAATGAAAAATAATTTATTAGATATAAGAAAGGATGCATTTGTATCTCAAACTTTACTTATTCTGGAAATAAATGAAAAGCCAACACCTATTACATACCGACAAAAATGAAAAAATAAATAAATGTAAAGCCATAGTTCAGTACTGATGGAATCTGAGAAAATTTATATGACCGCGAACCCATATCTCTGTACTGAATGTGGGAAAGGCTACACTTGTCTTGCATCCCTGACCCAGCATCAGAAAACACATATTGGAGAAAAACCTTATGAATGTAAAATATGTGGTAAGTCCTTTACCCGGAACAGTAATCTTGTTCAACATCAAAGAATACATACTGGAGAGAAACCTTATGAATGTAATGAATGTGGGAAAGCTTTTAGTCAGAGCACTAATCTTATTCAGCATCAAAGAGTCCATACTGGGGAGAAACCTTATGAGTGTAATGAATGTGAAAAAACCTTTAGTCATAGGTCATCCCTTAGAAATCATGAGAGAATCCATACTGGAGAAAAACCCTATCCTTGTAATGAATGTGGGAAAGCTTTCAGCCATATCTCTGCCCTTACTCAACATCATAGAATTCATACTGGAAAGAAACCATATGAATGTACTGAATGTGGAAAAACCTTCAGCCGCAGCACACACCTAATTGAACATCAGGGAATTCATTCTGAGGAAAAATCCTACCAGTGTAAGCAATGTCGGAAAGTTTTTTGCCACAGTACATCACTAATCCGACATCAGAGAACCCACACAGGAGAGAAACCATATGAATGTAATGAATGTGGGAAAGCTTTCAGCCATACCCCAGCCTTCATTCAACATCAAAGAATTCATACTGGAGAAAAACCCTATGAGTGTAATGCATGTGGAAAGGCCTTCAATCGGAGTGCACATCTTACTGAACACCAGAGAACTCATACTGGAGAGAAGCCCTATGTTTGTAAAGAATGTGGAAAAACCTTCAGTCGAAGTACACACCTTACTGAACATCTAAAAATTCATTCTTGTGTGAAACCCTATCAATGTAATGAATGTCAGAAACTGTTTTGCTATAGAACATCACTAATTCGACATCAGAGGACGCATACAGGAGAGAAACCCTACCAGTGTAATGAATGTGGGAAATCCTTCAGCTTAAGCTCAGCTCTAACTAAACATAAGCGAATACATACAAGGGAGAGACCCTATCAATGTACTAAGTGTGGTGATGTCTTTTGTCATAGTACATCCTTAATTCGACATCAGAAAACTCATTTCAGAAAGGAAACCTTAGCAGAGTAATGAGTGTGGGAAAGCCTGCAGTCAGTCGTAGGTTATTGTTTACACCTGAGCACTCACAGTTCAAGCAACCCTAGGATTGTTATGTGAGGAAAATCTTAGGCAAAACACTCATTTACTTAATATGCTATTTGTACTGAGAAGAAGGACTATGCTTATAATCTAAAAAAGGTGTTATTGAAAGAGAAAGTTATAATGGAAGTGTTCATCCAAAACTGAGGTTTGTTTTTTAAAGACATTTAGAAAGTTACTTTCAGAGATAATTTATTAAAATGTATATATTTGCTTATAAAAAAACTTTTTTTTTTTTTTTTTTTTTTTTTTTTTTTTTTGAGACGGAGTCTCGCTCTGTCGCCCAGGCTGGAGTGCAGTGGCGCGATCTCGGCTCACTGCAAGCTCCGCCTCCCAGGTTCACGCCATTCTCCTGCCTCAGCCTCCCGAGTAGCTGGGACTACAGGCGCCCGCTACCACGCCCGGCTAATTTTTTGTATTTTTAGTAGAGACGGGGTTTCACCGTGTTAGCCAGGATGGTCTCGATCTCCTGACCTCATGATCTGCCCGCCTCGGCCTCCCAAAGTGCTGGGATTACAGGCGTGAGCCACCGCGCCCGGCCATAAAAAAACCTTTTGAATTACACAGAAATCTTAGGTAAGGAAAATTGTTCACTCTATATATAATCCCTTTTTTGTTTATTAAGTCCTATGTTATATTTCAGCATTCAAGAAACACTTTTATAGAGGGTTTGAAAATAAAATTGACAGATTTCATTAATAGCCATAGACAAATAATGTTTTCTCCCACAAAGATACTATGCATTATTTTCTAAGATTTATGTAATATTTTTTAATGGACTATATATATGGTTACAAAGAAAATTGCAATAAATTCTCAGAGGGAAATATTCAGGCCCTCCCTAATTTTTTTCAGTGCAATGCAGTAAAAATATAAATGAAAACAACTAAAAGTAGCACCCCAACATGATTTAGAAATTTAAAATAAGTTTCTAAGTAATTTTGGAGTTAAAGAATAAATCTGTACAGGAAAAAAAACGTGATTATTAGAAGACAATAAAACTAGAACAAAAATTATACATTGAATTCAGAAAGGAAAAAGAATAATATAAATCCAAAGAAAAGAAATGCTTTAATAAAGATAAAACCACACCTCAATGAAATAGTTACAAAAGGTAGATTTCATAAGGCAATAGACAAACTTCTAGCAAGTAGGAATGATGGGAAAAGGACAAAAAATCCAAGAGTAAGAAAATGATTATAAATATATATGGAAGGAAACTTAAATACTCGAAGTCAATCATTAGGAAATCTAGCAGTTTAGTAAAGTCAGTACTAAGGTTTATTTTAGAACTTCTAGACTATTTCAAAAATAGAAATCTACATTAATAAACAAAAACCTATCTTAATAGATGCTGTAAAAATCATTTAATAAAATTCTATATACATTGGTGACTTTTTTTAAAGTTAGAAAATTCCTTATATTGTATATTGATGATGAGCATGTATTAGTGTGTGTTCTCCAGAGAGAGAAGAAAGAGAGAAGGAAGAGAAGGAATGGAGAGAGAGAGAAAGGAAAGTAGGAAAGAGAGAGAGAGGAAGGAAGGGAGGAAAGGGAGAGAAAGGCAGGGAGGAAGGGAGAGAGAGGGAAAGAAGGAAGGAAGAGAGAAAGGAAGGAAGGAGATGTGTATGGACATTAATGGATGATAAGAAGCCCAAGATCTGCAGTCAGCAAGCTGGAGACTCAGGAGAGCCGATGGTAAAGTTCTAGTCTTGAGTTTGAGGGCCTGAGTCTTCTGAAGGGCAGGAAAACTGAAGGTGTAAGTTCCAGTTTGAGTCTGCAGGCAGGCAGAAGACTAGTGTCCCAGCTTGAAGACAGGCAGGGAGAGAAGTCTCTTACTCAGCCTTTTATTCTATTTGGGCCTACAATGGATTGGATGAGGTCTACAGCCACATTGAAATCTGCTTTACTTAGTCTACTGGTTCAAATGTTAACCTCTTCTTTGAAACACATTCAAAGACACCTAGAAAAAATGTTTATTCAAATATCTAAGCACCACATATTTGGACCGTCAAGTTGACACATAAAATTAACCATGATGGGCTATTTACTATAAACCTACAAGAAAAACCATGAATAACCCAAAGCATTCTTACCGAAACAGGAATGAGATAAATGATGTTTGATGCCACCATTATTAGTCAATATTATGCTAAAGATCCCAGGTAATCCAATTAGAGAAAAAAAAGATAGCAATAATTTAAAGGAAGAGAAAAACTGTCATAATTTGAAATACATTCAATATTAGAAAATCCAATTAGAACTACTAAAATGATATATGTACAAAACAATATATTAAAAAAAAGTAGGAGAAATAGAAAAGATAGTAGAAAGAAGTGACATTTACAATTTTGACAATCTAAAAATACCAGGAATTTAAAAAATCCAAGATGTGATTAGGGAATAAACCTTTTCTAAAAAATATAGAATATTATAATAAATGAAAAGAACTGATTGGGAAAAATTGGAAAAATAATGTAAAGATGCCAGTTTGTATTTAATTTATCTCTGATTTGTAAATTTAATTGAATCACAATATAAATGGAATTTTTAAAATGACATCTCTATTAAGATATAATTCACAAGAAACAGCTGCAGACAGAGGCTCCCACTGAGAAGAATGAAAACAGTGAGTGAATCCTGCACTGGTGACTGAGGTATCCAGGTTCTCCTATTGGGACTTACTAGGCAATTGGCATGACCCATGGAGAGTGAGGAAAAGCATGGAGAGTGAGGAAAAGCACGGAGAGTGAGGAAAAGCAGGGTGGTGTGACGGCCCACCTGGAAGCCACACAAGGCAAAGGGAGCTACCACCTGCAGCCAAGGGAGGCAGTGAGTGATTGTGCTACCCTGCCCAGGAAACCACACTTTTTCCATGGATCTGTGCAACCCACAGATCAGGAGATCCCCTTCGTGAGCCCACACACCAGGGCCTTGGTGTGTAGCCACAAGGCTAGAGAGAGCCTACCACAGAGCTGTGCAGATTCTCAGCAGCCACTAGGCTGGAGACTGCCTAAGGCTGCTGAGTTCCTGCGGGAAGGACTGGCCACCATCACTGTGGCTTCCTGCTGCCTAAGATGACTTGAGTTCCCGGTAGGAGGAGTGGCAGCCATCACTGCAGCTCCAGTCTGCCATTTTTCCCCTGCCAGTGCTGGGGAGACTGGGTAGTTTGGACCCAGGAGGAATTGCCCACAGCACAGCACAGCAGCTATAAAAGGTTATAACCAGACTGTCTCTTTAGGCCAGGCCCTGATCAATCCTCCTCACTGGGTGGGGCCTCCCTGCAGGAACTTCAGCAATTCCTGCCAGGAGTTTAGAAACAGAACTCTGATCTCTCTGAGACTGAGCTCTTGTGGGGAGGGGTGGCTGTGGTCTCCATGGATCAACAGACTTAGTCTTTTCCCCCTGCTGGCTCTGAGGAATCCGGGCAGTCTGGACGAGTGGGATTCCACCCAGCATAGCACACCTCCTCTGCCAAGGGGCAGCTAGAGTGATTTGTTAGGTGGGTCCTGGATCCCATGCCTCCTGACTGGGGAGATCTCCCCAACAGAGGTCACCAGACACCGTATACAGGAGCATTCCTGCTGGCCTTAGTTTGGTGCCCCTCTGAGACAGAAATCCCAGAGGAAGGAGCAGGCAGCCATCTTTGCTATTTTCCAGCCTCCACTGGTGATACCTCCAAGTATGGGAGGGACCCCCAGCAAATTGCAGTAGCCCTATGGGAGTGGAACCTGACTGTTAAAAGAAAAACAAACAGCAACAGCAACAACAGTATCAACAAAAAAGTCCCACAAAAAACATATCCAAAGGTCAGCAGCCTCAAAGATCAAAGCTAGATAAACTCATGAAATGAGAAAGAATCAACAAAAAAGTAACCCCACTGAAAACTCAAAAAGCCAGAGTGCCTCTTCTCCTCCAATTGATTGCAACACCTCTCCAGGAAGGACACAGAACTTGGCAGAGGCTGAGGATGGATGAATTGACAGAAGTAGGCTTCAGAAGGTGGGTAATAACAAACATTGCTGAGCTAAAGGAGCATGTTCTAATCCAATGGAAAGAAGCTAAGAATCATGATAAAACATTACAGAAGCTATTAACCAGAAAAACCAGTAGAGAGGAACATAAATGACCTGATGGAGCGGAAAAACACAACACAAGAACCTCACAATGAAGCCACAAGTATCAATAACCAAATAGACTGGAGAAAAGAATTTCAGAGCTTGAAGACTATCTTGCTGAAATAAGACGGGCAGACAAGATTAGAGAAAAAAGAATGAAAAGGAATTAACAAAACCTCTGAGAACTATGGGATTATGTATAAAAGACTGAACCTATAACTGATTGGGGTACCTGAGAGAGAATGGAACCAAGTTGGAAACCATACTTCAGGATGTCATCCAGGAGAACTTCCCCAACCTAACAAGACAAGCCAACGTTCTTATTCAGGAAGTCCAGAGAACCCCAGTAAGATATTCCATGAGAAGATCAACCCCAAAACACATAATCATCAGATTCTCCAAGGTCGAAATGAAGGAAAAAATGTTAAAGTCAGCCAGAAAGAAAGGCCAGGTGACCTACAAAGGGGAGCCCATCAGAATAACAGCAGACCTCTCAGCAGAAACCCTACAAGCTTGAAGAGGAGGCCAATATTCAACATTCTTAAAGGAAAGAACTTCCAACCCAGAATTTTACATACAACCAAACTAAGCTTCGTAAGCAAAGGAGAAATAAAATCCTCTTCAGACAAGCAAATGCTGAGGGAATTCACTGCCACCAGGCCTCCCTTGCAAGAGCTCCTGAAGGAAGCACTAAATATGGAAAGGAAAAATTATTTCCAGCCACTCCTAAAACATGCTGAAGTATAAAGACCAGTGACACTATGAAACAACTACATCAACAAGTCTGCAAAATAACCAGCTAGCACAATGATGACGGGATCAAATTCACACATAACAATATTAACTTTAAATGTAAATGGGCTAAATGCCCCCAGTTAAAAGACACAGAATGGCAAGCTGGATAAAGAGTCAAGACCTATCAGTGTGTTGTATTCAAGAGACTCATCTCATATGCAAAGACACATATAGGCTCAAAATAAAGGGATGGCAGAAAATTTACCAAACAAATGGAAAGCAGAAAAAAGCAGAGGTTGCAATACTAGTTTCTGACAAAACAGACTTTAAACCAACAAAGATCAAAAAACACAAAGAAGGGCATTACATAATGGTAAAGGATTCAATTCAACAAGAAGAGCTAACTATTCTAAATATATATGCACCCAATACCGGAGCACCCAGACTCATAAAACAAGTTCTTAGAGACCGACAAAGAGACTTAGATTCCCACACAATAACAGTGGGAGACTTTAACATGCCGCTTTCAATATTAGATCATCAAGACAGAAAATTAACAAGAATATTCAGGACTTGAACTCACCTCTGGATCAAGCAGACCTGATAATTATCTACAGAACTCTCCACCAAAAAACAACAGAATGTACATTCTTCTCGGTGCCGCAATGCACTGACTCTAAAATTGATCACATAATTGGAAGTAAAACACTCTTCAGTAAATGCAGAAGAACTGAAATCATAAATCACACTCTCTCAGACCACAGCACAATCAAATTAGAACACAAGATTAAGAAACTCACTCAAAACCACACAACTACATGGAAATTGAACAACCTTCTCCTGAATGACTCCTGAGTAAACAATTAAGGCAGAAATCAAATTGTTTTTTGAAACCAAGGAGAACAAAGAGTCAACATACCAGAATCTCTGTGATGCAGCTAAAGCAATGTTAAAAGGAAAATTTATAGCACTAAATACCCACATCAGAAGGCTAGAAAGATCTCAAATAGACACCCAGCATCACAACTAAAAAAATGAGAACCAAGAGCAAACAAACCCAAAGCTAGCAGAAGACAAGAAATAACCAAGATCAGAGTGGATAGAGACACAAATAACCCTTCAAAAAAATCAATGAATCCAGGAGCTGGTTTTTGAAAAAACTAATAAAATAGATTGCTAACTAGACTAATGAAGAAAAGAGAGAAGAATCAAATAGACACAATAAAAAATGGTAAAGGGGATATCACCCCGACCCCACAGAAATACAACCAACCATCAGAGACTACTATAAACACTTCTATGCAAATAAGCTAGAAATATAGAAGAAATGGATACATTCCTGGACACATACACCCTCCCAAGACTGAACCAGGAAGTTGAACCCCTGAATAGACCAATAACGAGTTCTGAAATTAGGCAATAATAAGCTACCAACAACAACAAAAAAAAAGCCCAGGACCAGATGGATTTACAGCTGAATTCTACCACGGGTACAAAGAGAAGCTGGTACCATTTCTTCTGGATCTATTCCAAACAATTGAAAAGGAGGGACTCCTCACTAACTCATTTTATGAGGCCAGCATCATCCTGATATGAAACCTGGCAGAGATACAACAAAAAAAGAAAACTTCAGGGCAATGTCCCTGATGAACATCGATGCAAAAATTTTCAATAAAATACTGGCAAACTGAATCCAGGAGCACATCAAAATGCTTATCCACTAATATCAAATCAGCTTTATCCCTGGGATGCAAGGTTGATTCAACATATGCAAGTCAATAAATGTAATTCATCACATAAACAGAACTAAAGACAAAAACCACATGATTATCTCAATAGATGCAGAAAAGGACTTTGATAAAATTCAACATCCCTTCATGTTAAAAACTCTCAATAAACTAGGTTTTGATGGAACATATCTCAAAATAGTAAGAGCCACATGACAAACCCACAGCCAATATCAGACTGAATAGGCAAAACCTGGAATCTTTCCCCTTGAAAACCAGCACAAGACAAGGATGTCCTCTATCACCACTTCTATTCAACATGGTATTGGAAGTTCTGGCCAGGGCAATCAGTCAAGAGAAAGAAATAAAGGGTATTCAAATAGGAAGAGAGGAAATCAAACTGTCTCTGTTTGCAGATGACATGACCCTATATCTAGAAAACTCCATTGTCTCAGCCCAAAAGCTTCTTAAGCTGATAAGCAAATTCAGCAATGTCTCAGCATACAAAATCAATATGCAAAAATCACAAGCATTCCTATATGCCAACAATAGGCAAGCAGAAAGCCAAATCATAAACTCCCATTCACAAATGCTACAAAGAGAATAAAATACCTAGGAATACAGATAACAAGGGAAGTGAAGGACCTCTTCAAGGAGACTACAAACCACTGCTCAAGTAAATAAGAGAGGACACAAACAAATGGAAATACATTCCATGATCATGGATGGGAAGAATCAATATCGTGAAAATGGCCATGCTGCTCAAAGTAATTTATGGATTCAATGCTATTCCCATTAAACTACCATTGACATTCTTCACAGAATTAGAAAAAACTACTTTAATGTTCATATGGAACCAAAAAAAGCCCAAATAGCCAAGACAATCCTATGCAAAAAGAACAAAGCTGGAGGCATCACACTACCCAACTCCAAACTATACTATGAGGCTACAGTAACCAAACGAGCACAGTACTGGTCCAAAAACGACACATAGACCAATGGAACAGAATAGAGATCTCAGAAATAAGACCACACATCTGGAACCATCTGACCTTCAACAAACCTGAAAAAACAAGCAATTGGGAAAGGAGTTCCTATTTAATAAGTGGTGCTGGGAGAACTGGCTAGCCATATGCAGAAAATTGAAACTGGACCCCTTCCCTACACCTTATACAAAAATGAACTCAAAATGGATTAAAGACTTTAAAACCCAAAACTATAAATATCCTAGAAGAAAATATAGGCAATATCATTCAGGACATAGGCACAGGCAAGATTTCATGATGAAAATGCCAAAAGCTATTGCAACAAAAGCAAAAATTGACAAATGGGATCTAATTAAACTAAAGAGCTTCTGTACAGCAAAAGAAACTATCATCAGAGTGAACAGAAAATCTACAGAATGAGGGAAAACTTTTGCAACCTATCCATTTGACAAAGGTCTAATATCCAGAGTCTACAAGGAACCTAAACAAATTTACAAGAACAAATAATCCCATTAAAAAATAGGCAAAGGACATGAACAGACACTTCTCAAAAGAAGACATTTATGTGGTGAACAAACATGAAAAAAAAACCAACATCACTAATCATTAGAGAAATGCAAATCAAAACCACGAGATGCCATCTCATGCCAGTCAGTATTAAAAAGGCAAGAAACAACAGATGCTGTGGAGAGATAGGAACAGTTTCACGCTGTTGGTAGGAATATAAATTAGTTCAATCATTGTGGAAGACAGTGTGGTGATTCCTCAAAGACCTCAGACCAGAAATATCATTTGACTCAGCAATCCCATTACTGAGTATATACCCAAAGGAATATAAATCATTCTATTATGAAGATACATGCACACGTATGTTTATTGCAGCACTATTCACAATAGCAAAGACATGGAATCAACCCAAATGCCAATCAACGATAGACTGGATAAAGAAAATGGAATGATAGACTGGATAAAGAAAACGGAATATTATGCAGCCATAAAAAGGAAACAGATCGTGTCCTTTGCAGGGCTGTGGATGGAGCTGGAAGCCATTATCCTCAGCAAACTAACACAGGAACAGAAAACTAAACACTGTGTGTTCTCACTTATAAGTGGGAGCTGAACAATGAGAACACATGGACACAGGGAGAGGAACAATACACACTGGGGCCTGTTGGGGGTGCAGCAGGAGGAGAGGATCAGGATCAATAGCTAATACATGTGAGACTTAATACCTAGGTGATGGGTTGATAGATGCAGCAAACTACCATGGCACATGTTTACTTATGTAACAAACCTGCATGTCCTGCACATGTATCCTAGAACTTAAAATTAAATTTTTTTAAAAGATACAATTCACATACCCTTTAAAAGTATACAGTTCCTGGATTTTAGTACATTCACAGCCATGCAACCATCACCACCATGTGATTTCAGAACATTTTCATCATCCAAAAAAAAAAAAAAAACCAGCCAGGTGTGGTGGCTTATTCCTGTAATCCCAACACTTTGGGAGGCCAAGGCGGGTGCATCATTTGAGGTCAGGAGTTTGAGACCAGTCTGGCCAACATGGTGAAACTCCGTCTCTACTAAAAAATACAAAAATTATCCGGGCGTGTTGGTGGGCACCTGTAATCCCAGCTATTCAGGAGGCTGAGGTGGGAGAATTGCTTGAACCTGGGAGGCAGAGGTTACAGTGAGCCCAGATTGTGCCATAGAACTCCAGCCTGGGTAACAGAGCAAGACTCTGTCTGGAAAAAAAAATTATCCCCATTGCCCCTCTCTCTTAGCCCCTGGCAACCACTAATCTACTTTCTCTTTCTATGAATGTGTATATTCTGACCATTTCATTTAAATGGAATCAGAATATGTGGCTATTTGTGGCTGGCTTCTTTTACTTCACATAATGTTTTCAAGGTTTGTCTGTGTTGTAGCATATTTCAGTACTTCATTTTTAATAGGTAAATAATATTCTACGATATGGACATATCACATTTTGTTTATTCATCCATCAATTGATAAACCTTTGGGCTGTTTCCTCTTTTTGGTTGTTGTGAATAATGCTGCTCTGAATATTCATGCACAAATTTTGTGTGGACATGTTTTCAGTTCTCTTGGGTACAGCTAGGAATGAAATTGCTGGGGTCATATGTTAACTCTATTTTTCCTTCTTTTGAGAAACATTCAACAGTTTTCTAAAGCATGTGTACCATTTTACAAGCCCACTGGTAACGTACAAGTACTCTAATTTCTCCACATCCTCAACAGCACTTGCAGTTTTTTTCCATTTAAAAATAATTATAGCCAGCCTAGTGGATGTGAAGTGGTATCTTAATGTGGTTTTGATTTACATTTCCCTGATGACTAATGAGGTCAAACATCTTTTTATGTGCTTATTATTCATGTATATATTTTGAGAAATGTCTATTTAGATTCTTTGTTTATTTTAAATTAGTTAATTTTTTATTGTATGGTAAGAATTCTTTATATATTCTGGATTTTGGGCCCTTATATGATTTGCAAATGTTTTTTTCTATTCTGTGGGTTGTCTTCTCACTTCTCCATGATGTTCTTCGAAGCACAAAGGTTTTAATTTTGATGTAGTCCAGTTTATTTTTTTCTTTTGTTAGTTTTTCCTTTTGCTATAACACCAGGTCACAAAGATTTACTCCTATATTTTTTCTTAGAGTTTTTATAGTTTTGGCTTTTAACTTTTAGGTCTGTGATCCATTTTGAGTTAATTATTTTGTATATGGTGTGAAGTAGGGATCAATTTCATTCTTTTGCATGTGGAGATACAGTTGGTCCCAGCACCCTTTGTTGAAAAGACTATTCTTTCCCACATTTGTCTTGATACCCTTGTCCTCAATGAGATTTTAAAATGTAATTTAGCACACTAAAATTTAATATGTAAGAACAACCAAAAGAATCTTAAAAGTTAGAAACAACAAAGGGAATTGTCCTCTAAGTAATTCAAATGTCAATCTTTAGGAAATAGTTTATATACCATAGATGAAATAAATGGATCAATAAAGTAGAAAACAAAGAGAAATGTGTATATATATGAGAATTTGATATATGATAACAATAACATCTCAAAACAGTAGAGAAGGAATAAACTAGTCAGTAAGTGATATTGGGAAAATTAGCTATTTATTTGAAAAAAAAAATACCTCATAACATATAAATTCCAGAAGGAAATAAGTGACTACCATTTTTTTGAGACAAGGTCTCACTCTGTTGCCCAGGCTGGAGTGCAGTGGTACAATCAGGGCTCACTGTACCTTTGATCTCCCAGGCTCAAGCATCCTCCCACCTCAGCCTCAAAAGTAGCTGGGACCACAGGTGCACACTACCATGCCTAGCTAATTTTTTTATTTTTTATTTTGTGGAGAGGGGGGCGCTCACTATGGAGATGGGGGTGCTATGTTGCCCAGGCTGGTCTTGAACTCCTGAGCTCAGGCTATCCTCCGACCATGGCTTCCCAAAGTGCTGGGATTACAGGCATGAATCAATGAGCCCAGCCATGACTACCATTCTGTGGTAGTTTACCAAGAGACAAGAGCTAGGCACACAAATATGAGGTTTTCTTCAGATCCTTCCATAAGTACTATTTAATAAACACAAGTTTAAGAAGAGTTTTGAAAAAGTTATATTATTACCATTGATAGAATTATAATAGCATAGCTCTCTTCAAATCATTACCAAAAAAAGGAAAAAAGAAAACAACATGGCTTTGGGTGAAAAACATAAAAAAGAAATAAACCTAAAACAAAGTAACAAGTAAGAGTAAGTATAACTATTATAAAGATGAAGTCCTCTTTAAAAAGTTATAACTTTTAGATTAGATTCACAAGGAGGAGAACATTTATTGGTTGCTAAATGAAATAATATAAGAACTTAAGGTTCTAAGATTATCTAACTTGTCCATGGCCACCCAGCTTCTAAATGGCAGAACTGGGATTAAAAAAACAAAATATATCTAAAATAAAATTGTGCAAAAAGTTTCATAACAAAGGTAAATATGTAGCACTGTAATTACAAAGCTTGTATAAAATGTTGTAATGATACTATACACAAGGGCTTATGCCATCGAGTAGAGCCCAAGACTGGGCAGAATATGGACAGAGGAACCTAAAAGAATGTATGTTTATTCCAGAGGACTGCTGTAACCAGTTACCATGAACCTGGTAGCTTAAACAGAAATTTATTCTCTCGCAGTTTTGGAGGCCTGAAGTCTGAAATCAGGGTGTCAGCCAAGCCATACTCCCTTTGGAGGCTGTAGGGGAAAATGCTTTCTCGCCTGTTCCAGATTCTCCTGGCTCTCAGCCTTCCTTTTGGCTGCATCACTCCAATCTCCACTTCCATTTTTACGTGACCTCCAGTGTCTGTCTTCTCTTCTTTCTCTTAAAGTGTCTCTTAAAGACACTTGTGATTGAATTTAGGGCACACAGGGGTAATCCAGGATGATCTCATCTCTAGACCCTTAATTATATTTACAAAGACCCTTTTTTTCCAAGTAAGAACCTGACATTCGCAGATTCAAGGGATTTAGACCAATATTTGGAGGGGGGAGGGCATGTTTCAACTCACTATAGTATTTAAAACTAGAGGGAAATATGAATCACAATTGAGGCAGAATGCAAACAGATGAAGCCATTCTGAATGTTAGGTATAAAAGGTGAGGCAAATCTTGAGGTCAAAAATCCTGGATGATTGTTCATAGGTTAGAACATGGAATGTAAAGTTAGGCTAGGCCAGTGGTCTGCAAACAGGAATCTCTGGAGGTACATGGAAACACAAGTAGATATGGTTTGAAGATAGTCAATTTCTAGACCCTCTTTCCTAAAATGTATTTGTCTTAAAATAGACCTGTATTCACAATAACTCTTTTCCAGTATCCCATAAGAAAATTCCTCACCTGTCCCAAACTTTACTTCTGGATTGCCAAACAAAAGGAAAGAATTCTTTAGTGATAATGAAGACACCATAAGTCCCTATGGCTTCCTTCTATCAAGGATGAAGTATGGGATTCAAAATAGGGTATTTTGGCCAGTGTTAGGATATTCTACAATGAGATTATGATAGAAGGCATAGTGGAAGCAATGAAAAATTTTAAAAACTTCTTTTATCTCCACAACTGTTGCTAAAAAATGTCTTGCTCTTGAGGGAGGGTCCCTTGAGAATACAAAAAAGAACATTAGAAATATTAAAAGATAAACATGGCATTTATGTAGTTAAACATAAGCAATTATTTCATCTATATTAATCTCCCATCCCTAGGTGCATGCTTAGCTTAAAAGAAAAGCATCTTTAACAGGAGCACTAGAGGTCTATAGCACTATACTTGATCTTCCACTTCACATGCAGGAAGAGGTGGTCTGATATGAGGCTTTACAAGGATTCCTAAGCAGGGCTGCTATGGTTTGAATGTTTGAACGGGCCGGGCATGGTGGCTCATGCCTGTAATCCCAGCACTTTGGGAGGCCAAGACGGGTGGATCACTTGAGGTCAGGAGTTCGAGACCAGCCTGGGCAACATGGTGAAACCCCATGTCTACTAAAAATACAAAAATCAGCCAGGCATGGTGACACACACCTGTGATCCCAGCTACTTGGGAGGCTGAGGCACAAGAATTGCATGAACCCGAGAGGAGGAGGTTGCAGTGAGCCAAGATTGCACACTGCACTCCAGCCTGAGTGATAGACAAAGACTGTCTCAAAAAAAAAAAAAAAAAAGTTTCAACTCATGTTGAAACTTAATCCCCAATGCAAAAGTGTTGGGAGGTGAGGCCTAATGGGAGGTGTTTAGGTCATGAGGACTGAGGACTTCACCCTTCATGAATGGAATGCCACTATAAAATGGAATGGATTTGCTCTTTTCTGCTTTTCTGCCATGTGAGGAACAGTGTTCCTCCCACTCCTCAAGAGGATGCAGTGTTCAAGGTGCCATCTTAGAAGCAGAGACTGGGCCCTTTCCAGACACCAAAACCTGCCATCACCTTGGACTTCTCAGCCTCTAGAACTGTGTAAAATAAATTTCTGTTCCTTATAAATTACCCAGTCTCAGGTATTGTTATAGCAGCACAAAATGGACTAAGACAGTGGCAAATGGCTTGGCTGGTTGGGCAGAGACATGAAAGGATTAATAATTGGGATACTGTAGATAAGGAAGTCTAGGTAAGAGGCATGTAAATGGATCTATGGGATTGCGCACAGGCTGAAAAAGTTTGTGTTGTAGAGAGAATCTTATGAAAAATGGGCATTAAACAAGTATACAAGGAGCCAGTCTGTCTTTTGCTACCATGGTTCTGTGCAATGGGCTCATGAATTAAGAAACCATGATTGCAGGGATGTAGGTGTTACATGGGCCCAACAACATGGTCTCTTTATCACCAAGGCTCATTCAGCTATTGTTATTGTTGAATGACTGAAGCTTCAGCTGCAGAAACTGACTGTAAGCCTCTGTGTGGTAACATCCTTTAGGAGATCAGCCAGCCATATGGTGGCAAGTTGATTAAAATGGACGCTTTTTATTTAGGAAGAAGCACTGATTTGTTCTTGCTGGAACTGGCAACTACACTGGAGGTGGGTTTACCTTCACCTTCTTCAGTGACTGACTGTATCACTATTTGAGGAGCTTACTGAGTGGCTAATTTATGAATGTGGGAGCCTGCAAAACATTGCTTCAGACCAATGTACCCATTTTACAGTGAAGGATGTATGACAGTGTGTGTATGATCATGAGATCATACACATGAGTAGATCATGAGATCTACAGGTCTTACCATATACCATATCACCTAGAAGTTGACATACTAATTTTGAAATGGCTTCTTTAAGACTAAGCTAAAGGCTGGTGCCTCATACCTGTAATTCCTGCACTTTGGGAGGCTGAGGTAGGAGGATCGCTTGAGCTCAGGAATTCAAGACCAGCCTGAGAACACGATGAAACCCCATCTCCACAAAAGATACCCAAATTAGCTGGCTTGCTAGCATGTGCCTGTAGTACCAGTTACTCGGGAGGCTGCGGTGAGAGGATCACATGAGCCCAGAAGGTCGATGCTGCAGTGAGCTGTGATTGCACCACTGCCCTCCAGCCTGGGCAACAGAATGAGACCCTGTCTCAAAAAAACGAAGACTCATCTAAGGCACCAGTTTAGGAATGACACCATTCAGGGTTAGGGTGCTCTTGTCCAAGTTGTGGTACATATATTGAAGCTATTGCCTAACAAATTGTTCTCTATCCCCAGTAGCTATTATACACAGGTCCAGTAACCAAGGGTGAAAGTAGAATTGGCTTTTCTCACCGTTATTTCCAGAGTCCCACTAATCTTTCTTTTCCCATAAACTTAGGCTGTGCTAGTTTAAAGGTTCTGTTTCTTAGGGCAGGAGTTCCACTGACCATGAAGCTATGGCTACTGCCTGGTCTTTGGGTCCCTCATTTTAATAGATCGACAGGTTAAACATACATACATGTATATGTGGGTAGATGCCATTTATGAGATTGAGGAAGTTTTTCTAGTTCTACTTTGCTGAGAATTTCATGTTAAATTTCCTCAAATGCTTTGTCTATATCTATTGAAATAATCATATGGATTTTCACCTTTATTTTTAATTTTTTAAAATTATACTTTAAGTTCTGGCATACATGTGCAGAACATGCAGGTTACATAGGTATACATGTGCCATGGTGGTTTGCTGCACCCATCAACCTGTCATCTACATTAGGTATTTCTCCTAATGCTATCCCCTCCCCTTGTCCCCCCACCCCCCGACAGGCCCTGTTGTGTGATGTTCCCCTCCCTGTGCCCATATGTTCTCATTGTTCAACTCCCACTTATGAGTGAGAACATACGGTGTTTGGTCTTCTGTTCCTGTGTTAGTTTGCTGAGAATGATGGTTTCCAGCTCCATCCATGTCCCTGCAAAGGACATGAACTTTCTTTTTTATGGCTGCACAGTGTTCCGTGGTGTATATGTGCCACATTTTCTTTATCCAGTCTGTCATTGATGGGCATTTGGGTTGGTTCCAAGTCTTTGCTATTGTGAATACTACTGCAATAAACGTATGTGTGAATATGTCTTTATAGTAGAATGATTTATAATCCTTTGGGTGTATATCCGGTAATGGGATTGCTGGGTCAAATGGTATTTCTAGTTCTAGATCCTTGAGGAATCGCCACACTGTCTTCCACAATGGTTGAACTAATTTACACTCCCACCAACAGTGTAAAAGCGATCCTATTTCTCCACATCCCCTCCAGCATCTGTTGTTTCCTGACTTTTTATGATCGCCATCCTAACTGGTGTGAGATGGTATCTCGTGGTTTTGATTTGCATTTCTCTAATGACCAGTGATGATGAGCTTTTTTTCATATGTTTGTTGGCCACATAAATATCTTCTTTTGAACAGTGTCTGTTCATATCCTTTGCCCACTTTTTGATGGGGTTGCTTTTTTTTCTTATAGATTTGTTTAAATTCCTTGTAGATTCTGGACATTAGCCCTTTGTCAGATGGATAGATTGCAAAAGTTTTCTCCCACTCTGTAGGTTGCCTCTTCACTCTGATGATAGTTTCTTTTGCTGTGCAGAAGCTCTTTAATTGGATCCTATTTGTCATTTTTGGCTTTTGTTGCAATTGCTTCTTGTGTTTTAGTCATGAAGTTTTTGCCCATGCCTGTGTCCTGAATGGTATTGCCTAGGTTTTCTTCTAGGGTATTTATGGTTTTAGGTCTTATGTTTAAATCTTTAATCCATCTTGAGTTAATTTTTGTATAAGGTGTAAGGAAGGGGTCCAGTTTCAGTTTTCTGCATATGGCTAGCCAGTTTTCCCAACACCATTTATTAAATAGGGTATTCTTTCCCCATAGCTTGTTTTTGTTAAGGTTTGTTGAAGATCAGATGGTTGTAGATGTGTGGTGTTATTTCTGACGCCTCTGTTCTGTTCCATTGGTCTATATATCTGTTTTGGTACCAGAACCATGCTGTTTTGGTTACTGTAGGCTTGTAGTATAGTTTGAAGTCAGGTAGTGTGATGCCTCCAGCTTTGTTGTTTTTGCTTAGGATTGTCTTGGCTATATGGGCTCTTTTTTGATTCCATATGAAATTTAAAGTAGTTTTTCCTAGTTCTGTGAAGAAAGTCAATGGTAGCTTGATGGGAATAGCATTGAATCTATAAATTACTTTGGGCAGTATGGCCATTATCACAATATTGATTCTTCCTATCCATTAGCATGGAATGTTTTTCCATTTGTTTGTATTCTCTCTTATTTCCTTGAGCAGTGGTTTGTAGTTCTCCTTGAAGTGGTCCTTCACATCCCTTGTAAGTTGTATTCCTAGGTATTTTATTCTCTTTGTAGCACTTGTGAATGGGAGTTTACTCATGATTTGGCTCTCTATTATTGGTGTATAGGAATGGTTGTGATTTTTGCACATTGATTTTGTATCCTGAGACTTTGCTTATCAGCTTTAGGAGTTTTTGGGCTGAGACCATGGGGTTTTCTAAATATACAATTATGCCATCTGCAAACAGAGATAATTTGACTTCCTCTCTTCCTATTTGAATATCCTTTATTTCTTTCTCTTGCCTGATGGCCCTGGCCAGGACTTCCAATACTACGTTGAATAGGAGTGGTAAGAGAGGGCATCCTTGTGCCAGTTTTCAAAGGGAATGCTTCCAGCTTTTGCCCATTCAGTATGATATTGGCTGTGGGTTTGTCATAAATAGCTCTTATTATTTTGAGATACGTTCCATCAATAGCTAGTTTATTGAGTGTTTTTAGGATGAAGGGGTGTTGAATTTTATTGAAGGCCTTTTCTGCATCTATTGAGATAATCATGTGGTTTTTGTCATTGGTTCTGTTTATGTGACGGATTATGTTTATTGATTTGCATATGTTGAAACAGCCTTGCATCCCAGGGATGAAGCTGACTTGATCGTGGTGGATAAGGTTTTTAATCTGCTGCTATATTTGGCTTGCCAGTATTTCATTGAGGATTTTTGCATCGATGTTTATTAGGGATATTGGCCTGAAATTTTCTTTTTTTGTTGTGTCTCTGCCAGGTTTTGGTATCAGGATGATGCTGGTCTTATAAAATGAGTTATGGAGGAGTCCCTCTTTTTCTATTGTTTGGAATAGTTTTAGAAGGAATGGTACCAGCTCATCTTTGTACCTCTGGTAGAATTTGGCTGTGAATCCATCTGGTCCTGGGCTTTTTTTAGTTGGTAGGCCATTAGTTACTGCCTCAATTTCAGAACTTTTATTGGTCTATTCAGGGATTCGATTTCTTCCTGGTTTAGCCTTGGGAGGGTGCATGTGTCCAGGAATTTATCCATTTCTTCTAGATTTTCTAGTTTATTTGTGTAGAGGTGTTTGTAGTATTCTCTGATGTTAGTTTGTATTTCTGTGGGATCAGTGGTGATATCCTTTTTATCATTTTTTATTGTGTCTATTTGATTCTTCTCTCCTTATTAGTCTGGCTAGCAGTCTATTTTGTTAATGTTTTCAAAAAACCAGCTCCTGGATTCATTGATTTTTTGAAGGGATTTTCATGTCTCTATCTCCTTCAGTTCTGCTCTGATCTTAGTTATTTCTTGTCTTCTGCTGGAAGTGGGGTGCAGAGAGAGGGACAGAAAAGAGTGAGTGGGATGCTGACATCACCATCTTAGTTTGGTGAAATAATTAGACCAGGCTTCAAGTCGCACCAGAAGCCAACTATGCCCCACTTACAAGTGTTCTGGCTCCACCCAGCAGCCACCAACCTTCAACGCCAGCTTCCCAGAGCCCTGCCTTTTACTGCAACTGCTGATTTGCCTGGCAGGTTTTTGCCTCTCATTTTTGCATGCATAGAACCTGGGGCCAGCAAGAGCTCTGCTAGTCTGACAGGGGGCTGAAGGGAGTCAGCATTCAGATGCCAGGGAATTTCCATTAAAATGGAAGAAAATTAAGAAATCAAATTCTCAACTCAAAAAACTAGTAAAAACATTAATATAGAAACAAAAGAAACAAAATAATAAAGACAAAAGCAGATATTGGTGATATATAAAACCAAAAGGCAGTAGAACTAATATATAAGTAAAAATCCTCATTTATTTGTTTACTTGTAATTTCTTTCCCTCCTCTTTATTCCTCCATCTCCTTCTTTTCAACAGGGTGACACATTCAACTGGAGAGGGAGTGCTTCACCCTCTTCAGTCAGCTATTTGTGCTTGTGCTTTCATGTTGGGACTTTCCTTTTTTTTTTTTTTTTTGAGATGGAGTCTCCCTCTGTCACTCAGACTGGAGTGCAGTGGCGCGACCTCGGCTCACTGCAACCTCCGCCTCCCAAGTTCAAGCGATTCTCGTGCCTCAGCCTCCTTGCTGGGACTACAGGCGTGCACCCACCACACCCAGCTAACTTTTTTTGTATTTTTAGTAGAGATGGGGTTTCACCACGTTGGTCAGGCTGGTCTTGAACTCCTGACCTCAAATAATGCACCCACCTTGGCCTCCCAAAGTGCTGGGATTACAGACATAAGCCACCTTGCCCGGCCCCAGGACTTTCCTTTCATGTTATCCTAGGAGTTCCCTTTACTTCTTGTGTATTAATCTCCTATTTCCTGGATCCCAGATCTTTCTTAGTTTCTTCCCTCATTTCATGAATTTCTTCCTCCAGCAACTTCCCAAGAAAGAATACATGGAAGTAAAATTTTCAGCTTCTCATATGTAAAACCGTTCTACTCTTACACGTGATTGATAGTTTGGCTGGATATAGAACTCTAGGTTAAATACAGATATTGGCAGGGTATAAAAAAAGAAAAACAAAATGAAAAAGAACTCTGGGTTAAAAATCATTTTTCCTCAGGAATTTGAAGGCATTTCTCTATAATTTTCTAGCTTCCAGTGTTCCTGTTAAAAATGTCATTCTGATTTAGCACGTGACCTGTTTTTCTTTCCTTTTTTGTTTGTTTGTTTCAGAGGGAATTTTGGTCTGTTGCCAAGGCTGGAGTGCAGTGGTGCAATCTCAGCTCGCTGCAACCTCCCTCTCCTGGGTTCAAATGATTATCCTGTAGCAGCCTCCTGAGTAGCTGGGATTACAGGCACACACCATTACACCCAGGTAATTTTTATATTTTCAGTGGAGACGAAGTTCTCCATGTTGGCCAGGCTGGTCTCGAACTCCTGACCTCAGGTGTTCCTCCTGCCTCAGCCTCCCACAGAGCTGAGATTACAGGCATGAGCCACCACGCCCAGCTGGTTCTTTTTCTTGAGTCTTCTAAATTTAAGTGTGATGTGCCTTGCTTTTGGCTTTTTCATTCACTAATATATAAATCAGTGGTTGTATCATTTTACATTCTATCAACAATGTATGACAATTCTGGTTGCTCCACATTCTTCTAATATTTCATGTTGTGAGGTTTTTGTGTGTTTTTGTCATTCTGGTTAGTGTGTAGAGATATATAATAGTTCTAATTTAAAAATATAAATAATAAAATATCATTTAAACTTTCCCCCTTCCTAAAAGACAGTAATATTCTTTTTGGTTTGGGAATTTGCAAACCAGACTTATATGCTATTGCTGAAGGTATAAGTTTGTGCAGACTTTTTAGTGGGGAAATTGTATTAGACCATTCTTGCATTGCTATGAAGAAATACCTGAGACTGGGTAATTTATAAATAAAGAGGTTTAATTGGCTTGTGGTTCTACAGGCTGTATAGGAAAACAGTGCTGGCATCAGCTTCTGGGGAAGCCTCAGGGAGCTTTTATGCATGGCAGAAGAAGAAGCAAGAACAGGCACATCATATGGCAAAAACAGGAGCAAGAAAGAGAGAGAGCGCGAGAGTGAGGGGGAGGTGCCACACACATTAAATCACCAAATCTGGTGTGAACTCAGAGTGAGAGCTCACTTCTCACCAAGGGGATGGCCCAAGCCATTCATGAGGGATCTGTCCTCATGATCCAATCACCTCCCACCAAACCTCACCTCCAACATTGAGGATTACAATTGAACATGAGATTTTGGTGGGGACAAATATACAAACTATACCAGAAATTATTTCTTCAACATCTCTTTTTTTTGAGACAGGGTCTCACTCTGTTACCCAGGTTTGAGTGCAGTGGTGCCATCATGGAGTGGAGGGAACTCACTGAATCTTCTGGGCTCAAGTGGTCCTCCCACTTCAGCCTCCTGAATAGCTGAGACTACCGGTGCCCATCACAACACAGGGCTAATTTTAAAGTTTTTCATAGAGGTAGGGTCTCACTATGTTGCCCAGGCTGGTCTCCAACTCCTAGCCTCAAGCAGTCTTCCCTACCCAACCTTCCAAAGTGCTGAGATTACAGATGTGAGCCACCACACCTGGCCCAGATCTTCATTTAGTGCCAACTATGTCATGAGTATAATGGGAAATAAGACAAGGTCATGCCTTCACCAAAAAGACAGACAATATAAAAATAAGTAAAAACAAAATCTTACACATTATTATCAGTTCTAGGAAGAAAATAAATAGAGTGCCACAAAGTAAAGAACAGATATGCAAACCTGGATGGCAGGGTCATGGAAGGCTCTTCAAGGAGGTACTACTTAAGCAGTTTGGATACATATTTAAAGGTAAAATGTGCTTACCTTTTGACAAGAAAATTCACCTTCTAGAAATCTGGATTACAGAAATACATACACATACAAAAATTTATATCAAAGATGTTTGCTAGTTCTTCCTCCCTTGTCCCATCACAATCCATTCTTGCTTATAGTATACACTGTGATCTAAAAACTCAAATCTGATAGTTACTTCTTTGCTTAAAACCCTTCAGTGACTTGCACTTTAAATAAAATTCAAACTCCTTACTTTATTTTATTTATTTATATTTTTGAGGTGGAGTCTTGCTCTGTTGCTCAGGCTGGAGTGCAGTGGCGCAATCTCGGCTCACTGCAAGCTCCGCCTTCTGGGTTCACGCCATTCTCCTGTCTCAGTCTCCTGAGTAGCTGGGACTACAGGCACCCACCACCACACGAGGCTACTTTTTTGTATTTTTAGTAGAGATGGGGTTTCACCGTGTTAGCCAGGATGGTCTCGATCTCCTGACTTCGTGATCCACCCGCCTCGGCCTCCCAGAGTGCTGGGATTACAGGTGTGAGCCACCGCGCCCAGCCACAAACTCCTTACTTTATAAGGCCCCTCATAATCTAGTTACTCTCCCTATATAGCTTAATTTATTTCATACCATTTTCCCTTTCTCCTTATGACCCAGGCACCCTGGTCTGTTTTCTGTCACATAAGCCAAGCCTTTGCACTCACTGTTCTTTGTCTTAAAGCCCTTCCCACAGGCTTCACATGGTTAATAAATTGTCATACTTTGGGTCTCAGCTTAAGTCTGCCAAGAGTGATCCTCTTGACCACATAGGTAGTTTATGTTCTGCTAACTTGGTTAAGCTTGGAACTATACTTCTCAGAATTACTTTCTGTATGGTTCCAGGTTTGAGTTATTCAAAAAAGGGACTTGCATGAAAAATAGAAAGTATAAGTAAAGCTACGACCACTACTCTGATAGTCATCAGAAAGAATGTGGTGCTTGGTTTTCTGTTCCTGTGTTAGTTTGCTGAGGATAATGACTTCCAGCTCCATCCATGTCCCTGCAAAGGACATGATCTTTCCTTTTTATGGCTGCATAGTATTCCGTGGTGTATATGTACCACATTTTCTTTATCCAGTCTATCATTGATGGACATTTGGGTTGATTCCATGTCTTTGCTATTGTGAATAGCTGCAATGAACATACGTGTGCATGTATCTTTATAAGACAATGATTTATATTCCTTTGGGTATATACTCAGGAATGGGATTGTTGGGTCAAATGGTATTTCTGGTTCTAGGTCTTTGAGAAATCAGCACACCATCTTTCACAATAGTTGAACTAATTTACACTCCCAACAATGTAAAGGCATTCCTTTTTCTCAACAACCTCACCAGCATCTGTTGTTTCTTGACTTTTTGATAATTGTCTTTCTGGCTGGCATGAGATGGTATCTCATTGTAGTTTTGATTTGCATTTCTCTAATCATCAGTGATGTTGAGCTTTTTTTCATGTTTGTTGGCCATATAAATGTCTTCTTTTGAGAAGTGTCTGTTCATGTCCTTTGTCCACTTTTTAATGGGGTTGTTTGCTTTTTCTTGTAAATTTGTTTAAGTTCCTTGTAGACTCTGGATATTAGACTTTGTCAGACAGATAGATTGAAAAAATTTTCTTCCATTCTGTAGGTTGATAGTTTCTTTTGCTGTGCAGAAGCTCTTTAGTTTAATTAGATCCCATTTGTCAATTTTTGCTTTTGTTGCTATTGCTTTTGGCATTTTCATCATGAAATGTTTGCCCATGCCTATGTCCTGAATGGTATTGCCTAGATTTCCTTCTAGGGTTTTTATGGTTTTGGATTTTACATTTAAGTCTTATTTAATCCATGTTGAGTTAATTTTTGTAGTTAACTTTTGTAAAATGAATTGAGCCTACTTCCATCAGTTCATTCCTCTCAGCCTCAGCCCAGTTCTATATCCTTGCTGGAGAGGTGTTGTGGCCATTGGAGGAGAAGAGACACTCTGGCTTTTTGAGTTTTCAGTGTTATTATGTTGATTCCTTTTCATCTTTGTGGGCTTATCTACCTTTGATCTTTGAGGTTGCTGATATTTAAATGGGACTTTTGTGGGGTTTTTTTTTGTTGATGTGGTTGTTGCTTTCTGTTTTTCTTTAACAGTCAGGCCACTCTCCCATAGGGCTGCTGCAGTTTGCTGGGGGTCCACTCCAGACTCTAATCACCTAAATCCCTCCTGCACATGGAGGTATCACCAATGAAGCCTGAGAAACACCAAAGATGGCAGTCTGCTCCTTCCTCAAGACTGTATATCTACCCAATAGAATACTATAAAATCACTGCATGTCCACACAAGGAATGCTGCACCATCAAAGACTACACAAGGAACAATTCTATACATTCTGATATAGAAATTTCTCTTAAGACATACCGTTATATATAAAAAATAAATTGTAGATCAATACATACAATACAGTCCAATTCACATAAAATAAACAAAACTGTGTGCATATACATATATGTGAACTAAAAAAATATTGAGACATATAGACCAAATTGTTAATGATAGTTATATTTGTGGAGGTGAATAAAACTGGGGTTTAAGAAAGGAGTTAGGATTGCTCCATATACATCTGTTTGCTTGCATTTTTAAGTAAAATATATGTATGTATACCTTGTGTAATTAACAAAGTAAACCAACATAAAAAGAAAAATCATCATGACCAGTAGAGGTTGTCTTTACAGTACAATAAATTTCTCTTTACAAAAAATATTACACAAGAAACTTGTAATAATTATGCTTAAAAAATATATTCACCCAAAACAAACATTACCCGTGATCTCAACGTTCAGAGATAACAACTGCAGAGATACTGAATTCTTTTCCAAATAGCATGACACAGTACAAAACATTTGAAACATGATTCCCCCCGCCAACCCCACACTCAACAATATATAATTTATCTTTAAAGGTCAGTAAACACACAACCTCCAAACACTGCCCTTCACAGATCCCCCACCACTGAGCCATGCTGGCTACCATTCATTGATGCTTGAAAAACTCTCAAATCACATACTTCCAGTTAACACTCCCCCATATGAAATCATTGAAACCATAGATCCCTGACTCCACAGAAATACCGATTGCAGGCTTTCCTACACCCCTAAATCACAGCATCCACAGAAGCCTCTCAACTGAATCCTAAACTCCCCTTCACCACTGATTTCCACTGATCACCAACTTGATCCTGACAGGCTAACAAAACTAATATCCAGCAATTCTCCAATTATTGACTTCTACAGCCATCAGTCAAGAGCAAATCACAGTGGACCCTCAAATAACTCACATCACTAACTTCACAGTACCTCTTGTAAATTCCTGATTGTCATAGCTTCCACCAAAAAAGAAATATCCCAAGCATAGACCCCACAGATCCTAATCACCATTACCCACAGGCAACCCCAATCACTAATTCCCAGAAGTATCTATTCACTGACCACCACTGGCCCCTCCAAACACTGAATCCCACAACTTCCTCCAATCCCTGAATTCTGTATATCCCAACCAATCCACAAACAGCAAATCACTGACCTCTATAGACTGTCAACACTAACTCCCTAAAAATATCCCCCAAACCTGAGGCTCTGGCCCCCACAATCACTAAAACCTATAGTTCTCTAATTTACTAACTTCTCACAAGTCTTCCCATTCATTTGTCTCCTAACAACACCCTCCCCTATAGGCCTCAGATTTTTCAGCTGCAGAGATGCTGTCAATCACTGATCTTCACCAAACTTCAGTAGATTCCTCATCCAACCTCTTCACAGACCTTCCTCCCAAAGGTACCACCTGAAATCTCAGCATCCCCAAATTTAAGACACCCATTTTCAGATCTCCCTCCTTCTCAGAATCCCCAGGAAAGCCCATCAACCCCAAATCTCCAGAGTGATGGGAAGACGCTGGAGATTTTGAGCAGTGGAGTGAAGTTATCTCACTCATTTCCACTCTTATAAGTTTGCTCTGGAAGCTGTGTGGAAGACAGTTTTCCCTTGTGAATGGAAATCAATGAAACGAAGATTAGAGCCAATAGGCATTGCAACGTTTCTCAAAGTTGTCAAAATAACAGAATTTTCCATTTTTAAAAGGGACCATAATGTGCACCAGTCCTGTAATTTGTACTGCAAATTCTATTTCTATATAAATAACAAAAATAAACCAACATCTAATACCCCTGATCACGGAAACCTTTTCACAATACAGAGAATGCAAGGAAGTACCAACCGCATTAGGCGAGCTGTTTCTGGCTGACCTGTTGGGGGCGATCCTGCGCCTTGCTCCACTTGCAGCCTCTTGTCCCAGCAGCCAAGCATCAAATCAGTCTGTCTTCCTCTTTGCTACCCTCAACCAGCTTCAAACTGCATCCCAAGCTGCTGATAGAAAATGGAGTTATGAATTCTTCCCCTCTCATCTGTAGATGAGCAGGAACAGATAAAAGCACAGACAATTGCAGAGATCTTGGCGAGGCTGCAGCCTCTGCACCCCATAGGTACAGGTCTTTCTAAGGCTACCTGTTATCTCCAGGATACGAAATCAGATGGACTTATTTTCGGTCCTTATTTTACTTGACATTTCAGCAGCATTTGACCTGCCTCCCTCTTTCCTTCAATTTTTTATATACTAAGTTATCAATACATCACAACAGGCGACTTCCTAAGACAGTACCATTCCACACGTTTCCTCATCAATTATCCTGCAGGAAAATAAAATCTCTCCTATTCTGCCACCCTGTGGCTACTTCGTTTCCCCGCTTTGCTAGTTTTTAATATAAAGAATCTGTGGTTTTATGAAGACTGCTTTCCCAGAAGAAAAATGGTTTGGTGTCTTGGCTTAAAGGACTTGCTTCTTTTTAGGGTAAAGGACTTGCTTTCTTTTCCATTTTCAAGGCAAAAGGGGGAGCTGATAGGGAAACTAGATTTGGTTTAAAAATGTATAAGTACCCAGGAGGAAGCCAGAACCAGAGAATGTGAACCAGCTGTTTGAAGGGACAGTGTCCAGTGGAGAGGGATATGGATGCAAGGCCATGAGCAAAAGAATGGAGAAAAGAGGAGTTGTTTGAAAGGAACTCAGAATGCAACTAGCTGACTGATATGGTTTGGCTCTGTGTCCCCACCCAAATCACATGTTGAATTGCGATCCCAAGTGTTGGAGGTGGGGCCTGGTGGGAGGTCATTTGATCATGGGGGTTTTCTTGCCCCTTGCTGTTCTCACGATAGTGAGTTCTCACAACATCTAGATGTTTAAAAGTGTATAGCTCTTTCTTTCTTTTCTTCTCTCTCTCTCTCTCTCTCTCTCCTCTTTTCTCCATTCTTTTGCTCGTGGCCTTGCATCCATATCCCCGCTCCACTGGACACTGTCCCTTCAAACAGCTGGTTCACATTCTCTGGTTCTGGCTTCCTCCTGGGTACTTATTCATTTTTAAACCAAATCTAGTTTCCCTATCAGCTCCCCCTTTTGTCTTGAAAAGGGAAAAGAAAGCAACTTCTTTACCCTAAAAAGAAGCAAGTCCTTTGAGCCAAGGCACCAAATCATTTTTCTTCTGGGAAAGCAGTCTTCATAAAACCACAAGATTCTTTTTATTAAAAATTCTCTCTCTCCTGCTGTCATGTGAAGAGATATTTGCTTCCCCTTCATCCTTCCTCCATAATTGTTAGTTTCCTGGGGCTTTCCAAGCCATGGTTTCTGTCCAGCCTGTGGAACTGTGAGTCAATTAAACCTATTTTATTTATACATTACCCAGTCTCAGGTAGTTCTTTATAGCAGTGTGAGAACAGACTAATACACTGACCTCAGCTTTCTCCTAGAATGCGGGGTTACCCACGTTGGTGCTCTAGGCAGAAGAATGCTTGTGTTTTTCCTGCCCGATGGCAGATACTTTGTCTTCAACTTCCTACTGTTTTTTGCACTAGGCCTGTCACTCAGCAAAGACTAGTTGGTTCCTGATAAGGGGGCCCTGGAGCAATCTCCTTCTGCAGAAAACAGATTCACTCACCGTGGCTGGCAGCAGCCAAAAGCAAGAGCTATTCTTCAGACAAGAATGAGTCAACAAAATGAGGCTGCACTTGAGGAATAGAATAATCTGAGGAATTGCTAAAATGTTTGAAGGCAAAATATACTTTTCTTTAACCAAAGTAGGCCATTGTAGTGCAGATGGCAGTGTGTATCTGCCATCCTTTAAAGAAAACACCAGAGAAGCATCAACTTGTCAGAAGGTGAAATTTGCAAAGGCCTGTAGAGAAGTACTCAGTGTTTCTCAGTGGGGATGTTATGGATGTGTTGGATGAAACAGTTCCACCTCACAGGGGACTGGCCTATGCACTCAAGGGGGTTTATCACCTCTGCATCCAGGATACCAAATGTCAGTCATTCTCTCCTGTTATTGTAAACACCAAAAATGCTCCCCCTACCCCATTTCCAAAACCTCTTCTAGAACTAATGCTGTCCTCAGTTAAGAAACTCTGAATCTTTTCATTTTTATCAATAGGTAAATTGAAGGCCAGAGACAGGAATTTGCCTAAATCACAGGTAAGACATAATATATACAAAACAGTAAAAGATGATTTGATTTGTTGAAAACCCACTACACAGAGCTCCAGGACACAAGGAGTACAATATCTGGTCTCTATGTTCAAAAGAAGAGAGGAAAACTGTGAAGGAACCAATATTTATTGGGAATCAATTGCTTTCTAGCCCTTTCTAAACCTTTTCATGTTACCTTTGCAAGAACTCAGAGAGGTCGAATTGTGAGGTGAGAATTTGAACCCAGGTTTTAATTATCTTTTCACTGTTACCTTTCCAATGTATGCGCGACCATAGAAACTAGTGTTTTGAAGAATTACACAAAAATTGAAAAAATGTAAAAAGATGATTGTGTGTCCTTTTAAAGACTTACTAGAGCACTATTTTTTTTTTTTTTGATATAGAGTCTCACTTTGTCATCCAGTCTGGAGTGCGATGGCATGATCTCAGCTCACTGCAGCCTCCGTCTCCCGGGTTCAAGCAATTCTCCTGCCTCACCCTCTCTAGTAGCTGGGATTACAGAGGTGAGCCACCGCGCCTAGCCTAGAGCACTATCTAATAAGCCTTCATAGGCTCATCTGGATCTCCTGGCAAATGTGACTATGTTTAACTTATTATTTGCTATTTTTTAAGAGCCAGACTCTGAAATTAGAAATTAACTTTAAAAACTGAGAAAGTGCATACCATTTTGTTTGGTAGATATGTAAATAATTTCTGTGCAATCAAGAAGACCACAAAGTTGTACATTTATTGTCTTTAGGACATTAACCACTCTGTATCTAACTTAGCGATTTTATTCCAGAATTTTTTTCTTTTACTGATTTACATCAGCTTCTCATAGCCTCCTTTGAACAAGCTGTCATTCTTCTGGTTCCTTAAATAATGAGTTAAATAATTAAATCTCTGACACATGCTCCTATAGAGCATGGTTGTATAAGAGTTATGTTTCTTAACTCTTTGTGAATTATATTTTGATACTAACATGAGCCAGTAAGTAGTTGGCTGCTGTTGTGTGAGAATAAAGCTCTATATGCTATGGAGACTATTAAAAGAAAAACTTCAGACAAATTAAACTTAACAGAGTTTAACTGAGCAAATAAATATTTATAAGTTGGGCAGTCCTCAGAACCAGAAGTTCAGAGGGCTCCACTCCTCAAGATGCACAGGCAACACTTATGGACGGAAAACAGAAGTGAGGTACAGAAATAGCTTGATTGGTTACAGCTCTGCCTTTCCCTGATTTCAACATGGTCTGATCAGTTGCTGCCTGTGATTGACAAGTTTGGCTGCTGTGATTGGCTGAGATTAAGCTATTTGTTACAAAAGTATCCTCCTACATAGGTTTTCAGTTAGTTGCATACTAAGTTAGGTTCCAGTTTATGATGTAGGAACTCTAAGTGTGGAGGCAGCCTCAGGCCAAATTTAACTTAACAGGTCATACAAAGGATGAAAAAGGTGAGTGCTGAGAGAAGCAAAGAGGAGGAATTCTTGGCCAGTTGCAGTGGCTAACATCTGTAATCCCAGCACTGTGGGAGGACAAGGTGTGTGGATCTCTTCAGCCCAGGGGTTCAAGACCAGCCTGGACAACATGGTGAAATTTCATCTCTACAAAAAAATACAAAAATTAGACAGGCATAGTGGCGTGTGCCTACTCGGGAGCCTGAGGTGCGAGGATCACTTGAGCCCAGGAGGTTGAGGCTGCAGTGAGCTGTGACCGTGCCACTGCACTGTAGCCTGGGCAACAGAGTAAACCCCGTCTCAGAAAAAAAAAAAAAGGGAGTCTTGAGCTGGGCTTTGGAGAAAGGGTAATATTTGAACAGGCAGAGAAGGAAAGCCTTTTCAGGAGGAACTACAGTATGAGCAAAAGAAGAAAGACCAGGAGAGAGTTGTTACTCTGCCTTCACTTGATCAAACTGTTGCAGCTACCCTCACAGTACCACATTTTTTGTTTGTTTTTGAGACGGAGTGTTGCTCTTGTCACCCAGGCTGGAGTGCAATGGAATGATCTCGGTTCACTGCAACCTCCGCCTCCTGGGTTCAAGTGATTCTCCTGCCTCAGCCTCCAGGGTACCTGGGATTACAGGTGCCCTCCACCATGCCTGTCTAATTTTTGTATTTTTAGTAGAAATGGGCTTTTGCCATGTTGTCCAGGCTGGTCTCGAACTCCTGACCTCACGATCCACCAGCCTCTGCCTCCCAAAGTGCTGGGATTACAGGCGTGAGCCACAGTATCATGTTTTTAAGAAATCTGCATGCAGTTTTTTCGGTAGCAACTACCAGGCAGATTCCTCTTAGGGTCTACAGGGTTATTTATTCCTGTTCCTTATATTCAACCATCTGCCCTTCATGTTAGCAACATTAAGCCCTGACCTACATAGTAGAATCAATAAGAGTAGGGGCTTTGGAATCAGTCTTGGGTTCACACACGGGCTCTCTCATTTATTGGCTATGTGACTTTGGTAAGATTACTTCCCCTTTCTGATTCTTAGTTCATACCACTGTAAAACAGGATATTGATACCTACCATGTTGAGCAATTATGAGGATTAAAGAAGATAATGTTTGTAGAACACTCATCAAAACTTACTGAGTTCTTTTATTTCCAGCATCAAAATATTATTTTTGTTTATGTGGCCCCAGGACAGATGAAACTTGTACTGGTGCAAAAATCCATCCCAGTCATAACCATTAGTCATGGTAAGTAGACTCTGGCACAATTCTGGGCTTGGAGCTCCTTGAGAAAATATGACTTTGAACAAGACCTTCTTTCTTTTATTACCAGATTATTTCTAAGTCTGTTGAAGTCCAAAGACCACAAATATAAAACTAGCTGATGCAACTTGACTGTTAATACAGCAGTTTGGATTCAGCTGTCAATGCCATGTTCTTAAAAGATTGATGGGTTTTAGGGGTCTGGGCAGCTCAGCCTTGGAATGAACTTTTTTTGTAATCTTTTTGAAAAATTCTTAATTAACAAGTAAAAATTTGTGTATATTTGTTGTATACAACATGATGTTGTGACATATGTATACATTGTAGAATTCAGCCCTGGAATTAATCTTGACAAGAGTTAGGACCCTACTCACTTGGTCTCATAAAAGAGAAGATCCAAAGGCCACCTCTCTAGGATGGTGACAGATAACCAATGTACACTCGGTCCATCTGGTACTGTTGTACAGACCAAGACTCATTAATCAGAAGTGTCGTTCGTCACCTGGCAGAAAGGAAGGAGTCACTTCCTTGGGGCCCCCAGGCTTGTAGGACAACTCAACTCACTCCTTTCTCCCTGCTGGAAAGCACAGAACCTTTACTCCCCAGAGAACCTCCACTGTTTCCCTCTCCACTGTATCAGGAGAGGTCCATTAAAGCTTGCTGGCTAGGCGCGGTGGCTCATACCTGTAATCTCAGCACTTTGGGAGGCCAAGGCGGGCAGATCACTTGAGCTCAGGAGTTCAAGACCAGCCTGGCAACATGGTGAAACCCCACCTCTCCTAAAAATACCAAAAAAATTAGCCAGGTATGGTGGTGCATGCCTGTGGTCCCAGCTACTTTCAGGGCTGAGGTGGGAAGATCGCTTAAACCCAGGAGGCGGAGGTTGCAGTGAGCTAAGGTGGCACCAATGCACTCCAGCCTGGGTGACAGAGTGACAGAGTGAGACACCGCCCAAAAAATAAAAAATAAAAAGCTTGCTATGTTCCACTCTTACCTTGTAAATTTGTGTGTCTTAGATAAAGTCCTGCTTATCTGTAGGAAAAAAATTTTCTGGCTTCATACCTAGAATTAGGTGGTCAGTCTTTCTCTTGTTACTCCTCTTGATGATTACTATTGGCACCTCTGTTTTCCTAGTTTTTTTCACTTTAGACCTTGTAGTTTGTTTTTAAATCATTCCCACACTGGCCAGGAGTTTCTTGAGGGCACAGCCGCCATCTGGTTTATCTCTTTAGCCCTCAAAGTGCCTGGTATAGGCCTAGCATAGAAGAGGCACTTGATAATGTTAGTTGAATTAAGTCGAATCATTTTTTTAAAAAAATTATTTAATATCATCATTTCCTAAAGCAAATTGCTGCACTACAGACAAATTACTCTAAATCCTATACCCTGTGTATCTTGCATTGTACAATAGATGTATTCCCTACAGATGGGTGGTCAAGTGAACTTTTATAAATTAAATCTTTGTTTCATGTATTTATACTTTCTATACTGTCTGGGAGATGCTAACATCAGTGGTTATTCTTTTTTCTTTTTTGTCATCCTTCTCTATCTTTCTACTTCTTCCAATCCTCCCCACTAAAGAAGTCTAGAGTTCATTTGATGCAATATTTATTGATCATCTATAATTTGTGAAAGTGTTGTCAGGTTATTAATCTGTAGTTCCTACCACAAATATTTAAACGCAGTACTAGAGTATTATTTAATGGAATTCTATCATAAACCAATGCATCCCTCCTGATTGATTTCACATTTTAATATTAGTTCAGCTTTAGTTTGTCTGGGTTTTCTTTCACCAATTCCCTAGCTAGATTGCATCACACCTCTTGGGTATTTTTGCAGCCTAGACCTTGCTATCTCAGTGATCACAGGCTGTTCTGGCAATGCTTAAACCAACCACCAAAAATATGGTACATTTGAAATGGAAGCAAGCAGCCAGAGAGTGAAATATTCAACTCAGATTTTAGTAAGTAAGATCATCTAAACATAGGCTCTGATCACAAACTTTAGTCCTAGGCTCTTCCTCTATTCCTGTGGTCCAATAATATAAATTAGGATGTCATCACCCAAATATAATATTCCTATTTACAAAAGGATTTTCTAGAAGGTTGCCTCTAATATCAAGAATCCTTAGTGCTTTTATGATAGGATTTAGTATATAAACATTCCAAAGGTGATACTATATATTCAGTACTATGGTAGGTACAACAAAGAAAGATGTCTCAACTTTCAGAAGGGAGTTTACCTTCTCATAGGGAATAAAAACAGAAGCAGAGTTACAATACGGTGCTGTAAGAGTGCAGAGTTAGGAGTGGCAGTGGGAGGGGTTGGAATGGTGGATGCTGCGATGGTAGCTGACTCTCCCCTCAGCATGACCCAGGAAGAGTGGGGCTTGTTTTGCAAATCTGTTGGCTCACAGGCTGCCGTCAGTTCTTGGAGAGAGTCAAATGGAGGAAATCAAGTACACAGCCTTTGTCACCACTTGTCAAGCTCAGTTCTTCCATCTCAGGCCAGGAGAACCCACAGCCACCTATGATGGTGAAGTTACATAGGCCTCAAAACACCAGTGACTGAACATCGGTTGAGCATGAACCAGGAAAGCTCACATGAGGGTCTGGGATGACTTTTTAAGCAGTCTACAGACAGAGTGTCACCATTCCTACGTTCATTGCCCTGTGCTCAGCTCCTCCCATGATGCTAAACTCTTTCTAGTCTTGGGGGTGCAGAAGAAGACCATTAGCACAAGGCAGAAATGAGCTATATAACAACCCTGGCTGGTGGCATGAGATCTTATCTCATGATATTCCTCCCTCCTGGAATGCTATTCCCACATGCACTCCATATCTCCATACCCTCCCTGACTTTCAACACCTACTACAAGTCCTACCTTATCCGGGAAGCATTCTCTGACCCACCAGCTCAATGTGTGCTAGACATGATGCTGGGGGTTTTACGCACATCACCCCATTGAATCCCTAGCAGTGTATTAAACATGTCATTAGCCCTGTTAAGAGGAACTAACAGGCTGGGTGTGGTGGCTCATGCCTGTAATCCCAGCACTTTGGGAGGCCAAGGCAGGTGGATCACGAGGTCAAGAGATGGAGGCCATCCTGGCCAACATGGTGAAACCCCGTCTCTCCTAAAAATACAAAATTAGCCAGGAGTGGTGGCACATGCCTACAGTCCCAGCTACTCGGGAGGCTGAGGAGGAGAATCACTTGAACCCAGGAGGCAGAGGTTGCAGTGAGCCGAGATCACACCATTGCCCCCCAGCCTGGTGACAGAGCGAGATTCCATCTCAAAAAAAAAAAAAAAGAGGAAACTAACAGAGAGAAGGCTCAGAGAGAAGTCACAGTCTGTCTTTATGGCTTCAAAACAGCAGAGATAGGAATGAAGCCCAGGTCTTCATGACTCCAAAACCTGTGTTCTTAGGCTCTTTTGACATGATGCCCCCACTCCAGCCCCTTTTCAATTGTACCATGGGAAAAGTTGACAGGGCTTGGGCACCTCCATTATTAATATAAACCTTTATTAAAGTTTATAATAGTGACTTTATTAGGTTACTCAATTGGGTCATTTCATGTGCTTGTAGGTTTAAATTTTTACTCAGTATGTGAAACATTTTTCCAACTTCACTAAAGGTTCTTTGAAGGAAGGAATGATATCTTGTACTTCTCCTTTTCTCTTATGGGCCCATGTGTATGTCTCTTATGGTAAAGACATACACATAGTGACTAAATATTGTTCACTTATTGTGGGGAGAGGGAAGGCTGCAGGGGTTGGGTTCAGAGAATAAGGAAAAGGAATTTGAATGTACTGAAAACCAGACACCATACTTTAAAGACTTTTTCTGTTCAACCCTATTTTAATGCTTTGTGATAGGTGCTTTCATCTTCGGTAGAACAGTCTGTTTCTGGGGCTTGTAAAAATTGAGTAACTCACCTAATTTCACACATTGTATGAGAAGTAGAACAGAGATTCTGGCACATCCTGTTTCTCAGTTATGCCCATTCCTGCCACACATAATCGGCTTTCTGATTTTAGGCCAGATCCACAGTTAAATCTAGTTCCAAATGACAGCCCCTTAGAGCATCTGCTATTTTTCTTGATAATGTGTTCTGGGAAATTTGAGGTCACTAACTAGATCTAAAGGAGACGGAATTGCCAAGTTTCAAAAGGGCAGGAACAATCCTTGGTTGCACACCAGTGAAGGAAAGACCATTTCATGGAGGGGGAAGGGAAAGGTAGTACCCCCATGGGCAAAACACTGGACACAGACTGGATATAAAGACAGATGAGCTGGGGAGTGGAGCCCACTGCTAGAGAAAGACCCATCCCCAGCAACTGTGGAGGAGGCAGTGCTGTCCCTTACCAAGATGATGCTGCTGTTGCTGTGTCTGGGGTTGACCCTCGTCTGTGCCCAGGAGGAAGAAAACAATGATGCTGTGACAAGCAACTTCGATCTGTCAAAGGTAGAGTTATGGAACGCATTGACTTCTGGCTCTGGGGAGTGGTTTCAGGGATTCTGAAGCCATGTGGATCCTATTGTAGGGCAGGAGTTCCTTAACATATCAGACAAAAGCATTGGTTTCTGATCTTGGGTTAAGAGCAATTGTACCATATGAAAAGATGACAATGCTTGGGGATCTCCATCCTCCCTAAAGGGGCAGTGGAAAGAGCCCTAGGTGTGGTGCCAACTGATCTGAGTTCTATCTTCACTTCACCATTATGAGCCCTGGCCCACAGGCCAGAGTTCAAGGAAAGAAGTGTCCATGTGGTATCCCCACTCCTCTTTTCTTACCCAATGACCTTATTTATTGCAGATTTCAGGAGAGTGGTATTCGGTTCTCTTGGCCTCTGACTGCAGGGAAAAGATAGAAGAAGATGGAAGCATGAGGGTTTTTGTCAAACACATTGATTACCTGGGGAATTCTTCTCTGACTTTTAAATTGCATGAAATATAAGTATGGCCTTTTTTAGTTGGGGAAGGAAAAACAGAAGCCTGGGTATGGTCTTGAACACACACACATTCACTGATCCAGGACTTGATGGATCTGGGGCTTTTCAAGATTCAGAGACAAGAGTCAGTAACAAGAATTTTAAATTTAATTGGAGTGGGAGAAGCAGGAGGTAGAGGGATATCAGAATCATTAAGTAGTATGACAATATAGCATAGGTTAAGCAAACTGAATTTGGAACTAACAGCCTGAATTTGAATCTTCCAGTTACCAGTTGTGTTACCAAGAAAACTAATGTCTTTCCACCTCCCTTTTCCCATGGGTAAAAGGGGATGACAATAATTCCTCCTCATGTTGTTTTGTTTTGAGGTGTGTGTGTGTGTGTGTGTGTGTGTGTGTGTGTGTGTGTTTGTGTGGACCAAGGCAGGTCACATTTGTAAAGCACTTACTTGAGAGGCTGGCATGTGGTGAACACTCAGCTAATGATCTAGACAAGTAGTTGTAGTAATAGCAACAGTGAGAAGTAGCAACAGTGATAGAAGTTGTCATTTAAGTCATTCTTATCAAATCATGTGAAATAATACACATAAAAGGTCTTTGATAATTGTACCAAAAAATGTTCAAAAGTTGAATCAGAAACTCAAGTTACTGGTAGAGGAGAAGGTAAGCAAGCCAGCCTCATCAGTAGCCCTTGGGCATCAATTTATTGTTTTACAGTGAAAATGGAAACTGTACTGAAATTAATTTGGCTTGTAAACCAACAGAAAAGAATGCCATATGTAGTACTGACTGTAAGTATTTTTTTAAGTCTTTCTAAATTATACTTCCAACTGCAAGGAATTTACTAAACCCCAGTATCTTCATGATCTTGATCAATTTCTGATCAATGACTATTTTGATAATAAAATGGGGGTTATATAATAGCCAATAACCTGAAGCTGGGAGAACCTTGCATGTAAAAGCCAGTGCCTGCCACATAATACAATCAGCTTCAGGAAAGTGACTTGGTCATATGCACCTCCTGCAACAAAAGTTAATTGGCAGGGAAAAAATATAAATTGGGGCTGGGCATGGTAGCTCACACCTGTAATCCCGGCACTTTGGGAGGCCAAGGTAGGGGGATCACCTGAGGTCAGGAGTTCGAGACCAGCCTGACCAACATGGTGAAACCCTGTCTCTACTAAAAATACAAAAATTAGCTGGGCATCATGATGCACACCTGTGATCTCAGCTACTCGGGAGGCTGAGGCAGGAGAATCGCTTGAACCGTGAAGGAGGAGGTTGCAGTGAGCCAAGATTGCGCCACTGCACTCCAGCCTGGGCAACAAAGCGAGACCTTATCTTTAAAAAAAAAAAAAATGGTAAATTGTCAAGACAGCTTCTTATTCCCTCCCTGGCTTTCTGATGCCTGATGGTCATCGCCACAGCACATTGCTCAGGATATAGCATCAAGTAAGTAATGCCAGTGGGGGCTTATAGAGAGGACAGAGACACATCACTGACAGAGATGCTGCTGGAGGTGGGTAGGTCTCGGGGGGGATGTTAAAGTCTGAGTGGCTGCTGGGGCTAAATTTTTTGACTGCTAGTGGTCAACCTACCCTTTTCTCAGAATTTGCCTCATGAAGCCCAGGGCGATGCAAATGGAAGACATTCAACATCCTCACTATCTCTAACAGGATACGCACTTGAACTTGTGTTGTGGGAGAGACCAGGTAAAGGGTTTCAACTGCTTTCTATGGACCAAAGGAGTTCTGAGCTGTGTTGTTTCCTCCACAGATAACGGACTTAATGTCATTGACATACTTGAAACGGACTATGATAATTATATATATTTTTATAACAAGAATATCAAGAATGGGGAAACATTCCTAATGCTGGAGCTCTATGGTAGAGTATTTTCATGCTGACACTCATCTTGGGGTGGGGAAAGGAGGGAAGGCAAGAAACTTAGATACAAAGTGGTCTTTCCCACGTTATCCTGGGCCATCTCTCCTTCTCTGCAAACAGAGGCTTACCTTTGGTAATCCCTCAAGCTCAGTGATAAGAAATTATGATCTTCCATTGTGCTACTGATGTCAAATTTAGGACACATTATATCCCACCCCCAAGACTTCTGCCTGGCATCCAATGGCTGCCATTCATTTTCCCATCTGTCTTGAGCCCTGTCCCCTCATTTGCCTCTATGACGAATACCCAAGACATGGCAGTTACTGTCACTCTTCCCACAGTTCGAACACCGGATGTGAGCTCACAACTCAAGGAGAGGTTTGTGAAATATTGTGAAGAACATGGGATTGATAAGGAAAACATATTTGACTTGACCAAAGTTGGTAAGTCGGGGTTTCTGGTATTCTCTTCCTAAATTCCCATGTTACAGAAGGGAGCAATCCAGGGGAAGTAATACCCTCCAAATCAGTCCCCTTTGTGCTAACTTGGAGAATCATCTGGTTTCTCTCTGAAAAATAAACTGGGGTTGGTGTCTGAATTTGTTCTCTTCTCCCTCGACAGATCGCTGTCTCCAGGCCCGAGATGAGGGAGCAGCCTAGGACTCCGGGTTGGTGATCTCTGACACCGGTGGAGAGAGGGTGGCCCAGGGACCAGTGCCTTCCAAAAGCATTAGGGGTTTGCACCCAAAGATACCATAAAAATAATTTGGTAGGAAAGCTTGTGGGAAAATCTTGAAATCTGGAGTTGGAAGACCTGGATAGAGGACCCAATTCTCCCATAAGCTTTGAGCAAATAACCTAAGACTTAAAAAGGAGACAATGGGCCAGGTACAGTGGCTCACACCTGTAATCCCAGCACTTAGGGAGGCAGTGGCAGGAGGATCGCTTGAGCCCAGGAGCCCAAGACCAGCCTGGGCAACATAATGAGATACCATTCTCCATGAAAGGGAGAAAAAAAAAAGAAGAGGAAACAATGATGCCTAGTTTACAGAGTTGCTGTGTAGATATAATGCTTGCGAAAAGGGCCCAGTAATTGAAGATGTGCTAAAAATCACTAGGATTTCACGTTCGAAATGGAAAAAGTAGTAGGTTGTATGAAACTCAAATATGTTTCTGTGTTTGTGGACCAACTCCCAGGAGGCCATCTCACCCTCCAACTTATAATCCACATTTCTTCTTCTGTACTCTGTATGTCCTTGACGTCTAACCTGGGAATGGAACTGTCTTCCCATTTTCCACAAACCTGGAAAATAGATCTTGAGTTTTCTCAACTACCTTAGATTTATCGTGGGGCTTTCAGATAATGTATGTGAAAGTCTTAGCAGCTTGCATAAAGCAAATATTTAATAAGAGATATCTACAGATTTTGCCATTATTCCTCAATTTATCAAAAATTCTTCAAAACTTCTGATGTTGAAGATGGCAGAAACAAACCTGGGACCCTTTATTACTTCCTTTCTCTTTTTCATGTATTCAGCTGAGAGAAGGTTAAGATGGCATTAGCAATAGCAAAAAAGCAAAAGTCATTTACTCAACATCCTCCCTCCCCCTTTTCTGGTATACAACATAAGTTAGAATACAGGGTCAGAACTATTTCTTCATCATTTTTCTCTGTAATAGAATTTCTCTTCATCATTCATGCAATGCAAGGAATGTTTAATAAGTTCCTGTGTTCTCTCTCTTCTCTGCTTAATTAGTGCTGAGTGAATGAGTGATGAGTGAATGAGTGAATGCTGAGTGCTGAGTGAATGTTTCCTCACCTGGACTCCAGTATCTTCCCTTCCTGATCCCCATGTCCTCTTATGACAAGTTCTGTGACCTGATTTCCATCATATCACACATGAAGACGTCATCCCTGCATCTTTAGGATCTTCCCTAACTGCCTAAGAAGACTCAGAAATTCACCAAGAATCAAAGGTTTTCTTTGAATTTCTGACTGTCTTTGTCACAGCCAGGGGAACTCTACATGAATAACACCTGACTCTACATGATCAATAAATCATTAACCTTGCAGTCATGTAATTTGTCTTTGTATCTGTGAGGATGTGAGGCTGACAGTGAGTGAATGAAGGGGCTTCCTTGCCCCTGAACCCATAATCCTCCTCTAGTATCTCAGAATCTTCTCTGAGCTTCAGGATTCTCCTTCCTCTGCAGTAATTCCCTGTTGGTTATCCCAAGTCCCCATGAGTGCTGCTTGCCCCTTGATTTGCCAATTTCTTAGTGATCTGATAAGAACATTATAAATAATATAAGAATATAAGACTTGCCCCATGATTTCTGCATCCTAGAATTCGCTTTTCAATTGGGGACACTGACAGATAGATGCTGCTGAGGCTGATACCAGCTTGACAGAGATGCCTCTAGATACTAGCTTCTCTATACCATCCATCCTATAAGATGGGTTCAGTGTCCTTTCACACTCTTGAAAAACCCCCTTCAATCACCACAGTTATCTACTGTGAACACAGTAAGTGAGATTTCATTAAATGCAAACAATACCTGTCTTCAGCAACCTGTACTTGGTTTTGTCAGGAGGCACTGATGGGGAATGTTATTAACTTCTTCTTTTGAAAGCTAACAGGCTTGGGCAAAGGGATGTGAAAGATCCTTCACCACTAATAACCCTTTCCCACCAACAGCAGATTTTTAAAAATGTAAAAGTTACCCATGGGTGTTAGGGCGGAGCAAGATGGGTCCTGCAAGAAGAATGGCTTAGTCCTTATGGGCATAAAGGTTAATGAGAGAAGGTTTTCTAGGCAGCTGAAGATCCCTGTATCTTGCTTTTCTCCCAGATCAGAAGACTAAATTAGATTCAGATTATTACTCCTGGATCAAATGCTTTGTCTGGTTAGCTGAAATATGGCAAAAGATTATGTAGAAAGACAACCAGTTACACTGAAATCTCTCATTTTTTACTGTTGGCATGTAAGGGAGAGAACAGCTGATGCCCAGAAGTGCATGACCTGGCAAAGCCTTGAGAACACTTAGAAAATTAATAACAATAACAATTGAGGACCACTTTGATGATGAGAGATGGCTGGGTAGTGCCACGTGTTAGGAAACTACAGCCCAGAGGGAGGCACAAAAAGGCCCTCTGCTGTTTCCAAGTCAAGACAGCAGCTTGAGCTCACACTGAAACCTACCCCTTCAACTCCAAACATTTTGTGCAAGTGAGGCATGAAATATTAATAGCCAATGGAAAATAGGAAATGTTCATAGATCAGAAACAGAAAAATCCAGAAGAATTCCCCGCCCCCACCCCCCCGCCTTTTTGTTGTTGTTGTTGAGACAGAGTCTTGCTCTGTCACCCAGGCTGGAGTGCAGTGGTGTGATCTTGGCTCACTGCAACCCTCGCCTCCCAGGTTCAAGCAATTCTTATGCCTCAGTCTCCCAAGTAGCTGGAATTACAGGCATGCACCACCATGCCTGGCTAATTTTTGTATTTTTAGTAGAGACAGGATTTAGCCATGTTGGCCAGGCTGAACTAATGGCCTCAAGCGATCCACCTGCTGTGTTTCTTTACAGACATGAAACACCTTGCCTCGCCAAGAAGCAGAACAATCCCTTTCCAAAGAAATAAAAAAAGAAAAAACAGATGGGAATGATGAGGGTAAATGGACCAGAGCAGCATCATTTTCTGGGTTCTTAGAACAGTTCAGAAGCACCTTGAGTCAATGTAGTGCCAGGAACAAGTGTCACAATGGCCAGACAGGGATGCAGGCTGAAGATGCACACCTCTGAGGAGCAGAATGAATTTGAGACAGCTCCTCTCCCTCACCTGGAGTCTCAGAGAGAGGCTGGCTGCCTGTGATAAGGCACCATCACCCATTTGAGAAAGAAAAAAAGCAATCCTGGACTCTCACAGCTGGGCTTCAGTGCTATCACAAGCTCACAAGCTGGGCTGCTGCTCACAGCTAAGCCAGATTGTTCTGTTAGACATACACAGTCTCATCAAACATCAACATTAAACAAAGTCACTCTGCAATCAATCATAAAAACAAGATCATTGTGCAATCCACAAATATGCCTCTCTTAGCTAAAATGAGTGGCAGCTATTTCTTTACCAATTACAGCTTTATCCTCATGCTTGTCTCTCCTCCCTATTGATAATATTTTTTGAGAATCCAATCGTTAAATTTTCCCCTTTTCTGACAGCACCAAATCTGGAGCTTTCTTAGTAGGTTTTTTCCAAATCCTATAGCTTTTTTTCTACCACTCTCTTACGGAGACACACATGGGTTCCCAATGGTGCGTGTTCTTCCTAGCTGCAACAGTCAACCCAATTTGTTCAACTACATGTATGTTCCTGGGGATCTTTGGTTGAAGGATATTAACACTTTTAGGACAAGAGCCCATGCCCATTCCATGCATCTGCAGCCTAGAATTCTGGGAAGCACCAAGCTAAATCACAAATGCAAGGCCTGGTTTGATACTGTGCCCCTGGTAGGGACTAGAACAGGAGGCCTCCAAGAACTTTGGACTAAGAAATTAGGAGGATGGAATTGCCATTTACTGCAATCTGCTGGAGGAGTAGGTTTAGTGGGAAAGGATAAATATATCGGTTTTAAACATTTCATTAGTTTATCTAACCTGCTAAACTAGGCTGCTATAAAAGAGACTCAATCATAATTCATACAATTTAATGAAGATAGAATTAATTTCTGTCTTCTATGAACAATCTAACATAAATGATCCAAGTTGGCTGGCAACTCTGTTCCTTGTAGTCATTCAGGAACCCAGTTCTTTGTTTGTACTATCCCCTAGGACATTGTCCTTATTTGCATGGTTAAAGCTGAGTTGCATGTGGTAAAGGAAAAGAGACTGGTGGAAGCATGGTCTTATGTCCACAGGATTCTGTGGCCCCTGACTCTGGAAGTTTCTTTCTTGTCCCTTATCCTTCATGATCGCTACCCATTTCCTGCTTGTGCAGGTTTGGATAGATTATTTTGAGGAGTATGGAATTACATGCAGCTAGGCATGGTGGCTCACACCTGTAATCCCAGTGCTTTGGAAGGCTGAGGCAGGAGGATTGCTTGAGGCCAAGAGTTTGAGGCTGCAGTGAGCTGTGATTGTGCCACTGCCCTCCAGCCTGGGCAACATAGAAAGACCCTGTCTCAAAAAAAGAAAAGATTAACTGGGTATGGTGGCAGTTGCATGCCTGTAGTCCCAGCTACCTGAGAGGCTGAGGCAAAAGGATCCCTTGAGCCTAGGAGTCTGAGGCTGCAGTGAACTGCAATCACGCCGCTGCGTTCCAGCCCAGGTAACAGGGTGAGACTCCATCATGCTTTTGCTATAGGCCAAGGCTAAATTTCTTTTGGCAATACAAATTTCTCAAAAATTTAGTAGACTTCTGCTATATTTGCCTCTCGACTTTTCCATGTTCAGGTAACCACACCCCCCAAATCTTATCTAGACATAGATTTAAGCCTAGAAACTCTGGTATTTCCTAGATTGACTTCTATGTTCTGCCTATCTCATCCCCTTCTCTTAATTTAATGGGGGCTACTTTGAGACCACTTAAAAGAATGGATCTGGGTGAGGTGGATCCTTAAGCCCTTTTTTTTTTTTTTTTGCGCCAGCAGGCTCACAACCTTTCTTGGTTAAGCGTAGATTTTTACTTCACAGTCATTAAACTGCTTTGCTGTGGGGTATAGAAGTAGCAACCCTCAATCAACTTAGAGGGAGGCTGCAGGCAGAGAAGGCCTCCTTTAGTAATGCCCTCTATACTTGAAGCTGGGCTAACTCCAAGTCTCTCTTGCTTATAAGTTTTGTCGAAAGCAGCAAGCAGTTGCCAACACAATACCAATATGCCAATACCCTAAATCATTCCTGTCTATTCCCCTAGCTCTGCAGCCTTCATCAGCACAAGGTCTGTCTTCCAAGGTACAACAAGCAACCATTTGACCAAATGTTTTGCTAACATATAATTAGATATCACAGCTTTCCAGGCTGTGATATCTGAATTCTTGATACCTGGACACCTCTGCCTACTGTAGGTCTCCTTAGGAGTCCTTCAGCCCCTGCCCCATGCTAGGCCTCCTCCACCCTCCAACCCAACCTCTGTGTACTTATGCATTGGGTATTTTTGTCTCTCTTTTGATTCCGGTATCTCCCCATTATTTTCTAGAAAGTAACATTTCTCTTTTTATATTCTAAAAAAAGGAAAAAGACGATTACATTACAGATCCATTCAAGTCTAGAAAATAGGGTTTAGTTTTTATATACATTAGGGGAAAAATATGGAAAACCTTGTAATTCACAGGGCATTGGGTAGAGTACTCAGAAATTTCTTGCTTCAGGGTAAAGAATAATTAGCCCTCAATTCAGTGCTCTTCTTATCCCAACTAACAAATATTAAAAAGCAATATCAAAAAAGATAAACTGTTTTCAAGTAATTCAACTGTGTTCCAGAACAAGGCTCAAAAATAGTTATAGAAATAGATGATCCAATCACACTATCTAGCATTCAACTTAAAAAAACTACCTAGTACATAAAGCAGCAGAGAAATATGATTCACAATGAGGAGAAAAATATAAGTCAATTGAAACTGACCCAGAACTTACATGGATGTTAGGCTCAACAAAGACACTAAAATAGTCATTTTAACTGAACTTCTATAGATGAAAACTACAATGCATGAGATGAAACATACACTACTACAAGAAATATTACAGGAAGCCCTTCAGGAAGAAGAAAAATGTCACCGGATGAAAGTAGGACATAAAGCAATGAAGAACATCAGAAATGGTAACATGAGTGTGTTTATATTTTTCTTAAAATTTTTGAAAAAGATAACTATTTAAACAACATAATAATAAAGTAATATGCAGTTTTTCTTTTTTTGAGACAGAGTCTTACTCTCATTGCCCAGGCTGGAGTGCAGTGGTGCACAATCAAGGCTCACTACGGTCTCCAATCCAGGGCTCAGATGACCCTCCCACCTCAAGCTCTTGAGTAGCTGGGACTACAGGCATGAGCCACCATGCACATCAGATTTATTTTTAAAATTTTTTTAGTACAGATGGGATCTCGCCATATTTCTCTGGCTGATCTCAAACTCCTGGGCTCAAGCAATCCACCTGCCTCAGCCTCCCAAAGTGCCAGGATTATAGGCATGAGCCACCACACTCAGCAGTAATATGCAGTTTTAACATATATAGTCGTAAAATGCGTGACAAAAATAGCAAAAAGGCTGAGAAAGGAAAGTACACTGCTCTAAGATTCTTGTATTATACATGAAGTAGCATAATAATATCATTTGTGGAAGGTAGACTGCCATAAGGTATAGATGTTTACTATAAACCCTAAAGCGACCATTAAAATGACAAAACAGAGTTATAGCTAATAAACCAACAAAGGAAATAAAATGGAATTATAACATATTCAGTCCAAAAGAGGGCAGAAAAAGAGAAAAAAGGAAGCAACTGATGGGACAAAGGGAAAATAAATAAGATCATAGAATTAAAGCTTCTTTTTTTAAATGTTTTTAAACTTTTAAGTTCGGGGTACATGTGCAGATTTGTTACATAGGTAAACTTGTGTCATGGGGGTTTGTTGTACAGATTTTATCACCCAGGTATTAAGCCTAGTACCCCTTAGTTATTTTTCCTGGTCCTCTCCCTCCTCCCACCCTCCACCCTCTGATAGGCTCTAGTGTGTGTTGCTCCCCTCTATGTGTCAATGTGTTCTCATCATTCAGCTCCCACTTATGGTGATTCCTCAAAGACCTAAAGAGAAATACCATTCGACCCAGCAATCCCATTACTAGGTATATACCCAAAGGAATATAAATGGTTCTATTATAAAGATACGCACATGTATGTTCATTGCAGCACTTTTCACAGTAGCAAAGACATGGAGTCAACATAAATGCCCATCAATGATAGACTGGATAAAGAAAATGTGGTACATATACACCAAGGAATACTATGCAGCCATAAAAAAGAATTAAATCATGTTCTTTGCAGGGACATGGATGGAGCTGGAGGCTATCACTCTTAGCAGACTGAAAGCTTCTATTTGCCGCTCAGGGCTTCTACAAATGCATCCACATGTTACCTCCAGTAATGGAAACTCACACTGCCTCTAACTCCCTGCCAACCCAATGATGCTGCAGTGAACATAATTATACATTTCCTCTTCTGGATCTTCGTGAGATTTCTTTGGGTATATGCCCCAGAGTGGATTTCTGCACCAGAAAGTATGTATATACATGATTTGACTAAGTCCTGAGACTTTCTCCAGAAAGGCTGCACTCACCTACACTTCCACCATCAGTGCACGAGGGTTCCTGCATTTCCATCTCTCTTCCAACCTGGCCCTATCCAGCTTTTCCATGTTTGCTAGTGTAATAGGTGTAAATTGGCATCTCAGTGTTATATAATTAACATTTCTCTGGATGCTAATGAATTGGAAAATCTCTTCCTTTACTTGTTAGCCTTTGGGGTTTCCTCTTCTGTACATTGCTTATTCATGCTATTCAAATTTCTCTCTTTTTCTTGTACATATTTGCAGGAGTTCCTGGAACACCATTGCTTGTTAATTTCAGATATTGCAAATATCTTCTCCCACAGTCACTGTTGATTAACTTTGTCCATGATGTCTTTCAACTTTGATGCAATCAGATTCATCTTTTTTTGGGCAGTAGGAGGTTTATGTTTTATGCTTTTAAAGGTTTCTTTTGGAAATTATTTACTGCTTCTAGTACACAAAAATATTCTCCTATATTTTTTCCAATTAACTTTATAGCTTTGTCATTCACATTTCAGTCTTTATCTGGAGTCTACCTTTATATGTGGTATGAATTACAAATCCAGTTTTCCTGACTCAATTTACTAAACAATCTGTGTTTCCCCACTGGTCCTTAGTGCCACATTTATCATATATTAAATTCACAAGGTATTTACCAGGAGAGAATAGAAATATTTTAATTTTAACTCATTTCATCAAGAGCATGAAATGTCTGTCGATTTATTCAGGTCATCTTCTATGTCCTTTCTTAACATTTTAAAGCTTTCTCCTTGATAATTTTCTTGTGTATTCTTTGTTATTAACTCTATACTTTCACAGTTTTTTGGTGTTTGTTGTTTTCTTTTACCATCAGTTAATGCCATTAGTTTTTGCTGGTATAGAAAAGTGCTATTGATTTTTTTTTTTTTTTTTTTTTTTTGAGACAATCTCGCTCTGTTGCCCAGGCTGGAGTGCAGTGGTGTGATCTCAGCTCACTGCAAGCTCCACCTCCTGGGTTCTTGCCATTCTCCTGCCTCAGCCTCCTGAGTAGCTGGGATTACAGGTGTGTGCCACCATGCCTGGCTAATTTTTGTATTTTTAGTAGAGACAGAGTTTCACCATGTTGGCCAGGCTGGTCTTGAATGCCTGACCTCAGGTGATCCGCCTGCCTTGGCCTCCCAAAGTGCTGGGATTACAGGCGTGAGCCACTGCACTTGGCCTGCTATTGATTTTTATAGGATGATCTCTCTAGCAACTTTGATGAGATTTTTTATTAGTTCTCATAAAATTAGTTCTAATACTTCATGGATTCTGTTGGTTTTACAGGTATACAGTCATATTATCTGCAAATGATGTCACTGTATCTCTTCCAATCTTTATGCTTCATGCTCTCTTTTTTCTCTCTTTTCCTTATAACTTTAGCTAGAACCTCCAGGACTAAACACTGAAACCATATTTTCTATCCCAGGGGTTAGAAAATTATGGCGCATAGGCCAAATCCAGCCCACTGCCTGTTTTCATATAGCCCATGAGCCAAGAACATTTGCAATTGATGTGATACTAGAAACACTAACTTTCAGCTTCAATTAAGCAAACTTATGCCAAAAAAGAATTCCCTTATTCTCATTAAAAGACCTGTATTTCAAAATCATTGTATGCAATATTATATTTTGAGTTTCACCAAAAAAAAGTAGAAATGTGTTTTGCTGTTGTTACATAAATACCTACATAATACCCTTGATTGCCTCTTGGCCTTCAAAGCCTAAAATATTTTCTATCTAGCCCTTTGGAGAAAATTGTTGCTGATCCCCCTTTCTATCAGCCTTTACTCCAACAGTTATTTTTTTATTTTTTATTGTTTTTCGAGATAGGCTCTTGCTCTGTCACCCAAGCTGGAGTGCAGTGGTGCAATCATGGCTTCCTGCAGCCTCAACCTCCCAGGCTCAGGTGATCCTCCCACCTCAGCCTCCCTAGTAGCTGGGACTACAGGCATGCACCACCACACCCAGCTAATGTTTGTATTTTAGTAGAGATGGGGTTTCACCATATTGCCCAAGCTGGTCCCAAACTCCTGGGCTCAAGTGATTCACCCACCTCAGCCTCACAAAGTACTGTGATTACAGGCATGAGCCACCGCACCTGGCCATTCCAACCGTTATTTACTGTAGTTGTTTTGTGCTGCATTTCCCCCCAAATAAACACGTTTGTCAAAATGAACCACTTAGAATGCCTTTAATAAAATGGGCATGAAATTATACAACTGTGTGGTTAAGGAGCTATTTTGAAGTAGTCCTGTTACTGCTCCTCTTTAAACATTATGAATAATTTAAGCCCAAATGGAAGAAAATTAGATAAATGTCAAATACACTTCCAGAGTAAATATCAAATCAGGACATTCTGAGGTTATTTCAGGAATTCAAGGACAACAATGAAGACTCCAAATTTCTATTCTTGGCATAGAGGACTTTTTGTCATTCAGTGCTCTTATCCCAAGACAGAACTTTCATTGAAACTGTCTGTTCCTGGAAACAGGCCCATCATAATACTAGCTGTTGTTCTTGAAAATCAGTATTTCAGGAATATTGTTCCACTGGTTTCAAAATGTTTATGATGGCTCTGTTTTTGGTTATTAGAACAAGAGATAATTACTGCATAACCACTTGGTGAAGAGAGAAGTGGAGTGTCGGGTTGATTGGAAAGCCTGGTGCTGCACATCCGACCTGGTCAGCAGTACCAAGAGCCATTACCCAGCTGCCTGGATTCCCACAGCCTAACACAACTACCTTCATTTTCCCATGTTCCTGTTAAACCTGCATTAGCACTGCACACAGTTTTCCTCAAAAACCCAAGAACAATTCCACCTCTACACTCTTCTCCTTGCAGTTCCCTTTGTCAGAAATACTCATCCCCCAGATGTCTGCACGATGCACTCCCTCATAACCTTCTGGCCCCTAGGGGTCACCTCAAAGAGGGTAGCCCCCGAAACCCCAAGAATAAAGGAGTACTCTTTCCCCAGCCTCCTTGACTGGCCCCTCATACTTGTTTGTTGCCTGTACCCACTCCCTCTAAGTGCAACAAAGTCAAGAGTTTTATTTGTTCACTGTGGTATCAGCACTGGAAACAATACCAAGCGTGACACAGGCACTCAGTATTTGTTGCTTTAATAAGTGGGCTTCCGGCCGGGTATGGTGGCCCATGTCTGTAATCCCAGCACTTTGGGAGGCCGAGGTTGGCAGATCACCTGGGGTCAGGTGTTCAATACCAACCTGGCCAATGTGGTAAAACCCCGTCTCTACTAAAAATACAAAAATTAGCCAAGCGTGGTATGTGCCTGTAGTCCAAGCTACTCGGGAGGCTGAAGCAGGAGAATCACTTGAACCCAGAGGCAGAGGTTGCAGTGAACTATGGTCATGCCACTGCACGCCAGCCTGGGCAACAGAGAGAGACTCTGTCTCAAAAAAAAAAAAAAAAAAAAAAAAAGTGGGCTTCCATGACGTGCATAGGCAAGAGTAGAAAATCCATTCTCTTTCTCCTTTTCTTGTCCTAATATCTTCAGGAGGGTGTCTCAGTTCACACTGAATGTGGGCCCTTTCAGATTTTGTCCACTGGTGGCATGGAGAGAACTCCAAGAAGGTGGCTTCATAAAACACTGGGCTCTTGGGGCAGGGGCCCAGTTATCCCTTACACATACAAGAGCAGGCCTAGCAATCGGCCTCCAAGAGAAGAACTGGGGGCCATGACCCTGCTTCCCTACCTTCTACAACCCTGGCCACAATGCTACATACCTCATTCTCCATTCTGTCCCGCCTCCCAGGGGGTCTTGATAAAAGTTGGGATTCAAGATGCTAATGAAATGGTAGACACATAACTGGCCAGATAAAGGGAAATGGGTGTTTCTGGAATATGACTCAGTCTTCTGAGTTCAGTCAGGGTGGGGTAGCAAGGGTGAAGGGCATCAGAGATCTCTATGCAGATAGAAATGAAAGAGTAGATTTGCAAGGTTCAGAAGAAAAGGACTGAGCATGTGAGGAGTCTTTACCTACATGTTACTCATTTCCATTCCCTCAAATCAGTTTCCCAATCAACTCACAGGCTCTTGCAGCAGATAAAGATATGAGACTTTGCTCAACAAGAACAAGGGGATAACCACGTTAGTGGTCATCTTGTATGAAACACATATTGCTATACCTCTTCCCCAAACTGACAGCTATGCCTGCATCTTCACATTCTTTAAAGCCAGGAAAAGATATCTCCCCACCATTGAGTTGCTGCTCTCCATGCATCTTCACTGTACTTTTTCATCTTAGCTCTAAAGCAAGGAGTATAATAAAGATCCATCTATTTCTTTCACATCTGTAAAATGGGAATAAAAATAATACCTAATGGATTGTGCAGAGATTAAATATTGCAAAGCACTTGGAATAGTGCCTGACACATAGTAAGCACTATTTAATGAGCTTGCTATTATTATTCCATTAATACATTTTTTCAGTTTGCTCATAATTGTAATTTTTATATCTAGTTTCATAATTGTGAGACTCACCATGGTATATTTCTATATAATTCATACACATTTTTATGATAATGCTTAATTCATAAAATATATGAGAACATTCCATCTGAAAATAATTCAAATGGCTTTGGGATGAGCTATTTTATAGATTATGATTCAAATTACAGAGAATGTATCTGTAAAACTGCCAGGCCATTATCTTTGGTAACTTTTTTTCCCGTGTCCTATTTCTCCTGGACTGTGGTTATTGTGCTGTCTACCTGCAGCGTGAGGGTTTCCCCATCAGGTTACTTAAGATTGTACGTCCAATGCCTGAACCCTGAAGGCTGGTAGGTGAGCCGAGGCCATGGTGCCCAGCGGAGGAGCAGGTGGCCCTGAGAACCCAAACATCCTGGAGAGTATCTGAGAACCTACCAAGAAAAACAACCTCATCACTCAAACACAGTAAGCAAAGAGCCAGAAAATTCGCTTAAAAGCAGTTTAGAGACTGGATGCTGTGCAGATCTCTAGAGCTGTCCTGCCGCGGTCCAGGAGTGTCCTGTACGTAAGTCCTAATAAACTCATCTACTCCTCTAGGTGGACTTGGCACAGTCATTCTCTGGTCTCTCAGCTCCTTCTCAGTTTGGGGGGTAGGGGGGACGTTACGGTCCCAAGTATTTCTTGTAACACCACCAAAGACTCATGGTCCTCCTAGGCACACTGAAAGCTCACGTTGCTCTGTGACTTGCTTTGACCAGTAAAAAATGAGGGTAAGTTCCCAATGTTCTGGGCATGAGGACTTTTCAAAGCAGTTATTTGAAACTGCAGCCAAAGATGAAAAACAGTTAAGGATGGTAACTAGAATCCCTAGGACTGGAGTCCAGATACAGTGCTCTGTAGAGGGGGTACCCGGGGCAGTCCAACAAAGGTTTGGACACCTTGGAAGGAGTCTCCCAAAGTCTTATGACTCAGTTTCTCGCCCTCCTTGCCTCCTTTCCTCTCCCTTTCCTTTCCCCCTCAGAACTTAGAGATGAGGGAGGTGGCCACTGGGTGCGGGGATCGTGGATTGGTCCCTTCAGATCCGCCCCGGTGTCCAGAGGAGCCCTAGAGAATGCCTTGGCCGGCTCGCAGGGCCTCTCCAACGCCCTGCTCTGGCTCGTCTCACCTGCAGGAGAGAGGTACCCTGCGAGTGGGCAGATACCTGGCGCCCCCGGTGGCCGTTTGCGCGCATCTCAGGCTCTGCCAGCCGCTGCCGCCCGGGCGCAGTTCAGAAAGAGCCAGGTGTCCTCCGGAGCCCAGGCCGAGGCCTCTTCCAAAAGGTCTGGGGATCACGCTGGCTTCCTCCCATTCTCTGCAGATCTGAGAAGCCAGGTCGCCGAGGAGCATGGGGGGGGAAGGCAGCTCAAAAGGGCTGTAGGGAGATTGGGGAAGGGTGAGGCTACAGCAGCCTCACTAAGGTAGGGGCTGGTACAGATGTTTTTAGAATCTTGGGGTTGGCTGGGGAGCCCCAGACCTCTCTGGTCTCATCCAGGTGCTCGTAGGGATTGCACATCTTGGAATTAGGGGCTGCTAGCGGCCCTTTGTTGGCAGAACCTGTAGCCAGTGGGTGGTTTGTTGCTCCCTGCTGCCCGCAGGTTAAGGGCAATCCCCCAAAAACTGTTTGGAAACTAAGGATTTCTTAGTCCCTTTTCCTGCCAGAGCCCAGGGCCCATCTAGGTATCTCCAGAATCTTGGCCTTGGAATTATTTTGGAGCCTTCACTTACACTCAGCTTCAGTAGAGGCCAACCTCAATGCCTTTAGGAATTAAGGGAGCATGCACCGTAACAGCCCAGGGCCTCATCCCAGCATCTCCAAGGCCTGTGAGTCAATGCAGTGTGAGGTGTCATTAGCTCTACCTTCCAAACATAGCCATTTCCTGCTTCACATCAGAACAGTTTTGATATGGATAGACCCCTGAAACCATCACCACGGTCAACAGTGAGAATATCTGTTTCCCTCAAGTTTTCCCATGTTCCTTTGTGATCTCACCCTCCCGCAGTGCCACCCAAACCCTTTCTGTCACTATGGTTTGCATTTTCTAGAGATTTCTATAAACACAATCATCAGTGTGTACTCTTTTCCTTTGGGCAGGGGGAGTCTGACTACTTTCACTCAGCATAATTATCCCGAGATTCACCGAAGTCATGTGTGTCAATAGTCCATTCTTCCTTTTCATTGCTGAGTAATGTTCCATTGTATGCATATCTCACAAATTGTTTATCCATTCACCCACGGATAGACATTTGGATTATTTCCCATTCTTGGCTATTACAAATAAAGGTATTATGAACAGTCATGTACATTTCTCATTTTTCTCTGGGAATGGAACAGCTGGGTCATATAGTAGATATTTAACATTTTAAGAACCTGACAAACTTTTGTAGAGTTGTACCATTTTACATCTCCATCAGCAGTGTAGGAGAGTTCCAGTTCCTTCAACATTTGGTATTATTTTTAGCCCAGGCTAGCCTCGAATTCCTGGGCTCAAATGATCCTCCTGCCTCAGCCTCCCAAGTGGCTGGGACTGCAGACTTGAGCTACCATGCCTGGCTTGCACTTGGTATTTTAAAAGGGAAAAACTGTAATGTGTTACAGAGAACCCAAAACTTCCCAACAATTTCCTAAAATCTAAGTAAAACACATTAAGTGCCTGTATGAAAATAGCAAACTGTAATGTTGGCACATAAAAAGCTTAAAACATTATTTCTTCATCACCAAAAATTAATACAGTTGCTTTGCATTCAGTAAACCTGTGGTGCTTTTCTTGGTGCATCAGAGACACCTATCACTTTTGTTGAGGATTCTGAAGTTCTACCTTTACATGGAATGTAACATGAACTTTCCCCACAGATTGTTTAAAATGTTGCACTAAGTTTTTAAATGTAAGCAAATTTTTCCCAAACTGCCCAAAAAATATTGAGATACAAATATTCTGTGATAATGTGGGTATTAAAAATTAGGCCAGGTGTGGTGGCTCACGCCTGTAATCCTAACACTTTGGGAGGCTGAGGCAAGTGGATCACCTGAGTTCAGGAGTTCGAGACCAGCCTGGCCAAAACTGTGAAACCCATCTCTACTAAAAATACAAAAAATTAGCCAGGCGTGGTGGCGGGCGCCTGTAGTCCCAGCTACTCGGGAGGCTGAGGCAGGAAAATGGCATAAACCCAGGAGGTGGAGCTTGCAGTGAGCCAAGATTGCGCCACTGCACTCCAGCATGGGCGACAGAGCGAGACTCTGTCTCAAAAAAAAAAAAAAAAAAAAAAAAAAATTAGCCGGGTATGGTGGCAGGTGCCTGTAATCCCAGCTACTCAGGAGGCTGAAGCAGGAGAATCTCTTGAACCCAGGAGGCGGAGGTTGCAGTGAGCCAAGATCACACTATTGTACTCCAGCCTGGGCAGCAAGAACAAAACTCCATCTCAAAACAAATAACTAAAATAAAAATTAGAAGACGTTCTACTAAGACAACATTCTGTGGCTTTATTTCTGGCTCCCCCCTGGGGAACCAGCAATTCTGGAGAATTGCTCTCCCTATGCCATCCCCTTGAAGTTGTGTGACACCAAGTGACTTGTCTGGCTGGTAGCAGAAGTGATAGATGTCACTCCTCGGCAGTAGTTTTGAAAGCCAGTATGCAATTTATCCATTCTACCCTCTGCCACATCACCAGCTCACAATGGTCACTCCACCTGCCTGGTCCTAGAGGACAATGACCTAAGGCCCAGAGTCCTCAGCTAGCCTATGAAGAACATATAGGACAAATAAATTCCTATTTGTCCAGTTTAATCTGTGAAAGAAATCTTCGTGGTGTCAAGCCGCTGAAATTTCAAGGTTGTTACAATATAACACAGCCTGTCCTGCCAAGTACATGAAGTCAATCTTGGACACTCATGTTTTGCTAGGGAAGTGAAATTCTTTAGGTTTTCGCATTGCCAATGAGTTACACCCAATGTTCTTGTGTATTTTGTAATCTCTTCTAATTATGTTATTGGTTTGCCTTTCTCGTTCTCAATCATATTTTCACTCTCCTGCTATCTGAATCAACTTTACCAGGGATTTATATATTTCAGTTTCCAAAGAGCCAGGTCCTTTTAAACTTTGCTCTTTCTAGTTCATTCAGCTTCAACATGAAGGAAAAAGTCTAGCATGGTGGTCAAGGTCATGGGCTTGGAGCCAAGTTCCCTACACTGGAATCCCAGCCTTGTCAGTGTCAGGCTGTGTGATCTAGAACAATGACCAATCCTCTTCTGCCTCTGTTTTCTCTGTAAAATGGGATGAGAGCACCTAATTCATTGGAAGGACTACTGCATGTAAAACCGTGCCTGGCATTTGTATATGTTCAACAAACATTACTTATTATAAGTGTCTCATCCTCTTACCAAACTACTGAAATTAGCATCCAGCTCATTTTTCAGTCTTAAAAATATGCAAACACATGCCCTCAGATTTCAGCGTAAATTGTGTCCCATTATTTTTGGTACAAAATGTTCCCTTTTCATTGTTATGGTTTATCTTGATTTCTTATTGAATCTAGGTATCTAATCTCATAATTTCTCAATTCAAACTAAGAATTTATCTTTACTTCATTTCTAGTTTTATTGATCAGAAAAGACCCTTGAAAATTTTAAGTGGACAAATATATATCCTACATATTCCGCAGAAAGTATGTTCTTTGCATAGTTGTTTTATTCATATACTTTGTTTTGCCTACTAGATAGTCTGGTCATTGTTAAGAGGTATTTTCAACAGCCCCACTAAGATTGTTCTTATCAAATTTCATTTTTTTTTTGTGAGGTTTTTTTGCTTTTACAGTTGGGTAGAGGTAGATCAAGTTTGACTACCATATTTCCAATTTAAGTCACGATTACAGTATATAAAATCCCAGTTTGTCCTGTTCCTGCTTTAATAGTCTCAACCTTTCTTAAATTCCCATTTGTCCAATGACATCACCCCACCTGTTTTTTCATCTCTGCCTTCCCTTAATCTAAAAATACAGTTGTGCTCTTTAATCCATGCTGACAGTCCACTTGGTAATAGGCAAAATTCATCTAGCTTCCATTTAGCTACTTGTATGTCCTATTTATTTTTGCTGAATTTACTTTGTTCCTTAGAGCGGCTGATCTGATATTTTTTCGCTTGTTAATTTAGAAGTGCTACAATTTTTAGATCTAGGAGCTACTGTTCCACTCTCAAACATCTACATTTCTGTTTAATGCACTAGCTATAAGTTACAAAGTGACCTAAGATGAGGCAAGGAGCTGTTTTGAAAAGGTATTAGCTATTTCATGTTCATACACATTGAACTGTATTAAAGTGGACTTCTGGGGGTTAGGGGTGGGGACTTTTTGGGGGTACAGGAGGGATGGAGTCTCACTCTGTCACCCAGGCTGGAGTATAGCTGTATGATAATAGCTCACCACAGCCTCGAGTCCCTGGGCTCAAGCCACCTTCCCACCTCAGTCTCCAGAGTAGAACTACAAGCATGCTCCACCATGGCAAGCTAATTTTTGTATACTTTTTTTTTTAAAAAAAAACAGGGTTTTGCCATGTTGTCCAGGCTGGTCTTGAACTCCTGGACTTAAGCGATCTGCCTGCCTCAACCTCCCAAAGGGCTGCGATTACAGATGTGTGCCACCATGCCAGCTTTTTTTTTTTTTTTTAAAAAGACCGGGTCTTGCCTTGTTGCCCAAGCTGGTCTCAAACTCCTGCCCTCAAGCAATCTGCCAACCTCAGCCTCCCAAATAGCTAGGATTATAGGCATGAACCATCGTGCCTAACATAGAGACCCTTTTTTGTAATATGCAACTTCAACACACTACATGTAGTAGGAAATCATGCTCTTGGTGTTCAATAATACATTAAAACTTACAGAAAACACATTATCAGGATGTGCAAATAGGACAAAGCACAAGTTTGCCAATAAATTGAGTTCTTACATCTAAACAATTCTTAGGTATTCCCTGCACTAGTGACATTACCTCCATCTTCCAGGCAATGTTCCAAATTTCCTCAGGCTACCTGCCGAATGTATTTAACGATTTTAAAACTTAACATTCTAGCAATGCTAGCAATATCCCTAATACTTTCAAGGCATAGCTTATGAAGTAATACACTTACACATAAGATGTTGTTTGGAGCTAATGTTAAGGGACCCACCAATCAGATTCCTATGGTTTGAGGGATATATGGTAGCTATATGGTCTGTAAGGCTGGTTATATTTAAGAAATTACCTCTTGTGCTCAGTTAAACATGGAACGTTGGGCATATGGTTATCTGTGCTCCCTCCTGAAACCCCATTAAAACCCCATGAACTGAAAGGTTGGGAGGGGGTAGAAATCAAGGGGGCAGAAGTAGCATTCAAAGACAAAAAGTGTGAAAGGGGAAACAGCAGAGGAGGAGGAATGCCATTTTGACTGGTGGCAAGCAGGTGTGCTAGGGCTGAGTTAGCAAAGCAGAGAAAGCTGGAAGTGCAGCAGCCAAGGGGAAGGGAAAGCTAAGAAGTACAGAGAATTCCAGCACAGCACTCTGCAGAGCCTCCAGCCCAGGAGAGAACCAGGGCAAAGGGGACATCTGCATGGATGGGCCAGGAATGCACTTAAGCCCTGCTTCTGCTGCAAGCCTAGACCAGAGATGGCCTAGACTGACACCAGCATGGGAATAGAGATGGTGAGAAGTGACAAGTTTCTGCATATATTGAGATACAGCCAACAGGATTTCAAAATGAAGGAATGACATGTTAGATTTCTGGCCCAAGCAACAGAAAAAAGTGAACATTAGTTGAAAACTAAGAGTTGCAGTTTTTTTGGAAAGATCGAGTTCAGATTTAGACGTTAAGTTTGAAGTGACTATTGGACAGCCAAGTGACAGTGGTAAGCCGTTATCTTTATTATTCTGGTCAGGAAGCTAGTCTGTCCTCTGCCCCAGAGAGACAGCATCTCTACCCTCCCTGCTGGTTTGCCATACAAGAGTCCTTAGTAAGCTGGTCCAGGACATAAGTCATCACAAGATATGTAGAAACGCCTTTGAGGATTGCCCTGCAATAGCATCATTCTCTTGTTTCTATAGGGTCCTGGCTTCTGGCAGATTTTTTTCCATGAGCATGCCATTCAACCAGTATGACTAATATGGCCAACATGAGCCAAGACAAAAATTCTAGTTTGTACTCTAAGCACCAGAATTAGACCAACCTGTAATATTGAGCTTAGCTATAACCCCCAGGGTTCCAGCTGAACAGATTTCAAATCATCAACATCTACCTTAGAAAGCCAAGTAGCTTGCTCCTTAAGTTTCTGTATTAACCCAAAGCATTAACCCAGGTGGAACAAGATGTATTAGCAATTGCACAGACTGCACCTTGGCACACAAGGAAGAGGTCTAGGGTGAGTCACAACCATAACAATCCTGGCCAGTGAATTAGGCTGGGCTGCTCTGTCAGGACCCAGGTAGTGTTTCCCTAAACACTTCCAGGTCTCCTGTGACCACCACTAGGGTCTAAGTCAATTGTTTTAGGAAAGAGGCAAACTGATGTCCAGCTTGATGTACAGCTTAAGTAGAAGCTACAGTGATGTGGAACAGAGCATCCCTGGACACAGCGTTTATTTTGCCTTACCCAAAGTGAGATCTATACCACTTAGCATAGGTTGACAGTGGCTCCAGCATAGACTCCCAGCCAGCTGGTAAGCCTGAAAATTCCCGGTTCCATCTACTCAGGGGGTCTGCCTGAGGAGAGTCAGTCTAGATTGCTGATAATGCCAGCTGGGTTGCATTTATCCACTTCACAAAATAGGTCAACTGTCTGGCTGAGAATGGCAGTCCCAGCAGTCAGATTGCTGTGGTTTGAGGGACATGTCATGGAGTTTCCTTCTGTATCAAAACTTCAGGGCAGTTCTGAGAGCAGGGGTCATTGTTCAATGACCCAACGTTCATTGTTCAACATGAACTTCAATGTTCCCAGTGTTTATCAAAGGTAAGTGCCACTTTGTGGATGAAGCCATCACGACCAACAAATGCATCATCTAGAGGATGGGGCAAGACAGACGTTTAAACAGTCAGCTGTCTGGCTGAGGATGGCAGACCCAGCAGTCAGATTGCTATAGTTTGAGAGACATGCCATGAGTTTTCCTTTCTGTACCAAGACTCTAGCACAGTTCTGAGAGGGGTATCACTAATGCCCCTCTTTCTTTCTCACCTCCTAGGGTGTAAGACAGGTCACCTCAGCAGATGCTGGCTTGTTTGTTGCTCTTCCATCATCTCCACAAAATTGATGTCCCATTCCAGGAGCTACAACTCCAGCTATTATCCAACCATTCCCTGCTCACACCCAGACCTTCTGTAGATCAGGTGAAAGGGATAGGACACTAAGATTTAACAGGTTTGAGTCCCCAAGGCCTCCTTTTTGGCTTAGGGAAAATAAGCTCATAAATAACCTGAGGAAGAATCTATGGAGAAACAGTCTTAGAAGGGGGTCAGAGCTGATAAAGTCAATCTTCCAGGCAGGGAAAAGGGAACTACCTTTTGTGATATTGCATGAGCTTGTGGCAGGAGTCAGAAGTTTGGTGTGCAACAGTAGCCTCTGCATCAAAACACAGTTCAGTTCAATCAGCAGCTTGATTCTAGTTAGTTTCAGAACCAGCCTTTGCCATGGGTATCTGAGGGAGTGAGCCAGATAGTTTCCAGTTTGAGAGGACTATTTGATCTGTTTCTTCCACTTAGAACATGAACTGGCAAACAGGCCATTAACAGCCCAGCAGTTTGAATTCTGCTCTGAGTAGGGCAACCACATTCACTCTTAGCTCTGCAGGGCTGGCTCTGAGGCTGAGGACTTGCATCAGCCCAGTGGACACTGAGGTTTCAACTCAGCCAGACCCTCACTGAGGCAGGCTCAGGCAAGTACAAAGGAGGGCATCTTGGGCCAGTGGCTTTTCCTCCCCAGTAGCAGAGTAGGTAGAATGCAGTTTCTCCATAGGAATTACAGCTACTTTTCCGCATAAAGCCAAGATACCACTGGGCAAAGACTGTTTCGTTCTTGGCTATGTCACGGCTATTTCTAAGCAAGGCTTTTGGGGTGCTTTCTACCTTGTTAGTCTTTGAGTGCAAACTGACCCATCCCAAAATGATAATTTCAGGACTAAGTCACAAAGCCTCTAGAGATGAGGTGTTTCATTTCAATGGGAACTCAAGAAGCCAAGAGCTACTTTCCAAAAGAGGTCTACCTGGGTAGCCCTGTCAGAGGGGCCACAACTCCAGGACACCAATGGCACCTCCAGGTGGGAGGCTGACTCCCTTTGCCAGAGGCCCCAGTTGACAAAAGTCAGACCTGTTCTGTTTCCAATGTCCAAGGAGTCCAATAAGGCATTGTAACTTACACCAGTAAGCCAGGCCCATTACTGTCAGTCTCTAAACAGCTGCTCATGGCTCAACCAGTTTCGTTCACCCAACACCCTGTGTCAGCTTTAGTGACTCCTTGACCTTCCTTCTCCCCACTAGGAAGAAAGCAAATGACTAAAAGCACTATTGGGGCTGCTTGTTTCAATCCTAGTCTCAACCCCTTAGTCTCATTAACAGGACAGTGAAGACTTACCCTCACACTTGGGCAGCAGCGTTCACTACCAGACACAGGGTCTCAAGGGACTTGCTTCTCATCTCCCCTGACCCAGCCTGCAAAGGATCTTTGTCCTTTCTCTTGCAGAAATCCAGGTTTGTGTCCCATTCTCATCACCAAAACTTAAGAACCATCAAGAGTCAAGATTTTACCCTATTTTCAAGCTAACAAGTTATCCTGCCACAGTTTTATAGATGCCGAGACAGGAAACCCCTCGTCAGAGAAAAAACGACTGACTTACTGCCTGGTAGGTGGCACAAGCTTCGTGTTTGAATCCATTTCCCCCACCCCCAGCCTCCCTTGTGCAAGTCTCATCGCAATGAGGCGCAGCCTTGAGTAGGGTAGCTCTGGCACAGCTGAGGGGATTTGAAGCTTAGAGAACCCCAATCCCCGATCATTCAAAGGAGCTGCTAGTATGTCTGATTTGACACCTATCAAGATAGACTTCCAAGAATATTCAGGAAGACAACCTAGTTTTCAATGACTTAATCTAATTCTGGTAAGATGAGTTGTCCCTGCAATTAAGGGACATTGCCCTCCTATTCCTTGTGCTCCATCTCCCAAATCTTGCTGTGTTCTCGGACACAGACCCTCAGGCTGGGTGGCTAAAATCCAGAACTCGACTTGACCACCAGCAGCTGTCATGCTGTTCTGACAGGACTGACTTCCTGCATAGGTAATTATTTTCTGATGGTTTAACTCTGCCTTGCTCAATGCTGGGAGTGGGACCAAGTTTATACAACAAATGGAGAAAAGAATTATCTGTTCTACTCTCCTAGATGTTTCCCTTCCCCAGCCTCTAATGGCAAGAACCTGGGATCCTACCTTGTTCTGACAGGACTGTTCTTTTCCCATCCCTTCAACATGAAGATTTTGCCTCAGTCTTCAGAGTCCTAGTCCTCACAGGTATTAATTTCCTCAAAAACAGATATGAAGCCTTTGAAGTCAGGGGTATGTCAGGAAAACCTGGTTTGATGAGAGAAGAAACCAGAGCACCATAGGGCTAGGATACAGGGTTAGCAAAAGTGGATTTGGTTGTTTGGTTATGTAAAATAAATAAATAAATAAATAACCTGACATTTTAATTGGGGTCTAGGCTCAAGCCTGTGTTTCATCCATTTTTCTTGAAAAGCTCTCAAAAGATCAAAGTTGTGGTAGAGTTTGAAGACACTTAGGATTTGGAAGAAACATAGGCTTTTGTCACCATTACCAATTCCACCATAACAGTTTAAGTTCCAGGTACAGTTGTCACTCCAAGATGGTTTTTCCTGAAAACAACCTATACATGTTGAGTGACTAAGGTTCAATGACATTCATAACAGACCCACCCACTATGAAGTATCTTTAAGTCTCCTACCAAAGACTAACCTCATTCTCGAGGCATGTAAACCCCATATCCCAAGATAGTGAAGCTTATCAAGTGCCTATTTAACAGTACGCAGTCATACTTCATCTTATTATACTAACTCTTTGGAGATGTCCTTAGTCCTTTTGTCTTTTAGAGCTGCTGGTCATCTGAACTTGCTGGTTCCCTCCAGCCATTCTCCTCTGCATTTGGTGGGCAAATCTGGGTCCTGCCCAGCCAAGGCTCCTGCTTCCCTGGAATCCTCTGGATAGGAAGGGAATTGAGCGCAGCTGGAGTTGCTAGCTATGCCCGGGAGGTTACCTCCACGTGTTTTAATTTATGCCCCAGGATCCTACACACAGGAGAGGAGATAGCCTTAGCACAACGACTCTCAACTGGGGTGGGGAGGTAGGTCTTGTACTGCAAGGGGACATTTGGCAATGTGTGAAGACATTTTTGGCTGTCCTAACTAGGAGGTGGGTGCTACTGGTATCTGGCAGGTAAAAGCAAGGGATGCTGCTGAACACCCTACATTGCACAGGACAGCCCTGCCCCAAACAGAATCATCCAGCTCATAAGGTCAAGAAACCTTGCAAGGAGGTAGTATAAGTCTATCCTCAGATGAGCTTGATGGGCGTTTTAAGGTATAGCATTGCTGTGAAACAAGTTCTTCATGAGATCTCAATACAGGTGCACTGAGTTTAAGTGATATCACATTAGATTTGAAAGGGCATTACTGGCTGGGCACAGTGGCTCACACCTGTAATCCCAGCACTTTGGGAGGCCGAGGCGGGCGGATCACGAGGTCAGGAGATTGAGACACCATCCTGGCTAACACGGTGAAACCCCGTCTCTACTAAAATTACAAAAAAAAAAAAAAAAAATCAGCCAAGTGTGGTGGCACTCGCCTGTAGTCCCAGCTACTCGGGAGGCTGAGGCAGGAGAATCACTTGAAACCAGAAGGCAGAGGTTGCAGTGAGCCAAGATCGCACCACTGCACTCCAGACTGGGCGACAGAGCGAGACTCCGTCTCAAACAAAAAAGAAAGAAAGAGCATTACTACCTTTCTGCTCTTATCTCTAAAACTCCAGTTTTTGCCTTCAGCAGAAAATCTGATTCAAGTCAAGTCTTGTTACTTCCTTCCTGGGACTGTTTCTCTTTGTCTCTTAAGTAGCTTCAGGATATTTTACTTCTTCCCTTTTCCCTGCTCTTCTTTACTCCCTGAGAATAATTTAAGCTCCTAGGGGAGGTTAGGCATTCTGGTTTGGGAGAAGCAGCACCTGGGCCACTATCATCAACCACTCAGGCTGGCTTCGGAGGAGTGCAGCTTTGCTGGAGTTTGTTAGTCTGCACCCACTCCCATCATTGCTGAAGCATTCACAGCCTATCTCCTGCTCCTGTCTCCAAGTCTCTATTCATCTTCCACCAGTGAGCCATTCCTGCCTACCAATTCTCTTTATGGGAAGAGTCACCATTCCAAAGCAATGATGAGTTTTCTCATGTTCTCCTGGGACACTCTGGAGCCCTGGGATATAGCAGGGGATGGGGAGTGGACTATATCAGGGCTTCTCTTGGCCTTCATGAGCCCTGCTACCATTTCCACTCTGCCACCATTGCCCTAAGTGCGTGAGGCTCTTTCCTAGCCTAGCATCATAGCTATATGCCAGTTACCTTTGTTCTCTGGTCCCTCTGAATATGAACCTGGGGTTGCTAATATAACCCTACACCTCAGAGAGAGGGTGTAGGGTTATGTACAGGGAGGAAGTAGCTCCGGGTCCCCCAGGAACACGCACCAGCACATAACTCTTACAATCCCTTCAATCCATTGCCAACTCAGGTCTTTCTTTTGTGGTCAGAGACATCCCTCTTCCACCTCCTTTGTTAGTAAAGCAATGCATTCCAGACAGAGGCACTTGTGAACACAGAGTCCAAAACAAGTGGGCACACTTTGGCCTCAACTTAGGACAGCTGTAACTGAAAACCTTAAGAAGAAAAGAAGAGTCTTCAGTTAGAAGCAGGTTTAGTTGTGTTTTTATGTTGAGAAGTAGATAGAGGAAAGAAAAGATAAAACACAGGAGGAAAGCCAGCTTCCTTGCTGCAGCTCTATCAGGGGAAACCAGCTACTGCCACATCCTATCGCCGACCACTGGGAAGTGCTGGGGATGGACACTGCCAGCTTCACACTTTCTCCAAAAGCAGCCAGGAACCTACAGAAGTACATAGACTGTCTTGATTTTATGTGATGCTGAACTAATATGAACTAAACAAGACTGGTTTCTGGGCCTCATTTGTCCTGGGTGCTGTAGGTTGGTCTCAACATGCCCCTCAGTTCAGCACCATGACTGACAGTTAGTAGATACAGAGACAGAGAGCAGGGCTGTTCTTCCAGCCTGAGAACAGAGGCTACCCACCTGGAAGTCTCTTTTGAAGCCAGAAATCCCACTGCCAGCAGCCCGAAGTCCACTCTCTCAGTTCCTTAAAATGCTAAGGCCAAGCATTTTAAAGTCCCTGGAGGGTAGGGCTCACGTACTTAAATACTTTTCTCCTTCAGCCAGCTCTCAGCTGGAGCCAAGGCAGTTTCAGCCTGAAGCTGGGTCCAGTGACTTCAGCTGTGTGGAAGGGGAAGCAGCAGCCTCTGATCTGTGAGTTTAGAGGGATGATTGGTTTCAGGAGCCTTTTAGGAGCTAATGTACAATGGAAAATGGTTCTGTTTCTCTGTGTAAGATGCTGATGTACCTAAGGTTAAATTGTAATCACCTTAAGCTTGAAAATCAGTTTTCTATTTCCCTTTTCCTTGTCTAATGGGTATGTTAAGACTTTTGCTACATATACATGACCCCTTGAAAAACACATAGCGTGTTTTGCTTGAATTAATACTTTATGTCAATGGTGTCATTCTACTTTTCCTTCTGCGACAGCTTTTCCTCGTTCAAATCATTTGAATCATTTGTCTTTGTCGATACATGAAATCTAGTTTTTTCTTTTTTACCAATCTGGAACACGGGTAGGCAAATCCGAGCAGCACCAAATCCTACTCACTGCTTGTTTTTGTAAAGAGTTTTATTGGGATACAGCCAAATCCATGTATTTACACACTATCTTCGGCCACTTTGGGGCCACAGTGGCAGTGTTGATTTGCTGTGGCAAAGTCTAAAATATTTACTATCGAGCCCTTACAGAAAAACTCTATCAGTCTCTGCCCTGTGATATTCCCTTGAATTAATTCTCCACTTTTTAACTTAGCAGTACTCTGGGATTGACTGATATATATCTTCTTTTCAGTCTTTTAATATTAAATAATGCTAAATAAACAATCCTATACACATATATGGCATGTGCACATGCTGACAAGTGAGACTCTAGGATGTTCATACAGATCTTGAACATCTTTCATTAGATTTATTATAATTTATCTTTTTCTTCCATTTTGATTATACATGGTATCTTTTTAAAAACTAATACACTCTACAGCCAGTGAAAAAGGACAGAAATAATTGTTCACATTGATTTTGTATTCATTAACCTTATTGAATTAGTAAGAATTAGGCTTGACCATGTGTAACTGAAACCCGATGAAAAAAACTTGTCCAACTACAACTTTGTCTGTTCCATACCAAAGGCCCTCAGAGATGGTACAACTGTTCAGTTTTTTGTTGTTGGTGTTGTTGGTGGACAATTAAAAAAATTATGTGCAACATAATCACAATTTTCAGTTGAGAAAATGATTGCAAAATTCACACAATTTTGGAGGTGGAAAAGTATGGTTTAAATGGGGACTCAAACACAGGTAATATGTAAAATCATATTAGTACTAAATTGACAACATCAATATAAAACCATTTTAAAAACTAGGTTTCTGGGTTTTATTGGGATGCCTTAGCATAAGTGCTCCTGCAGAGCAATCTGGAGTCAGGAGGTACATCCCCATGACCCTGATGTTGGTCTCTAACACAGCCTGCACCAGAAGGAAGCATGGATCCTTGAAAAGTGGCTGTGTCTTTGCCTTGGAACAGATGAAATTTGTGAGCCTGGAACATCTAATTATCAGAAAGTGAAGATACTTTCTTAGCTTCTAAAGTGTAGCCTAAAAGAACACAGAGGCCAGCCGGGCGCAGTGGCTCACGCCTGTGATCCCAGCACTTCGGGAGGCCGAGGCGGGTGGATCACCTGAGTCAGGAGTGAAACCCTGTCTCTCCTAAAAATACAAAAACTTAGCCTGGTGTGGAGGCAGGCACCTGTAATCCCAGCTACTCGGGAGGCTGAGGCAGGAGAATCGCTTGAACCCAGGAGGTAGAGGTTGCAGTGAGCCGAGGTCACACCATTGCACTCCAGCCTGGGCAATAAGAGCAAAACTCCATCTCAAAAAAAAAAAAAAAGAAAAAAAAAGAGAGAGAGGCCAGGTAGAAGCAGCTTGCATTGACAAAGATGGGACAATTTGGATGTCAAAAGAAATTTTAAAACATAATTAATTAAAATAGTCTTCAAAAAATGAGTCCATAATGATACTCAGAAGAAGAAAACTTTAAATAACTAGTGTTATATTTTGGGAAATGTATTCAGAAATATTTATATAAACATGTTTGATTGTACCTATATTTTCAAATATGAGCCTATCATTTACAAAGACTAATAGACTCAATGTCATTTTTAAAAGAATTTTAAAACTTAAATCCCATGCTTGGAATACCCTTATCCATCACTAGGGATCAAGATACTCAGAGGCCAAATTTAAAAGGGTCCAATTGAGGCTCTTTGTCTCAGAGAAGTATCCGTGCTTGTGAATACTGGTTTTCACCAACATCCAAATATTAACATTGGAAATCAAAAACATCTAGTTTTGTCTTAATAATTTAATTCCAACTATAACTCTTATCATTTTCCTCACAAATCGAGTGATTTTTATAGAATAAGAACACTCTCCCTAGTTCTTCATTTAACAGATTAAATCCCTCAAATAATTAGCTCCATTTATGAACTTAATTAACTAATTTCCATTACAAATTTAAATCACATAAAAAATTTAACTTTTCTAATGCCACACAGGGTCGACTTACAGACTGAACCTGTCTTTGACTTCTTGGGAAACTGACCTAAGAGAGAAATGATGCAATTTGAATTGAAGTGATCATATACTCCCTCATCAGAATCTCTCTCTGCCTGATCAGTTTAACTTTATCTATCTTACAGACCACCATTCCAGAGTCATTTATTGAAGGAATTGCCTTTTTAAAAATATGATAGCCACACCTGTGTGGTGGCCCCCTCTAATCCTCACCTACCCTTGTGTATTCCCCTCTCTTGAACAACTTGCTCTGGGGGAGCCACTTACAATGTCAGCACACTCAAAGCAGCCCTATGAGAGGTCCACGTGGCAAGGAACTGACATCTCCTGCCCACAGCTAGGACCAACTTGCTGGTCATATGAGTGAGCCACCTTGGAAAGAAGACCATCCAGCCCCAGTCAAGCCCCTCAATGACTGCAGCAGCCTTGAATGCCAGCTCATGAAAGATCTCAAACCAGAACTGCCAGCTAAGCTGCTCCCAAATTTCTGACCCACAGAAGCTGCGATAATGAATGTTTATTGTTTTGAGCCACTAGGTCTTAAGGTAATTTGTCTAAGTCAACAGATAACAAATCAAGAAATAACATGGGTTGGAGTTTTTCAAATTAGAAAAGGAATGTATGTTCATTATAGAGAACAAAGGAAAAAACTAAAAGCACCCAAAATCTCTCATTCCTGCCCTGAATATATCTTGTATCCACTGGGCAACTATCCTGCCAGTCTTTGTTCCAAGCATGTATTTCACAGGCATATATTTAAAAGTTAGGGGCCAGGTACAGTGGCTCATGCCTGTAATCCTAGCACTTTGGGAGGCCAAGGCAGGCAGATCATTTGAGGTCAGGAGTTCAAGACCAGCCTGGCCAACATGGCAAAATGCTGTCTTTACTAAAAGTAAAAATAAAAAATTAGCCAGGTGTAGTGGTGCATGCCTGTAATCCCAGCTACCCGGGAGGCTGAGGCAGGAGAATTGCTTGAACCCAGGAGGCGGAGGTTGCAGTAAACCAAGATTGCACCACTGCACTCCAGCCTGGGCAATGGAGTGAGACTCCATCTCAAAAATAAATAAATAAAGTTGGGACCATTCTATACTATCTGTGCATGTAAATGTAAAATACAAAATAATTATTTTTAATTTGGATATGGAAATTTCTTTGGTGAATTGTCAGTTTATATCTTTTTCATTTACATTGGGAACCTGCTCTTGTTAAATGGGAACATTTTTCTCATCAACCACATACTGTTAATTTTTTCCCAATATTTTTCATCTAAGTGTCACTTTTACTGTGGTGACCAGTGTCTTCGTGGTCCATGACAGGAAAGTCCAGCTTTGACTCGGCCCTACTAAAGTAAGGCATCCCTGGAGTCTGCTGATTGTGAGTGCATCTGGAAATCCTCAGAAAGATGTCAACAGGAATAGTGGCCAACCCTGGGGGCCAGAGGTCTGGGAGGCTGGTGGGAGGAACGTCTCAGTCTTCCAAAGCAAGCAGAGTATCTGCTATGTGGGCAGCCCATTGCAGTCCTGTGCTGGGTGGGGAGCAGCTGAGCCAGGTACACTGCTGAGCCAGGGGCTGTAGTTCAGGAGCAGACACATGTAGGAAAGAGCCTTCTGGAGACTGCAGCTCTTCCAAGGCCTCCAACACTGCCCCCATCTGAATGAGAAGCAAGGACACCAGGCTAACGCTGGCACCAGAGAGGAATTCTCCAGTTGGGGGTGGATGTCCAGGCTACTCAACCCTTTGGATGCTCCTACTAATTACTGCCACCACCACCATGCTGGTCTCAAGGTTGCTCCTCCCTATCCCGGCCCAAGACTCTTATGGTCAAATATATTCTTCCACGTCTAGAACACCCACCCAGAGAGCTCATATGAAATCAGAGCCCACAGGCATATAAGCCCCATCTGGACTTCCCCACCCTCCCACCCTTGCCAGATAGGAAGGCTCTTGGATCTTGTGGGCCTCCTGGACCTCCCCAGCCCTAACAAATCCATCAGCATCCGCCTGGAACACTGGAGATCTGCCCCATTCTCACAGGACTACTCTTCTTTATCCTGCTCTATAGCTGGTTTGCTCTCTACTTCTTTCTTCTGAGCCCCAGACTGCATCTAAATTATAGTTTCAGATTCTAAATGGAGTGGGCCAATGGCAACAGGGGAGTCAGATAAAGGGATGCTGGTTTTTGTTACCTGTTTTCCACTCATATCTCCAAACTTGGATGTTTGTCCAGGTCTCTGCAGGCAGAAGTATGTTTGCCCAGTGTTGGCAGAGAAAGGCTTTATATAAATCTCAGAAGCTGGCACTCTTTGATGCTTAGGGCAAGATCCCACTGTGATTTGGGTGTAATCAAATAGAATTTCCTCTGGGGATTCAAGATCCTGAAAGATGTTGTTTGTGTAGCAGTTGGGGCATTGGAAGAGAGTTGCACAGAACCTATGTAAAAGATTGAAAGTGGCTAGTAGGAAAACACCTCACTAATTCTTTGACCTAGTGCAACCCCTCAAGCGAGTCTCACTACCTGGTTTCATTCACCTCTCAAAGTACATTTCCTCAACAGTATTCAATGGAAAGTCCTGTTTACAATTTTTCAGTGTTTTCAAATTTTAATTGAATTCTTGCAAGATGAATGGTCCCCACAATCAAGCATCACCATCCTCAAGTCTTCTACCCACCCCCAACCTCTCAAAAAACAGCTTTTCCCTGAAAAATCAACCATTTAACCCATATTTTCCTGAACATTTCTTGCATGTGCTCTTTGCACTTCCAAAATTATTTTCATCTTAGTAAAATCTCTTAGAACAATAAATGAAAATGGATAAGATCATAAGCATAATGGAATTTTTAACCCAGAAAAGGACATATCAGATAAACAAATAATGAGAATATAGAAAATTTAAATAGCCATTATTAATAATCCAAATATAATAGAAAGTGGGGGGACTGTAAAAAGAATGTAAATTCACTAGAAGAAACTGGGGATCTTTGACAAAATGGCTGATCTCTGGGGCAGGACATATCCAAGGTAATCCTGGGATGCCTTGCTGTGCTAAAAAGCAAAAGACAAACCATAAAAACCACTAAGGCCTTGTCAATAAGCACTCAGAAACCAACTTGAGGAGGTTCCCTCTGGCTTAAAATGGGACAATTCAAGCACCAGTGTCATGGACTACAATGGACTGAAGCACAAAACATGAGCTTATAATGATAGTTAAAAGAAATTTTTAAACCCCATTGATCATCCCGGGAGGGTGCTAGGACAACTCAACACTATGAAAAACAACAAAGAAAGGGGAAAAATCAAATATGTATCTGCCTTTCCGTACAATCTGTATTTCAGAGCTGATGAGGTTAATTTCTATTTACAGAAACATTCCAGCAAATAAATAAGGAAGAAATAATAGGATTTAAAAATTGACATTTGCAGCTCCTGTATCTAGGCAACAACCATCAAGGGATGCTAGACCATTAGGAGAAAAGTTGATTGCAACTTTATAGTGGGTGGAATAGATGGTCAACTGTAAACCTCCTAATTAGTCTTGACATCGCTCAAAGTGGAACCAACAGACACAAGCTTCCTAATGCAAGGCAGCCGAAACCAGTCAGCACCAGCTGTGAGGGCTTCACACCTAAAAAAGAATTGAGCCTGAATCTCATCAAACCTCTTGATCTAACTAACCATTTCAGGAAATGTGGGAGCCAGAGGAAAAACCCAGCAAATTTGGAATGTCATGTTGAACAGTCTACAGTGCAAATACCCCAGTTCTCCATGAAAGAAATGGGATAGAAGGGTGGGAAATTTTTTAAGAACTTGGAGACTTAAGAAACAATGAAATGCCATGAATGGACTTTGGATTCAGATAATTCAACTAACATGCTTCTTTTGAAACAACAGATACATTTGAATATCACCTAATAAAGGGAATTATGTTGACTTTTGTCAGGTGTACTAATGATGAGGTGTTTTTACATACTGAAGTATTTCTGAATAAAATGACACGATGTCTGGTTCTTGATTCATACTACTCTGGTTAGTATTTTTAAACATGGGGCAAGAATAGATGTATTGAGATTGTCTTGGTTGGGCGCAGTGACTCACACCTGTAATCCCAGCACTTTGGGAGGCTGAGGCGGGCGGATCTCTTGAGGTCAGGAGTTTGAGACCAGTTTGGCCAACATGGTGAAACCCCATCTCTACTAAAAATACAAAAAATTAACCAGGCATGGTGGAATGCGCCTGTAATCCCCACTACTCAGGAGCCTGAGGAAGGAGAATCACTTGAACTGGAAGGCAGAGGTTGCAGTGAGCTGAGATCAGGCCACTGCACTCCAGCCTGGGCCACAGAGCGAGACTCCATCTCAAAAAAAAAAAAAAGAAAAAAAAGATTGTCAAATGTTAATTACTGAAGCTGGATGGTGTGCCCAGAGAGGGTTGGTGAATTATTCTTTATGCTTTTATTTGCAACTGGGCCGGAGGGTAGTGGGGTGGGGGACAAATCCGTCTTCAAATGTAGGCTAGCCATTTGCAGCTGAAATCCTTTTAGTGTTGCCTGGGCAACTCCAGATGACTCTTCCAACCATGTGTGGATGATCTGCTCATAAGAACTTCATTATTGCTTTGAAATACTGAATATAAAAAAGTTCCATTGGATTTGAAATGAATTTACCACAAAATTTCAACTTTACATTTGTCAATGAAAGAAAATAAGTGATGTTAACTGTAATTTTAACTTTTAGAAAATCTCAAAGGTTGTGAAGAAAAATGGTTAAACACTTGGTCACCTACTGATGCAGAGTTTCACTGATGAGCGCTATCAAGAATTTGAAGAGGTTTTTACTTAAAACTCTTAATCATAAATTTCACGGCAGTATTTCCAGCATAAAAACTGATAGTAGAAAGCTGAAGTTTTTTCATTTGAAAAAAAAAAAAAACTTAGAGTGTCTTTGGAAATTTCCTGTAAATCGAATCTTTAATATATTTTCTAATATGTGCATTTTATATTTATTATAATTATATAATGAAAAATAAGTCCCACATGATGCCCCTAAAGCTCCTCTAGCACACCACAGTGCATCATGTCAATATTATCACTTTCTATGTATGCTAATAATCTGAAAAATACTGGGAAGCTGGGAAGCACCGCTATAGATTCACTAAACAAATAATACAAAGCTTTGCATTCTTTAAAATTGAAGGTTATGTTCCAGGAAGATTAAACAGCAACTTTATAATGAACAGTCCAAGGAGAAATTTAGAAAGTGATTTACCTCCAAGAAGTAAAACCCGCTGACATGTAAATATCTTTAAAAAGAAGAAGAAAACACCGTTCCTCCTCAAAGCTGGTCTTATTTCTATGCTCCTCAGTTTACAATGGCAGCCATTTTCCCTCCCTTCCTGGGGAAAATAACAACCAGCCCATTATGGTGAATTCTCACAGTGACTAAGGTGGTCCTTCCCTGTGGTGTGAGCACTGTGAAGTTAGGTGTCTAGCATAATCCTGTGAGTTTTTATTTTGACATGTTTGAGCCACTTAAGGATAAATTACAGAGCACTGTGTATCAAGATGACAAAGACAGTCTCAAATTCATTAAAGTGTTGTGGAGGGCAGCGGGTACTTGAAAATTCTAAACAGGATTTGTCGACACGAATATTTTTCAAGAGATTACACAGGTCACTCGATATGGCAGAAGGGAAAACATGCTTTACAATGGTGACATCTGGCGGTCACCATCCAAATCAAATGATTAAGCATCATCAATAGTGGGGCAATCTGACATTGTGTCTCCTTATGTGATACAAAATGACTCCCACCGCATCGCCTACGACACATTCTTGCTAAAAATGTAAACTTGAACTTAAGCCTTTAGCCCTAGTCTCCAATTTAGAGGAAATTCAAGGGATACAGAAACAGGTTAAAAAACACTGTGAGAAAATTATCAAACAAATCCAGAAGGTGGGGTGTTTAAAAAGATAATTGTCTCTTTAAAAAGTCAGTATCATAGAAGCAAAAGTCAGGGGTGTAGAAAAACGTGGGAGCACTGTTCCCAGGGCACTGTTGATCACTGATCTATCACCTGAAGTTTCTATAAACGAAAATAGAACTGCATATTTTGGTAGATGAAGTGAAGAAGTGTAAGTTGTCTTTTCTTTCATTGCTTCTCCCAGTAACTTCAGCCAGAAGCAGCCTCTCCAAGGTTTAAAAATGGTCAACTTCTCTTTGATTTAATATCTCCATCTATAAGATTATTACAGTCGTCCCATAATTTGGAAAAGATTGAGAAGAGCTGATTGCAACAGTAACACAGTGCTCCTAAGGGTATAGTTCTGAATGGTCACCCTCCCTTCCTTCCCCTGATCGCAGGCAATCTCCAGGTTTCCATGGGCCCCAGAAGAGCAGGGAATCAGATCTGGTTCCAGTGGCCATCACCTCACAAACAAAACAATTGTCTCCATTCCTTCCCGGAAACCCACTCCACTTTTTCCTTTAAGCCCTCAAAACAGAGCCAGACTGTTTTCCCTTTCCCCAGACAATGGGGCTACTCACTTGTCCCCCTCCCCAAAAGGAGGCTACACTCAGGGACTCCAGGGGAACCCCTGTCTTACCTTCTAAGGAAGGATACCCTAAGTAATTTTTCTAAGGGACCTACTCTTTCTTAGGGAGCTTCTTCAGAAGCTACCTCTAATAAATACAAGGAGTGGAATGATTGGTTCATTGTAACAGAAGATTGGTGGGGGAAGAGGACCTACAAACTTAATCTCTAGTAATACATCATCTCTGGTAGGATACACCACTATATCTTATTCTGAAACATGATTTTTATTTAACCTAAAAAATAATATGAATTCACACCTTCTAAGTCAGCAAACCTCAGAAGGGAAAAAATAGAAAATAACAAGTGTTGGTGAGGATACAGAGAAAGTGAAACTCTTGCACATTGCTGCTGTGAATGTACAATGGTGAAGTCGAGGTGAAAAACAATTTGGCAATTCCCCCAAAAGCCCCAACATAGAATTTCTGCACAACCCAGAAATTCTACTCCAGGGTATACACCCCAAAGAGTTAAAACAGGAAATCATACAAATATTGGTCCACTCATGTTCATTACAGCATTGTTCACAGCAGCCAAAATGTGGAAACAACCCAAGTGTCCATGAACAGATGAATGGATAAATAAAATGAGGTACAAGCACACAATGAAATGGATTCAGCCCTAAAAAGGAGTAAAGTTCTGACCATACTCAACATGGACAGACCTTGAAAACATTATGTTAAATGAAATAAGCTAGATACAATAGGACAACTTAATTTTTTTGAACCCATACATATTTATTGATAATCTATCTTAACCATGACCCAAGTTAATGGACAATACAAGAGGTTTGCATGTAACCCAGAAGTTTGCAAGTTACAAACTATAGAACAATCATTTGACATAAGACTCAAAGTCTGTCCTTCAGCTCCAGACCCCCAAACCTCATCCCAGCCCTTCTTTCCAAGACAGGGTGGTCAACCACTTGCTAGGCCTCTAGTGATTATTTGCTTCCTTTGTATGTGTTTTCTCCTGATTAAAACAGAAACATTAAATCATGATTCTTGTGATTTGTGTCCACATTTCCAGAGCAGCTGATGCTGGTGCGCTAACAGCTCAACCTTCACCCAGCCCTCAACTCAACTTGGCCAGATTCCAACTAGGGGCTTGACTCACCTCATTTTTTGGTAACAAAAAATGTGAAATAGTCTACAGTTTTTCAGTTTCTTCCCTGTTTTTTCTAAAGGGGATCTTACTTACCAAAATTCATTTTCCTAGTTTTTAAGCTTATTTTCTTCTGTAACTACGCTTTCTTCTTTCAAAACAGTATATTTCCATTTGATCAAAACTAGCAATAGGACAGTTTATATAAAATATCTAGAATAGACAAATTCAGAGAGATGGAAAGTAGATTAAAGCTTACCAGAGACTGGTGATAGAGGGAGGAAATGGGAAGTTATTGCTTTATGGTCATAGAGTTTCTATTTGAGGTGATGAAAAAGAGTTTTGGGAACAGAGGTAATGGTTGCACAATATTGTAAATGTAATTAATGCCAATGAATTGTACACTTAAAATGGTTAAAATGGCAAATTTTATGTTAAATACGCTTTTACCACAATAAAAATTTTCAAAAAAAAAGTGAAAAGATAGCCAGCATATATTGTTAACAGTTTTATAGTGTTCCATTGTAGAGCAGTACTATTATCAGTCAGCTGTTAGAAGTTTGCAATATTTGCTCTTTTATAAAAAATGAACACCCTTGTACATATAACACATATACAGCTTTATGTACTTGAATGAACAGTTCTGTAGAATACATTCCTAGGAGTAGAAGTAGGTATTAAAGAGTATGGACTTCACAGAAAACTTAGGTGTGTGTACACACACACACACAAATGCAAAATTTGGGCCTCCAAAGGGGCCATCAGTTTAAACTCCTGCAGCTGCTGTATGAGTGATCATGGCTTCATTGTAGCCAGTGGGCTATTGGCCACCTTTTTATTCTTTGCCATTCTGATTTTCTCCCATCTTATGATAATTGTAACTTTTATGTCTTTAATTATTAGGGAAATTTAACATCAACATTGGCCTAGGCCAATTGGTCTTGAATGGATGTTGAGTAATAAGTACAAAATTCCTGAAGAGTCAAATTCCTGTCAAAGGAAATAGTCGGACATGGAAAGTGGCCACAAGCTCTATGGACATCAGCAGAGGAGACTCCAGATCCAGGGTTAGGAGTGGTCAACAGAGAAACTTGTGTGAAGGCCTCCATCTCTCCACATCCAAGGTCGACACTGGTGTGAGGGAGGTGGAGATGGTATAGAAGTTTCCTTTCTCAGAGATCCCATCCTGCCACTCAAAGATCACTGGTGGCAGGACCCTTGTAAGTCTCTGGGGTAACATTTTGGACAAAGCAAGCTTAGGGGAGAATGAGATCATGATTGCCTCTTACACGGACAGTCAATAAAGGAAGGCACATTCTCCATTATTTGTTGGCATTCAAAACATGGAGAAACCTATTCTTAATGCTTTCCCAACCTACACTAAGTGAAGCCATGGGACAAGATTCTCTGTATAAGACTCCCGTAATGACCACACTATCTGGCCAAACTGTTGTCATTTCCCTTTGAGCTCTAGCACCTTGAGATAACATGCTGTGGCTTTAGATATCAAGGGCTGAGTGATCTAAACCCTCAGGCTGACTTGTAGGACAAGAGAAACCTAGCATTCTAAAAACGTATGCTGGTGACTCTGAGGCTCTTACTGACATCTGCTGTCTGGATAGCAGATCTGCAGGCTGTGACTCCCTGAAAAGTCCTTCCTCTGTGTAGTGAAAGAGGACCTCCTTTCAATCCGTGAGCCAGTTATGAATCTCATCATGATACAGGATGAAATAAATTTGGATCATCTTGGAGATGAGTCTTAGCCTCCTGTAAATGAGAACCTCCCTCGGCTTCCACAAGTGTTAGATTTCCATCCTCCATTTATGCTTTGAACCTAAAGCAGAGTATGCAATTCATCTGATAGCATCTGAGGCTTTGGTGTGTGTTTGGGGGAGGGGAAGAGAGATAAGGATAGACAGCTATGGTTGCAGGATGCTTTCTGTTTTGATCAGTCTTCTACCATCATTACCAACATTTTCTGGGAAAGAAGGAAGGACTGATGATTGAGTCTAGACATTTAGACGGTCCGGGTTGATTCATGGCCATTGAAGTTTAATAAGGGCCCTCCTTTGCTATAGTAGGAGGTTTTTAATCTAGGTGTTTAAGGTGGAAGTCTTGGCATAACAGCAAGCAAAAGAACAGACTCTTTTCTGAACTTTGTGAAAGTTATGGTCTTCTCTTGCAGAAGACATACAACTCTAATTGTTGTTTGCTACATCATCCTAAGGCTCAATAATGCTCCTGAGCTACTGTCTCTAACTTTACAATCTCATTAGACATCCTTCCTGAATGATGCATGTATAGTAAAGGGACAAGTCAGCAACAAGCAAAAATTCCTTGAATGAAATCTTGCAAGGCTGACTCTTGGGGCTAGAAGTCAAGTATTTCAACTTAAGTGAGTGTGGCTCTTCCTCAATGGACTAACTCCTCATTTTATTATTGGGAAAATGGCACAGTCTCTCAGGTCTCATAGCTCAGATATTCCAAACATTCAATTGTCCTAAATCCAATGCAATTGGTTTTCAGCTTATATATCTAGTTGTGTTTCAATAGCTCCTTTGAGTTTTTGGAGGTTAGATTCCAGTTCCTCTTTATATCCTAAACAGTAAGTCAACAATTAAGGGGGTAGATACTTCCAATTGTATCTGAGTTACTGGAAGAAGGAAGAAAGATCCAGGCCTTTGTCTCTGGAAATTTCTGAACGCATGCCAGACCTCTACAATCCAGAAAGAAGTACACACACACACACACACACGTGCACACTTACACACACACACACACATCCCAAGATAACAATAAACCCTTGGTTCAATGCAATCTTCCTTTGAAAAGGACACCATAGTTATATGTGAAAAGTCCCCTTATTCCAGGTTGGGGTATAAGAAATGACTTCCCACAGAGGTGACCCAGAGCCCAACATTCAAACCCTCCATCTGCGGATTAACAAGGATTATGGTCTTTCCTCCCCTGGGTCCCTCTTCTATCAATGTTTAAGAACCCTAGGGTAGCTACTTAGTCATAGAGTCAGTCCGAATTAATTTTGCCTTTCAATAAAAGCTAGAATACCTGCTTTTTGAAAAGGATTGAATCATTCTCAAGACTCTGCTTTTCTCAATTTCTTGCTGTTGCCAGTAAAACATGCAGTGGCCAAGGCACAATGAAACTATCTGAATAGGGCTTCCTGGTCTCTTCTGCCCAAGGAATTGCTGTGGAAGCAGGGGTTGAGGGAGATTTAGATTTCAGAAACAAGACATATATAGAGACCATCCCTACATTAGGTGAGGTTTCCGAATTGAACAAAGCATAAGAATTAAGGATCCGAAGGGAAGATGAGCTCAGGGCTAAGTGAGCTCACAGCATGTTCAAGTTGGTCACATTCATCTGGGGCCAATATTCTATCTCCTACTACCTTCGATCAATCCTGTTTCCTTCCCTGAGTTTGCCCAGCAGAAAAACAAGAAGTCCTTTGACTTCCTGAGGAAAGCTCTGTAAGTATGATAGAAATTTCTTAGATGAAAGGCCAGATAAAGGCATAATTAAGGAAACTAAGAATATGAAAAGCAGGAGGAAGAGAGAGATTGTAAATGGAACAGGTTATAGAAAATAGACATTTTCCCTAAAACAAGCACAAGACGTTAAAGAACAAGCACCAAAGAGAGAATATTTCAATTTGTCAACATGCCACACATGAGCCCAAAGATGATGTTTTAGCAAGACTACAGAGTAAAAATGAATGAAAACATGTTGATAACCTGTGGCTGGGCCCAGTAAGTATTAAGGTTGGCACAGGAGACTCTTTAAACCTAGGATTCTCAGATCTGCCAATATGTTCCCGAAAATGATGACCCTGAAGTTGTCAGTTTCCATTAGTGGAGCTGGTGAGGCCGTAAAATGTTTCTCCAGCCCAGAAGTTTCCATGGCCCCACTGGGAGAATCACAGTGGTGGTTCCAAGGATTTAGGAGAAAAGCCACGATCCCTTTGGGAAGAAATTGTTCTTTTTTGTGAAACTCTTCCTGACTTGCTCCTGGGCTCTAACAGAGACTCTCTAATCAGATAACCCCATGATCCAAACTGTCCATCACAAGCTGGCTGCCACCCTATCTGCCCAGGATGGATAAGTGTGCCCAGAAATACATCCTCAATGGGACAGGGCCTGAAGAGTCCCTAAAGGCATAAGATGCATGAGCAGATAGTTTATACTCCCTACCTCGACCCATACCAGTAGCCTCACAAGGAGCTTCCTATGATTAGTGACTATAGATCAGTAACTATAAAGTTCTTAAATATGGCTTATTAATGGATTTGAATGAAGTGCTGGTAACACTCATAGTCTGCAGTGGTATCATAACTCACTCAGTAGTGTCCATGAAAGACAGTAGAGGAAGACAATCCACCTTGAGGCAGGCCTATTTTTTGTTTGTTCATTTGTTTGTTTTTAGTTAAATTTTTTTATTCAGAACCAATTGTGGATTCATATGCAGTTATAAGAAATAGTGCAGAGAGATCACGCGTACCCTTTACCCAGTTTTCCCCAGCGATAATATCTTGCCAAACTATAGGACAATATTACAGCGAGGTATTGGACATAGGGTAGAACATTGGATATAGGACAATATCACAACCAAGTATTGACACTGATGCCGTCAAAATACAGAACAGTTCCATCACCTCAGCAGCCCCGCTTCACTCTTGTATAGAAGCAGGGCTTCCCTCCCCCTGCCTCAGCCTCATCCCTGGGGCAGGATTTTTAACACATCTTATTGTCTTATCTTGCCTTCAGAGAGAGGGAAACTAAGGTCAAGATCTAACCCATCCCTGATTAGTGTCTAATCAGATCCAAAGATCAGGAATTTAAAAGGAATTACACAGGATGATGGATAAAAAAGGAAGACTGAGGAAGAGCTATGCAGAAGGATCTGTCTGATGGTCCTAGACTATGAGAATCTAGGTGTGCCCTCTGAGTGTTCTGCAGAAGTCTCCTAGTGCTGAAGGGACTCAGTTGGGCAGATAGAATAATCTAGTTTGTAGATGTTAGTTGGCCTCTATTCCAGTGAGGATAGTGCTTGCTCCAAATATCCATGACGACAGTGAGGAAGGTTATGCCTGGGTTAAACATCACATATATCACTTGCCAAGGCTGGCATGGCTGCCACCTCCAGCATATCATATCTGAAAAGGGCTAGTCATTTGTCCCTGGGGAATTAAACATTTTTTTGCCTCCTTTCCTGTCATACCTCTGCCATATCAACATCCACAGCTTAACTAATGTCTTCTGTGCTCTCATGATATATTTTATATCACCATTATGTTGCTTTTAACCAAGAAATATGTGTCAAAGTAAAAGTAGTGAAGAAATGAGCTGATATTCCATAAACCAACTGGTTTTACAAGTCTCCTTATTCAGAATCAGCTGGCCTTATCTAAAGGTAGAATGACTCATTGTGGACTCACCTATGACTCCTCCTTGGACATAAAACCCTGCAAGGATAAGGTTTTCCAAGATACAGTATATGTAGTTTCTCCTGTATGCAGGATTTATAAGTCTAGAAATCAAGGGGTAGAGGTAGGAGTAACATCTCTTGTGATCATATCTAAATAACTCACTCATAAATTGCTTACCTCTTATATCTGGATTTGGGGATCTGGTTGCTTAATGGTGTTAGTATTCAAGGTTAGAATGCCTCTATCAATTCTACTGAAGTGGAGATTGTCATCTGGCCATTTGAGAAATCTCATACCATTAGGTGGACAGGCAATTTAAGAGGGTCATATGGTTAGCTGGGTGACTTATCCTTATTATCATGCATAAAAAGAGTCTCTGCCACATGATAGGGGCCAGAGGGCCTATGTGTAGAGTTCAGGAGACTCCCAGTGGTAAAGTTAATGGAAGAGCATGCAATCTTCTACAAACAAGACCAGCAAGGGGTCAAAGTCCTCAGAAATAAGTATTCAATCACTCCTATGATAAACTAAATTATTGGTCTCAATTCTTCACTCTCCTGAAGTAGAATTTTCTGTATCTACTCATGATGTGTGAAGGATACTTTTCAATCTCTTGACTTTGGACTTGACCACGTGACTTCCTAATGGATGTTATCAAACATGATGTGAGCAAAGGTTTGAAATACACTTGTGTAGTTGAATTTGTCCTCTTGTATCCCTGCATTTTGAATTAATAAGAATATGCCTTGGGTAGTCACTTGTTGAAAGAGGATGAGATATATGGGGAGTGGATTTTGATCTAACCCACAGTTTAAGGTCAAGCCCAGCTAAGCCCAGGGTAGATCAGTTGACCCACAGCTAACCCACAGACCTGTGAGTGAGAAAAAAATACTTGTTACTGTAAGTCACCTAAATCTTGAAATTGTTTTATATATAGTATTTCTCTGGCAACAGCTGACTGATACAACATCTAGCAAAGAATCCTGACTAGCTGAAATGTTTGCCAAAGGAAAGAGGAACATAAAATTCATGGCAAAGAAACCCCTCAAATATCAGTAGTACCTCAGGATCTTATACTTAAGTGAGGATTACAGCTGCTACCTTTCTTATTATGTATCATATACTTAATTTGTCTTCTTTTTTCTTCCTTTCTTGACCATTGAATGCAGGGTATTATTGGCCAGGCTTATCAATCAGCCATGGGTTTTTTTAAATAATAGAGGATCATCTCTAGAATTAGAACGAAACAGATATTAGATAGAGAGCCTAAACAAGAATCTCGATACAATGAATTAATATAGTTTCATGTTTTCCCTCTCTTGGAAGGAGAATGAGCATATTTTCACTTTTATACTGGTTATATTATCAGGCAGGGATATTTTAAAAATTATATGGAAAGAAGTGACTGTGGATATAGTAGACAGCCAAGAGGTAGAATGTAGCAAGTGTAGACATCACTGTCCTCTACATCTGCCCACTAATCCCCAAAACAACACTAGAAGGTCATCGGGTGTTTTTTTTTAAGAAAGTTTAAGGTAGTGAATACCCCAGCCAGGAACCAGAGCTATGTGTACATGACTGATTCCAAGAAGCTGTTAAAGTCACAGAATTAGAACTTATATAATGCTAAGGATTTTAAGACAAGGCTAGAAGGGTTTTTTGCCATCTGGCTTGGGGGAAACTAGTTAGATGCATTACATTTGGGTTTAGTGGGAAATTTTAATGTGGGGGACCTACTGCAACCTGACACAAGAGTCCAGAGAGAATGGATGAGGGCAGATCTCTATAGCTTGTCGGTCCTCTGCCATATCTACAGTCATGGCAGCTTTAGTCAATAAGAAGGTATTATACATTTAAAATTTTAAGAGGGTAGATCTCTTACCAAGTCCTCTTACCACAATGAAATGAAATTCAAGAAAGAAAAAAGAAAGGATGAGGACAGACTTTCTATGGCTGAAGACCCAGCCATGAATTTACCCAAACTTCAGGAAAGATTGTGGGCAGAAGGGTTGCTGAAAACTCAGTAATCAGAATATTCCCCTTTAACATTTCTGTTTAGACACATATTTTGCTTTTCTGTCCACTTTAAGTATGTCTGTAGAAACCATTTATTAGATGCACCCTACAATTTAATCAGATTGTAGGTGTTTCTACATTGGAGTATACTTCATTTCACTTATAAGCAACATCATAAGGTACCATAACTCAAGCATCATACCACCAATTGGCATAAATTATCATAAAACTCACAGGATAGCTTGCAAGTCAAGTTAGATCAACAAACATTGTGTAATGTTTTATGCAATGAACCAGTGTTGCTCTTCCCACAGTCAACCTGGGACAACTTCGTATTTATAAAGCAAAACGTTATCTAGCATCGTTGATTTGGAAGGCCTGCCTGTTCTGAGATTTCCCCAAATTGCCACTATTTGTGAGAAAAAGATCAATCATTTAGTGATTATATCAAAGGGGAAAGGATAACTTCAATAGCCATCTTTTCCCACTGTGTATCAAATGGACTTGAACTGGCAGAAACAGTTCAGGGTAGTGCCGGGTATATAATAGTTGCTCTAAGAAGATGCTTTATTATATCATAGTGTTATGCATTAATTCGATTCAACAGCTGGCCTTTACTTAACAAATGCCAGAGATCCTTAAAGGTTTGGATTAGGCCTGAGCAAATGAGAAAGATAAGGAACTCTTGCATAGAAATGCTGAACTCGAGCAATGATTCCGTTGATTCTCAGATCATTAGTTTTTAATCTAAAAGACTTTTATACTAATTAGTCTGTTTAAGTGTGAATGGAGAAATTATTATTTCCAAATTTTTCACTGGGAAATGAGGCCTTATATTTAACAGAATTCATGATGTATAATAATAGATTGTGAAAAGCTAAATTATATACCATTTTAACTGTGTAGACAACATGTAGACCAGTCAAAACACTGAGAGATTTTGATACGGCCTTGCATGAGGAGAGTGCAAATGATAATAAACACGTACTTTCCACTTTAAGCACATACTCTCCCAAAATAAAGTGGATTCTTATGGGACATTATCCAAGCTGGAAATAGACAATGCTTGTGGGTTGCTCCTGGCTGGTCATGCTGAGCCTGCTGGTCCAAGTGGCAGAGCTGGCTTCAGGCCAAGGAAGATAAGATCAAAACACTATTCAAGGAGGAAGAGAAGGAGAAATGAGTCTCTCCCCCTCTTTTTTGTCTGTACATAGAGTCCACATCAATAGTGGATTATTTAGTAAAACACACATTTATATGCCAGGGCTTACTTTAAGTCACAAACATAGTCTTGATTCTGAAATGATGCTGTCCACTATGATATATTTAATCAACATTTGGATGTTCATTGTAAAGATAAATTTTCTCCTTTCTTCTTCTTCTTCTTTTTTGTTTTGTTTTGTTTTGTTTGTTTGACAGAGTCTTACTCTGTCACCCAGGCTGGAGTGCAGTGCCACAGTCTCAGCTCACTGCTGCAACCTCCGCCTCCTGGGTTCAAGCAATTCTCTTGCCTCAGCCTCCTGAGTATCTGGGACTACAGGCGCAGGCCACCACGCCTGGCTAATTTTTATATTTTTAGTAGAGACCGGGTTTCACTATGTTGGCCAGGCTGGTCTCAAACTCCTGATCTTGTGATCCGCCTGCCTCAGCCTCCCAAAGTGCTGGGATTATAGGCATGAGCCACCTTTACCAGCCCTTTCTTCTCAGGTAAAGTCACTGCAGGGAAACTGCAGGCTTCTGGGAACTGTCTTTTTCTCTTTTTCCCATTGCTCCTCTCTCAGATGCCTAACAGCTGCTTGTGGCCTCCCTGGGATTGGAGCCCAAGGAGGGAGAAGGAAAAGGGAGGAGGAAAAAAGTTCACTCTTGCCTGATGCTATCATAAAACCGCTTTGTGCTCTCTGGACTTGGCAGGTATCTAAAGCTGACCCTTTCTCAAGTAGGTCCCCCTGAAAAGTTCCTCTGACGACCACTCCCACGCTGTAGGCAGAGCTCCGCTCCTTGACTGCCTTCTTTCTACCCATACCATTCACCCCACCCAGCATCTTCCTATAGGACATCCCAGAATCTCCCCTGGCAGGCCATCTTCCTAGGCAGAATTCTTGTTAATCCAGACCAACATTCCTGCTATCATTTCTGAGAATTCATGGGCCTTGCTCTGCCTTTGTGGGAGAGTGTGCTTATTTTCCAATTGCAGACTCTCCTGTGTTTCATGGCCACTTTGGCTTTCTCAGCTACAAATCAGATGCCAGTTCCCTGGGTCTCCGATAGCCAAGAACATATGTTCAGATCTGCCAGGTTGACTGGATCCCTGAGGAATGTGGAATGATAGATTCTAAACTGGAATGATAGAGCAACCACAGATAAAGAAGACTGCCAGTCCAGGCCAGTTGGAAGCACACAGCCTACAGTACGCAACGAGCAGCCATCCCAAGCACAGGGTATGATGGCCAGGGCTTGATCGCTATGAAAAGAAGAGAACTAAAGTGCAAAAGAAGGAATTCCGTTTCTAGGGGCCCAAAAGCTCAGCTGCAGGAACCCAATCTGAAGGATCCTTTTAAAAGCAAAACATCTCTCTTCTATTGTTTTATCCCAGGATCCAAGAGAATAAGTGATCCCAATAGGAGTAACATTTGGATTATATTTGCAAGGTCCCTGGAAATGTCTAGGTCTATTTAAGGAGCTGTTCCTGGGAAAATAATACACTTCAGGCTAGTAAGCCAGTGGGGGCTTGGAATGGGCAGCTTAAGGGTACTTTCTGAATATGATAGTGGACTTCAAGAGAGTGGGAATTTGTATCTGTTTTGCTTGCTGCTATATCCCCAGAGCCTGGAATTTTTCTGTGTATTAAAGAATTAGCCTTACCCAAAGGGAAGTCTGGCCTTTGCCTCAGTTACTGGGAGGTGATCTCTAGGCCCAAAGAATGTCCTGCCTGATAAGAGTGTCTTTGTTTACCTAGGCTCCTTGAGAGACACTAGACTGTCTAACCATGTGATTTATAACAAGCATTTTGGGCCGCACAGTATCAGCTTAACATCCATAGGGGCTGGAGACTAAAGGTCAGCCATACAGGCTATTCACAGCATGTCCACAGGATGAAGCCCCAATAAAAACTCTGGACACCGGCTGGGCATGGTGGCTCATGCCTGTAATCCCAGCACTTCGGGAGGCCAAGGCAGGTGGATTGCTTGAGCCCAGGAGTTACAGACCAGCCTTGGCAACATTGCAAAACCCTTTTTCTACAAAAAATACAAAAATTAGCCATGCATAATGGTGCATGCCTGTAGTCCCAGCTACTTGGTAGGCTGAAGTAGGAGGATCACCTGAGCCCAGAAAGGTCAAGGCTATAGTAAGCCACGATAGTGTCACTGCACTCCAGCCTGGGCAACAGAATGAGACCCTGTCTCAAAAGAAAAAACAAAAAACTCTGGACACCAAGGCTCATGTGAGCATCCCTGGTTGACAATACTCTGTGCATGTTGTCATACATTGTTGCCGGGAAAGTGTTATCCACAAGTCCACTGAGAGAGGACACTACAGCTTCTGCTCTAGGAAACTTCCTGACTCTGCCCTATGCATCTCTTCCCTTGGCTGATTTTAATCTGTATCCTTGTGCTGTAATAAACCATAGCTGTGAGTATAACAGCTTTCAGTGTGTGTTCTGTGAGTCCACCAAGTGAATTATCAAACCTGAGGGTGGTCTTGGGAATCCTCCCAAATTGCAAGTGTCAGAAGCTAGCGTGGTCTTGAGGACTGTCTCCCTGACATCACAGGTGTCTTTCACAAGCAGGTGTCCAACAAGTCCTCATTAAATGAGGGAACGAATGAAAGAATTTGTACATACCACAGCAGATGAAGTCATGCCAGTTACCTAAGGGTAGTGTTTTCTCAAATATTGCATTAAAAAGTTTTGTGTGCACATGATTTGCATGACAAAATTAGACTTAGCAATTCTGTGGCCTCTTTCCTAAATACATTTAGACTTTTCTGGTCACATTAAGTCACATCTCAAACATATTTCAAATACCTGACTGGTTCAAACATCAAGCATATTTCTGTGTGAAGAATGGGAATAAGAGCAATGTCATAAAGTCCTTTACAGAGCATAAGCTGGGTTCAAAACTGGCCTGGAAGGAAGGTGTCATTGCCCAGGTTTTCTTCTGGAAATACTCCAATGTGGACATCAAGAGGGCGGCTGGTCACAAGACAGATACACCCTCCATCCATAGTTGTCAAAAGCGTCACACAGTCAGAAATGACCACTCCAAGAAACCTCAAGGACACAGCATTCCAAACGAGTTCTCTCCTGAGTATGAGATCTTGTTATTTTGATGCAAGAGGATAAAGCCTATAAGATATGACTTTGATGCCTCCCTGTCACCCCAGGAGATGCAAAGAAAGGTCTTCTCTGTCTCTTTTGCACCTCTGAGCTCAGGGACAGATAATATCCCCATTAACAGGCTATTTTCCATAGACACTTCAGGCATGCCATTTACTCCCACCCACAGTGTTTTCGAAGAGGAATAGCTAGGAAGCAGCTGCTATAAAATCATTAGCAGAGAACAGAGCGTTAGTATGAACATAAGGCCCAGCAGCACTTGAAAGGAACTTCATATTCCTGATTTGTATCAGCTTCTTGATAGTCTGTATCTCGTTTTTCTCCCAGGAGACAATTCTGACCTCAGAAATCACCAAAGAAATATTGGCTACATTATCCAGACCTGGGATCACTGCCCTTTCAACCTTGCAGCCCTCACCAGGACAATATAGTTTTCATCAGATATGCTCAAGTGTTACAAACTTTTGCTTTGAATACTCATATTCTCTTTTCAAGCCCAGAAATTTGAAGTCAATCTCCATTTTCAAACTTCCCAGGCAGATCAATTCTGCACTGGTATAATCCAGTCATCAGGTGGGTTCTCTCCCAAGTTCTAGAGAACACTGGTTTAAACTCCTATCCTACAGTTTATGGAAATTCAAAGTTTTCTCAATATTTCCTACAGGTTTCCAGTCCAGGGAGATTCTCATATTCTCAGCTGTGGGCTGGCAGTATGATATTACCAGAAGTTGAGAATTAGGTACATTGGCCCTGAAGGGGGCACATGAGTGAATACCACAATTTCCACTGCAGCTCACCTCTCATATTTCTCTGATATCCCTTTGGGAACGACTTTCCCGTAATTCTGGTTGGCTTGTTTGCTGGGAAACTTACAAGAGAAAGATTAGTAGGATGAACTATAGCCTCTACTGCCGCAGCTATCCTGACACCATAAATGATATTCATCATCCCCTCCACCATTTACAATCCTGTCTTCCCCTCATTTTTGGCTAGTACCTCTGCTGGTCTAGGCGGCTTACCTGGTGAGGTGACCCAAACCATTCATCCCTAAGTGTCTGAGCCTTGATTTACTATGCCTTTCTCAGACTGTGGCTGCTCCAATTCTCCAACTACCGTTACCACTGGGTGTGGGAACACCAAGATGTGCTTCATGGTGGGGTCCAAACATATTCTTCCTGTCCCCCTTGAGTAGCAGTGACCTTAATTGCCCCTGCATTCCCTTTCTTACTGCTGTTCTTTTGACACATGGAACTGGAAGCGCCCCAGCGACAGCCATAGCTTAAATTGCAGTGGGATTCTTACTGTCTCCCCTGGTGGAGGCAGCCCCTTTTAGTGCTAAAGCTGCAGGAATGGAAAGCACAAATTTCCCAAGATCACTGAGAGAGATGAGAAGTGGGGCCAGGCCTACTTCCATCCCCCAGTTTCCAGGCTCATGTAGTCTACCTTTTGGAGACAGAAAACAGCACCATGCAATGGTTATTGATTTAGGGTCTCCTGGGGGATGGTACCCCATCCTTATAGGGTGTTAATTCTAAATTGAGATCTTGACTGGTTTCATAAAGGCCATTCTGCCACTCTAATAGGGTGGCTTCTGGGTGACAAAGTTTGAGATAGAAGAAGTGGGTCCCATGGCCAGGTGTCCACTATATACTTTTTTGCTGTGAAGTAGAATGCTTAGCTCTGATATTTTGCTGTTATCCAACACGCCGTTCGGTCTCAGATCATGGTACTGGCTGAGGCCCCACAACAGGAAAGACAACCCGATACACAGAATATAAGTTGAGCCTGGTCAGGATGGTATCTACTCCTTCTATTGTGCAAGGGATCCAATGCAATCAAATAGCCACCAAATGGCAGCTTAGTTTCCTAGGGGATGAGGCTATATCAGGGTTTCAGTACTGGTCTCTGGGGCTGATAGGCTGGACTTTGAGCAGAAGCAACAGCCAGATCAGCTGTCAGGTCCATGCAGAGTCTCCATCCCTACCACTGTGGCTACTCTATAAATGCACTCATTATTCCAACACCCAGGTATCTAATAACAGAAGCCAAATGATGTCAACTGGCTGAGTCACTTGGTCTGTATTTGTTGGATAATGCCTCTTCTATAACAGATACTCCAGTGGGCTAATGCACATGTGAAACAAAGATCTTCACACCTCCCATAAGTTTGCCCACATGCCTCCTCCTCAGAGCTCCTTAACCCTGATCTTTCAATCTATCTCCTTCCAAACCCCCCAGCAGACCATTTGCTACTACTCGTGAAACCATGTATATTCATACCTTGGGGAACTTACATGACCAGACATACCTGCTAGAGATTTCCCCATTGGTAGGATTTCTCACTGCTAGCTTTTAGTACCACACCTATGTCCGTCTGTTTTTGTGTTGATATAAAGAAATATCTAAGACTGGGTAATTTATAAAGAAAAGAGGTTTAATTGGCTCACAGTACAGAAAGCATGGTGCTGGCATCTGCTTCTGGTGACGCCTCAGGAAGCTTACAATCATGGTGGAAGGTCAAGGGGGAGCCAGCATATCACATGGCAAGAAGGAGCAAGAGAGAAAGACGGCAGAGGTCCCAAACTCTTTCAAACAACCAGACATCATGTGGATTAACTGGGCAAAATATCACTTATCACCAAGGGGATAGTGCCAAACCTTACTCATGAGGGATCCACTCCCATAATCCAATCAGCTCCCACCAGGCCCTACCTCCAATACTGTGAATCACATTTCAATATGAGATTTGCAAGAGACAAACATCCAAAGCATATCAATACCTAAGTAAGGGTTGTGATGCAGCTACTGTCCTCTGGTTTGTACTGAGATATCGAGTTGACCCATTTGTGAACCAAGTTTCAACCTTTTCTTCCCCTCCATCAGCTGTCATAAGAGGTTCCCCATGTGGCTGGTGCTGAAGGAGAAGCACTGGACAACATGAGATCTGGACCACCTGCTTTTGTGGCTTGCTTGTTCCTTCTGACCCTACATGTGCCCTATCCCACTGGTGTACCACTTCCATCTTATAGATTGCTGCTGGGCCCACCCAAACTTATGATGTGGTAGTCTGAAAGAAAACTTCTCATAATGGATAGTTCTGGTTGCATGATCATCTGATGTCTCTTGCTCACTTGCTTCATATTCACCAGGACCCAACAAGGATGGTGGAGAAACTGCTTTCTGAATAGTGTACAGTCATCCCTCCATATAGGTGCAGGATTGGTTCCCAGAATCCCACAGATATCAGAATCTGTGAATGCTCAAGCACCTGACATAAAATGATGTAGTATTTGTGTATAATCCTCCAGTATGCTTTAAATCATCTCCAGATTACTTAATACCTAATACAATGTAAATGCTACGTGAATAGTTGTTGTGCTGCATTGTTTTTTATTTGTATTATTTTTGTGGTTATATGGTTATTTTTCCTGGATATTTTTATTCAATGGGTGGTTGATTGAATCCATGGATGTGGAACCCATGGATACAGAGGCCCAACTATACAGTTCTCTGCTATAGATGGAATAGCCTTTCTCCAATAGGCACAATATCCTCTACTGTTCTCCTTCATGGGATTTGGGATTTGGGTAGTTTAATATTAGTTCTCTCTCTGGCATAAGTTATAGTTTAACCCCAAAAGTCAGAGATATTCTCCAGCTTTTGTCATTGATGGATATCAAAGATAATTGGTCACTGCATACCTTACCTCACAATTAAATACATCACTACTATTATGCCTTCCAAGCATCTCCCTAGTAGTCTAAACAGCCAATTTCCTTACTCTGTATTTAGGAATTTTCACCCAAATGTCCTTGCCCATCCTGTGGACTCTAGAACCAGGCTGTAAAGTAAATTCTGCCAATTCCCATGGGGAAAAGCTTCCTGGCACAATGGTATTGAGCTTTCTACAAATACCCTTGTACTATGTATCTCATAGTAATTTTCCTCTGAGCTAATGACATTATTTGGTTCTTTACCTACACTCTTTCCGAGTGATGAAATTTATTCTCATGGCATTGACTACTAGTATTTTAAACCTTAAATTAATCACATTTTACCACCCCAGGATCTAAAAGCATAAAGGTTATCATTTTCTCTATCCATGGCCAATCTCTTTTTTAAAAAATCCTGAGTCTGATAGGCTAAGAGCGATCTATTCTTTAATTTTTCACATAATACTAACAATTTTGAACATTTGTTTCACATTCTCACTGTTAAAATGATTTCTTCCTATTTGGTTTATCTCTTCTTGTCACTTGGCCTTTGTACTGGATGCTGTGAAGCACTATCCGGACCCCCCTTTCACAGCTGATGCATTCATTCTCTCACTGTCAGTGGCTGAAAGATCTCAGCTGAGTCACTCTCTGGGAACTGGATTCAGCAGAAGAGAGCTGCCTAGCCCAAAATCATGCCCCTCTCTCTCCAGGGCAGCCTGAACCTAATGGCTGATCAATGTTGTATGGTGGGGAGTATAAAGGCGTGGCCCCCTGGCCTCAAGGTGGGGCAACATTGAAGGATCCTGTCAGCTCCCAAATTCGTGGAGGCCTTTGTTGCAACTACATCACAAGTCAACACCTCCCTCTGACAGATGCCACTTCCCTCATCCTCCTGGGTGTTGATCCCCAGAGCATGTTATAGCCCAGTGAGTTCACCTTGCCCGCTGCCTAGACAGAGCTGATTTATCGAGACAGGGGAATTGCAATGGATAGAGAGTAGTTCACGCAGAGTCAGCTGTGCAGGAGACTGGTGTTTTATTATTACTCAAATCAGTCTCCCTGAGCATTCACATTTGGAGATCGAGGTTTTTAAAGATAATTTGGTGGGTAGGGGCTCAGGAAGTAAGGAGCTGTGATTGGTCAGGTTGAAGATGGACTCATGGGGGTCAAAATGAAGTTTTCTTGCTGTGTCTTCTGCTCCTGGGTGGGATCACAGAACTAGCTGAGCCAGATTACCAGTCTGGGTGGTGTCAGCTGATCATTGAGTGCAGGGTCCGCAAAATATCTCAAGCCCTGATCTTAGGTTTTACAATAATGATGTTATCCCGAGGAACAACTGGGAGAGGTTCAGACTCTTGCAGGCAGAGGCCTCATGACCTCTAAACCTTAATTTCTAATTTGTAGCTAATTTGTTAGTCCTACAAAGGCAGTCTGGTCCCCAGGCAAGACAGGGATCTTTTTCAGGAAAGGGCTATTATCAATTTTGTTTCAGAGTCAAACCATAAACTGAATTCCTTCCCAAGGCTAGTTCGACCTACACACAGGAATGAACAAGGACGGATTAAAGGTTAGAAGCAGGATGGAGTCGGTTAGATCTGATCTCTCTCACTGTCATAATTTCCTCAGTTATAATTCTTGCAAAGGTGGTTTCAAGCACTACACAATAAACCTTCTGACCACGAATCTTTCTCTTAAGTCTGCTTTTTGGGGAGCCCAACCTAGGCACCCATTTCTTAAAGCTGGGAATATTTGTCTTATTCTTAATGATTTTTTAAATATATATTTATTTATTTATTTATTTATTTGAGACAAAGTCTGTTTTGTCACCCAGGCTGGAGTGCAGTGGCATGATCTTGGCTCACTACAACCTCTGCCTTTCAAGTTCAAGCAATTCTCCTGCCTCAGCCTCCTGAGTAGCTGGAATTATAGGTACCCACCACCATGCCCGGCTAATTTTTGTATTCTTAGTAGAGACGAGGTTTCACCATGTTGGTGAGGCTGGTCTCGAGCTCCTGACCTCAAGTGATCCACCCGCCTCGGCCTCCCAAAGTGCTAGAATTACAGACGTGAGCCACCGTGCCCAGTCGATTGTTTTAAACTTTAAAATTGTATTAGCCCTTAATGTTGTATAGGTTGATTGTCACTCAATTTATTTTTATTTTTGCAGAACAAGTTAAGTAGGTGAGGTAGTAGAACAAAAAACATACTGTTGTTGTAGGGCAGGAAGGGGTGGGAGCCCCTATGTGCACATAGGGTGACTTATGGGGCAAAAGGGGTGAATAACCAGCTTCCCACTTCCTAATCTCAGCCTTGCTATCAGCTTTGTTCCCATGAGCTGAAACATGCATATAAAAGTCTTTAATAGGCATAGTCAACTCTAATCAGATGATTTTAAGACTATGAAATGCTGGGCGACTGGCCTGTGGAGAAAGTACCCATTAGCCCCACAGAGCACTTGCAACAAACTCTGCAGGATAGGAATGCAAAGGTCATTCGCAGTTCACACAGCCCGTGCTTTCCCTGAGCCTCAGATGTGTTTCACCCTGGGCAGCTCCTCAGGAAGCAATGGAACAAACGACCTCCTCACAATGTGACCATGCAGATTCTAGTCTGTGCACCTACACCCTGGGCCTACTTTTAGCACCAATTGCCTCCCAGTCCCCAATCTACAGGGCTCTGGAGTCCCGCTCCTCAACGTGCAGGAATCCTAAGGCCCTGAGAACCACCTGTACTCTCTTTTTCAACCCTAGATTCAACATTTTTGTCACTCCTACACACACACACATACACACACACACAGAGAGAGAGAGAGAGACACCACTATTCTTTTCCTGGCAGCCACGGTGGCACGCAGTTGCCCTATCTGACCAGCAGTCCCTTACCCCTCACAGAAATGGTAGCTCTTCCTCTTCTGAGACAAGACATCATGCATTGGGGTTTTTTTTTTTTTTAGTTTTTAGTTCTTGTAGAGACAGGGTCTCACTGTATTGCCCAGGCTAATCTCAAACCCCTGGGCTCAAGTGATCCTCCCACCGTGGCCTCCCAAAGTGCTGGGATTACAGGTGTGAGCCACCGCACCTGGCCAAGAGTTCATGTTGGATATGGAAGAGATTGTTGGCTCCAGTTGGGGTCAGTGACAGACTCCTGAACTGAGGGGCTCCAGTGTCTGATCCCTTTTCTCAGCACAGAATAGGTGTTCCAGTATCTCAGTACTCAGAGGCAGTGAAAGAGTGAGAGATTGAGCCCTATCCTCTACCTCTACAGCAAAACTGAGGCCACAGCTAGAAAGGGTTGAGGACTGAATTTACCAAAACAGAGTGCTAGGAGCTTGGGGTTTTGGAAAAGGACGAATTGTGGACAAGTTGAGGATTGAACTGTCTACATTGGAAGAGAATGAGCAGTTATTTGTCATCTGGACCCAAATCCCCAAAAAAGTCTAGGCCTGGGCTTGGCTGATCTTCTACATGACAGAGGGACAGAGTCAAGCATCTCTGCTTTCAGACGTCAGTTACAGCAGGTCTCATTTTCATAGTGAAAATTGGTAAGTTTGAGAAAATTCACCCCACACAATATTTTCCCAAGACATGTTCAGTGGAAAAGTATTTATCTTTACATAGTTTAAAAGCTCAAAACTGTCCAGAAAACAAGACAAAGGTCTCCCTTAGGGTGTCCTCTTCCCATATAACATCTCATCTACATCTGGCCCATCTCACCTTCTTCCCAGCAGCCTTCTCCAGCTCAAAGAGAGGCCAGCCCTCCATCTCTTCCTCTTTACTGTACGATGTTCCATTACTTGCTCACCATCTCTCTCTCTCTCTCTGTCCTAATTTGTTTTTGTTTTTTTGTTTTTTGTTTTTTGTTTTGAGACAGGGTCTCACTCTGTTGCCGAGGCTGGAGTGCAATGGCACAATCTCAGCTCACTGCAACAACCTCCGCCTCCCAGGTTCAAGCAATTCTCACACCTCAGCCTCCTGAGTAGCTGAGATTACAGGCACATGCCTGTAATTTTTGTATTTTTAGTAGAGATGGGGTTTCACCATGTTAGCTAGGCAGGTCTCAAACTCGTGACCTGAAGTGATCTGCCGGCCTCCGCCTCCCAAAGTGCTGGGATTACAGGTGTGAGCCACCGCCCCCGGCCTCTCTGTCCTAATTATTTAATCAGTTCCTCGCTACTCGCTCCTCTCTCTGAGACTAAAATCCTTCCCAATAACCACGTTAAACAGTGTTCCTCCTGAAAACACACCTCCAGTGTACTTTGTCACATGTACCCGTAAGCTTTTGTTCATGTATCTGTGTTCACCAAAAACTTGTGACCTCCTTGAGGGACAGAGACGCCATGTTGCCCAAGGACATCATAGTCTATGTGAGTAGTGTTGGGTGGCGCACGTGATGGAATGAACGAACAATGATGAATGGCCAAGAGGAACATTTCCTCAGCTCGCTAGGTGGCGCTCAGGCATTTTTCAACTACACGATGTGGCAATGGTTCAGAGGTTGACCACAGCAATCCGGTGAGCTCACTACCATTTTCTTAACTAAGTAAACCTTTATTGCAAGGACCCTGGAATTATAGACTCAGATTCTAAAAGAAGCTTTGGGTTTTCGTAGCCTCGGGATAAAACATCTCTGGTGGAAGGAGTACAATTCTCACTTAAACAGCTCTATCTACTCAGTCATTTGTTCATGTATTCACCCAAGAGGCATTCATTGAGCACTTATGTGCCAGGCACGATGCTCCCTACTGAGGATGCAGGTGGGGAAAAAAAGGAAAAGACGTGATCTCTGTACCCAGGGAACTTTCAGGCATTAATCAAAAATTCATACAAATATCATTACATTATAACGATGGAAAGAGCTACACATGAGAGGTACATGCTGCTATGAGAACATCTAACAGACCAAGACAGGAAGTTCAAGGAAGGCTTCTTTGAGAATGGGATGGTTGAGCTAACATCTAAAGGGAGAGTGGACGCTCATTAGAGAAAATGGAAATAGGATGTCATAAACAGAGATAAAAGCATGTTCTAAGGCCCTGAGGGGAGTTGGAGGAAGTGAATGATGGAGACCTGGTGGGTGGACCATTGTGAGCAAGGGGCCATGTCATGTGAGATGAGGCTGAAGAGTTAGGGAGGGTCAGAGCCGGTAAGCCCATCATAATTCGGATTTTGGTCTTTATTCCAAGAGTAGCTGGAAGTCATTGAAAGGTTATAAGCAGAGAAATGACAATCATATCTGTGCTTTGAAAAGATCATTTTGGCTGCCATATGGCTAACGCATTGGAGAGGGCCTTAGGGATGGACAAACAAGTTAGGAGATGATTGTAGTGAAGCAGGAGAGAGAAGCTGGTGGCTTGTACTAAGGTAGGTTTGGAAAGCTCTGACTATTAAAAATTCCTTCCTTACACCAAACCAAAACTTACATCCAGTGGTCCCAGCTCTTTGCTCTGGGACCACAAAGAACCAGTCAATTCCACATCAATGTGGCAGTATTTAAGTAGCTTAAGGAATGTATTGTGCTTCCACCTCTTCCACTCTACCCCACCTTGCCCCCATTACTTAATCCTCCTTTCTTGGGTTTAAAAAGCACAAGTCTTTAAACAGGATCTCAGATAACCTGTATATGAATTCCCTTCACTGCCCCTTCTCAGGACAATCTCAATTGGCCAATGAAGACTAAATCCTTCAGTAAACCAAAGCTCCTGGAGATTAAAATGAACACAGAAAATAGGATTGATATTTTAAAGTCATAATTACAGCAAGAAAACAAACTAAAAATAGTAAAACCTACAACCTGACAATTAGAAAATTATAATTTTACATTTGACATCTTCATCAGGCTAATAATAACAGAAACTAAAATTCATTGAGACTATTTTAAACATATTACATGCATTAACTCTTGCATGCATTAACTCATTTAGTTTTCGCAATTCTCAAGGTAAGTCCTAATATGATTCCCGTTTTACAGATGAGAAAATATGATACGAGAGACCTTAAGGTCACACAGCTAGTAAGCATCAGGATAGGACTCAAGTTCTAGTCTGATTTCAGAGCCTGCACTCTTAGCCACCACACTACACTGTGTTCAAGGGAAAGGAGAATTATCTTTAAACTTAGAAAGAAAAAATAAACATGATGAAAAGGCATAAAAGCCCCAAATAGAGAAGATAACCAGAGAACTGCTAATTGCTTGATTTAATTCTAGTCTAAAGCCCAGATGAAAAATATTTTAAGATACTGAAGGAACAGTCAGACATAGCCCCAAACATCAGTTGGTCATCCCCAAAGCCCCTAGAAATCTACTTCCTGTCTCTATGGATTTTCCTATTCTGCACATTTTGTAGAAATGGAATAATAGATGATGAAGCCTTTTGTGTCTGACTTCTCTCGGCTAGGATGATGTTTTCAAAGTTCATCCATGTTGTAGCATGTTTCAGTACGTCATTCCTTTTTATGGAATGATATGTGAAATAATATTCCATTCTATGAATATATCACATTTTGTTTATCTATTCATCAATTGATGGATATTTGGGTTGTTTCCATTTTTTGGCTATTATGAATAAGGCTTAGCAGCCTGCTAAGAAGTTATGCTCAAGTTTTTGTATGGATACACAGTTTCCATTTTCTTGGGTGCATACACAGGAATGGAATTGCTGGGTCACGTGATAACTATGTTTAACCTTTGGAGGAATTGTCAGAATGTTTTCCAAAGTGACTGCACCATTTTACATTCCACCAGCAATGTACAAGGCAACATTTATTATTGTCTTTTTTTATTTTAGCCATCCTAGTGGATGTGAAGTGGTTTTGTGTTTTGATTTGTGTTTCTCTGATGCCCAGTCATGCCAAGCAACCTTTTGTTGTGCTGAGTGATCATTTATGTATGTTCTCTGGAGAAATGCCTATTTATATCCTTTGCCCATTTTTAAATTTGCTTATCTATCCTTTTATTATTGAGTTGTAAGCGTTCTTTATATAGTCTAGACACAAGTTCCTTATATTTATGATTTGCAATTTTTTTTTCATTCTGTGAGTTATTTTTGTCACTGTCTTGATGGTGTCCGCTGCCCCACAAAAGTTTCTAATTTTGAGGCAGTCCACTTGTCCAGTGGGTTTGAGCAGAAGTAGTGGACGTCACTTCCTGGGCGAAGCATCTAATTGCCAGTGTGAGACTTCTAGAGCTCTCTCTTTAACTGGTGACCAGAAATGTTCAAGATGGCAGTAGTTTTGTCAATTTGGGTCTCTGAATGATTACAATGAGCAGACTCCAGCCCCCACTCCCCAACCTATAATAGACATGTGGCCTGAGAGAGAACTAATTCTTGGTTGTTTTAAGCCACTGAAATTTGGGTTGTTGTTGTTGTTACCACAGCACAACCAAGTCTGTCATGACTGATAAGCACATCTTTTATAACTTCATTGGTTGTCAGAATATTATCAAATAAAAACTAAAACACTTTGAAAAGTAAACCAGTTTAGAGTTTAAAATTTCAGTTCCATGTACTATGGAGCACTTTATACCTTTTCCATATTCAGTCAAGAATTTCAAAGAGTCATTTCATGATATGGGAAAATGCCCATGTTATATTAAGGGTTGGGGGTTAAATTTAAAGACAAAGTGCTAAATATTTACAGTGGTTATGCCTCCTTGTTGCAGAGCTTGTCACTGTCTTTACATTTATTTTATAAAACAATAGTCGCTTATTTAGAAATGTATTTCCACCTCAGAAATGGCATTTATAAGCCAGGCAAGGTGGCTCAATGCCAGTAGTCCCAGCTACTCGAGAGGCTGAGGCAGGAAGATCACTTGAGCCCAGGAGTTTGAGGCTGAGTGAGCTATGATTGTGCTCCCTCCAGACTGGGTGACAGAGCGAGATCCTGTCTCTGAAATAAATAAATATAAAGACAGAAAAAACAAATGACATTTACATGTGTTTATTATTAGAAAAATTCCAGCATGAATGATGTCTTTCATTTTCTATACTTTTATCTTCCATTCTAATAATGTCTGTAAATAATCATGAAAAGAATTCATAATCAACAGACTATATTTCATACCATAATTTTCTAAGTGGCTAGCCAAGCAGACACAGTTTTACATGCATTAAATATGAGCACAATAGACTACATTAATTTTGTGTTTTTTATTTAATTTCCAGATTTAGGAGCTAGGCATTATAATCATAAATGCAGATTTATGCCCAGTGAACTACAGACTATCTTTACTATCTAAGAGCCTGAACACACTCAGATAAAATGTGGCTTTATCTCAAGATGGTGGGTGAATATATGAAGTACCTCTTCTTCTTCTCAAAATATTATTGAATGTGGAGGGAATGTAAATAAGTATAAATAAGAATAACTGCATTGAAAAAAAAGGCAAACAGGATAGATTCCATCACTGAACCATCAAATGATTCCATTTGAACCATCAATGAACTTCTGGAAGATGCTATGCAGACAGAATCAGATTGAAGGCGAAATCCATGAGACCAAGAAGTCCCAAAACACAACCCAGTGGAAAGAGGAAATGACACCGTTCTCCTCCCTTATGAAAGGGAGGTGATGTGGAGTAAACACCAGCCCCAACATATGATGACACAATCTAAATCTTCAAAATATTAACTTGATTTCCAGAAGGGGAAGCAGATGTATTTTGTTTTCTCCTCAGTCCTTCTGTGATTCTACAAGTTGAGCAATATCTACATGTGAAAATGACTTTGACTGTTTCTTTTATTCCTCTACACTAGATTTTTTTGTTGTTTCGTTTGTTTTATGAGATAAGATCTCCCTCCGTCACTGGAGCACAGTGATGTGATCACAGCTCACTGCAACCTTGACCTCCTGAGCGCAAGCGATCCTCCCACTTCAGCTTCCTGAGTAGCTATAACTACAGGTGCATGCTACCAAGCCCGGCAAAAACAAAAAACAAAAACAAAAAAACACTGGTGGATACAGTGTCTTACTACGTTGCCTACGCTGGTCTTGAACTCCTGGCCTCCTAGTTTTAGCCTTTTTCACAGTTTGTGCTTCCCTGACCCTTTTCACTCCCTGAAATCAGAACGTGATTATGTTCTGCCTGACTTTATTTTGCTTATTACAGATTTGTTTTCAGGCCTATGCCAACCACATCTCTCCAAGCTCTATTTTTTTTTCAGTTCCACAAAGCAAAATGTGACTGATAAAATGATGTGCAGACAAGCAAATACAGAGTTGGGGTGACTCGTATAAATATATTTCAGTTTTTAAATAGTAGAAATGCTGCCCTTTTTTTTCTTGCCTCCTTTGCTTCCTAATTTACACAGTGCAGTTTGTTTTTTAAGACATATTTTTTGGTGCAGTTTTAGGTTCACAGTAAAATTGAGCAGAAGGTGTTAAAATTTCCCAGGTTCCCACACCTACATAGCCTCCTCCACTATCAATATCTCCTACCAGAGTGGTACATTCGTCACAATCAATGAACCTTCATTGACATATCATTATCACCCAGAGTCCATAGTGTACACCAGAGTTCATTCACTCTTGGTGTTGCACTTTATATGGGTTAAAGCAAATTTGTAATGACATATATCTGCCATTATAGCATCAGAAAGATGAGTTCCACTGCCCTAAAAGTCCCCTTTGCTCTGCTTGTTACACAGGGCAGTTGTTGAGACAAAGCTTCAGGTACTCAGAAATTTTTTTCTTATGTCTTCATTTTTTTAACTTAGTGGAGATTTTCACTTTGATATAGCTGATCATGTGTTAGGTAAGGAGGATAGCTCAGAGCCTCACTCCCCAAATGAAAGGACCTCAAGTGTATCAGCTCCTGAAAGGGGGGATTCTTTAGTGAGTACAGAATCCCGATGGTGATACATCAGTCCTTTCATCTCTTCTGCACTTTTCCAGCCCTTTGGTTCTCAGGAAACTGCCATCTCTACTGTTGAGGGCAAGTTTCCGATCCACATGGGCATGTTCCAAGTTTTTTTGTTTGTTTCTAGGCATTGTATTCTTTTTCAATTTTTAAAAATGTGTTTTTTGACATGAGGTCTCGGTCTGTTTCTCAGGCTAGAGTACAGTAGCATGATCATAGCTCACTGCAGCCTCGAGCTCCTGGGTTCAAATGATCCTCCAACAGACTCCAGAGTAGCTTGGACTACAGATGTGCACCACTATGCCTGGCCTTTTTTTTTTTTTTTTGGTAAAGACGAGGGTCTCACTATGTTGCCCAGGCTAGTCTCGAGCAACTCCTGGCCTCAAGCAATCCTCCCACCTCAGCCTACCAAAGTGCTGAGATTATAGATGTGAGCCACTGCACCCAGCTATTCCAAAGCTTTAAAGCAGTTTTAAATTCATGGTTAAAATTTAGAAGATGCTGTGAATATTATTTTGCACTTGTGTAAACACATGAAAGAGAAAAGATTTCAATGAAATGAAAAGCGACAGTAGCAAGAACCTAATAATACCAGCATGTGAATTTACAGTGAGCAAAATGCAGTAAGAGAAATTGAAAAGTTTCTACTCTCAAACAGTGTGATAAAATGATGTATTGATGGCATACATAATGCTGAAGAGGTTTTGTGTAATTAACTGTTAAATACCAGCTTCTCTACCTGGGCTGATGAGTCAACAGATTTCACTAATAAATTTTATGCATTTGTAAAATTAATAAATGATGATAAATTCAAGAAAACTTCTGCTTCAAGGGGCTATCCTAAAGAAGGAAAGACAAGATGTATTTAGTAACTTGTTCTGCATATTTGGAAACAAAAGGTCTGTTTTGGGTCCTCTGTTGGCATTTAGACTGATAGGGCCACATCAATCGTTGACTCCAAGAAAGACTTCACTTCTCTTGTTTAAAAAAAAAAAAAAGTGACCAGGTGCAGTGGCTTACTCCTGTAATCCCAACACTTTGGGAGGCCAAGGTGGGAGAATTGCTTGAGCCAGGAGTTTGAAACCAGCCTGGGCAGCATGGTGAGACTCTATCTTTATTAAAAAAAAAAAAAAAAAATTGAAAATTCGCTGGGCGTGGTGGCATGCTCTGTGGTCCTAACTACTCGAGAGGCTGAGGTGGGAGGATTGCTTGAGGCTGGGAGATCGAGGTTGCAGCAGTGAGCCATGATCGTGCCACTGCACTCCAGCCTGGGCGACAAAGCAAGACTTTATCTCATAATGCTTTCTTTAAAGAAAAGGGCTGGTATCAAAACTTATGCCACAAAAATAGTTAACTTTAATTCATTTCAGAACTCTTTAAAAACAGTGTGAAACGTGGACAAAGACCCCACAGACAAAAAAGAAAAAAAAAACTGCTCTTTCACATACCATATACCACACACTATACCTCATTAACACCTTGTAGAGCAGGATTTTGGTAAGACTTTTGAGCCCACTTAGATGAGTTTAAAAAGAAAGTAAGAAATTGAAAAAAAGAAAAGAAAACCAAAGTTTCCTCTATCTGCGTCCTGATTTGCATTAGAGTTATTTCCTTGTAGGGAAGGGAAACCACACAAAAAAACATAGGCTAGTAAGGTCATTCAGGTTGATAGCAGAGCCTGGGGTGGAGAGAAATTCCTTGATAAAAGAGGAGACATGGCCTGGCTTCAGTGACTTCGTGTGTAAAACAGAGCATATAGTGTTAACTTGAGTGCCTTTTGATAACTCTTCAGACTAAAAGATCCTTAAGGGCAAAGGAATTTGCATCCCTCATACCTATTGGTGGGCCTGATACTCAATAAGTGCTTAAAGATTAACAAAGGGATGGATGGATAGATGATGCATTGGATGGATGATGGGTGGATGGATGGATGGATGGATGGATGGATGGATGGATGGGTGAATGGGTGGATGGATGGATGGATGGGTGATAGGTGGGTAGATGGATAGATGGATGGATGGATAACGTGTGGGTGGTGGACAGATGAATGGATGATGGGTGGGTGGATGGATGGATGATGGGTGGGTTGATGGGTAGATGGATGGATGATGGGTGGGTGGATGGATGGATGGGTGGATGGGTGGGTGGATGGGTAGATGGATAATGGGTGGGTGGATGGATGGATTAATAATGGGTTGGTGGATGAATAGACAGATGGATGATGGGTGGGTGGGTGGATGGAAGGGTAGAAGGGTGAATGGGTAGATGGATGGATGGATGAATGATGGGTGGGTGGGTGGATGGATGGGTAGATAGATGGATGGATGATGGGTGGGTGGGTGGATGGATGGATAGATGTGTGGGTAGATGGATGGATGATGGGTGGGTAAATGGGTGGATGGACAGATGATGAATGAGTAAACGAACAAACTAACCACTGAGTTTGAAAATATCTTAGATAGAAATATAGGCTCACAATATTTGGTGGGAAACATTCAACAACCAAACACCTTCTTAAAATGCACCCCTTCTACTCAATTACCTCAGAAATGAAGCACTGTGAAAATAGATAGATTCTGAAGTCACACAACCCTAAGTACCTGGCTCTGTGTGACCTTGTGCAAGTGATTTAGCTACCCTAAGTCAAAGTTTCTATAAAACTGGGCAATGTTAGGGTGCCACCTCTGAGGGAAAAGCCCAATGAAACAATATTCCAAGGGCATCCATGGGTGGCAGTCATTATTTTGATGAATTTACTGTGGACAGGGCCTGACTCTCAGTCTAACCGTAATATACTTCATTTCATCAGTATACGGGGAGGGAAGCCATTTCCCAGATTCAGACCCAGAAAGGCTGATACATAAACTAGAACGCTAATTTATTAATTTATCAGGGGAAATTATTTGGAGACTCAAAGTAACTAGCACATTTTCTCCCTGTTTGCAACTATAATGGGGAAGTAAAACCACAATCAGAAAGTTCTCAAGGTCAGGCAAAGAGACTTGGGCAACATCTTGCATGTAGTGATGAGACAGTCATTGGGAAACACTTGAAATAAAGTCCTTGGTGGTCACTGACAAGATTTGTCTCTGTCTTCTTGAATGAGTTTATACATCTTTACTTTTTTCTACTATATATTAATGCTTGAGGGGGTATCTTATTTTCCTTGCTCCCAATTTTTGAGGGAAAGGCTTACCACAGCCCCTGAAATATTAACAATAAAGAGAGACGGTCTCTTTCTGTTGCCCAGGCTGGAGTGAAGTGGTGCAATCATAGCTCACTGGAGCCTCAAACTCCCGGGCTCAAGCTATCCTTCCACCCCAGCCTCCCAAATACCTGGGACTACAGGTATGCACCACTATGCCCAGCTAATTTTTAAGTTTTTTCTGTAGAGACGGTCTCACTGCATTGCCCAGGATGCCTAGCCTGGTCTCAAACTCCTGGCTTCAGGCACTCCTCCTGCCTTGGCCTTCCCCATCAGTGTAGTCTGCACATTAGCTGAAGGGTCTCTCTGCCCCTCAGGATCTGGGTCAGATGGCTTAACTCCCCAATCTCATAGCCTGTGAAAGTCCAAAGCCTATTCCAGATTTCAGTGAATCCTTGGGAGATTTGTGTTCTCATGGCTTCCTTTTCCTCCCTTGTGGTCTCTGCTCAGCATTATGTCAATCCAGAGATGAATCATAGCTTCCTCAGCAGTTTCTACCAAAATAAAAAACAAAAAAAAAATGCCACTTGCACAAAACATTTATGAATAAACTTTTCTAAAGAACTCAGGAAGGCCAGGTGCAGTGATTCACACCTGTAATCCCAGCACTTTGGGAGGCTGATGTGGGAGGATCGCTTGAAGCCAAGGGTTTGAGACCAATCTGAGCAACCTGGATAACATAGTGAGATGCTGTTTTTACCAGAAAAAAAATTAAAATTAAAATTAACTGGGTGCAGTGGTGCATGCCTGTAGCCCCAATTACTTGGGAGGCTGGAGCAGGAGGATTGGCTGAGCCCGGGAATTTGAGGTTCTAGTGAGCTTTGATCGCAACACTGCACTCCAGCCTGAGCAACAGAAGCAAGACCCTGTCTAAAAAAAAAAAAGAAAGAAAAGAAAAAAAGAAAGAAAAAGAAATTAAGAACTGAGGAGCAAAGGGAGGTCACACTAAGGATTCACATGTACATGATACAGTAAGATGTTTAAAATCCACACTAGACATTCTTATTCTTCAAAAGTTCCTTCAGACCACCCTGACGCCAAGAGTTCTAGTCCTGACCCTTCTCACCAATACCTGCTGATCTTACTTCCTCCCTGAACTTCTTTCCCCTCTCTTCTCCCTCCTTGGTTCTCTCTCTCACCCTTCCCTCTCGTTGACTCAAGCATAAAGGTTCCGCCCCCTCTCTGGAACCTCCTCCACAGCTGGAATCCTCAGACCTGAGAATTTCACTCTCTAACACTGACCAAAGGTGTTTTTCAAAGACTGTTCCTTTCTAAGATGAATTTAGGGGCTATGAATTTTGTTAAGAAAACAAAAGTATTCCTTGCCTGAGTGTAAAGTGCCTGGGATATAGGTTCAACAGATAATCTATCCACTCTCTTGTTCCTATTTATGCAATACATTGTTGATCAACAATAATCACAACATGATTGTGTTGTTTCTACTCCTCTCCACATTCCAATGTGGGTTAAGAGGACATCCTCAAATAAAAATTTCTGGCAACTGTATTTTCCCCATAGCTGTAGGCTTGCAAAGACTGTCTGATGCCAAATACTAGTTTCCTGATTTACTGGCCTTGTGATCTTGTGCAAATTTCCTAACCTCTCTGGTTTCAGTATCTCAGTCTGTAAAAATGGGGTGATAGATCAGCTCACAGACTTCTCGGGAGGATTAAATTCATTCACGTAAAATGCTTAGTACATAATAAGGGCTCAAAAAATATTAGTTGCTACTGTTTTTTTTCTTAGTTCCTTTCTTCTGGAATAGTGTGATTTTATCAATCTAAACATCAGAGATTTAGTACTTGCACTTTAATGAAGCCAACCTTGCACTGGAGACTAGATTCTATCTTGAAGTGGCAAGGTCAGGGCTCTACTTGCTGGTAGCCTGGGCTGCAGAGGATGACCAGGTGCTAGCTCACCTGGGGCCTGCATTCAGAGATGGAGCAAGAAGTGGGGACATGATGAGAATATAATCCAACCCACAGTAGCCTAAACTGGGAGAGACACTGACTACCCTGAGTCTTGTTCATTTCCAGGCCAGAGAACTCAGAAGCCTGGGGGTTCCTAGGGCTGACTAGCATCCTAATAACCCAGCTCCTACTAGATCTGTTCTAGATCTGATGTGACTCTCTCAGAGACCCTTCAAATGTCCCTGGTTTCCCAAGACAATGGGAAGAACTGAAATACCACAGACCCTCCCAGAGATGACAAGGGCTGCCCCCTACAGTCTAGAGCCCTAGAATGCACAGACTCCTTGATCAAGTGGCCAGAGTGGTCCATCTGGGTCAGGTTGTTCTCATGGCCATATTTGATTGTGGAATACCACCTGGCCCCATAACCTACTCATTCACTGGAGTCTCCACCCCTCATAGGATCAAGGTGTTTGGACTGTTTGCTGTAGCCTCTGGAAAAATTAAGAATGGAGTGGGAGAGCCAGGCTTGGGTTGGGTGAAACATGTATCTCCCAAGGTGACCCTAGGTGAGGGGGAGGAAGAAGGAAATGGGCTGCTGGGCCAGATCCATGGGGCACATCTTGAAGGGCAAGACTAGGTGTGTCTTTCTCTTTGCAGAAGGCAGAGTCGTCTGGGCCTAGACACGAGGAGGCTGGGCCATGCTGGAGGTTGAGGGTGGCAGGGGAGGAGATTATAGCCCACCTAAACACTACCAAAAGAGCACATAGATACACTAAATCATTTGGAATCCAGTCCCTACTCCCTACATGAGTATATTATCCATGTGGCATTTTAAGCTCTCCCTGCATACCTGCGTCTCCCTTTCATGTCTTTGGGTTCCTGATCATCCACGCTGCCAGAGCTATAGTGGATTGTGGGTAGAGGGACAGGAAGGCTGTGTGCTTTGAGTCTCCATCCCTGGGGCTGACCATGGAACAGGTCATGCTCTGTGGTACATTTTGGCCCCTGCACCATCCATCACCCTGGTTTTCTTTGCAGAAGTATGTACCTAAACAAGAAGCGAGGCCACCTGGGAAGTGGAGGTCTCAGCCCAGCCCAGGGGAGTGAGCCCACAGACAGAAGAAGAGTGACTACTAACAAGCAGAAAGGGACCTGGGCACTTGATTCAGATGAGGACCCTGGTGACTCTGCCCCTTCCAGTGGGCTCAAGCCCCTGCCCAAGAGTCCAGTTTTATCATCTAGGGGGACATCTAGGGCTGGCAGGATCTTGCCGTCTCTCCCTTGGCCCTGGGGTTTGGGGCAGGAGCCTTCTAGACAAGGCCCAGGCACTAGGCCCACCAATGCAGGTGTACCAAACAGGACTCTTCTCTAAGAGGCCTTTGGCTTGGAGAAGAGCCTGGACCTGGCGGCTCCCAAGTTTTTACTTCTCTCAAAGTGCTACCCAGCTGCCTATAGCACATGGGCCCCTGTTGCATTAAATCTATAAATAAAACTTCACACCCCAATACTTATCCTAGGCAGAATCCTAGGCGTCCCACCCCTCGCGCAAACCTGCCTTCCTGGGATGGGAGAATTTGGAAACGCTCCCTGAGCCAGTCCTGGGGAGCTTCCTTCCAGCCCCTGCCCCGGTGGTGGGGGGTCCGCAGAGATCCGCGGGAGGTCCGGGCACGCACGCCTGGCTGTGGGGAAATTCGGCCCCGTCAGGCGGCCGCGCTCACAGGAGCAGCGTGACCCGTCGGCCCCGGGGGTGCTGGCGCCAGGAGCCAGCACTCGCGGTGCGCTCCCCCGCGCCTGGCTTCCCTGGACTGTCGCCAGTCCTACTCTGCCTGAGGTGGCGAGGGCAGGGTGGAGCGCGGCCTTTTCTGGCCTGAGGAGGAGTCACTCGGGAGGTCACTCGGCTGCTGGGCGGGCTGCTGTCACAGGCGCTGCGTGCCCTGGCTCTGCTCGCCACTGGCCGGCGCGCTCCCGGCGCACGGAGCACACTCGCGCTCCCGGCGCACGGAGCACACTCGCGCTCCGGGACTGAAACCTGAGCAGCCGTAGCAGCCGAATTTGGGAGCATATCCTTGTCACTGCAGCCAGAAAGCCCTTCGATCCCCATCAGAGAGGTCACATGAGCCCCGAGGTCACCTGCCCGCGGAGGGGCCACCTGCCTCGCTTCCACCCGAGGACCTGGGTTGAGCCCGTGGTGGCCTCGTCCCAGGTGGCTGCCTCCCTCTACGATGCGGGGCTACTCCTCGTGGTGAAGGCGTCCTACGGAACCGGAGGCTCCTCCAACCACAGTGCCAGCCCATCGCCCCGGGGGGCTCTAGAGGACCAACAGCAGAGAGCCATCTCCAATTTCTACATTATCTACAACCTTGTGGTGGGCCTGTCCCCCCTGCTGTCCGCCTACGGGCTGGGATGGCTCAGCGACCGCTACCACCGAAAGATCTCCATCTGCATGTCGCTGCTGGGCTTCCTGCTCTCCCGCCTCGGGCTGCTGCTCAAGGTGCTGCTGGACTGGCCAGTGGAGGTGCTGTACGGGGCGGCGGCGCTGAACGGGCTATTCGGCGGCTTCTCCGCCTTCTGGTCCGGGGTCATGGCGCTGGGATCGCTGGGCTCCTCCGAGGGCCGCCGCTCTGTGCGCCTCATCCTCATTGACCTGATGCTGGGCTTGGCGGGGTTCTGCGGGAGCATGGCTTCCGGGCATCTCTTCAAGCAGATGGCTGGGCACTCTGGGCAGGGCCTGATACTGACGGCCTGCAGCGTGAGCTGTGCCTCGTTTGCCCTGCTCTACAGCCTTTTGGTGCTAAAGGTCCCTGAGTCGGTGGCCAAACCCAGCCAGGAGCTCCCCGCCGTGGATACCGTGTCTGGCACGGTTGGCACATACCGCACTCTGGATCCTGATCAGTTGGACCAACAGTATGCAGTGGGGCACCCTCCATCTCCTGGAAAAGCAAAACCCCATAAAACCACCATTGCCTTGCTCTTTGTGGGTGCTATCATATATGACCTGGCGGTGGTGGGCACAGTGGACGTGATCCCTCTTTTTGTGCTGAGGGAGCCTCTCGGTTGGAACCAAGTGCAGGTGGGCTATGGTATGGCTGCAGGGTACACCATCTTCATCACCAGCTTCCTGGGTGTCCTGGTCTTCTCCCGCTGCTTTCGGGACACCACCATGATCATGATTGGGATGGTCTCCTTTGGGTCAGGAGCCCTCCTCTTGGCTTTTGTGAAAGAGACATACATGTTCTATATTGGTGAGTCTGTCATTCTTGAGGAGGCAGGACATTGCTAGCCCTCTGCATCATGGGGCTGACACCAGGGATGCCATGGTCTGGGTGTCCTAGCTCAGCACCAGGGATTGAACCTGCTACCTAGGAGGCACAAGGGACACAAGATTATATGCCCCTGAGTTTATCTGTAATGTATTGTTAATTAATTATCTATATTGAGAATGAAATGTTACCAGAGTGGTGTTCATGGTTCTGGGCAGTCAAGGAGGTGTGGTCAGTGGTACCTGGAGTCAGTAGGGGAGGCTTCAGGATGGCCTTCAACAGAGGAGATGGAATTGGGTTTCTTCCCCCACACCCCCTTGCCATTTTAAAGGGATGGAATTTCAAAGGCCGAGCGCAGAGGCTCTCGCCTGTAATCCCAGCACTTTGGGCGGGAGGTGGGAGGATCACTTGAGGCCAGGAGTTCAAGACCAGCCTGGCCAATATAGCAAAACCTCATCTCTACCAAAAGCATAAAAATTAGCCAGGTGTGGTGGTGCACACCTGTAGTCCTAGCTACTCAGGAAGCTGAGGCACAAGAATCACTTGAACCCAAGAGGCAGCGGTTGTAGTGAGCCGAGATTGTGCCACTGCACTCTAGCCTGGGTGATAGAGCAAGACTCTGTCTCAAAAAAAAAAAAACAAACAAACAAAAAAAAAAAAACGTGGAGGAGTGGAATTTCAAGTAATTCTACTGAAAAGATCCCTTAATTAAAATCATTTGGAGTCAAGCAAGGGCTTTTTAAAAATGCATTAAAATACTCGGTAAATGCCTTCCACAACCAATGTAATAAATTCCCCAAGGAAGCAGCATTAAGTTTCCATCTGAGGGCACAAGTCAGACAACTATAAGCAGAAAGCTCGAGATGAATGCTCCAATAGAACTTTCTAGAATGATGGAAATAGTTGCTATCCATTCTGTCCAATACAGAAGCCACTGGCTCCATGTGGCTATTGAGCCGTTGAAATGTAGCTAGCGCAACTAAAGAACAGATTTTTAAATTTTATGTCATTGTATTTAATTTAAATAGTTATATGGGGCTAGTGGCTATCATATCAAAAAAACAACTTCAGACAGTTATCTGAGGCTGGCTCTTGGCCCAGGCAGGTCACACATCTTAGAAACACCTAACAAAATGGCAAGGTAACCTCTGGTCACTTCTCAATTAAACAGCATAGGACAGAGTACCCCCTTCCCCTTTTGCCCACCACCTCTCTCTGTGTCTCTCTTTGGGTTTTGTTTTGTTTTGTTTTGTTTTTGAGATGGAGTTTCACTCTTGTTGCCCAGGCTGGAGTGCGATGGTACGATCTCGGCTCACTGCAACTTCCACCTCCTGGGTTCAAGTGATTCCCCTGCCTCAGCCTCCCAAGTAGCTGGAATTATAGGCATGCACCACCACACCCAGCTAATTTTGTATTTCTAGTAGAGACAGGGTTTCACCATGTTGTTCAGGCTGGTCTCGAACTCCTGACCTCAGATGATCCACCCGCCTCGGCCTCCCAGAGTGCTAGGATTACAGGCGTGAGCCGCCACGCCTGGCTGTCTGTCTCTATCTGTCTCTCTTGTGCGTTCTCTCTCTCTCTCTCTCTCACACACACACACACACACACACACACACACACACTGCATCTGGATAATCAATAGAGCTTGAGAATAGAGCTTGAGAGCTATGCAGTGGATGCGTTCATGGGACACATTGCTGGAGGCAATTTGCCAAAGCTCCCGGGACTATCTCCCAGAGATGTTCATTAATGTCAAGGACAGACACTTCTCTCCTGGAGAAACAAAGAAAGGGGCCTTGTGTCACTTTGGTGGTACCAGTTCCACTTCCCTAGTAATCACTCAACTCCACCAGTAAAGACACATTTCACCATCTGTCACCATGTCAACTGTGCCCAGCCACCTTGCAGACTGATATGCAGCATACACAGCAGCATCAGAGCTCAGAGGGTCACAGACTGGTCAAGGGAGGGCGCTAGTGTGCCAGCAGAGAAATGACTTCCTCCAGGTCAAGCCACATTCGGATTGTGGGGAGATGGGGGTTCTAAGAGAGGCTTTTGATAATTTCCTCCTTGGCCCAGGCTGGGCTACAGCAAGGAGTGTTCTTGTGTGATCTCTTTCAGCTCGAGCCGTCATGCTGTTTGCTCTCATCCCCGTCACAACCATCCGATCAGCTATGTCCAAACTCATAAAGGGCTCCTCTTATGGTGAGTAGTGAACAGAATCTCTCTGGAATCTTCTGCCCGGGCTGTTTCAGAGCTGCTAAGCATGAGGCACAGACCTGCAGAAGGCACTTGAGACAGTTCCAGAAGCATCTTTGAAGACACTAGAAACACTGGTTTCCATCCAGGGCACAGAGAGTGGAGACGGGTATAGGAGTGACTTAGAAAGTCAGGCACTGAAAAGCCACAGTCAAAGAAGGATTCTATCGTCCACAGGCCTTGGGAAGATTCAACTAGATAGAGGCAGGATTCCTAGTGAATTGAGCCACACAAAGACTGAGAAGGCACCAGGTGCAGTGGCTCAATTCCTGTAATCCCAGTGCTTTGGGAGGCCGAGGTGAGAGGATCGCATGAGGCTGGGAGTTCAAGACCAGCCTGGACAACATAGTGAGACCCCCATCTCTAAACAAAAAAAATTAAAAATTAGCAGGGCATGGTGGCACATGCCTGTAGTCCCAGCTACTCGGGAGGCTGAGGCAGGAGGATTGCCTGAGCCCAGGAGTTTAAGGCTGCAGTGAGCCAGGATTGTGGCACTACACTCCAGCCTGGGCAACAGAGTAAGACTCTGTCTCTAAAAAAAGAGAGAGAGAGAGAGAGTAAGAAGGAAGGGTCCCCTAAGAACTCTCCAGAGACTCAGCTAATGGGGAGTGAGGCAGGGACAGCAAGGCACTCCGGAGTAACCTCTGTCCCTTCCACAGGAAAGGTGTTCGTCATACTGCAGCTGTCCTTGGCTCTGACCGGCGTGGTGACATCCACCTTGTACAACAAGATCTACCAGCTCACCATGGACATGTTTGTGGGCTCCTGCTTTGCTCTCTCCTCCTTTCTCTCCTTCCTGGCCATCATTCCAATTAGGTAGGATGGGAGCAGCATCTGCTGCTTGGGCTGGGACCCTGATGCTTAGGTCAAGGAATGTTGGACCTTCTCCAGCCCACCATCACTGCATTATTTATTTTCAGCATTTATGCAGTGGGTCCTGAGTAGGCTCTCTCACAAAGAAAAAGTCCTCCTGTTTCCCAACACTAAAAATGTGGCCATTTCAGAATTCCTCAAAATCACAAGTAAGAAACAGGGTCATTAGGCACTGGCTCACTCTTTGGCAGTTTTATAGTGACTATTTACATGAGTTCCGTATACTTCCTTATAATTAGAGGCTGTGATTGGAAACCTTCATGAACCATCAGACCTCTTTTGTTCAGCTGCCTTTAGGTGAAAGTCATCAGGCCTCATTTCAGAGCACAGTTTCTTCCCCGTGCCCTCACAGGGCTCTGTGCTCAGTGCGGCTGAAATCTCCCAGCCGCTGGACTGTGTGAGCTCCAGACAGGGCCTCAGACAATTCCCTTGACTTCTCTGGGGGAATTGTCTCATTTGTAAAATCAGAGCACTCTATGGAGACCACTAGACTAGGTCATCAACAAAATGGAAAGACAGCACTGAATAGTTCTGTCTTCAGCCCTGTCCCACACAAATACAGTAGCAGCCACAAATGCAAGCCATGTGTGTGATTTTCAATTTTCTAGTAGCCACATTTTAAAAAGAGAAAAGTGACAGGTGAAATTAATTTTAATAACATATTTGACATGCAAAATATCATCTCCACATCTAATCCATTTACAAAATGTGTCAATGAGGTATTTCACTTCTTATTTACACTAACTCTTTGAAATCCAGTATGTATTTTACACTTACAGTACATCTAGATTTGGACGTCACATTTCAAGTATTCAGTAACCCACATGTGGGTTGAGGTTCCCATATGGAACAGCACTGTTCTCTTTAGACTGTTAGGCCCTTTTACCACTTCCTTTGAAGTGAGGTTCTCTCATGCTCCTACCACTGCTGCCACATGAGAAAGGAATATATATATATATATACACATATATATATATACACACACAGAATACATGTATCCACAGGATTTGATATAGATTTGCATTTTCAAGGGACCTGCCTAGTAGCACATGAGGACTCTACAGATCAGTAATGGTGGTATAGTAGGCAGCAGAGTAGAAAATAAAGGAAGGCTTGTTCAAGGGGACAGTGATAAAGCTTTTTTGGAATTCTCACATCACATCATATTACAAATCTCGGCCTGAATGGAAAGTTGAGCTTCCTAGGACAAGAGCCGTCAATCATTAGGGCTCTTTGCATTATTTCATAATTGAGAAAAATAAGATAGGAAGACCAAATAGCTGAGACACATTAAAGTATGGATCAGCAGGCATGACCAGGTCTCATTCCTAAGGTGCAAACTGAGCTAGCTCTGTCTTCGAACTGTCCGACCCTAAGGACTTTTCGTGTGTTCCTGTTTTCGTATGAGTCCTGGCTGAATGGGTTGGATTTTAGCTACCATGCAGTGCACACTCCTCAGGAGTCCCAGCCTCTGGCCAAATGAGTAAAGGATGAGTAGTTTTTGCCCGCTTGAAAATTATCCAGTCCAATTTTATTGGCAGTTGGTTAATGTAGTCTCTTTAACCTAAACAAAACCCAAAAATCAACAAAAGGAAAGGAGTCTTACTAGTTCATGTGTGTCATAAAGACATCAAGAGACAAATGAAAGCAATGGGAAGATACAAGTAAGCAACTGATTGAGCGCTTATGCAGGTAAGGCACTTAGGCACACTGTTTCCCTCTGTTGTAGACATTTAGCAATAGAGAGACACGTGCAAACAAAGCCAGATTTTAAATTGACTGCTATCAGGATCCCACCCACCAGAGATTCTGACTCAATTAATCTGCGGTGCAGCCTGGGCATAGGAAATTTTAAAAGCTCTCCAGGTGATTCAAATGTACAACCAAGATTGAGAATCTCTGGTGTAAAGGGAGTGTTTCCATTACTTTCCTTTCCGCAAAGTCACTAAAGAAACGAGATCCTGAAAAAGTTTCACAGCTAGGAGGGGCCAAGGCTGTACCATCAATCTTCAGGGAGAGCAACAGGAAAGACCAGTAAAGCTTTCGAACCACAGGAAGAAAAGCTACATTCCAATGACATAAAAACCCAGGCAGGCATGCCAGAGCAGGGGAGGACTCAGAGGGCAGAGGCTGGACTGGATCACAGTCAGCATCCCCTTCCTCGATGCCAGGAGAGATCCCAGCCTGTTTGCAATCCCAGGGGGCTGTGGCTGCACCTCTTCCTGGTACCAAAGTGAGCCGATTTCATGCCACCGTAAGAACTTGCCCTCTCTTGTTTGCTCTTTAGATGCAATAGGGAGATGCTGAGGAAATAATTGTGAGGTTCTGCTTATCTACAACCCTCTCCCCTCATGCCCTCCAATATACATGCACTTAACTAATGCCTCATTCTTCATAAACAGAAGCCAGGCTGGGCACGATGGCTCATGCCTGTAATCCCAGCACTTTGGGAGGCCAAGGCGGATGGATCATAAGGTCAGGAGTTTGAGACCAGCCTGGCCAACATAGTGAAACCATGTCTCCAATAAAATACAAAAATTAGCCGGGCTTGGCAACATGCGCCTGCAGTCCCAGTTATTCGGGAGGCTGAGGCAGGAGAATCGCTTGAACCCAGGAGGTGGTAGTTGCAGTGAGCTGAGATCGTGCCACTGCACTCCAGCCTGGGTGACAGAGCTAGACTCCATCTCAAAAAAAAAAAAAAAGAAAAGAAAAAAGAAAAAAACAGAAAAGAGAAGCCAAGCTATCCCAACAGAATCTCCCTGTCTTCTCCAGTCCACAGCCCTATGTTCATTTGCATCCATCTTCTTTTTTTTAATGATAATAACAGCAAACTCTTAAACAGCCCTATGTGCCAGGCACTACTTTATTTCATATTTTTAAACTAATCTTCCCAAACAATCCTTTATGGTAATTACTATTATTCTCCCTATTTTGCAGGTGAGGAAACAGCCTCCAAGGTATTAAATAACTTGCCAAAGGGTACACAGCTAGGAAGTGGCAGAGACAGGATTTGAAGGAAGCCAGACTGTCTTTCCCATCCACTACATGCATTGCACCTGGTATCTGGGTGCGGCCTCTCCTACCTCCTGAGAAAGCTCATTCCACTGCTTCATTCTCTCCTGAATTCTTCTACCAGAGCTGACATATGCTCTTCCTCCGTCTCTCCTTCTCTTCATAGTCAAGTTATCCCAAGGCAGGTCTGCACGTGCTGTCTCACTCCCCCACTCCCATTCACTTTCTTCTCACTCCAGTCTGACTCAATTGGTTCCCCCTGCTCAACTCCACCAGAGCTGCTCTCACTAAAGCCACTAATGACTTATTAGCTGCATCCGTTGACCTGCTGCCACCTTCATCTCATATGATTTCTTGGCGACATCTAATGCTGTTGATCACTCTTTCCTCAGGAGATATTTGTCACATGGCTTTCAAAACACCTCATTCTTCTGGCTTTTCTCCCATTTATCTGATAGCTTCTTCTCTACAAACCTCCCATGTAGGAATTGTTTGGGGTTCTATTCTGGGCTGTCTTCTCACTTTACATTTTCTAAGCAACCTAAAGTACTTCCAAAGGTTCATATTACCATTTAAACTTCCAAAATAGGGTTCTTGATACCCTCCTAAGCCTGCTAACACTCCTGTCTTTCCAATCTCATGATCTCATTAAACGGCGGCACCACCCACCGAGGGTAGAAACCTGTCCTTCATCTCCCCCCACCTCCAATCAATCAGGCCTAATATATTGATTCTACCTCCAAAATATGTCTCAAACTTATGCTTTTCTTTTTATCTCTACTGCTACCCCCTAATCCAGAGCACCTGGATGACTGAGTTAGCCTCTGAACCATTCTCCATACAGCCACTCTTGTTCTCCACTCCCATCCTCTCTCCAGCAGGTGGCCAGAGCAAGGTCCTTAAAGTGTGAATCAGGTCATGTCCTCACCTGCTGAAAGCCCTGCACTTGGCTTTCATTGCTCTTAGGATAAAACCCAAATGTTTGGCTGGGTGCAGTGGCTCACACCTGTAATCCCAGCACTTTGGGAGGCTGAGGTGGGGGAATTGCTTGAGCTTAGAAGCTTGAGACCAGCCTGGGCAATATAGTGAGACCCCAACTCTACAAAAAATTAATAAATCAGCTAGGCATTGTGGTGCATGCCTGTAGTCCCAGCTAGTTGGGAGGCTGATGTGCGAGGATTGCTTGAGCCCAGGAGGTTGAGGCTGCAATGAGCAAAGATCATGACACTGTGCTTCAGCCTGGGTGACAGAGCAAGACTCTGTCTCAAAAAAGAAACAAAAACAACAACAACAAAAAATGAATGTCTTACTATGGGCAACAAAGCCCTGCATAAGCTGGCCTGGCCACCCTCTCTCACCTCCTATTCCTGCCATTGACCACCCTCCCCAACCCTCAGCCACAGTCGCCTCCCCTCCCACTCTTCTCCCTTCTCCATCCACAACTTTTTCCCACCCAACTAGTTGTGGTCTTAACTGAAACACCATTTTCTCAAAGAGAATTTTCCTAACCCTTCTCAATCTAAATTAGATCCTTCTATTACATGCTCCCAGAGCTTCCTATATTCTCCTTGGTAGAATGCAGTGATGATGATTTCATGATTAGCTGTTTAATTACACTTGCCCACTAGACTGAAGGCTCCCTGAGGGCAGAGACCATGGCTATTTGGCTCTCCCTGTATCTTCTGTGTTCAGCACAGATCCTAGCATATAAGCAGCAGTCAAAAAGAATTCGTTTAATGAATGCATGCCCTGTCAGAGGGTGTAGCATCTCTCAGCGCTGACTTACGCTGACTAATAAGTCAGCACTGCTGACCGCCCACACCCCAGAGCTGCCTGGGGCTGCCCATGAAGTCAGATGCTGGCCATCGCCTTGTGCCTGTGCTGTAGTGGTCCACAGCAGGGGTCAAGGATCATGTGGCCCTGTGCTGGCTGCTTCCAAGTCTTCACTCTCCACTTGCCAGCCCTGTAATACAATGAGTCTTAAGTACAGTCAGTGCCCCTCCCAGTAGTGCACTAGCACTCATAGAAGGCGGGAAATCTAAGCGTTGGGAAGTGTCTACAAAGTTTCCCTTAAAAGGCTTGGATCTAAGCGCACAACCCATTTTAGCAACTCCAGGTGTTGTTCATCCATCAAGAAGTGCTGCGCTGTAGCTTAGAACCTGAGGATTCTGGAGCTCCAGCAGATGAGAAAGCCCAGGGTGCCAGAGGTTGAAGGACATGCCTAAGTCACACTGATCCAGGACTTCAGTTCAGACCTAATTGCTGCGCATCCATTTATTAAGATAATTTTAAACAATGTAATGGATAAAGGACCTATGGAAAGGCAGACGATGAGGCAGCTAATTCTGCTTGCAATTAGCAAAGGCTTAATCTTGATCTTGAGATATAGATGGGAGTTCATCCTCAGGCAGAAGTGAGATGGAAAGAGATTCCAGGAAAAAGAAAATGTGGATGCAAAGGGCTCATGATGTTATGGGAAATGGAGAAGTTCAGTACTTGCAAGACTGGAATGAACCTGGAGTAAGAGAAGTTCCTTCAGACAATCTCTCCCCACTCAGTGCCATAAATTCCATTCTGATGCCATAAATGGATAAAAAAATTTCAGTCTACCAGTGATAAAGAGATGGCCTAATGGATGGAGAGGAAAAGGCACACCCTTTGTTACAGGACCACCAAGTTCAATTGCCCATTGCACAGTAACAGACTCCGAAAGAGCAGGAGTTGCAGCAGAAAAAAGTGTTTAACGATATACAGCACCTGAACAAGGAGATGGAGGGAAACCTTAAACCCACCTACCAGGGAGGTTGGGGATGGGCTTCCAAGGGGTCTGGATGGGTGATGAGCTAGTGTAGGGATCGCTGATTGGTCAAGAAGTGAGGGGTGAAATCATGGGACAGGGAGATGAAGAAATGGCATTCCTGTGCTGAGTTGGTTCCTTGGTGAGGGTCTTCAGGCTGGTTGGCACTAGCCATTCTGCTGGAATTCAGGATCTGAAAAACACCTTAAGCAATTCTTAAGTAAAAAGGTCCAGTATCAGAGATTCTTTTTTTTTTTTTTTTTGAGACAGAATCTCAGTCTGTCACCCAGACTGGAGTGCAATGGCGCAATCTTGGCTCACTGCAACCTCCGCCTCCCAGGTTCAAGTGATTCTCCTGCCTGAGCATCCCGAGTAGCTGGGATTACAAGCGCCTGCCACCATGCCCAGCTAATTTTTGTATTTTTAGTAGAGTTGGGGTTTCACCAGGTTGGCCAGGCTGGTCTCGAACTCCTGACTTCAGGTGATCCACCTGCCTCAACCTCCCAAACTGTTGGGATTACAGGCATAAGCCACCATGCCTGGCCCCCAGAGATTCTATCTAAAGGAACAATGGGGAAGCAAATGGTCAACATGCTCCTTTTAGCTAGCAGCTGCAGGGAGATGGGTCACAGTGCACCAGCACACCTTGGTCAATGCCTACCTATGATTTTGCCTAAAGCCTGGCTTGTAATTATCATTAACCCTGTGAGGGCAGTTTCACCTTTACCCCATTCCAGCTGTTCTCTTGTAACTCTCTATGGTCAATTCTTACAGCATCGTGGCCTATAAACAAGTCCCATTGTCACCATATGGAGACATCATAGAGAAATGAAGATGCTTACCTGCAGGAACTGAAAACATCAGCCATGGCCAGGCCCCCAGAAGACAAAAGAAGGGACCAGGGAACTGGTGACCTAAGCAACCCACTGCTTAAGAAACCTGCGTTCCAGCCAGAGTTGGCCTCAGAATGACCTGCTCTGGCTCAGGGATCCCTGGTGGATGGGGAAAAGCACTTTCCTGGTGATGGAAAAACGTTCTCAGCTTTAAGACACCCCCATTAGGCAGACACTGGGTTCTGTGACAGCAGAGCATGACCTTAAGGGTTACAGGCAGGCTGCACACAGCAGTCCCAGGCCCTGTGAGGGGCTTCAGACTCCAGCTACAGCGAGCCTGCCCCTTTTCTTCAAGGGACTGTCTTGAGGGCTCCAAAGTATAGCTAACTAGTCACCTGGGTGCTGTGCTGAAAGTCCCATGGGAGAACTCAAAGCGTGCATTATCACAGCCTGAGGGGAATGTGGAAGGGATGTTTTGTAAGAACTACCAACAGTTTTGCACGAACAATGTCTTTTAAATTAAAATAAAACCTTGAAAAAAGTCAGCTTTCTTTCCTGAGTCTTCCTTACCTACAAACACTCAGGAGGGGGATGGAGCTCAGGCCCTTGTCTTCTGGGTAGTTTTGTTACTACTGTTGCTTTTAAGAAGCAAATGTCACAAGGCTTTCTTCAATGGGATGTTCAATTGAGTACTTCCAGTCAACAGTGCTTCCCAAAGTGGGTGGTGTGAAGGAAGAGGAGGTACATTAAGAGCTATTTTATTTGAGGTAGTCATTTTTATAACCTTGTTTACTTGGATTTATAAAAGCAGACTCACCTAATAAAATCAACATTCATTGTATGAGTGTGTGAATCGTTCCTTCCCAGGTCAGATTCTGTCTGTGACTACAGACTTGATGTTCTTATACAGGATAAAATACACGGCTGCAGAATACATTCAAGGTATTTGGGCTCTGAGAGTTTGTATCTCTAATCCTCTTGCAGGGAATGAACAAAACTCTATGACACATCTAATAAGGTCCAGGCCCCATGCTAGGTGCTGAGATACAGAAAGAATAGCACGTGACTGTGTCTGCCCTAGCACAGTGTACTGTCTATCAGGTGAAGCAGACAGAACAGCAGATAGGGATGTCTCCTTCCACTGGGAAGGAGCCAGCACCCTTGCACTGAGTCAGGCAACATGAGCAGAGCAGATGGGATGGGAAAGATGAGTTCAAGAAGTTCAAGATCACGTTCAACCTCTCCAACCTCACTAATATAAGGGAGCACGGAATCCAGATTTGGGAGAGCAGGAAGGGCATCCCAGAAATGACTTCTATGACAAGGCTGGAAGGGTAAGTAGCAGTTACTAAGGCCAGATGTTGGGGGACATTCCAGGCAGAAGGAACAACTTGCTGGAAGGCCTGAAGGTGAAAATATATCAAAGGTTTAGGAATTCAGTGTGAAGGCAGCAGACGGAAGGACAAGTATTACGGAGGACAGTAAGATGAGACTGGGGTGGTAAGGAGGAATAACATAAAATATCCTTTCAAAAGAAAAAGATGTTTCTCTTCAGAGTAAATGGGGATAGCTGTTGGAAGGTGTTAAGCAGGAACACAGAGTGCTTAAATTTGCATCTTAGAAACAGCTCCCTGGCAACACTGAGGACAATGAATTGGTGGAAGGAGTGAGCAAGCTTGAAGAAAGGAGATGAGCTGTGAAGCCCTTGCAGTAAACCAGGTGAAGGATAATGGCAGACTGACTGGCCAGCCTTGGTGGCTCAGGCCTATAATCCCAGCACTCTGGGAGGCCAAGCTAGGAAGATCACTTGAGGCCAGGAATCCAGCACTAGCCTGAGCAAATAGCGAGACCACTATCTCTACAAAAAAAATTAAAATTACCTGGGTATGGTGGTGTGCACCTATAATCCCAGCTACTCAGGAGGCTAAAACGACAGGATCGCTTGAGCCCGAGTTCAAGGCTGCAGTGAGCTATGACTGGGCCACTATACCCCTGCCTGGGTGAGAGAGCAAGATTGCCTCTTAAAAAAAAAAATTAAAGTAAAAAAATAATAGCAGACGTAGGGTAGGAAGCTACAAGCATGGAGAAAAGTAGATGGATATGGAAAAATATTTGGGAGTTAGAGGCTACAGGAGTTGGTTAATGGATGGATGGTAGAGGGTGAGGTAGATGGAGGCCAGAATGACTCAGATTTGGGGCTCAGGCCACTGGGAAAAAGGTAGCGCCCCCCTCCAACCCCAAGAGTCTGGCAGCATGAGCAGAGCAGATAGGATGGGAAAGATGAGGTCAAGACCATGTTCAACCTCTCCACCCTTACTCATCAATATGCTCATTCCCCAACTCCTTACCTTCTGGTCCAGCCTCTTGACCAGCTCCTCAGCCTGAATGAATCTAATCGTTCCTACTCCTGAAAAGCCTCTTACTGTTTAGAGAAATGTCATTCCTTGTCCACATTGACCGTGCTATATAAACTTGTGTTTTTTAACCTGAGCTGAGCTCTCAAAGCCCAAGTATTGGCTCCTTTTCAACTCCAGCTGTCACCAGGGTAGGAGTTTCAAACCTTGTCAGCTTTTCCAGGGTCACCATTTCTTCTAACAGATGTTCTAACCCAGGGGTTCTTGGGCCAGCAGCAGCAGCATCACCTGGGAACCGGTTAGAAATGAAAATTCTGGGATCTCACCCAAGTCAAACTCTAGGACTGGGGCTCAACAATTGGTGTCTCACAAGCCCTCATTTAAGAATCACCATTCTCACCTATGGGGCCCGATTTTTTCTCAAGAATTTTCCCTGAGTCCTCCTTGTCTCCCTGCATCCTTTTTTTTTTTTTTTGACAGTCTTACTCTTTTGCCCAGGCTGTAGTGCAGTGGTGCAATCGCAGCTCACTGCAACCTCCACCTCCAGAGTTCAAGCAATTCTCCTGCCTCAGCCACCTGAGCAGCTGGGAATACAAGCACGCACCACCATGTCTGGCTAATTTTTGTATTTTTGATAGAGACAGGTTTCGCCATGTTGGCTAGGCCGGTCTCGAACTCCTGGCTTCAAATGATCCACCTGCCTCGACCTCCCAAAGTGCTGGGATTACAGGTATGAGCCATTGCACCCTGCCTGTATTCTTAATTCTTGAGGCCTCCAAGGTCCTGTCCTTGGTTCTCTTCCCATGCAATCTAGTCCACCCCCATGGACTCCAGAACTTCATTTCCAACAGCCAAGTCAACATCTCCACCTGGATTTCCTCAAACCTAAAGCGAAACCAAGTTCTCCTTCTCACACCCCACCACCTAAGCTCATTCCATCTTTTTTGATTTTTAATTTTTGTAGAGACGGGGTCTACGTTGCTCAGGCTGGTCTTTAACTCTTGGGCTCAAGTGATCTCCTGCTGTGGCCTCCCAAAGTGCTGGGATTACAGGAATGAGCCACCACGCCCAGCCTCCATATTCTGTCTTTCTCTCCTAATTTTAGCTAATGGCATCGCCTCCAAATCCCAGGCTGGCAATCTTCCAGTCATCTCCGGTCCATTCTCCTCCCCCCAAGAATCTCTTAAATCGGCTATTTTCACCTCCCTTTATCACTTCTTGCCATGGCTTTTGGAATTTATTCCTCCCCATTCTTCAGGCCTTCAATCTGACACCGTCCTTCAGTATTTTATTTCCATCACCTTGTTAAAAAGAAAACAGGGCCAGGCACAGTGGCTTATGCCTGTAATCCCAGCACTTTGGGAGGCCAAGGCAAGCGAATTGCTTGAGCTCAGGAGTTCAATACCAGCCTGGGCAACATGGCAAAACCCCGTCTCTGCGAAAAATAAAAAAATTAGCCGGGCATGGTGGCACGTACCTGTAGCACCAGCTACTCGGGAGACTGAGGCGGGGGGACTGCTTGGGCCTGGAAGGCAGAGGTTGCAGTGAGCTGAGATCATGCCACTGCACTTCAGCCTGGGTGACAAAGCAAAAGAAAAAAAAAAGAATATCCTGTTAAACAAAAAAACTGGCAAAGCATACATGAAGGATTGTTATCCTTAATATTTAAATTGGCCATATCCTTAAGGATAATATCCTAATAGCCTTAATATTTAAATTAGGAAGTCTTTAGAAAGGGGCTATCACAGTGAGAAGCTGCCTGACATTTAAGTGCTTTGCATACCATATTGCTAGTCCTATCGACAACCCCATGTGGAAGTCTTGTTTTCATCTCAAAGATCGTAATACTAAATATTCAGCCAAGTGTGACTTGCCTAAAGCCACATAGCTAGTAAGTGGAAAAGCTGAGATTTGATCCATGATCCACGTCTTATTCAGCTTGCTGCCTTATTTTGTATGACTGCAGTCTTAAAGTAAGTCAAGTTGAGCACTATTTTAAATATACTCAAGTTCAATGCATTACCATCATCAGGTCAACTTAACTGGCCCTGATGCAGAATATAATGTTGTGCTTTGCTATGGGATAACACAGGAAATCTTTCATGTAGTAAATACCTCAGCTGGCTGTCGGCCTGCCTGCCAGTCATGATGGCTACTACACTAGGAAGTTTCTTCATCTCCCCAGATTGGTGCAGATGTGGAAGATGTAGAAGAGGGTAAATTGAGGGTAAACTGGGCCTATAAAGAAGTGAAGAAGAATAAAAATAGTTCAATTATATATATTTTTTCCTGTCGCTCTGTATGTCTTGATTCTTACAGGCAAACTGAAAACTTGTAAAGAGAAAATAAGAAAACAGAAAAATAGGCACACATGTTTTTCTGCCTTACAAAAAGGTACAAATGAGGACATGACTCCAGATAAAGAAAGCATCTTTTATGGGTTTATTGGTCCTTTAAGTTAATTGAAGTAAAGAAACTTTAAATTTACAAGCTAATATTTATCAAGCAATACAAATTCTTTTGTTTACCTCAAAATGTAATACTAATTCCATAGTAAACAACAATTTTTTTATACACAGATATATGAAAAAAGTGGACAAAAACCTCGTGCCAGCATCAAAAAGTCAACAAAAAAACGATTCTTTTTCCATTTTACAATCTCTGGTTTCCATAACAAACAAAAAAAAGGGTGACATTCTTTTTAAAGTTTGGTAGCTTCATGAAACAAAGACTTCCATCTGTAAATAAATCACTTTCTTATCAACACACTCTCTCAAGCACTTTTTTTATCACAGCTTTTGTTTTGGCATAATGGCAGCATGGAGAGAAGGTAACATTTACACGGTGGACTACATCAATACCTCAGAAGGTTTTTATTTTAAAATTTTAAACGTAAAGAATGACTTTTAAAAATAAGATGACAGTCCATAATGTGGACATGTCCAAAGCCGAAGTTTTTAATCTCTTCTTTAACAGTTAAAATACAAGTTAGAAAGTTTGCTGGCAGTTTATTTCACAGGAATATATCAGATGGACATCATCTCTCAATGCACTCCCAACTCACAGCAATGAAGGGAACAGGCACACAGAAATACAACAGACAGGGAATCCACCAGACTTCATCCAAACTTCAGGGGTGTCTAGGCCAAAAGCGCCTTTAAGAGATGCTGGTTTGTTATTGGATAAAGGCCGAGATGACAGAGCCACTGCTTCATCACACTGACTCACATTTTGGTTTGCAATCCACTTTCCTCTCTCCTCATTTCCACATGGAGGAAAAAAAGTGATTTTCCTTTCCTCCTCCCAGTAACATTTCTGACTGAAGTGTTGGTCTAAGACTGCGAACAATCAATCCTGTCCAACAGGGGTGTTGCTGGGTGTCACCTACTAGGACCAGCCTACAGAGAGCCCAGAACCACCTGGTGTGGGAGTGCTGCTGCTGACAGAGAATATGCAATGCTCCTCGCCACTGGTGTTAACACTAAAGGCTCTGCTAAAATGGACTAAATTACATGAGTCAACATCATGTTTTCTGTTTTTGGCATTTCAACCCATAGAGAATTTCTATCTGAAACAAGCTGCTCTGAGGCTTGAAGATACCCCCCAGTATCTTCAAAAGCTGTTCTGCAGAATCAGGAGTAACATTTAATACTGTTGTCATCTATAGCATTCTTTGTTTCTACGTGATTTGTCAATGCCGATACTATATCCTCTAAAATCAAAAGTATGCCAAAAGGCACTAATCTTTCACACTTAAAAAAAAAAAAAAGGTTTTGTGGTCCCTGTGTTTCCTTACATTATCAAAAATATCATTTGGCAAAAGCAGTCCTTAGTTTTCCCCTCCCCAAAGCCAACCCTAGTGATGGCCCTCACTTTCTTGCTTGTTTCTTTAGGGGGCCTGAGGACTGACTATGTTAGATCTCTATATTATTGAAGCTGAACAACTGATTACATTTCTAAAACTCTTTCTACCCAGGACTTTTAAAACACTAGGTGAAGAAGAATAAGGCATATTAGTAGGTACGGACAAATTCTCAAAAAAGTAGAGTTGGGCTTTGAAAAGTCTGTGGCATTTTTTTAAATTCTGGATTTGTTGATTTTCAAGTGCTAAATACACAGAATGTTTATATAGGAGACAAATATCTTATTGGTTTGTTATTTTTTTAAAGCACTTATTTACAGACTCTCTGTAGTAGTAAAAACTACCTGGAAAACATATTTTTCTGCCACACAGAAAGGGTTAGACAGTCATACTCAGGATGTATCTCAAATTATGATGAAGAAAGAACAGTCTAATCCCCTGCAACAAAGCCCCCACCCCAACCTTTCTAACACAGACAACTTACACACACTCTGATACATGTAACTGTGAGACCAGGCATCTCTCAAACAAAAAGCTGACAATCTACAGGGTGGGTTGGTGAAAAAATGGATTCCTGGTTTATTCACTGAATTGAAAAGATCACAAGGCAGAACAAGGCCGAAGAGAACAATTCCAACACACCCAACGCAAGCTGTGAGGCTGGCCCAGGAGAGAACATTTTCCTCAAATTTACTGATACAGGCCTCCTGCCATCTGACAGACAAGACACAAGAAATGAGAGGGTGTGTCCATCTGCTGCCATCTTGAAGGCTTTTGGAAGTGAGACAGGAAACCCAAGCTCCCAACCTAAGTTTGTAAATGAGGGTGGCCAAAGCAGGGTTGCCCCAGCCCTATAATTGGATCACCCAGTTTCCACAGGTCCTTAAAGTAGGTGTCTGGGAAGGTGGAGTCCAGACTGGTATGCCCTGTCCTGACCACAGGCAGCCCATCTTCTGAGAAGAATCACCCTCAGTGCAGCCAGCAACCCATCTGGCCAGACTGGAACCCAGTTCTAACCCACCCCAAGACCCAAGGAGAAGAGGCTGACATAGGCCTTGGAGGTTGCTCTTGACTTCCCTCTTCCTCCTCTCTCACCAGCTCAAGAGAGAACGTAAAGAATGACTGTCCCGCAGTCCAATGAATGGTGTCAAAACAGAGCCCAATGCCTGTGATTTCAAAGCTAACGATGGCAGGACCAAGTCACACAGTAACTCTGGATGTTCCTCGGGCTGCCATCCCAAAATTCCACTTGCAGACTGCCACATGGTCATCGTGCCCTCCTCTAAAGCAGAACTTCCTGTTATTTGATCACAAAAGGCAGCCTCACAAGAAGTGAGCAGCAGGTGTGCATTCATTCAACTTCCCCATGTGGAGTGGGAACTGGGAAAACCATTCAAATCAACAACATCTAGAGCACACTCTGGGTGGGGCTGAAATCTGGCATGAAAACAGACTTAGCTTACAGTCACCATGATCTCCAGGTCATGCTGGTTTATTTCAACTAAAGAAAGGTGTCTGGTGAGTTGAAGGAATGACGTGGTGGAATATGGAGCCAATCATCTCCATAATCACACTTTAAGGTGAACAGGATTCATTATAAAACTTTTATTAAAGGATAAAACCCAATGCTAAGCCTGGCTGGGTGGTATGTTCCCTCCCCATTGAGGAGCAGTGGTTCCTCGCTCTGAGCAGAACAGCCTAGAATGTTCGTGTAGATCTACCACATTAGTAAGAAAAAGCAGTGCCCATGCTTGCTACAAATCACAAGGCTCTCTTAAACATCATTTGCGTCTCTAAAATCTGCTCAGTTCCTAGGACTCCTCTCTTCTGTCTTCCTCTGGATTTTTAACCCGGGCGAATGAAATCTCCCACTTTCCAGGCCTGGGGCGGCTGCTAGGGAGGGCCTTGTATTCCACTGCCATGTATTCAAGCCTCAAAACCTATGTCTGTCTGCTTGAGGTAAAGTAAATAATAATAATAATAAATACTTAAGAGAGGAGTACTGATCTCAGGGCCACAATTTTGTGAAGTCAAGAAGTGTGAGGTGATGAGACCTCTACAAGGCAGTCTTTGGCACAGAAGCCTCCGTGTGACACTTCTAGGGAATATCTCTTTTGTGCTTGGTCAAAACGAAGAGGCAAATGGTTGGGACTGCTGGCCCTCAGAGGCCCAGGGGAGCCTGCTTCACCACCTAACGTCCCCTTCCTTCTGGGCCAGCCTCCTCACCTCATGAGACACCAGCCTGGAGGCTGGGAAGGAATCCTTTCTCTGGAAGGACTATTTCTCCCAGAAAATCTGTAATGTACACTGGACTTCCTGGCTCTGTTATCAATAACATGCCAGGAGGACATAAAGTTTGCCTTGTTCCAGGTCTTTCTGATATCTTACAGCACAGGGCATCACATGGGGACCAAGCAGAGCAAGCCCAAATCCCACGGTGCCTGCCTCCCTTCAGAGCCAGCCATCTGCCTCTCACTAGGAGAGGGAGTGACCGCGTGCGTCCCACGCCCCTTCCCACATCTCCCAGTGAGGAACCTGGTAAATTTTTTCAAGTGCTGCCTTCTTTCCCAACTAACCATTACACAGGAATGTTTCTGGGTTTTGGCAACTAGCAGATAGTCAGATTTCATTTTCCTGTAACTCCAGTTTTTTCCAAACATTCATTACACTGGACATTTGTAAAGCATACCTTCCCCAAGGTAAAGCTTCCTATGTTCCCAAAGATGAGCATTTGCTGCTGGGCTGGTCTGGTGCCTTCTGCCAAATATCAGCAGAGGGCTGTCAGCTCGCCATTAGACACACATCCTGATTCTCCCAGCACAGTGTCAGGTCAGACCCAGGCGTCCATACCCACGTCAACACGATGGCTTAGAGGTAGAATAAAGCATGCAATCACTCGGGGGTACATGGGTTGTTCTTACCTGTCCGCATCAATGAGTCATTTCTAACTGTACCAAACTGAAAATTCACATCAAAGGACTTGAGAATGGCACAAATAGGGTTTAACACTACAGGCAAGTACCAATTGATTTAAACATTATCATTTAAACTGCAACATTGTCAAACACAATGAAACAGAACCAAGCCGTCCTATGCTGTCCAACTGCGGCATCAACAGCACCACAGCCTTGGCTGATGCGAGGATGACCTGCAGTTAAAAGTGGGCTTAAGTGACCTTGACGTGCTGCCCGCTGACCAGTATTTCCAGGTGAACTTGCATCTGAAGCAGCGCCTTAACACAGCTGTTTCATTAAAAATAAACAACAAAAAAACTACTGCTTATTTGAGGCTCAGATTCGTAGTTTTACAGGGATGAGCCACAGATGAAAGAACACAAACATGACATGTAGCTTCATTTCAGCAGAAAAAAAAAAGAGTTGGAAGACAGATCCTTGGTGACTGTTTGCTTTGTGATCTGAAAAGTAAACCTGGTCATTGTCTGAAATGCAGCCTGTAACCACACTCAGCAGTCCCCAGGAATCTGGCTGCACACTGAGGAGACTTTAGCTTAGCTGGACACAAAGGGCTCGCTGTTGCATTTGTCATTTTCGAGGCCCGTCCAGGTACTGATTTTCCTTCCTGACCAGGAAATGTTAAGGGTTAAAGCACTTTATGTAGAACATTCACACTGCATTGACAAATTTCGACTGTATCATAACAACATGACATACCAGCCCTCTCACCAAAAGCTCGCCCAGACATTCAGAGGACACAGGAGGAAATATTAAAGTAGGTATTTTTGGTGAGGTAAAGGCAAATTGCACAAAGCTGACACTGGGGGTGGAGCTTGGTATATGCCCACTGATCTCAACAATGGGGAGCTACTCTGACTTCAAGACAATAGATATTCCCTAACAGGTCTAATCCCTGCTCTGATGACAGTGAACAAGCAAAACACTGAAGACCTTCACAGAAAAAAAAAAAAAACCAGCACTTTGTTTTTTTCATTTTACACAAAAAGTTTCCAATCTGTTGCATTCTAGTGTCAGAAACAAGCTTGGGGAGCATTCCCCTGAGCTTCCCAAAGGCATTGCAGGAGGACAAGGACGCTGGCTTGCTCACTCAAGCATGGACGCACATTGACATTGATTTAAATGTCCCTATGTGAAACAGAAACAGTAAGACGGTATCACTCATCACAAGCAGGCAGCAGGCCACACTCACAGCTACAGGTACTGTACGTTAAGGACTTGCCAGGGAGGCACCAATGCCTCCTAGGCCAAGACGAGTCAATGCCCACAGAGGCCAATTCCAGAGGGGCCAGGTTTCCACAGAAAGCAGCAGCTGCCTTCTGTTCCTGCCTCCTCCTCATCCTTGAAAAGCAGGCCCCGGGTTCTCTCCCACAACTGGCAACTCAGCTGTCCCTAAAGAGGAAACTGTCATGAAATGTCAGAGCGTCAGCTGCAGGTTGTCTTGTCCCTTGGTTTCAAATTTTCGTAGTGCTTCACTGAACAGATGCCTTCACAACATGGAGGTATGCTGCTCTTGCTGAGAGATATTCTAGCCTCACAGACTCCACCATGGAATAAATACTAATTGAAAACCACTGTGGGGTGAAAGGTGGGGGAGGGAAAAATACACAAAGGAGAGATGTTTCTGTGGTTGTTTTCCCAGCACTGCGTCTCTGGCACTGCAGGGACATTCCGGTATAGGGTGCCAGGCCCTGTGTAGGTAGAAGAGTCTCCGTCCCAAGAAAGAACTTTACTTGGCCTCTTGTTTCTCCTGCAGTAGTGGAATAATCGACTCCCACGCCATGAGGCACTGGAACGACAACATACACACACAGTATCAGCTTTGAGTTTCCGATTTCGGGTCAGCTTCAATTCTGCTCTGACCTACCCTTTCGTTGTCGATCCTGCTGGGTTACCTTTGTCTAATGATGCCTGCATGTGTCATCCATAACTATTACAAACGGGGAGGTAACAGGTGTTTGTTTTGAATGCGTCACCCCATCTTTATGAAAGACAGCAATATCTCTGCAAGGCTTAAATGCATTCATGTTAGTCTGTAAAGCTCAGATCCAGTGAATGGAAATGGATTTACTGGAGGAAGTTCTTTTCCTTTCAAAAAAGCAGAAAAAAGCCCAAGCAGGAAACCCCTGAAGAGTCCCTAGAATCTCGGCAGGGATGGAGACACTGCTCCAGGTGTGGGTGGCGCTTATGCAGGATGGAAATCATAGTTGGAGCAGGCCAGGCACCTGACTTGGAGCGGGTGGAAAGCCCACTCTTCCTCACCAACCTCAAGTTTGCTTGTTTGGGCCACACCTGAATCTCTCAAAAGGGAATATGGAAGAGGGAAGCCAGTGTTTATTGAGTTTTATTATGTCCAAACATGGTGACATACTTTACATTAGTTATCACCAGTCCTCACAGCTCCTCTATGAAGGAGAATTATTACTCGACACATACACACTGATTTCATGGATGGGGAAGACAAGACTCAGGTTAAATAACTGGCCCAGACACACAGCTTGTCCATGGTAGAGCTCATGGTTCCCACGCTGATGTTCTCTCCACTACACCAACCTCTTTTCATCCCAGATCCTTGTGAAAGGCCAAGAACTCAGAACACTCTGGCATTGTCCTCTGAGAGCAGAAATGATTCGCCCTTTGGAAAGTCTCTTGCATAAAGAGGGCAAGTTAATCACATAAGGCTTCTCAGTAGCAGCCCCAGGGGTGGAGGAGGACTTTGTACTGAGTCATTTAGGGAGGAGTTCTGAGGAGGTGGGAGGAGTTTTGGGGAAGTGGAGAGGGGTTCTGAGAAGGCAGGAGGGGTTTGGGGGAGGTGGGGAGAGGTTCTGAAGAGGTGGGGAGGAGTTCTGAGGGGGTGGGAGAGGTGTGAGGAGCGGGAGTTCTGAAGAGGTGGGAGAAATTGTGAGAAGGTGAAAGGAGTTCTGAGGAGGCGGGAGGAGTTCTGAGGAGGTGGGAGGAGCTCTGAAGAGGAATCCTGAGGAGCCAGGAGGAATTCTGAGGAAGTGAAAGGAGTTCTGAGGAGGAAGGAGGAATTCTGAGGAGGTGGGAGGAGTTCTGAGGAAGGAGGAGGAGTTCTGAGGAGGGAGGAGGAATACTGAGGTGGGAGGAGTTCTGAGGATGGAGGAGGAGTTCTGAGGAAGGAGGAGGAGTTCTGAGGAGGGAGGAGGAATTCTGAGGAGGTGGGAAGAGTTCTGAGGAGGGAGGAGGAATTCTGAGGAGGTGGGAAGAGTTCTGAGGAGGGAGGAGGAATTCTGAGGAGGTGGGAGGAGTTCTGAGGAGGGAGGAGGAATCCTGAGGAGGCAGGAGTTCTGAGGAGGGAGGAAAAATCCTGAGGAGGCAGGAGTTCTGAGGAGGGAGGAGGAATCCTGAGGAGGCAGGAGTTGTGAGGAGGGAGGAGGAATCCTGAGAAGGAATCCTGAGGTAGGAGGAGTTCCGAGGGGGTGGGGAGTTCTGAGGAGGTGGGAGGAGTTCTGAGGAGGGAGAAGGAATTCTGAGGAGGTGGGAATAGTTCTGAGGAGGGAGAAAGAATTCTGAGGAGGTGGGAGGAATTCTGAGGAGGGGGGAGGAGTTCTGAGGAGGGAGAAGGAATTCTGAGGAAGGAGGAGGAGTTCTGAGGAGGGAGGAGGAATTCTGAGGAGGTGGGAGGAGTTCTGAGGAGGCAGGAGGAATTCTGAGGAGGGAGGAGGAGTTCTGAGGAGGTGGGAGGAGTTCTGAGGAGGTGGGAGGAGTTCTGAGGAGGTGGGAGGAATTCTAATGGGGGGAGTTCTGAGGAGGGGGAGGAATTCTGAGGAGGTAGGAGGAGTTCTGAGGAGGCAGGAGGAGTTCTGAGGATGTGGGAGGAGTTCTGAGGAGGTGGGAGGAATTCCCAGGAGGTGGGAGAAGTTCTGAGGAGGGAGGAGGAGAGAGGCATCCTAGGTCAAGCCAGAAAGAAGAGTGGTGAAATTGCTTCCTGATTCCTCCTTGGTGACTCTGAGGTTAGAGAGGAAGCTAAACTCTGAAGCCCACCTTATATACGGAAGATGATCTGGGGTCTGTGGCATTCCAGGTCCTGCTCTCTCCCTAGGCCATCACTTCAGATCTGCAATGGACTTTGTATGTCAGCCATGATAAACCAAGGCCATACCAGTTTTCTATTTGGTCCTCAAATGTACCAAACTCTTTCCTGCCCCAGGGACTTTGCGTATGTTGTCTCCTATACCTGGAATATATGTTTTCCAAGCCTCTGTCTCTGAGACTCGGATGAAATGTCATTTCCTCAGACTGGCCTTTCCTGACCACTCCACTTGCCCCTCCCACCCTTAGTCTGCATTATGCCCCCTAGTATTTTCTCCCCCAGTTTCCCGTTCTTTTCCTTATCTCACTCTGAAGCTGTGGGCTCCTTTGATGAACACATACCCTCCACAGGGCAGGAATCCTGCTGTTTATCAATTTGGTACACACTGCCCCTTGCACACAGCAAGTGCACAAAAAGCATTTGTTAAATATGTATAGAAGCAATACCAGGCCCCAAGACAGTGGCCCTGCCTGTGATATAGTGGGAAGACAGATAAACACGTACTTAAGACCAGGGTTGGGTCCTCCTGGGACCAGGACTTTAGGAACGCTGGGATTAATTACCAAAGGGAGCAACAGAGACATTTGACATAGTTGGTTTTGTAGTAGTAGGAAGGCCGCTGAACAGCAGAGGGAAGGTGTGGGAGTTACAGAAGAAAGGAACTCTGGGTAACAGACTGCACTACTGCACTCCAACCTGGGTAACAGAGTTTTTGACCCTATCGCAATATATATATATATATACATACATACATACATACACACACACACACACTCACTCATGTGTGTATGTATGTATGTATATGTGTGTATATATATGTGTGTATACGTGTGTGTGTGTGTGCATACATACATACATATATATATATATATATATATATATATATATATATATGGCGTGACAGGATCAAAAAACTCTGTTACCCAGGTTGGAGTACAGTAGTGCACAATCATGACTCACTGTAGCCTTGAACTCCTGGCTCAAGCCATCCTCCTGCCACAGCCTCCCGAGTAGCTGGAACTATAGGCACACGCCACCACACCTGGCTCATTTTGTATCTTTTGTAACGACAGTCCCACTACATTGCCTAGGCTGGTCTTGAGCTGGGCTCAAGTGATCCTCCCACCTCGGACTCTTCAAGTGCTGGGATTACGGGCGTGAGCCACTGCACCTGGCCTCGCACTGGTTTGCTGGACATACGAATCAAGCAAACCTTGATTGAGGGGACTGGGCTGTAGCCTGATAAGAGTCATCTCTATGTGTGTGTGGTGTGTGTATGGTGTGTGTGGGGGTTGTGTGTGAGGGTTGTGTGAGGTATGTGGGTGTGGTGTGTGGGTGTCGTGTGTGGGGGGGTTGTGTGTGGGGTGTGTATGTGGGGTGTATGTGTAGGGGGTGTGTGGTGTGCATGTAGTATGGGGGGTGTGTGGTGTATGTGTGGTGTGTGTGTAGTGTGGGGGGGTGTGGTGTGTGTGTAGTGTGTGTGTGGGGTGTGGTGGTGGTAGTGGGGTGTGTGGGTGTGTGTGTGTGTGCACGCGCATGTGCGTGCGCTGCTTAACCTGGTCAAGGGGATCCATGAGTAAAAGTTTTTAATAGAATTGCTTTCCTTTGTAATCCTACATCCCTTTATTTTACGTATTTAAAATCAATATTTTGAAGTCTATTTAAAAAACAAATGCACAGTATTTTGGTGAGGGGTCTATAGGCTTCACCAGATGACCAAAGGGGTTCACTGCACAACCAAACTGAAGGGACCCTGTGTACAGAACCCCAACACAGAGTAAAGTAACCCCAAAGCCTCCATTCGGTGGCAGCATCACTGTGCTGAAGGTCTGACTGGCTCTGGGAAGCAACCAGTGCCAGGCCCAGAAAGCATGGAAGACGAATGGGCTGCTTCCCCAGCAGCATGTGCAAGGGAAACCCCTGTGAGCACCCCCTCTGCTGCCAAACCCAGCACTGCAGCCACATGGTTGGGCAAGGGCATGAAGCGGGAGCCAAGACTAAGCAGCTAAAATAAGGGAAGGAGATGAGACTAGCAGGATTCCCAGCTTGTGGATTTCTGGTAGGCCCATGTGAAAGGCTCTGGCCATTAGAAACCAGTCTTGTTGGGCACACTCATTACCTTCTCATAATACTGGATGTTCTTGTCAGCCATCCCCATGAGTAGCTGCCGGAAGTCCTGCCTCTTGTTGTTCTGCCACCTCTCCATGTCAGCTTTCAGGTCAGCATTGAAACACTCCATCCGATCCTGACATTTCTCGACGTCCGCCGGTACCTGGAAAAGGGAGGCACACATGGGTGCCCTGCACACAAAACTGGCATCTCTTGCCTTGAGCTCCTCTGAGCACACATTTGTCAAAGGCCAAAGCCCTACATTAAAATGCTATCAACACGCTCCCTCCTCTGGAGGCATTTATTTGAAAGCAAAACCTTGGGTTTTCAGGTCTAAGGAGGAGCTCTGAAAAGGGGCTCTCCTAACCCAGATCTTCAAACCCATCCAAACACAACAGAGACTCGTGGGGGAAACACCCCCATTTACACACAGGAAGAAGAAACATTGCAATTCAGACTCATATGTCTTTGGTTCCTTTTAGGATTTACTCATCCACACTTGAAAGTGTGTGCAGACTTTGCAAATATACAGCATTTGTATTGCCCTGCTATTCTCCTGTGTCCCATATTGGAACTAGAGAAGAGGTAGGTTCTCCCAGATCACATGAACTATTCCATTGCTGTGACATTTGATGATGCCTTTCCTCATTAATCAGAGAATTGCAATAAGACAACTACTGGCCAGCTGCCTCCTCTGAACCCCACATCATAAATAAACTGGAGGCTTGTTTATGCTTTTCCCAATAGCAGATACTTTTAAATGGAGAGTTAGAGAAGTCTGAGAAAACAGGAGGAAAGTTACTTATGCATGTCAAAAAAATTTGAAATTCAAAGAAGAAATATACAGCAGGCTATTTCAAGTTTTTCTTAAAGAGGTTTAGAAGACTTTCTCAAAAGGGAACTATGTCACTTGAAGTTTCACAACTTTCACTTTGCTTTGGTGAATTTCACCATCCTGTGCAGCTGGAGTTTGGGCTTTGTGGCTGCAGCGCTTCCCAAAGCTGGCTTCTCTCTCCTAACTCAAGCACTTCACTGAGCCCTGATGGCGGCCAGGGAGCCGACAGGCCCAAAGCCAGGTCAAACCCCCGACCTGCCAAATGTATCCCAACCACAAGTGAGGCCTTTTATGTTTGGTGTGCTGGGGCCCATGAACCAAACTGTCTCCAAGCCATGGCTCACCCCTGGGAGTCCACTTCCACCAATCGAGGAGGTTTATACCCAAGCCTCGTGGACAAGGAGCTGACCCAGAATGATGCCAATGAGAAAGACAGGCCTGAGGGAGCTGGACACCTTCAGGGTACTCAGCCATCTTCTCCACAGACCACGTGGAGATGGTTGTAGAACACAGGAGTCAGGGAAGAGACATGGCCAAGGCAAGTGAATTTGAATGTGCCTGACACGGGAACTAGACATGGGTGAAACCAGGATGAGCTGGAGAGAGAGATAACTAGACACTCTGGAAATTTAAAAGCAAGGAATTTTTCTGTTAAGATGGGGAAAGAGGCCTTCTTCAAAGCACATAAGCTTCTGGAAGAGGGAAAAAAAAAATACTGGGCTGAGTGCAGTGGTTCATGCCTCCCAGCACTTTGGGAGGCCAAGGCAGAAGATCACTGGAGGTCAGGAATTTGAGACCAGCCTGGGCAACATAGTAAGACCCCCATCTCTACAATAAGTAGGATGTGGTGGCGCTATGTTGTCCAGGCTGGTCTCGAACTCCTGGCCTCCAGTGATCCTCCCACCTCGGTCCCCCAAAGCACTGGAATTACAGGTTTGAGCCACCATACCAGGTCAGAGACTGACTTTTTCTTCTGATGCCATGATTTAAGTCTCTTTTGCCTCCTCCCAAGACCACCCATTACTATTGGTTACCTCAGGAAAAACTGAAATAAAAACCAGAGTATCCCAGTCTTGCCTCTCCAGAGTCACTCCAGGAATCAGCCTCAATGGAAAGATGCCCAGCGAGCCAGTGTCTCTGGCTGGCCTCACCTCCCCACAGGCACAGGCCAGTTCCCTTACCCGTCTCCTGGCCACTGCTCACACTTGCATTGGGGTGAGGGTGCCTATGAGCAACTTCCTGTTTGCTTAACGAAACTTCTGCTGTGAGGAGAAAATGGAAAGCCCTGGAAAGAGAACCTCACCAGGACACGTGGAGAGGAGGGCAGCCAGGGTCTCTGAATCAGGACTGTTCACAGAGGAAAGATTCCCAGGTTTAAAGATTCCCAGGTGTGTTCTGGAGATGGGAACTCTGACTGACCCAGAAAAATCAGGGTCTAAACCACGGCTGTGGGTTTTAGGACTGCCTGAGCCTCGGTCTGGGAAATATTTGGCTTCTCAGTTTCACAACACATTCTGTGCTTGGCACTGAGGAATACAAAAGTGCTTGGGTCTCAACAGACAAATCTTGTCTCCCGTAACCTACAGTCTAGTTGGGAAGAAACAGGAACATGCCTAGACACTGAGGCAAGATATCGTAAGTGTTGTCGCTTCCCCTGCAGCCCCCGTGATAAGCACGCTGAGGAGGATGGAGGGGGCGGCCAACCTGGGAAGATCGGGCCTCATGGAGGAAACAGCACTGAGGCGGCTCTTTAAAGATGACAGATGTGAGATGTTTGACCACTTGGAAGGCACTCCAGAGTGGCGGTACACACAAGGGACAGAGGAGAGAAGACACCAGGACCCACCGCAGGAATTGTGCACAGGCCACAGGGCCCACAGCGGCACGGAGAGGGAACTGCAGCTCGCAAGACTGGCAGAGGGTGGCAGGGGATGAGGAACCTGAGGCTCGTCCCAAAGTCCTGCTTTCCTGAGGCCCAGTTAACTCATGCCCACTCTTGGAGAATAGAAAAAGCCCCACACTTCCTCCAGCTGCAGTGGACAGCTCTAGAACCAAACTTCCAGAGCTTAGCTTGCACACCCCACCTGCCACTTACCAGGTGTGTGGCCTGGGACCTGGCCTCAGCTTCTCTGTCTGGCTAATAATATCCTCCGCCTCACTAGGCTGTCATGAGGCCAGACAGGCTAATATGTGTTAAGTGCTTTACAGCGTCCTAATTAGGAAGGGGGAGTTGGGCTGACAGGACCAAGGGAAAGCAAAAAGAGAAGGCAGATTAAGCTATACTTCTGCTTTTCTTCATGGTCCAGGACACATAGCCTTCCTGCACAAATATTAATAACACAATCTTCCTGCACCCAGCTATCACCAGACCCTCAGTTAATAGAAAAATGCAAGTTTGCTCACTGCGACCTTGGAGTTATCAGCACTGCATGAAGCCCTCTTCAGTACACAGCACGAGCACCATTCTATGAAATCCCCAGCAAGCCTTTGTTTCTGGGCAGTCAGCTCCCTTCCTGCTGATCTGCCTGTTGCACTCTTGCAATGTATTTTCCTACTTTTTCTAATAAATCTGTTTTTCTTTACCTATAATTGTCTTGGTAAATTCTTCTTACCCCTGCAACACTGGTTCCAGAGAGTCATTGCACACCTGTGACACACTTGTGCCTGGCATATAGTAAGTGCTCAATAAACATTTGTTAGCTCATATCAGTATCAATATTATAATTTGCTGTTCACAAAAGATAATCTATCCCTTGCACAGCTCCTCAAGCTTTATTCCATGTGTTATAAAACAGGTTTTCATCTTCCAAATACAAACTATATTATTATATGTTCTCCCAAACATTATGCCACCCTTTGCCAATGCTACTCCACCCTGAGATTTCATTAGACACCAGAGATGAATCATCTCCAAACTACATATTAGCATGAGATTGCACTGGGCATCCTGGAACTGGGGTTGTGGCTCTAACACCAGAAGGGAGAGGATGGAGTAAACCAACCTGGTGGAGACAGAACTGACAGATTTGGCAACTGGCTGCCCATGAGAAATAAAATACAGGGAGTCCGAGAGAAGCCTGAAGTTTCTAGTCTGGATGACTAGGGTGGCACTAATGCCACCAAAGGCTCAGAATGAAGGACAGGTCCACAGATCACAGAAAGGAGGGAGTTGCAGCCAGGGGAAGAGTGATGCCTCCCTCCACAAAGCGGGGTGAGATAACAAGAAAACCAAACACAGCTCTTTTATAAAGGCTTATGGAAAAGAATACACAACCAAATTTAAAAATGAGCAAAGGACTTAAACGTATCTCCAAAGAAGATAAACAGTCAGCTGGGCGCAGTGGCTCACGCCTGTAATCCCAGCACTTTGGGAGCCTGAGGCGGGCAGATCACAAGGTCAAGAGATCGAGACCACCCTGGCCAACACGGTGAAACCCTGTCTGTACTGAAAATACAATAAAATTAGCTGGGCATGGTGGTGTGCTCCTGTAGTCTCAACTACTTAGGAGGCTGAGGCAGGAGAATTGCTTGATCCAGGGAGGTGGAGGTTGCAGTGAGCCGAGATCACGCCACTGCACTCCAGCCTGGCGACAGAGCGAGACTCCATCTCAAAAAAATAAAAATAAAGAAGATAAACAGTCAACAAGGACATGAAAAGATGCTCAACATCATAATCACTAGTGAAATGCTAATCAAAGCCACAGTGAGATAGCACCTCACACTCATCAGGATGGCTACTATTAAAAAAAATAACAAAAACAGAAAATAGGCCAGGTGCAGCGGCTCACACCTGTAATCCCAGCACTTCAGGAGGCCAAGGCAAGTGGATCACCTGAGGTCAGGAGTTCGAGACCAGCCTGGCTGGTCTCCGGGAGGCGGAGATTGCAGTGAGCCAAGATCACGCCACTGCACTCTAGCCTGGGCGACAGAGAAAGACTCTGTCTCAAAAAAATAGATAAGCGTTGGTAAGAACATAGGGAAACTAGAACCCTTGTACATTGTTGGTGGATTGTAAAACAGTATAGCTGCTATGGAAAACAGTATGGAGATTCCTCAAAAATTTTAAAATAGAACTACTATATGATCCTGCTGGATTCCACTTCTGAGTACATATCCAAAGAAATTGAAAGCAGGGTCTCAGAGATACTTGTATACACATGTTTATAGCAGCATTATTCACAGTAGCCCAAAGATGAAAGCAACACAGATGTCCACTGATGAATGGATAAACAAAATGTGGTATGTATATGTATGTGTATGTATGTATGTGTGTGTATGTCCCATATATATGGGATATTATTCAGCCTCAAAAAGGAAGGGAATTCTAACACATTACAACATGGATAAACCAAGGACATTACACTGAGTGAAATAAGCCAGTCACAGGATAAATATTATATTATTCTAGATACGAGGTATCTAGAATGGTCAAAGTCATAGAGACAGAAAGTAGAACAGGGGTTTCTAGAGGCCGGCAGGAGGGGGAATGGAGAGTTGTTTAATGGGTCAGAGTTTCAGTTCTGCAAGATGAAAAGAGTTCCAGATATCGATTGCACAACAATGTAAATGTGCTTAACACGACTAAGCTGTACACTTTTAAATGGTTAAGATGGCAAATTTTATATTCTGTATATTTTACCACAGTATAATCTTGTTTAAATATATGGAGGGAAAGGTGGGGCTGAGGGAGGCAGGGCCCAAGGTTTGAACTCACAGAGAAGCCAGCATGTGTAGGGTTAATAAAGGACTCAGCAAAAGTCACTCGGGAAGGCAGAAAGGCGGGCACAGAAAGAGGAGGTGGTGAATCAGAGAGAACAGAGCCAGAGAAGCCCAGGGGTGGTAGGAGTTAGAAGAGGATGGAAGAATTAAAAAGAGGAACTGGGGTGAGCTGTCTGTGACCAGCTTGTGAAGTTCCCCAACTTGAAGAAGGGGAGCGCTGGCAACTCATGCTCAGGCATGTATTCTTCCACCTTTGATTTTTTGGATAGTGTCTTTGTAACTATCAATTCACTGACCAGTAACACTAAGCATTCTTTTTACTTTTATTTTTTATTTATTTTTGAGACAGGTCTTGCTCTGTTTCCCAGGCTGGAGTGCAGTGGCACAATCACAGCTCACTGTAGCCTCAATCTCCCAAGTTCAAGCGATCCTCCTGCCTCAGCCTCCCGAGTAGCTGTAACTACAGATGCACACCATCACACCCAGCTAATATTTTTATCTGGAGTAGAGGCGAGGTCTTGCTACCTTGCCCAGGCTGGTCTCGAACTCCTGAGCTCAGGCGATCTTCCTGTCTTGGCCTCCCAGAGTGCTGAGATAATAACAGGTGTGGGCCACCACCCTCAGCATTTCCTCTTATCTCAATGTTTTAATTTTCGTGACTGAGGTATTGTTACGGTTGTGCTACCATGCGTCTGAAGGATGTTGACATGGCACAGCACTGCTAATGGTTGGGTGTTGCTTATCATGACACCAAGGAAAAATATCACCAGATAAGACCTCAAAAGATAAAAATTTATACAGAGGTGACAAAATTGCATTTTTCACCTTGGTTCCCAATCTCTCATGAGAATTTCCATTACAGAATATAGGTTGTTAGTGCAATGACAGAAGAGTCACGTGGATGGGACTGTGCATTTCTGTGTGCTGGGGAACGGGACAGTAACTTAAATTCACTCAACATTCATTTAAAAACGCATTACTCAGTGAGCCGAGATTGAGCCACTGCACTCCAGCCTGGCAACAGAGCAATAAATAAATAGATAGATGGATGGATGGATGGTTGGATGGATGGATGGATGGATGGATGCATGCATGCATGCGTTACTGAGCTCCTTCCATGTGCCACGCATTTCCAGGCCCTAGAACAGAAATCTCAACTTAAGTCTCCTTCTTGGAGCTGGGTTGGAGATGTCACATTATCTGCTCTCATGATGATAGTAGGTTAGGAAAATCCCCAAAGACTACACAAGACAGATATAATCCCAAAGTGTGGAGGAAAGGGGAGCTCGTGGCTGCTGTAGGACAGGCTCCAGGACCAGTGACAGCCACACGCTGCTGAGTGAGCAGGGGACAGGGCTCCCTAACTGGCAATGTGTGAGTGGCAGAGAGATTGGTCCTCTGCCCTCTGGGAAGCCAGAGCCCCCAGGCTGGTCACCTCCAGCTTCCAGCAACTGCGTTTTCAGTGTCTATTTGAGCTGTGAGGTGAAAACAGGTAAGAAAACACTGATACAGGGTCAAGTCTGAAAAGAGGCCATGGAATTGGGCAAATAGAAAGTCAGTGGCTCTCTGAATGAATGCTTTTTTAATTATAGATAAAAACAAACTTCAGAGAATGGTCAGTGGGGAGTGAGGGAGGGAGAGGTGAGGGCATGAGATGAGGAGCAGAGAGGCTGACAGCAAGAGATCCTCGAGCTTGCCTGCGCAATGACACGAGAGTGAAGCCCCAGGGAAGGCCACACGCACTCTCCGTGCCTGCCTCGGGAAAGGCAGGGCGCCCCCTCAGGGAGCACAGCTGCTGGGGCCCGCGCCCTGGGGAAAGGCACCAGTTTTGGAGCCAGATGCACTTGGACTCCATACCGGCTCCACCATTTGTTGACTTTGGCACTTAAGTTCCACGCTTCCCCTGACCCCGGGCCCCCATCTGTCACATGGAAACCACCGCACTGGCAGAGGGTGGCTGCGGTGGGACTTAAGTCAGCTGAGGGGATGGGGGAGTTCTGCCTGCTCTGGCTGGAGGCACCTGGTCTTCTGCCCCATGGTGAGGGTCCTCACTTGCCAGAAGGGTCTGGAAACAACAGACACGAGGCCCCACTCTCCGGTCTGCATTAGCTCTGTATGTAGAAGTCTCCCTGCTGGCAGTTTACAATTGGGATTCTCACTTCACTACCCACCACGTCTTTCCCATTCTAGAACATTCACTATCCCGGTGGTTCTAAGAGCTGTCCAAGGTCTACAGCCTTCAAGAGGTTTGTCCAGAGAGCCCAATTTCCACTTTCCCTCTGCTCTTCTCTCAACCAGAGGGGGAACAGCTCTGTGCACCTTTCCATCCCAGTCACCTCCACACGACACACCTCCACACTTCCCACACCAATGCCCCACTCCCCTCCACACCCATGCTCCCCCAAAACACCACACCCACCCCCACACACTACATACCCCACACACACCACACGCCCTCCCTACACGCCACACGCCCTCCCTACATGCCACGTGCCCTCCCCATACACACACCACACACCCACCCCCCACACACACCACAGGCCAGCCCCCCAACACCGACACCCCAGGTCCCCTCCACACGGCCCATCTCTCCTCATCTGCACTCCGACACCACCCATTTAAACTTCTTCATCTGGCACCCACCCAGGATGAGGCTACCCGTGGGTCAGGGCCTAAAACAGCACCCTGCTTTTTTTATTTACTTTTTGAAGATAACTAGGAATTCTGTGAAGCCTTCTCCCTGGCATCCCTTCTTTGTTCTTTTTGGAGCTAGTTATACCAAGTGTATTAGCACTGAAAAGAGTCCAACGCAGAAGACAGGAAAAGGCAAGAGCTCCCTCTCTGTTACCCTCACTGTCATTCGAAGGTGCGGATGCTCCCGGTGCCATTTAAAATCTAATTCCTCAGCTTCTCCTTATCTTCTGTAAGAGCTCTGATGCCCCCCACCTTCCATGGCGGGTTAGATTCTAAGGTGTACACCAGGCTGCAGCCCAACAGGCCCAGGAGAAGGCAGCCAGCCCCTGCTAAGTAAGTGCATGTCGCTTCTCCAACCTCACAATTAACATGGAGAAGGCCAAGTCTCCAGAATCCAAAGCTCCATCTGCCTGGGAATCACCACCTCAGTGTCTGCTGAGCTTTCTCCAGCCTCAGCCCAACCACAATGCAAAACTTTGCATTCTAGGACACCACCATTCTTCCCCAGCTCCAGAGGCCTCCGCATCCTCTGCCCTCAGCACGTGCTCTTTCCCCACAAGACGTCCTAGGACTCCCCTAAGAGGATCACCCCACGTTGAAATTCACAGGGAAGGTTGTGAAGACATGAGGCCACTTCCTTCCCCTGGGTTACAAAAAAGTGATCAGATTTTGATGCCACTCCATGACTCCACAAAAATCAACTTTCCCTCCTTATCCAGCGCAAGTTTTTCAAGGTTTCACCTGATAACGAGGTAAGCCCCCAGACTCCCTCGGATCTTCTGCTGACCATGCCCATACCAGGGGACCTCTCCTCCCCGGCACTCCTGAGACAGTCCCCTGAGCTACCTCGCTCCCACCATCAGTTCCCAAAAGACCTAGCCGAGGCCCTGGGATAGAATCAGCCCTAACCCACTTCCGAATTCCCTGGCTTTTTAAAAAAAAAAATCTCATCAACAGCAGCTCTGGCTTCGTGAGCTCACAACCACATCAGGCAAAGCACAGCAAAACCTTAAGTTGCTCATTTCCTCAGCATCCACCAAACCTCCTGATGGGCTGTCGGGGAGGACAGGTGTGTGGAGGGCTAGGGAGGCAGGGGAAGCTTGAGGACATAGGAAACAATGTCTAAAACACTGTGGTCAGAAAAGGGACTTCTTAAAATATGTGACAGCAAACCCAGAAAACAAAGTTCTCCGCCCACATTCCTACTGCAGCCAGTGTGGACACGGGAGACTCCTCCAACGGAGCATCTGTCACTACGTCAGACACTACGCCGAGCACTTTATGGCATCACAACACTCATGTGTGGGAGGCAACTGAGGCCCACAAAGGCTGAGGAGCGGATCAGTGCAAGCTAGGGCGCAGCTGGGGTTTGAACCCAGGACCATCCCATTCTAAATCCTGTGCTCCAACCGTGCTGGACTTGGACAGGCTGCCAACTGCACCCTCCTCTGCCCACCAACGCAGCTGCTGCCCCAGACCCAAAGGCAGCAAAGGATTTCTGCTGCTGCCACTGTTACATTACATTCACTGGCACACCACCAGGACAGTCTATTTTGTCTTTAAAAATCACAATTGCTAAAGAAGCAGCAAAGTGAATGTGGCATGGTTCAACATCCCACCAGGAAGAGGGAAGGTGAAGATGGCCCAGCCACAGTGTGCTAAGAGATCGCAGATGTGTGTTCAGGACGGACTAGTCATTTTCACGGACTGGGGCAAACCCTTAGCCTCTGGTAAGAATTCCTGTGGCCGAGAGGATGAGCCATGTGGGTAAGTAGTGTCCAGGAAGGCGGACAACAGCAGCAGCCAAAGATTTCCACAGCACGGGGAGTGGACAGGAATCACCCAGACCCGCAGGAATGTGAGGCCAGGAGCCCTGGCAGGCAGCTGTGGGGGTCTGAGGGCACAAAACCAGCGTCTCCCTCTGCTCGAGACTGCTCCAAGCCTGGTGTGTGCTTCCAGCAGCCAGCAAGCCAGGCAGGGTTAAGACTTAACTCAGCCTATTATTCCGAACCTTCAGCTCCTGGCTTTGGAAAGGAATGTGTCCTGTATAGGGATGAACATATTAAATGACAGCATCAGCCTCTGAGAAAGCTCGTATTCAGTGCTGAGCTTGTACAGATGCTATTTACAGAACTACATACATGACGTCTTTAAAATGCAGGATCCTCGGTTTCCAAACTAGGCCAGTGGCAGAACTTGTTGGTTCTCCTTCCTTCCCTAGCCAGAAAAAGTGACTTCTATTTTTCCTTAAATATTTAACTGACACATAAAATTACATACATTTCAGGCGTATGACGTGATGATTTGATACATGTACACACTGTGTAGTGACGATCACAATCGAATTAATGAACACATCCATCACCACCCACATTTTGCATGGAAGCCCCAGGATTTTGTTCACCTTGTAACTGAAAGTTTGTACCTTTTGACCACGATTTCCCCATCCTGAGTCCCGGCAACCACCGTTCTACTCTCTGTTTCTATGACTTCAACTTTGTTAGATTCCACATATAAGTCAAATCATGCAGTTATTTGTTTTCTGTGAATGACTTCTATCTTTACATTTGCTGGCTAAATGCAAACTTTTAAAATATATACAAATAAATCATCCTATGTCATCCCTTTAAATCCCTTTGTTGAAAGGAAACTTTAAAAATATACACAAATAAATCATCCTATGTCATTCCTTTAAATGAGACTGAGACATGGCTTCAGTAGATGGCACCATGTTCCAGAAGATCACAGGCCAGCTCAGAACTCGTCAGTGGGGCCGGCCATAGGCAGACAGAGGGCAGCTGTGTGCACATGGCTCTGCATTTCTGTTGTCGCCTCCCTTGTGACAGACACACAGGATGGAAAAAGGCTGACAGCCTGTGGCAGGAGGAACCAGAGGGAGGGTGCCAGCTGCATACGCTGGGCCAGTGACTACAGTTCCAATCCTCATCATCTGCCTTTCCATAGATACATGCAGCCTTTACGCTCTGGTGTAGATCACTAGGGGTGATCCTGCTGGAATCAACACAACAAACATGCACAGGATGGAGAGCCACTCGGCATCAAAGAGGCTGGGCAATTTGTCCAGCTCCTTTGTGCCTCATTTCCTCACCCACGAAACGGGGAAAGAACAATGCCTTCCCCCGGGCCTCAGATGACCACTGCAGTGATCCTGTGATGCAATTAACATTAAGGACACTACAAAAAGCCAAGGTGTGTCATTTCTGAGGTGTGGGTTTCAAATTCCAAAGCTGGTTCCTTTCCAGGTATGTCTTGGCATGGCGGCAGCGGCAGGAACCATGGCAAAGGAGGAAATCCCCAGCAGCTCTGATGTCAAACCATTTCCCTGAAATGCAAGTCCCTGCTATTATCTTACTAACGTTCCTCACTCTTACCCCTCTCTTTGAAAACAAATACACGTTCCACTTACAAACCAAAAAGAGACAGAGTGATGTAATGGTAGGTAGCAAAATTCTAAAGTCAAACTGCAGGGTACCATCCTAGCTCTACCAGTGCTAGCTGTGTGACAGTGGGCCTTGGTTTGCTCATCTCTCAAATGGGGATAATAATGGTACCTAAACCTCATGGTTGTGGTATGGAATCAATGAAATTTTACACATACATGCACATATACATACACACAGTTGTCGCCTCGCTATCTGGTGGGGTGGGGTGGGGATCAGTTCCAGGACTTCTGAGATATCAAAATCTGTGAATGTTCAAGTCCCTTACATAAAATCATGTAGTGTTTACATATAACTGATGCACAGCCTCCTGTATACTTTAAATCATCTCTAGATTACTTATAATACCTAATACAACATAAATACCTTGTAAATCATTGTTACACAGGTTGGGCGTCCCCAGTCTGAAAACCCAAAATGCCCCAAAATCCAAAACCTTTTTTTTTTAAGATAGGGTCTCCCTATGCTGCCCAGGCTGGGGTGCAGTGGCCATTCACAGGCGCAATCATAACACACTGCAGCCTCTAACTCCTGGCCTCAAGGGATCCTCCCACCTCAACCTCCCCAGTAAGAGGAGGCCTGCCTATGGCCAGCCCCACTGACGAGTTCCGAGCTGGCCTGTGATCTTCTGGAACATGGTGCCATCTGCTGAGCCATGTCTCAGTCTCACTTAAAGGGATGACATAGGATGATTTATTTGTGTATATTTTAAAAGTTTCCTTTCAACAAAGGGATTTAAAGGGATGACATAGGATGATTTGTTTGTATATATTTTAAAAGTCTGCATTTAGCCCACAAATGTAAAAAGGTGGTAATCTGGCTCAACCAGTTCTGCAATCCCACCCAGGAGCAGAAGACACAGCAAGAAAACCTCACTTCCACCCGCTATGATTCCATCTCCTACCTGACCAATCAGCACTCCTCACTTCCTAAGCCCCTACCCACCAAATTATCTTTAAAAACTCTGATCCCCAAATGCTCAGGGAGAATGATTTGAATAACAGTAAAACTCCAGTGTCCAGTAAGCTAGTTCTGCACGAATTACTCTTTCTCCATTACAATTCCTTTGTCCTGATAAATCAGCTCTGTCTAGGCAGCAGGTGAGGTGAACCTACCGAGCAGTTACAAACACTGGAGCCAGAAGGCATCCTAGACAAGCAAGATTAGTGCTGCTCGAACTCTGTGGAGTAAAGGGCCACTTTTTGTTGGCTTTTTTCCCCCAATTCGACCAAGCTGTAGTCCTGCCGTGCAGAACCAGCACGCAGCTTGCTCCACATGCAACTCCTCACGCGAGTTTAACACGCTCGCCTTGAGTGTTCAACACAATGTGTTCAACTGGTTCTGCAGCAACATCAAATTCCTATAGAAGTTTCCAAGTGCTTCTATACTTTCCTCATCATGGATTGTATAGTTTGTGGGCCTATGAACCACACTTTGAAAGCACTGATTTAGGCTATTCTTTCCTTCTCTCTGCAATGCCATTTTATGGAGCAAGGAACTGCCGATGAATGGCAGAGCTGTTAAGTCTTTAAAAAACCAAAAATTAGGCCCAGGAAACAGTGGAAAACTCAATCCCAAGTGAACACTAGGAACTCGCAGAAATAGGACAGAAAAGGGAGTGAAAAAGGACAACATCATCAACGTAGCCCAGCCGGCACTGACCACTCTTAGTCATACAGATCTAGAGATGAGAATTTACTTAGCACCAGCAGGGAGACTACAGCTTTGCAGCCCTTCCCAGGTGGCTTCCCTGACCTTGGGGCGGTCTTCCTTCCGCAGAGCCACAGCTTCCAGTTTGGCTTCATACTCTGCTTGAACTTGGTCCCTCTTCTTCAATACACTCTGTGGGAGGCAGAGGAGAGAAGCATGTAACACTGAGTCCACAAAGGGGCCTCCCACCCCCAGGCAATTGCTTCTTTTCCCCCACGCCTCCCCAAATCAAGGCCTACCCCAGGCCCAGCCATGTGCTCCTAGGACAGTCTGGCCATGGCAGAAACTCTGGAGGAAGCAGGAGAAAGGAGGGAAGAGAGGAGAACCACTCCTGATGCTGGAGTTTCTAGTAAAGTAACTAAAACCTGACGCTGAAAGGAAAGAAATTCTAGGGAAAGGCAAGTGGAGGAAACAGCACCCATCCATTGTCACGCTGCTGGGAGGACTCTCCGCGTCACTGTGTGCAGCCAGAGCCCGGCTGTGCAGAAATGCGGAGCTTTGCAGGCTACAACACTGGATGTTCTCTGAAATCTTAAAGTCTAAGAGAACTCTTCACTCTTTAATTCACTGACTGGACCCCTAGTGGACTGATCTGTTCAATGATTCATTCATTAGCCACTTACTAGTCCTCTACTCTGGTCCAGGTATAGAAAGAGCAGAGAGATGCACTCCCTACCTGAGAGGTTCAGTGTGACAGAGGCTCAGACACAGTATGCGCCTGTATGTGCTAAAGGGGCTATACCTGTGCAAGTCCAGAATTCCTAGAACCATGCAGCCAGCCCACCAGAGTGAAGGCTCAATGGGCCCCAAGAGAGCCAGCCCTGGATGGGACAGGAGTGAGGCAAGCTAGGCACCCGGGGTGCAAAATGTAAGGAGACACTCCCTCTTTGGCCCATGTGAGTACAAGGTTGGCACCTGACAGTGAATGCCCTGTAAATCTGTGCCTGGGGCTCCCCTCACTTAGTCCAAGCTCTGCTGCTATGAACCCACCAAGCAAAACAGAAAAGCTTGCAGTAGACCTTCTAGAAAGGTGTCTGTTTCATCAACGAGTTTCTTTCTTCTTCCTTTAATAGAATCACAAGTGGCAAACCAAGAGTGATGAGACCTTTCTTTTCCACTAACTCAAAAGAAATAAATTGCTATGAAAGTTTCTAATCATGCACTTTCCCCACAGGGGACCTTCCAGCAGCGTGAGGAGTCAAGGCAGGAAGGAGTCACTCCTTGGCTAAGCACGGGCACCCCATATCCCTGCCTGTGCTAAAGGTGACAGGCAACTGAAGAGTTGAGAGTGTTGTGGGTTCAACCTTCTAATGGAATGTGTCAATACCGGAAACCTCAAGTCTTCCTCTGAAAAGTTTGCTTTAGGAAGTGTTTTATCATGAAATGAAAATGAGGTTAAAATTGCAATAATTTTTCGTCAATTGCCACTCAGCTGTCTCCTAAGTGCCCTGACATTCCCTCCCCACACTCATTCATCTTTGAGTAGGAATATTTACAGTGCTGTTCAATGGAACTTTCTGCTATAATGGAAACGTTTTATAATCTACACTAACCCAGGAGCCACTGCCTCCACGTGCCTACTGAGCACATGAAACAAAGCTAGCAGGACTGGGGAACTGGATTTACATTTTTATTCAATGTTACTCATTTGAATTTAAACTTAAATAGCCACATATGGCTAGTGGCTACCATACTGGATGACATAAATCTATAAAGTAAAAAAGAGTCCTTTGTGGACTTCATACAGCCCAGAAAATAATCTAAATCTATTGGTCTGATACAGCAGTAGTAAAAATCCTCTTCTCCATGGACGTGCAAATGTGGTTCCCCAAGGTGCAATGGAACAGCAGGGCAGGGGCCATGTGGGATGCTTATCACTGGTGTGCACTTCCCTTCACAGGATGCCTAGCATCTTACTGGAAAAAAAAACCACATATCCAGACTAGCGCTTCTAGGAAGGAGTCTGAGTTGACCCAGTGACACACACTCTGTCAGTGTGGCAAGAGCCTCCTAACTAAAGCTGTTAAGACAATGCCCTGGAACAATGCCAGCACAGCGTGGGGGCTCCTGGGGGCACTGCTGGGGTTGCAAGACCCCTGGGACTACGAGGGGTGGGGAGGAGATGCATCAACCCCACTCAGCTACAACAGTGCAAAAGCATCTCCTCTCCCCATGCCCAAAACAGACGAGGGGGCCTGCAGATCCAGCCATATCCCTCTCTCCAGTTGGCCTGGGCCTGCCCTGGCCCACAGGAGAGGCAGGGTCTCTGTCTCTCAGTGTTATCCAGCGTGGCCAGAATGCTGCCCTCTGGCGCAGGCTGACTGGAGGATCCGCCCTAACAGCCCTGCATCACTGGACAGCACAAAAGGCTCCCAGCAACCCTGCAGAGTGAACGCGCATCTTCCCTATTCTACAGATGAGGAGACTAAGGGACGGTGGCGGGCCCTGTTCAAGGCCACACCTGGCTCATGGCACAGCAGTGGCTCATTCAGGCTGTTCCTGCTGCCTTCCAGCATGTGGCTTTGCAGCTGGCCCAAAATCCAACCACGCTGAAGGTTGGGCAACGTGTTCTGAATCAAGACAAACTGCTGACTACCACCACCCTCATTGGGACACCTTTGCATGCTGTTGGTGATGTTCTGAGAGGATGGGCCCCCAGCCCAGTCTCTATTGATAAAATTGGTCAAACCAGCCTATGGCTGTCAGATGAGGCCCGAGCCGGCAGTGGGGTAAAGAGGCCAAGAGACCAAGCCGGCGTCTGCAGAGAGGCCCCTCCATCATTGAGTGACAAGCAGAAGAGAGTCATCATCTGAACTTCTCACAGAACTTTATAGGGATCTGCATCCCATTGATATGACACATCAAAAAGGCGAAGGGCACAGTGAGACTTTTCTCCTCATGCCTCGCGCCACCTGCCCTCCTCTACACACCCATTCCCCACCCTGCTTCTGCCCTGCCTTCATACATCTTCATTCATCTAGCCAGGGACGGGGATACAGCAGAGAACAAATCACAAAACCATGTGGAGCTTACATTCTAGAGGAGAGGCAGACAAGAAGCAAGTAAAATATATAGTAGGTAACTCTAGGCATTAGGAGGAAAAATAAAACAGGAATGGAAGGAAAGTACCAAGGGTTTGGGGAAGGCAAAATCATACATAGGGTGCCCAAGGAGGGCCTCACACTCACAAGATGACTTTTAATTACAGACATGGAATAAATTCCTCTCGGACACTTATTTTTTAAAACATTAGAACATTTTGTTGTGATTTCAAGTGGTCCTAATAACCTGGAACTTTACTATCTCTCTTTTCCAATGAAGAGAAGACAGATGATTCTTTAACAAATAAATTACAAGGAAAAATAAATGGACAAAGAAGGATTTTTTAATATTTAAGAAACATACCAATCAATGTACAGATCCTGTTTGGATCTCAATTTGGAAAAAGAAACAGAAACTGTGTCTGAGACAAACTGGGGAAATTTGAACACTAACTGGATATTTAAACATAATTAGGTAGTCCTTTTTAAAAAAAAAAAAAAAAGAATGCTTGTATTTTAGAGATATGTACTAAACGTTTCTGTATGAAATAATATGATTCCAGGATTTGTGTAAAATTAAACCACAGGGTGGGAGTTGGGAGCAGCGTGACAGAGAGACAGAACCAGATGAGTCATGAGTGGGCAACTGCTGATGCTGGCTGGGATATGCGCGGGACGGCTGGGATACGCACGGGACGGCTGGGATACATGTGGGTTTATTGTTATCATTCTATTTTGTGATATGTTTGAATTTTTCTATAATAAAAAGGCTAAACAATAGAAACACAATATCTGTCATCCAAATATAACAAATTAATAACAGTCATTAAGAGGTCTATAGTTATGTCATCCACGAAATACTAATCAAACAGCCTTTATCTACAATGACAAAATGTTTGGAAGAGTTGGATGACAGATGCATCCTGTGGTTTGGCTTTCAACATCTGCACTGGATTTGTCCCAAAAAAGACCACAGTGGCATCTACGGGAAAGCACAGCATCCCTTCCCCACCCTCAGACTCATGCACATGTCTGACCCTGGCAAGGCTGTGGGCTCACAAACTATGGGAGGGGAAAAGGCAGAAAAGGAGCCCCAGCGCCAAAGGTCAGCAGCTACCAAAAAGCCTCTTCAAGCCCACCAAGTTTTTCAGCTTCAAAGCTTTGTGGAAGAGGGGAGCTAGGATGCAGGGCTGGAAGAGGATACCAAAGCAGCAGGAGCAGCTCACCCCCCACAGAGAACTGCAGGATGGGATGGTTCATATTCCTGTAGGCCAGGGCTGACGACCCAAGACCCAAGTGGAATTCATGTAGAGTAATGGGTGTTCAGTAATAAAGAACAAATGAGAATAAAAATAAAATACGCACGTAGCCCTGTGGCTTAGGGTAGCCCTCTAGAAGGGCACTTTCCTGCAGGCAGGAAAATGAGTCTGATCTGGTACTGGTGATATCACTAGCTCTGGTTAAATGACTGAGTTCAGGTTACCCCTTTCAACATGCTCCTTTTACATATTCATTCTATGGAAACCAGGACCACCTGCGAGTTAGATGTCCTGGGGCAATGTTGGTAACACTGAAACCACACATTATCCCCTCATTTTAAAATATATTTTTACACAAAATTTGGAAAATTTAAAGGAGGGGGAGAAGTCATACATAATCTCATCACACAGACACAATCAGTGATACATTATTTCTTCCCTTCTGGTCTTTTTCCTTGAATGGCTTCTTTGATGCTTCCCATTTCTCTGTTTCTCTGCCTGCACACCTGTTATTCAGATGGTCTAATCCTCTAATTTTCATATTTTTTTCTCCAATTCTCTTTTGGTTTCTTTTCATATGTGACTTGCTTAACTTTTTCTTCTAACTCTTCTATTAATTTTTTTATTCCTATTATGGTTTTAATTTCCAAGAGCTCTTTGTTCTCTGAATTTTTAAAAATTACTGTTTTATGGCTGTGATATCTTCTCTTTTGGAAAATATTAACATTTTTTTCTGGAAATTTTCTTCCCCATCAGTGTTTCATTCAATAGGTTTTTCTTCTTTGTTTTACTTCTGATATTCATATTCAAATCTTCCCTTACATATCTGGTGACCCTTGTCTGTCCACTCATCCAAGAGGGAAACTCCATGGAAATGGATTGAAAGCTCTCTGCACAGAGGGCTTGTTGACATTCTCCATAGGAGACTCGGCTGGGTCCTTTCATTGAGGGACCACCCTGGTTCTCCATCGCCAGCCAATATCAGTATCTGTGGGTCACTTCTCTTGGCCCGTCCAGATTTTCTAGAAAAGGCTCTTTTCCTCCTTGCATGGAAGATCTAAGGCTGAGAGTCAAGCAGGAGAAGAGTCTCAACATCACTAATCTTTCACTGAACACCCTCAAGTGTGCCTAGAGTCTCTTGCTCCACAGAGGCCCCCTCCAGAGAATCGACCCCCAGTTCTGCCAAAGTGGAGAAGGAAGTGGCCCCTGTGTGAGCAGGGAGGAGAGGATCAGAAGCTAGAATTCTTAAACAGACTCTAGATTTATTCTTCTCTTCAGCTCTACCTCAGTCCCAGAGGGGCGTGGTGCTGCCAACTCTTGACCTTTTTGGAGGGTTCCGCGGTGTAAACCAGGTGGCTTCTCAGTTTTTTCCCCCACAGTCGGTTTCAAAATCAGCTTGAGTCATTTAAAGTACTTATTAACTCTCAATCCGTTCCCAAAATTGTACTGCTATTGCCTCCTTGCCTGTTGCTCTTGTCTGTGGGCTTGTGACTTTTTTCAAAATCGTTTTAGTGTCATTTTGGTGAAGTTTAAATGTGTATTCAGTCTGCCATTACTGGGAATCTCAGAGTTCTCATTTTAATATTTTTCTTATTTTTTTAAAGCCTTTGAAATCAGGCATATTTCACATCCTGCTTCTTCACATTATTTTAGCTGCAAGAAATTAGCCACTCTGTATAATCTCTTTTGTTCAGGAAAGGGGACATTTTTTCCCTGACAAATCAATCTTCCAGAAAACTCTTCATTTCAGTTTTGGAAAGGCACCGGAAATGGCCAACCTAAAGCACCAACTGTTCGCGTTCCCGGAGTTTGACTCATTGGCGCCACCTTGTGGCCCTGTGGGGAAGGGGCGGGCAGGCTGAAGAAACCGCCTGACAATTTAAATTGGCTTTTGAAAAGGACTAACCCGGAATGTTGTAGAAGTTATCTCCAACTGGAAGAAAAACTTTGTCTTTAAGCCAAAACTTATGCATCCACATTTCACACTTGTAATCTCGATCACCAACGATGTCTATATTATTAAATCCAACAGATATATTTTGCCCCCTTCTTAAAACATTTATCTTGGCTTCGTGGAGGCAATCCTCTTCTTCCCTCCTGCCACACCAACCCTTCCTTTGTGGGCTCCTTTGCTACTTGTTCTTTCGTCTTAAGGTGATAGATCAATAAATATTACCATGCCACAGGCGCAGGCCTTCACACTCTACGCACCTCAATCACATCTCCTCATACAATCTCCATCGGTCTCAGAGATTTAAACACCATTCATACACTAATGACTCCCAAATTTCTATTCCCACTCTAGACTAACTCAAAACCAACTGCCATGACATCTCCACTTTAATGATTAGGAGGCATTCTGAATTCCACATGCCCAAAATAGTGGACTCCCAACTGCTCCACCTGTTCCTCCCTGGACCCTCCCCGTCCCAATAAACAGTACTGCGATCCACCCAGCTGCTAAAGCCAAAAACCCCAATTCCTTTCTTATTTTGCATCACTACAGCAGCAAGTGCCATTGGCCCATCATCCAAAATATACCCCAAATCCACCCACGTCTCTACCACTGCAGTCCAGGCTCCACCACCTAGTTTTCTGCCCTTGGCTCCCTGTGACAGCCTTCTGAACGGCCTTCCCAATCACCACTCTCATCCTCTACAATCTAGTCTCCATACTGTAGCACTAGTTGTCTTCTTAAAGTGAAAATCACATCCTGTCATCCCCCTGCATAAAACCAAATGGCTTCTCTTCTAGTCCTTAGAATAAAGTCCAGACTCTTACCAGCCTTTAAGATGGTCTTTAAGACGCTACTGCATTTGGGAGGCCAACGTGGGTGGATCATGAGGTCAGGAGTTCGAGACCAGCCTCACCAACATGGTGAAACCCCGTCTTTACTAAAAATACAAAAATTAGCCGGGCGTGGTGGTGCGCACCTGTAATCCCAGCTACTCAGGAGGCTAAGGCAGGAGAATCGCTTGAAGCGGGAAGTGGAGGTTGCAGTGAGCTGAGATCACGCAGCCTGGGCAACAGAGTGAGACTCTGTCTAAAAAAAAAAAAAAAAAAAGCTACTGCAGGACCAGGCTCCTACCTCTCTTTGACCTCACCGCTTACCACTTACTCCTTTGCTCACCAGGTTCCACTCCCCAGCCTTTCTGATCTGCAAAGACTCTGAGCTCATTTCAGCTTTCGGACTTTGCACTGGCTGCTCCCCTCTGCCTAAAATGCTCCATCCTCCGACCCTTGCGCAGCTCACTCCCATATGTCTTCCAAGTCTCCAGCCACAGCCTTTTCCATGTGGCTTTCCCTTACAACCTACTCTTACTTCAGACCCTCACCCCACCCCAGTCATTCACCAAGACCCCTGAGATAAGCATGCGTATTGACATAGATAAACCTCTTAAAAATAAGATGTACAATGTGCAATCATTGTATATTTGTAAGTGTCGCAAATTTACCAAATTGTCCGATTCAATTACATGCTTGCTGACCACCTTCTATGGATAAGGCAGTGTGGGAAATAAGACAGTCCTGCCCAAACCTTCAGGAATAAAGCTTCTCCAACATTTGGCCTAGTCATGACAATGCTAATACTCAAAAGGCACTGCCAGAAAAGTGGTGAGGACTTCAAGAGGGCCTCTTTCAACCCATCACTACCCTAATTTCATTATACACACACAGTTTATAGGATGTGAAATCCTATGTAAGGGCTCACCTGTGGATGTCTGCGAGGTATTTAACTTGAGTCTGGGCTTAAGGGTAACTAACCTTTTGTACCTTCCTGTCCCCGCACACATATCCTTGTGACACATGCCTTCAACCGTCTTTCTAGTACAAGCTGTTCTCATTGTTCACTGCTTAAACTCACATTGTTCCATTTGTTCCGAGTGCCTTGATAATGACCCTATTTTTCTATGCTCTCTACCTCCAAAGGGAACAGAACATACCTAGCCACAATTGTCCTGAAAGAGATACAGTTGGAGGCCAGGCTTGAAAAGCCTAAAGTCACCTAGTTTGCCTCTTGGCAAGTAGTAAACACACAGCTACAAGCTGATTGGTCACTAAGGAGTATAGTCCTGTGGCCATGCAACAGAGAAAAGATTTACTCACAAGGGTCTGTTTCTTCGTGTCAACAATGAGCAAATGAGAAAGATGATCCTAAAGGCCCTTTCGAACTCAGAGAGGAACCCCCACCACAGCTCCATCAGGACAGGACTTTTCCCTGGCATTTTCCCATCCAGGGAGGGACCAGCCATCCACCATTTCAAATTCCTAAGGCACAGGCCACTACTTCCAAATGATGAGGACAAACACTCACCATTAGGTTCCCTCAAGGCCATGATGAAGATAGACTGACAGAACCTCACCACACCAGTAACTCCTCACCAAAACCAACCCAGGACTTTCTCAGCTCTGAGGACCATTCAGCAGCTGATGAAGAACGGGCCACAGGCCTGATGTGGGGGCTCACGCCTGTAATCCCAGCATTTTGGGAGGCCAGGGCAGGCAGATCACTTGAGGTCAGGAGTTTGAGACCAGCCTGGCCAACGTCGTGAAACCTGTGTCTATTAAAAACACAAAAATTAGCCAGGCGTGGTGATGTGCACCTCTAATCCCAGCTACTCGGGAGCCTGAGGCAGGAGAATCACTTGAACCCGGGAGGTGGAGGTTGCAGTGAGCCAAGATCGTGCCACTGCACTCCAGCCTGGGCGACAGAGCAAGAGTCCATCTCCAAAAAATAAAGAACAGGCCACAGCCAGGCCTGTGGCAAGTCCTCTGCTCCACGCTTAGTTTCCATACTGCACAGCAAAGTCTGCCCTACTTAAGTTTCAAAAATCAGAAAGCCATTTTGGAAATGGAACTATATGACTCTCTCGGAGGAAGAAAATATACTTAAAAATTCTTACAGAGCAGCAATGTGAAAAGGTGGGCAAGCCACTTAAGACATCTATCATTCTCCTGGTGTCTTTAGTCCCAGCCACACAGACCCTGATAATCCCAGACACAGTCTTTGCTTTGCCATCCAATCACTCCTATCGTGCCCAGGGCACTCTGCAGAGACATTTTCCTGGTGAAAAGTGGAGGAGCAGTGGCCCTGTTTCTTATTAATTGGACTCAGCTCAGCTACTATCGGGGATAGAGCTTGGGTTTCAGAGACTGCCAGTCCACACTTCCTCTTTTCCATGCCCTTCCCCAGACAAGACTGTGTACAATCAATCCCATTCACTCAGCCTGATTGACCTGATTTTTCAGGCTCAGTAAACAAGAAACTCCATACATATGCCCCACACATGGGGGGTAAAGAAAGAGCAAACAAATGTTTCTTTGATGTCTAACTTAAATTACACAAGCTATGTCTCCCAGTGTAATGTTTTATAGATGCCAGATAAATCCTTGCTATATGACATTTTTAAATCGTGCTTCAAATACAAATATATACTAAGTACTAACATACTTGCCACAGGAAAAAAAACAGAGTAATTTGTACTATAGTATCCCAGTGCTGTGTATGCATTGGATTTTTCATCTGGCAAGGTTAAGAGAATATTTGATGAAGGGTGTGTATACATAAGAGACAAATCCACGGACACTCCAGGAATTGTAAAAACTTATTTTTAAGAACAGATACCAGGGCTAGGTGCAGTGGCTCACGCCTGTAATCCCAGCACTTTGGGAGGCCGAGGCGGGCGGATCACGAGGTCAGGAGATCGAGACCATCCTGGCTGACACTAAAAAAATACAAAAAATTAGCCAGGCGTGGTGGGGGGCACCTGTGGTCCCAGCTGCTCAGGAGGCTGAGGCAGGAGAATGGCATGGACCCGGGAGGCAGAGCTTGCGGTGAGCTGAGATCGTGCCACTGCACTCCAGCCTGGGTGACAGAGCAGGACTCCGTCTCAAAAAAAAAAAGAAATATCAGCCAGGCGCAGTGGCTCACACCTGTAATCCCAGCACTTTGGGAGGCCGAGGCGGATGGATCATAAGGTCAGGAGATCAAGGGTGGCCAACATGGGGAAACCCCGTCTCTACTAAAAATACAAAAATTAGCTGGGTGTGGTGGCGGGTGCCTGTAATCCCAGCTACTCGGGAGGCTGAGGCACGAGAATCACTTGAACCCAGGAGGCAGAGGTTGCAGTGAGCCACGATTGTGCCACTGCACTCCAGCCTGGTGATGACAGAGTGAGACTCCATCTCAAAAAAACAAACAAACAAAAAACACAGATACCATTAGTTTGATAAGTGAAATATTCTAGTTCATTTTAAGAAAGTCAGCATGTCTTTCTATACTTGTTTTGGCCATAGGATCAAAAATTCAATGTGTATATCCCAATTTTTTTTAATAAAAGTCAATGTGATACAAGAGAATGAGCTGCAAATTCACAGCCAGAAGTTTTGGCTTACAGCCTCAGTTCCAATAATTTCCAACTAGTGGTCTCAGGCTAATGATCTCAAATCTGACTTTATCCTATCACCACCATCATTTCCAACTTATAGATAAGGAAATTCAAACCATTTCCCTGGTCACTGAGAGATCCAAATTCAATCCTGGCTTGGAAAGTGTTTTATTAGCAACTTTATAACGCACACATGAAAAGGGGATTCACCAGAGGCTCCATTTTCCACCGTCCACAGTTTAGTACGTATCAACCCTTCACACCTGATGGGACAAGACGGAACAAGGAGAATGGGTATGTGGCAGTTTGTCACTATTCTCTCTGCTTTGGCATGTGCTTAAAGTTTTCCATCATAATTTGTTTTTATAACTAGTTGATTCATTATTTTTTAATTCCTGTTCTCAAGCTGTACAATGTTTTCCTGGATCTACGATCTTTCTGGTTTAACATTTTTACAACCCAATGTTGACTGACAGGTTTCTCTCTGGAATTCAGGTCAGTCCCTATTCAGGTCTTTCCTCATGGGATGCCCTAGACCTGTCCCAAAGACAGATTAATCATTCAGAGGTCTCCTTTGAGAAGCAGGAGGGTGCTATTTAGAGGTGGGAATGTTCAACACTGAACCACGTATCTTTTTCTATTGGTCATAAAGACTGGGCCTTTCTACTAATCAGTGCCCCCATCGTCGGAGTCTCCTGAAGAGATGTTCTCCAACCAGTCTATGTGCAGGCCGGGGAAGTTTCCAGTGTGGGCACTGGCGCATTTCCTCCTGCACTCTACTCCGATTCTGCATACAGAATTTGAGGCCAAAGATTTTTTTTGTCCTCATAGTTCCTCTTCTCATTCACCGCTGCTAGACCAAAGCCATTCTCACTCTTGTTCCTTTTATACATCATCTGCCCCTCCCTCTGCTTTAAAAAGCTTTCAAATTCGTATCACTTTTGTTCTAAAATTCCACAATAATATGCTTTGGGCTGGTGATCTTTTCAATCCTTTTGCTGGGCAATTATCATGTCCTTTTAATCAGACGATTTATGTCTTCAGCTTTGGGGGACTTTCTTGTATTATTTCTTTTACAATTTCCTTCCCTCAGTCTTCCCTGTTCTCTCAGGAACTCTTATCAGTCGGATGCTGAACCTTTGGGATTAATTCCCTATGTCTCTTTTCTTTCATATTTTCAGTACTTTTGCATTTTTGTTCTATTTTCCAGCAACTTTTGTTTTGTCTTACTTTAAGATTTCTTCAATTTCACCTTCCAACTTGATTATTCAGTTTTATTTCAGCAATCATGTTTTAACTTCCAAGAGCTCTAATTATTACTTTTCCATGGCATCTTTGTTCTTATTTCATAGGCATTATATCTTCTTGAACTCTCAGAGAAACCAGTAAGAATTTCTTACCAAACTTTTTTTTTTGTTTAATTCACGTACTTCGTTCACCATGTGTTCCATTTATATGTCCATGATGTCAGTCCACGTGTCTGATCCTGCCCACCCAGGAAGAAGGAAACTTATATCACATGCAAACAGGCAATAATCCATTACTTTCTGATAACTGCTATTACAAAGAAAGTATGCAAATACACAAGAAGCAAGCCAGCTTACCTTCATGGAGTCAGAGTATAAAATATATTCCCTGAGCACAGGTAGGAAGTCTTCTGTCATGTCATCTGTCAGCTCTTCTAAGGCTGTAGAGCAGTTCCCAATGCAAGCTGACACACCCTCCAGGGGTTCAGCCAGCTCACCCTCCAAGGCGCTCCATGTGGAGTACACAGGCCCGTATTCTCTCAGCTCCACAAGGTACTCTGAACAGGGAACAGAAACTAATTAAAATCTGGCTGGGTAGCAGTTGCTGCTATTACTGACTCAGTAATCACCACAGCCAAGAGCTCTCTACATGAACATGTGTTTCTTTGGCCATTCACTCACCTGATCCCACTCTTCTTTAAACACAACACTGTTTCTAGCACAACTGCTTAAAAACCTCTGACAGCTCATGTTACATCAATCCATTCCATCCCGTGATGGGAATGCCATCCCTCTGGATAATGGGCCTTATGGGGAAAAGCAGTAGCAGCCACATCCACCAAACATCTTCGAAAATAACCACTCGCTGGCCTGGTGGTGGCTCATACCTGTAATCCCAGCACTTTAGGAGGCCAAGGTGGGTGGATCACAAGGTCAGGAGATCGAGACCATCCTGCTAACACAGTGAAACCCCGTTTCTACTAAAAATACAAAAAAATTAGCCGGGTGTGGTGGCAGGCGCCTATAGTCCCAACTACTCAGGAGGCTGAGGCAGGAGAATTGCTTGAACCCAGGAGGCAGAGGTTGCAGTGAGCCAAGATCACTCCACTGCACTCTAGCCTGGGCAACAAAGCGAGACTCCGTCAAAAAAAAAAAAAAAAAAAAAAAGAAAAGAACCACTCGCCTACCCATAGTGTGAAGCAGTATTTTAACAGGCAATGGAGGCAGAGTTTCATATAGGTTTAGGGAGATGTTTTTAAAGGTTAAAAAATAAAATCAGGGGCCAGGCACGGTGGCTCACACCTGTAATCCCAGCACTTTGGGAGGCCGAGGTGGGTGGATCATGGGGTCAGGAGATCGAGACCATCCTGACTAACATGGTGAAACCCAATCTCTACTAAAAATACAAAAAATTAGCCAGGCGTGGTGGCGGGCACCTGTAGTCCCAGCTACTCAGGAGGCTGAGGCAGGAGAATGGCGTGAACCCGGGAGGCGGCGCTTGCAGTGAGCCGAGATGGTGCCACTGCACTCCAGCCTGGGCGACAGAGCAAGACTCTGTCTCAAAAAAAAAACCAAAAACCAAAAAACGAAAAACAAAAACAGTCACAATGGATAAACAATGGAATTTTAGGAAACATTTTGATACAAGAGATGTGGTCTTACACTGGCAGACTCACTCTATCACTCGGTGGCCACCTCAGCCCCTTGGATCCCATCAGAATTTACTCTGCAAGATCCTTAGGTGTGGATGGTATCCACAGCTATCTCCAAAACCTATGGGCCCCACATGGTATCATCAGTGGGTCAAGTAGAGGGAACAAGTACAAGAAATGAGAAAAAAAAAATGTTGATTTTTTTCCCCCGTAAAGAAAATCTGGCCCATCATTTGTCACCAAGAGTCTTGCCATTGTTGCAACAGAACACAGTCATCATGGCTTAGTGACCGATGAATGGCAACTGCTGGGGAATCCTCAACGTGCTTCCCATGCCAGTGCGATCATTTACACTGCTCACGTCTGTCCGCCCCATGCATATGTAAGGAGATAAAAGATCCCAACATTATGGGATGTGGCAAAGCAGGTGGCCCCGAGAGGGGTGGGAAGGAAGTGGAGGCAAAAACGAGGAAGGATCAATACAGGCCCTGGCAACTCCCCCATGCAGGAGTGGGTTTAAAATGAACCACGGTGGGGTGGGTGAGTCAATTACAAGTCTGAAGATTCATCAGGGTCATAACTTTGGCAAACACAGGTCTCCATGCTATCTTTCTGAACCATCTTTCTGCCAGAAAAGGTATCTAAGTTTGTTTACTAAATTATTGTTCCCTATGGATGAAGGGCAGTTGAGTCTATGTCTCCACTTTTAAAGCTAAAGTTAAGAGAGCATAAAAGAGGAAACACCTGGCGAATCAGCAGTGCTGGCCATGGGAAAAGCAAACACAAGGCTGACACAGCAGGACAAAGGACGGGGTGCAAAGTGACATTCCAGTCACAAGTAACTCCTCCCCTCCTTGTATTTCTTTGATAAGCAAAAGATGGCCTAGTTCTGTCACTCCAGCATTTTGCAGTTTGATTCTCTGTAGCACACATGAATGGCATTTCTGCCAATGTGGCTGCAGGGCATAATCGAGACCTCAACAGACAGCTCACCTATTTCTTCTTTGATGATCCGCTGGGCTATTCGATCAATGGTTCCCAGTTTGAGTGCAAATGTATCTAAGTAGTCACCTATGGCAGCAAACTCAAGCGGCCGAGTCCTCAGCTTGTAGCCGCCAGTGACGTGCTTGACTGACTCGCCCATTCTGGTCAGCAATGCTATCCCTTGCTTCTTGTAGGCGTTCAGGTCCTGAGGATGATATGTGAATAAGCTCAAAGCACTCACTCACTCACATGGGCAGGACTAAATAAAACAGCTTCTAAAAGCAGCTTCAGTTTGGAAATGGAGAACTCGGGAAACAAGGAGCTGAGTTAGAGGCTCTAATCACATTCACAGGAGGAACCTGGCCTGGACGTCATAACCACCAGACTCAGGCTCCTGTAGGTTGACACTTAAATCCCTTTCAGCAGAGCTGAACGCCAATCCTTAATCAAATTCACTCACCTGAGCACACTGCCCTTTAAACACAATGCTGTTTCTAACATAATTTTTTTTAAGTATCTGTTTCTCCCATACAAAGTACCCTATATTGTCTTTACAAGCAAAACTGAAGAGCAGAGGTTCCGAGATCCATCACTCATTTATTTATACCCCAACTAAAGCCATATAAGGGGAGTAAAGGGTGGAAAGCAGGAAACAGTGGCAGAAAAACATTGCTAGAAAACTCAGGCCTAGGATGGATGCTGTAAACAGCAAAACATTTTAACCCTGGATTTCTTGAAGGCAAAACTGGAAATATGTTGAGTTTCATAACCCATTGTATCTAAATATAAAGCTTATTAGCCAGGCTAGGCATGGTGGCTCATGCCTGTAATCTCAGTACTGTGGGAGGCTGAGGTGGGCAGATCACTTGAGGTCAGGAGTTCAAGACCAGCCTGGTCAACATGGTGAAACCCTGTCTCTACTAAAAATACAAAAAAAAAAAAAAAATTAGTTGGGCATGGTGGCATGCACCTGTAGTCCCAGCTACTCAGGAGGCTGAGGCACGAGAATCATTTGAACCTGGAAGGCAGAGGTTGCAATGAATTGAGATCGTGCCACTTCACTCCAGCCTGGGCAAAAAAGAAAAGCATATTAGCCTGCCTGATAAAACAAGCTTCCTCCTATCATCAAACACTAAGAGGAATCTATACAATCTTCAGGTTGTCCTGTGTCACCTACTGAAAGGGTAGCTTACAAAATGGTTTTACAGAAGGTACAGGTGTCTGTTCCTCATATCCACCCTCAATACAAACAGAATGTTAATCCCCAGACCTAGAAGGGTATAACTAGAGGGAGATAAAGGAACCCAGAACAAGGACACAGCTTTCTGGTGACGTGGCCTGATGCAGAGGATAGAGCAGAGAATGTGGAATGTGCGGCTAACATGGCCCAACAGCCCCTCCGCATTTGATGTACAATTTCAGGCTGAGGTCTCTATAGTATCTGAGTGTAGGCACCTCGTGAATTCACTTCCTTCTTCGCTTCCTTCTTTAGGCCTTCATTTTTGCTCTTGATCCAGCCTTTCCTATTGAGGTAGGTGTGTGTGTGTGTGTGTGTGTGTGTGTGTGTGTGTGTGTTTGTGTGTGTGTGTGTTTAATCCACGGTTCCTGGCTCATAACCTCCACAGACCTTGTTCCAGTCTTTTCACTATAATGTTGGGTGTGTTAAGCCTCAGGAAACAGAATCTCTCTGTCCTTCCCCTGCCCTCCTTTCACCTGCCCCAAGGCAGGACTCGAATCTTCCCCAGCCTTTCTGACTAAGGTCCCTCCCTACACCCTGGAGGATGGAATGCTGCTGTCACGAAGCTTCCACAAAAACCCAAGAGAGCTGGGTTTAGAGAACTTCTGGAGAGCTGAACATGTGGAGTTTCCTGAAGGGTGCTACACCCAGGGAGGGCATGGAAGTTCCACGCCCCTTCCCCCACGCCTCGCCCAATGCAACTCTTCATCTGTATCCTTTGTGATATCATTTATAATAAACTGGTAAATGTGTTTCTCTGAGTTCTGTGAATTGCTCTAGCAAATTAATGGAACCCAAAGAAGAGGTCACGGGAAGCCCAACTTGAAGCTGGCTGGTCAGAAGTTTTGGAGGCTTGAACTTAAGGTCCGAGATCTGGAAGCTCTCAGACTTGAGGACTGAGTCCTCAACCTGTGGGATCTGATGCTATGTCCAGGCAAATAATGTGCAAATTAAACTGGTGGACATCCAGCTGGCAATGGCTGCTTGGTGTTTGGGGAAAATCTCGCCCCCACCCCCACCCCGCAATTTGGTCACAGAAGTCTTCTCCTGTGTTGATGACAACTGTTGTTGCCTGAGAGCAGAGGAAAACCATGGTTTGAGAGTTTTTCTGGAACACCTATCCATACCTTCCCCCAACCGAGGGCCTTGCCCTACCAATTATCCCCTCTCCTGTCTGTATCTTCAACTTCTAATCCTTCAGCATGTAAAATACACCCAAGGCTGACCCATCTTAAAAACAGCAGCAATCTCCTCTAGTTCCTCTCCACCTCTCTCGTTTCCTTCAGAGTCAGGCTGCCTGAGAGAGTGTCCTAAAGATTCCATCTCCCCTTCTGACCTCCCACATTCTAGACAAGAAACATCCTCAAAGGCACAAGGCCTTCACAAGACTATAACTGAAGCCTCAGAGTTCTTGGAATTACCTCTGCAGACAGCGTTTTTACGAGTGGGACTAGAGTCAAATGGGCTCGCTGGACTGCACAGGCTCCGCTTCAAGTAGAGCTTTGAAAGCGTGTCCCCGTTAACCAAGTTAATTTACATGTTGAATAAAGTTATTCAGCAGTATCCATCTGATTGCTGTACCCACTCTGCCAAAGATGAAAATATTGACTTGAATATAGTTGCTATTGAGCGTCCCCATTTCTCCCAGTATTACTACTGGCTGCTGCTGCTGCTTCTTTTTAATATATAGAGATGGGGTCTCACCATGTTGCCCAGACTGAACATGAACTCCTGGGCTCAGGTGGTCTACCTGCTTTGGCCTCCCAAAGCGCTGGGTGTTACAGGCATGAGCCATTACATACAGCCTTTTGGCTTCTTCTTAAGGACATTTCTAATTTGTTGATAAACTCATGTGATCACAAAGAAAAGGAAGAGCGTCTCTGCATTCCCTAAGGCAGAACACGTAAGTGGCTCATCTCAGAACAAGATCAAGTTATTCAAGGTATGTTAAAGGAAAAAATGAGGCAGCTGGAAGAGGGGGAATAGGGTGCTGCCATTTAATGGGCATAGAGTTTCAGATCTGCAAGATGCAAACGTTCTGAAGATGAGCTGCATAACTAATTTAAATATACTTAACACTACTGAACTGTACACTTAGAAATTGTTAGGATAGTAAATGTTAGGTGTATTTTATCACAATTTTAAAAATTTTTAAAGAAAAGATAAGGCCATTTAGCACATTTTGTTCAGCAAGCGATACTGAATTAGGGCTAAAATTTGTTCTGTTTAAAGCCACCTCTCCTGTATTCACTCATATGGAGTCGGATTTTGATTAAGGCAGTAAAGGACCTTATATATATAGATATTTTATATATATTATATTTATTATATATTATATATTAATATATTTATTATATATTAATATATAATATATATTTTTTCTAATTTTTTTTAAATTTTTTATTATTATACTTTAAGTTTTAGGGTACATGTGCACAACGTGCAGATTTGTTACATGTGTATACATGTGCCATGTTGGTGTGCTGCACCCATTAACTCGTCATTTAGCATTAGGTATATCTCCTAATGCTATCCCTCCCCCCTCCCCCAACCCCACAACAGTCCCCGGCGTGTGATGTTCCCCTTCCTGTGTCCATGTGTTCTCATATAAGGACCTTATATTTTTTAAGTCATTTTCATACTGCCTGGCCCACAGATAGATAAATCTCCTCTCTCTCTCTCTCTCACACACACACACACACACACACACACACACACACACTCTCTCTCTCTCTCTCTCTCTCTCTCTCTTTCCTACTTATTCTTCATACAGATTCCTAACAACCAGGGGTCCAAGCTTTTCCCTCCCTTTTCTTTTTTGTTCAGTAAACATGAATGTGCTTAAGGGCTTTCTGGAAAATGGACCTTGGGGGAGAAAGTGAGTTGTGCTTTTGGAGAATAGGATGTATTCTACTTTGAGTATGAGTTGAAGGAATTATACCTGAGGTTTAGTTTGCCAGGAAATACTTAGTTTTAAAAAGTGTACCTGTCCAACCTGTAGGGGGGGAAAGCCTCTGGGAAAAAGAGATGCTGAACTGGAATGTCATCAATAAGGCTCAATGCCAACTGAGGTTATAAAAACTAAAGGACTCTGTCATGCGGCTTCCACTGAGTGAAGAACGGCACACTCTCCGAAGTCTTTAATGTCACCTAATGTTATCTATAGCTATTTCCCAATTTTGCAGATTTGAAAAACTAGAAAGTATCTGGACCACAATACCCTTGCCAACATGGAACATGTTACATATGGCCTGAACATGGGAATATGATACCTGAAACCAAACAGATGGGACTAGAGGGAAGCTAGCAGGAGGGTCTGAGCATGTGACCCCATTTCTGCAGACAGCGAGAGCACAGCACCTCAGGTTTTCTGGCCAGTTCTGCCAACAGGGAAGTGCAGAGAAAGGCCAGTGGACAACCAACTTGAGTTTGAATACACAGAATCTGGCAACTGTGTAGGACCCAAATGTTTTATCTGGCAAATGTCCACCTGACAGGAACATGGTTGCAGGTTAAGTAACAATCAGGCAGTCTGATACACAGGGACGGTGTGGCCTCAGTAGCCACAAAGACCTAATTTGAGATCCTAGTGACGCTACCTGAACAAGGACAAGCTCCTGGAACTTGAGTTTCCTTGTCTGTAAAATGCAGCTGCAAGTAATCACTCAAAGCGCCCTTAAGAAGAAAACCCTCACCAAACACTCAAATGTTCCTTCTGTTCCATGCCCATTGTTGGTCAGACTGGCCTCACCCAGTAATACTGCCAAGTGTTTAAGGAAACACTTAGCTCTGCTTTTGGCAGAGCAAATATTCTAACTTCCTCTGCTGCTGCAAGTGGGTGGGGCCCCGGATGGGGTGGGGACAGATCTCCTAAATTCTAACATAGAATCCATCTATATGGATTTGCTAATGCAAAAAAGCATGCTAATGGACACAGGCACCCAAAAAAAGACCAATTTTATGACAACCCTGTTACAGTGAACCATTTGCTCATGAAGGTGGCTTCTGAAAGATCAAAACCGCTTTTTTTTTTTTTTTTTTTAAAGAGATAGGGTCTCACTCTGTCACCCAGGCTGCAGTGCAGTGGCACGATCATAGCTCACTGAAGCCTCAAACTCCTGGGCTCAAGCTACCTCCTGCCTTAGCCTCCCAGGTAGCTGGGACTACAGGCGCACAACATCACACTCGGCTATTTGTTAAAAGTTTTTGTAGAGACCGAGTCCTGCTCAAAACAGCTTTTAGGAAAGAGCCCCAAGAATGGTAATATGGACGAAGAGGATGTAAATTTCTGCCCTTACCTTAGCAGTAAGGAAAATATTAAAGTGTTCATTGAAAGACAGCACAGGATGGTCCGTAATTCTTTTTAGAAATTTATCCAAAGCTTTTCTTCTGGTCTCCACAAACTCTTCTGAAAAACGATCCACAACACCTTTTACCACAAACTTCTCGGGAAGAGGCTATGAAGACATGAAGAAAAAAACCAGAGTAATTGATGAGATGGTGCAAGGAAAAACAACCAGGCTAGCACACAGTTCTATTACCCCTCTATCCAAGAAAAGTATTTCTTAATCAGGCAGATCTTCATGTAGTCATTAATATAAAGACTTCTGAAAAATACACATGGAGTAAATACCCTGTCAATTTTATAATGCAAGGAATAAAACACTAAATTATAGTCTCTGAAATACAGAAAAGTAGATATTTATCCAGTAAATTCAACAGTAATTTTTACATTGCTTGATGTACACGTGATATGATGGAAAAGTTATGGCAAGAAGAAAAGAAAAGAAGAAAAAGAAAAAGAAAAGAAAGAAGGCAAGCAGGCAGGCAGGCATCAACCACATAAAAATTTATTTAAATATTTTAAGATTCTGCTCCCAGTACTTCATTCCCCATTCATACTTGGTGAATGAATAAATTAGGTAAATTCATGTATCTAAAAAAAATACCTTTTATAGGCCAATTTTTTGGTTTAGGTTTATACTCAAAAGTTATTTAAAACGTAATTTCCTTTATTCCCCTTATTCAAATACATTTCTCTATTATACTGACTTAGAGTCAATACTGTGGGCAATTTAAAACTACCTGCCTACCAAGGGATCTTTGAGCTTTTAATCTGTTTCCATAGTAGTTTGATCAACTGCTTGATTAAAAAGCCTTCTTCATTATTACTACCACAGGGAAAAGAAGTATCTGCTATGCACATGTTTTAAAATATTTGAGCTATGAAATATTTTTAAAATTGTACATTTAAAAAATAGGCAACTAAATCTAATAGATATTTCTCTAAAGAAGATATCCAAATGGCTAAGAAGCACATGAAAAGATGCTTAACATCAGTAAAACCATCATGATACGCCATTTCATACCTGCTAAGATGGCCATAATCTTAAAAAAAAACAAAAACAAAACAAACAAAAAAAAACAAGTGTTGGTGAGGATGTGGAGAAATCAGAACATTTATACATTGCTGGTGGGAATGTAAAATGTGCAGCCACTGTGGAAAACAGTTTGGTGGTTCCTCAATAAGTTAAATTTAGAATTACCATAAAACTCACCAATTCCACTCACAGATTTATGCCCAAAAGAACTGAAAGCAAGGCTGGGCGTGGTGGCTCATGCCTGTAATCCCAGCACTTTGGGAGGCCAAGGCAGGTGGATTGCCTCAACTCAGGAGTTCGAGACCAGCCTGGGCAACATGGTGAAACCACGTCTCTACCAAAAATATTAAATATAAAAACAATTAGCTGGGCATGGTGGCTTGCACCTATAGTCCCAACTATTCAGGAGGCTGAGGTGGGAGGATAGCTTAGGCTGGCAAGATGGGGAGGTTGCAGTGAGTGGAGATTGCACCACTGCACTCCAGCCTGGGTTACAGAGTGAGACTTCATCTCAAACAAACAAACATTTTTTAAAACTTTAAAAAAAAAATTGAAAGCAGGTGCCCAAACAAAATTTTGTACACAAATAGTCATAACAGCCTTGTTTACAATGACCAAAAGGCAGAAGCAATCCAAATGTCCATCAACATGTGAATGGGCAAACAAAATGCGGCATATCCATGCAATGGACTAATAGTTTGTCATAAAAACTAAGTACTAAAACATGCTACATCATGGAAAAACCCTGGAAACATTATGGTAAATGAAAACAGCCAGATACAAAAGTCCATATATATGATTCCATTCATGTGAAATGTCCAGAATAGGCAAACCCACAGAGACAGACAGTAGATGGTGGTTGCCAGGGGCTGGAGAGATCGGGGGAAATGAGATGTGACTGCTTCATGGGTACAGGGTTTCCTTCCAGGGTGATTCTGAAACTTTTCAGAAGGTGGTGACAGATGCACAACATTGTGAATGTATTTGATGCCACTGAATTGTAGATTATAAAATGGTGCTATGTTTTTTAGCACAATAAAAGAGCGTATTACATACCTCAAAGTCATAAAGCATAATAATAGTACCAGCACTTATTAATCTACCACTCAACTTGACAGAGAGAACACTGCCATTGACAAAGTTCCCTGTCAACGGATCCCTGATCAGATCTCCGCTTATTCCTGCCCCCATGAAGGAATTAACAATCCTCAACTTTTTGGTCATTGCTCCCCTCTAAGTTTCAGTTTTAAAACCATGTACTGTTCGTTGAGCTTGTTTAACTTTATAAAAAATAAAATTACAGTTAATGTGTCACTTAATGACAGAGATACACTCTGAGAAATGCATTGTCAGGCAATTTCATCATTGTGTGAACATCACAGAGTGCACCTACACAAACCTAGATGGTGCGGCTACTACACACCGAGGCGATACGGTATAGGCTATTGCTCCTAGCATGTTACTGTGCTGACTACTGTAGACAATTGTAACACAATGGCAAGTACTTGGGTACCTAAACATATTTAAATGTAGAAAAGGTACAGTAAAAATACAGTATTATAATCTTATGGGACCACCATCTATATGCCATCCACCATTGACAGAAATGTCACTATGCAGTACACACCTGTATAGTTCGCTTTTGTCATTCAACATTGTCTTTCTGCGACTTATCCATATTGATGTATGTTTAGCTACAGGAAAATAATTTTACTGTTCCATAGTCACGCACTATATAACTGACTGTGTGACAAATTGTCCACCTACTCTCCTGCCTGTGAACGTGTGCATGATCATGTGAATGGTTTTCAGCTTTATAGCCCTACTAACAATGCTGCTGTGAACACTCGTGCAGATGCAGCCTCTTTAGAAAATGCAAGCCTCTTTAGGGAATAAACCAAGACAACGTTGGCCAAGCAGGTCTATCAGGACAATCACATGCTTTTTCCTTTAATACGGTAAGTGGTAAATTAATATATTTTCTAATGTTAAACCAACCTAGCAGTTCAAGTTCAAAGTAAGACATTAAACACAAGCATTTAACTCCACAACCTCCTCAAACCCCCATAATATGGCAATAAAGAGGATTTTTTAAAATTATAAACCCTGAAGGACAAAAACAAACCAGAAATAAGACATAGCAACAAGGATTAGTGGACTTAGCCAACCCAAAAAAGTGGAATACTAGGCCACTTGGAGTAGGCCTAGTAAACCTAGATTTAGAACACAAAACCTTGAAAAGATTTAGGAATTGGTAACACCAACACCCCACCCCCTGGAAAAGAAGTATTTGGAGTATGAGGGAATTCAGTGCCCTCAACTTGAAAGAGCTTCAGAAAGTATGTTTTAGTTATCAAGAGTAAAGATTCTGATGCCATGCTTCCTGGGTTTATCTTTTGACTTTGCCACCTACTAGCTGTTTGCCTACCGTCAAGTTCTATACATTTCTTGGTACCTCAAGAAGTTGGTGCTAGGTAAAAACTAATAGCATCAACTTCACAGGGTTGTCATGAGGATTAAATTAGCTAATATGCTGAAAGTGCTTTGAATGATTCCTACCACAGGGTAAACACACACAAGTTTGGGTGTCTTTGTTGTAAGACTGGCAGCAGCTTCAGGGGACTACTAATCTTCAGGGACATCCAGTGTTCATTTAAACCTTGACATGGTGGGAATATTCAGAGAAGATGTTAAGAATACTGGGGGATTCTTTATGACAGAGCAGGAGTTCCAAAAAGGGCACAGTGGAAAGGTTTGTAAATGAAAGAAGAGAGGGGAATAGAGTCAGGAATAAAATTACAGACCCACACAAGGATAACATGTCCACGTGTGACACCCAGCAGAGCTTACACTTGAGTAGAATATTCGAAATGCAGTGCTGGATCAGACAGACGGGCCACTCAGCCCGATGCTGGCCCAGTCCAAAGCACTGAGAAGTTATCTTAATGGGATATGGCTGTCCTTTAGGATAATTCCTTTATTCTGGTCAGTTCTTCTCTCCCCCGTTCCTTTAGGCAGCCATTCTCATACCCCAGCTTTTCGTGCTAAGCAGATTACTATCTTTCTGAAGTGAGAACCAGGTGTAAGAGCATCAGATGGAAATTTCCTATTTTGCTTCCTCCACAGAAGCCCATTGACTGGGCATCACCCTCACCTCCATTCCTTAGCCCCTGTGGAAAACAACCCCTCCTCCCCTAAAGCTAAGCATTCCATCTGTGTCCTTGACCCATTTGTTCATTGGGGTGCACCTGTCATTAATCTCTTCCCTGTATCTTCAACATCTCCTGTTCATCCAGCTCTATTCCCAGAATCTATAAAAATATGGTTGGTTTTTCTTCCTAAAAAATACGAATCCAACCACCCCTTGACCTTATATCTTCTCCCTTGTCCTTCCTGGCTCATTCAATCTTTTTGAAAGGAGTCACTTATCTCGACTTCACTGTATCCCATTGATTTCTCAACCCCCAGCCTTCTGCCAACCCTCAAAGCAAAACCAGCTGTGATACTGCCTTCAGTGCTGGGTTTCTCTGCCCTATCCCCACCCAGTGCAGAAACGGCCCTTTTAAAATTGAGTGCCAATGACTTTCTAATTACCAAATCCAGTGGATATTTTCCTGTTCTTACTTCATGAGTCCTGTTACGATACTCTCATTTGCTTCTGCTGAATAAGACTTGAGAGGATGGCCTGAGGCGCAAGTAAGTGGTTAGGAGTGCCTCATTTAACATAAAGATGACATTCTACAATAGGGGTCCATTCTTCAGATTTAGCAAATTGAACTTATGTTTCATCAATCGGGGAAACTTGATATTTAAAGGAACCCTAGAGAGAATCCTTCTGCAAGCAGAATTTCCTCCTGTCATAAGCGTTATCATTTCCAAATGTATGTAGCTTCAGAAATTTCTTGCTATTTCAAGATTCCTTACGGGACACACCTACTCTCAGCCTCACCTCTATTACTGTCTGGGTTGTTTACACATAGGAATCTGGGTTGCAGGTGAAATCAAGTCCATCTATAGTCTGTAAACCACATCATGTAAATGAAAAGAGCTCAACACAGTTCCAGGCACACAGCAGATGTCTAACAAATGCCAAGTATTTTTATTAATTTGTAAGCACCGAGAACAAAAAGCAAAAAGGGGAGTGGACTTACAGGTAGAATGTCTATATAACGTTTAGGCCAAAATGTCTTAAAAAATCGATTGGGGGAAGCAGACACAGTGGCTCATGTCTATAATCCTAGCATTTTGGGAGGTCAAGCTGGGAGGATTGCTTGAGGCTAGGAGCTCCAGACCAGCTTGGGCAACATAGCAAGACCCCATCTCTACAAAAAATAAAAAATTAGCTGGCCATGGTGGTGCACGCCTGAAGTCCCAGCTACTGTGGAGGCTGAGGTGGGAGGATTGCTTGAACCCAGGAGTTGGAGGCTGCAGTAAGCTATGGTCATGCCAATGCACTCCAGCCTGGGTGACAGAGTGAGATCCTGTCTCAAAAAAACAAGTCATTTGGGATCTACTTCTTCACACCCACTAGAATTTTTAAAGTAAAATAGCAAATGTTGGCAAATACGTGGAGAAATTGGGCCCTCATACATTTCTAGTGCAGATATAAAATTATAAGCCACTGTGGAAAACCGTTTGAACAATTCCTCAAAAAATTAAACACAGAATTACTATATGCTCCAGCAATTCCACTTCTTGTTGTATAGCCAAGGTAACTGAAAATAAGTGCTCAAACAAAATCTTAGACAACCACCAGTGTTGATAGCAGCATTCTTCATTATAGCCGGGCTGGGAAAAGGAGGGAATTGAGAGTGGTTCCTTAATGGGTACAAAGTTTCTTTTGGGGGTAATGAAAATGTTCTGGATTAAATAGTGGTGATGGTCGTACAACACTCAATGGTGGTGATGGTCGTACAACACCGTGAATGTACTAAAAGTCACTGAATTGGACACTTCAGAATGGTTAAAATGGTGATGTGTAATATGGATTTTACTTCCTTTTTTAAGAAAAGGAGATGTGATGGTGGAAGCAGAGATGATGACAGATATGCTGCTGGCTTTGAAAATAAAGAGGCCATGAGCCAAGGAATGCAGACAGCCCCAAGAGCTAGAAAAGGTAGGCAAACAAATTCTCCCCTAGAGCCTTCTGGTGGAATGCAGCCCTAGCCTATATGTTGATATTAGCTCACTAAAACTGATTTTGGACTTTTGACCTCCAGAGCTGTAAGAGAATAAATTTCTGTTGTTTAAGGTACTTAAAAAAAAAAAAACACCTGGGTGTAGGGGTGAGGGAGTGGACAGTGATGAAACAAGATTGGCCATGAGCTGATAAATGTTGAAACTGAGTGATGGAGTTTCAACGGGACTCATCGTACTGAATCTCTTCAATATGGTTAATATTTTCTACAATGAAAACATTTTTAGAAACTGAATATACACATATATATGTTGGATCCTGCAAAAAAATCCTATTTGCAAAGTATTACAATAATCCATTAAATATTTCAGGGTTTAATCTTGAAATACTGATATTAGATAGTACTTAGTACTTTAGTAAAGCACTGTCATTTATATTCCATATTAGTTTATAAAGCTGTTTTATAATCTGAAACAATAGCATATTTGTTGTAGACTGTCAATGGAAAGCTGCTATTTCTGGGTAGGAAATCTAGACAAATCTTTCAATTGCTGAATCCTGAAATGTCCAACTTCCTCGTCAGCAAATGACTTGCTTCTTCTAAGCAATTCAACAAATATTTAGTGCACATTAAATATTTACATGGCAGAGGCCTATTTCTCCTACCCTTGTCGAACTAATAGAAAATACTGCTTCTAAGCAAAAATTACTACCAAATAAATAAAGGAGCATAGAGATTAAAAGCTTGTCACCAAGTGCAGAGATTAAAAACAATAATCACCAAGCCCAGTTTAATGCAAAGCATTAGGAAGTTGAACCAATGTTTCAATACTTATTAACTTATCCATTGAATAAGCTAAACGCAGGTATATTTTTAACAGTAGAAAAAAGAAGAACCCAACTAGAAAATGGAGTTTTTATTATTTCATATTAAAAAAAAAATTGTTGCATTACAAATTTATTCTCATTAATTCCTCTGAGTTTACTACTACTCAAAAGAAAACTTGGACATAATACAAATGTATCCTTCCAGAAAGCTTTCTTCCTTAAAACTGAGGTAAACATTAAATTTCCAAGTGAAAATTAAACACTCAAGTGTTTATTCAATGTATCTGCTTCATCTTCCAAATCTAATACGGGCACCCATCTAATCATGAAATTGCTCTGCTGTGTAACTAGTGCTCCAGGAAATGCAGAAGTGTCAAACCCACTGAACAAATACCGAAGCAGAAAATAGAATGGTGGTTGCCAGGGGTACGGAGAGTGGGAAATGGGGAGTTGTTCAATGGATATAAAGCTAGTGTTATAAAACATAAATAAGTTGTTCCAGATATCTGCTGTACAAAGTGGTACCTATAGTTAACAATACAGTCATCCTCCCTTATCCTAGGGGGATACATTCCAAGACCCCCAGCAGATGCTGAAGCCATGGATGGTATTGAACCCTGTATATACTATGTTTTTCCTATATATACACACCTATAATAAAATTTAGAAACAAGGTGTCACTGTGTTGCCCAGGCTGGTCTTGAACTCTTGGGCTCAAGTGAACTTCCCACCTGTATATACATACCTATATATGTATATGTTTTTTCCTATACATACCTATAGTAAAATTTAGTTTGCAAATCAGGCAGAGTAAGAGATTCACAATAATAAAACAGAACAATTATAACAATATTCTGTAATAAGTGTTATGGGGATTTGGCCTTTCTCTTTCTCTCTCAAAACATCTTATGGTACTGTATTCATTCTTCTTCTTGTGATCTCCAGCCTGATAACCAAGAGGGCTACTAAAGGACTCACAGGTGGGCAATGTCTACAGCGTGGATACACCGGACAAAGATAATTTATGTCCTAGGCGGGACTGCATGAGATTTCATCACACTATTCAGAACAGCAAACAATGTAAAACTTATGAACTGTTTATTTTTGGAATTTTCCATGTCATATTTTTGGTCTACAGGTAACTGAAACCATGGAAAGCAAAACCACAAATAAGGGGGAATGACTGTATGGTGTTGCATGCTGTAAAATGTGATAAGACGAGAGATCTTATGTTACATGTTCATGTTACACATTATGTACATCTTATGTTACAGGTTCTTACAAAAAAAAAAAACAAAACAAAACAGCAAAGGGACAAAAGAAAACTTGTGAAGGTGATGGATCTGTTTATTACCTTGATTGTGGTGATGGTATCAGGGGTACATACAAGCCTATCGAATCGTATGCATTAAATATGTGCAAGGCTATTCTGTATATCCATTATATCTCAAAAAAGCTTTAAAAAAAACAGAGGGAAAAAGTCATAATGAAGACTTTCTGGCAGCTCCAACTATTACATAATGAAGAAAAACACAGTGAACTGCTGTTATGAGATGACAAACATATACAACCAGCATACTTCTGGTTCCAAGAAGGCATTTTAAGAACATATGGTTACTCTTGGCCAGGCGCGGTGGCTCATGCCTGTAATCCCAGCACTTTAGAAGGCAAAGGCAGGAGGATCCCTTGAGGCCAGGAGTTTGAGACCAGCCTGGGCAACATAGCAAGACTCTGTCTCTACCAAAAAAAGAATTAGCCAGGCATGATGGCATAGGGTGCCTGTAGTCCCAGCTATTCGAGAGGCTGAGGTGGGAAGATCACTTGAGCCCAAGAGTTCAAGACCAGCCTGGGCAACACAGTGACACCTTGTCTCTACAAAAAAAAATTAAAAACCAGCCAGGCATGGTGACACATACCTGAGGAGGTTGAGGTGGGAGAATCGCTTGATCCTGGGAGGTCGAGGCTGCAGTGAGCTGTGATCATACCACTGCACTCCAGCCTGGGTGACAAAACAACATTCCTGCCTCTTAAAATTTTATACATATAATGGGGCTGGGCGCAGTGGCTCAAGCCTGTAATCCCAGCACTTTGGGAAGCCAAGTCAGGCGGAACACGAGGTCAGGAGATGGAGACCATCCTGGCTAACATGGTGAAACCCTGTTTCTACTAAAAATACAAAAAATTAGCCAGGCATGGTGGCGGGCGCCTGTAGTCCCAGGTACTAGGGAGGCTGAGGCAGGAGAATGACGTGAACCCGGGAGACGGAGCTTGCAGTGAGCCGAGATCACACCACTGCACTCCAGCCTGGGTGACAGGGCGAGACTCCGCCTCAAAAAAAAAATTATATACACACACATATATATACACACATATACACACACACATATATACACATATATACAAACACACATATATATATACACACATATATATAAAATTTGAAAAAAGAACTATGAAAATTTAAGGATGAAAAGGCACCCCAATTTTTAAATGGGCAATGGATCTTAATTGATATTTCTCCAAGGAAGATATGCAAATGCCCAAAAGCACATGAAAAGATGCTCAACATCATTAGGGAAATACAAATTAAAATCACAATGAGATAGCACTGCACATCCAGTAGAATGGCTACAATCCAAAAGACAGACAGTAACAGCATTGATGGAGATGTGGAGAAACTCCTATACATCGCGTGTGGAAATGTAAGTTGCTGTCATCACTTTTGAAAACAGTCTGGCAGTTCCTCAAAAGGCCAATTATAGAGTTATGTATGATTCAACAATTACATTCCTAAGAATACACCCCCCCCAAAATGGGAACATGTCCACAGAAAAACTTGTACATGAACGCTCACAGCAGCATTACTCATAATAGCCAAAAGGTGAAACAACCAAAACGTCCATCAAGGGTGAATAGACAAAATGTGGTATTATCCATAAACTAGAATATTATATGGCAATAAAAAGGAATTAAATATTAATATATGCTACAACATGGATGAACCTTGAAAATATGCTAAGTGAAAAAACCCAGTAACAAAAAAAATCACGTTGTGTATCATTTCACTTACATGAAATGTCCAGAATAGGCAAATCTGTAGAAAGTACATGAGTGGTTGCCAGGGGCTGGGAGATATACAGTGTTTGTAAGTGACAGCTAAGGGATGTGAGGTTTCTTTTTGGGGTGATAAAAAGATTTGAAAATGGATAATGCTGATGGTTGTCCAATTTTATGAATATACTAAAAGCCTTTGAATTGTACATTTTAAATGGGTGAATTATATGTTATATAATCTCAATAAATCCTTTCTTAAAAAGGGAAATGAACATTTCTGCATGTTTGCTGGGTCTCCAACTGATAATAAGTTCCCCAAGGCAGGGGTCCTTTGTCTTCCTTATAACCTTCTCATCCCATCCTCTCTTCCTCCCAAAGATGACACTTAAATAACAGACAGACACCTCCTAGCAAAGCTACTATAAAATTTTTTTGTAGCGGATGAGGGGGGTTGGTTGCTGGTTTGACTTTCATACTTAAATCAGAGAGGCTCTCCCATATTAAATCTCCACTCCAGATATGCAAGTACCAAGAATTTATGAAAAAAAATTAAGTTTCTGCTTGTTTCTAAAGTAGCTTCCTACCAACTGCTTCTATCCAGACCATCAGAAACCACACTTAAAGATATTCTGGATCCACTTTGGGCATTCCGGAAATTCTTCCATTCTCTTCTAGTGTCTATGGAAGAGTAGACACTATGTTTCAACCAGCAGGTGTCACTGTCTTACCTTTGCGCTTCCAGTATCAACCTCACAGGCACCAGCTGCCAGGAGGGCAGCTCCCTGATGCATGGTGTGGGCTATAAATAAACAGTGACTTTCTTCCAAAGAGTACAGTACAAAAAGGCTGGGAGAAAGAGTAATTGTACAGTGAAGAAAGCTGACCAGCACTACCTCAAGTCAGGCGATGGAGGTTCACATCAATGGTGAGGCACACTGTTGACAGCACGTGCCCTGGATAGGTGATGAGGGTGGCAGCTTGCCTCTGTGGTTTCCTCCCCAAACACATTACCCCGATTGGGAAAGCCGTCAGACAAATGTCAACTGAGGGACAAGTCTACAAAATTCCTGACTAGTACTCCTCAAAACAGTCATGGTCATCCAAAAAAGGGAAAGCCTGACAAACTGTTACAACCAAGAAGAGCCTAAGGAGACATGACTGCTAAATAAAATGTGGGATCCTGGGTAGGATCCTGGAACAGAAAAAAGGAACTTGGGCCGGGCGTGGTGGCTCACACCTGTAATCCCAGCACTTTGGGAGGCCGAGGTGGGAGGATTACCTGAGATCAAGAGTTTGAGACCAGCCTGGCCAACATGCTGAAATCTCATCTCCACTAAAAATACAAAAATTAGCTGGGCATGGTGGTGTGCACCTGTAATCCCAGCTACTCAGGAGGCTGAGGCAGAAGAATCGCTTGAACTCCGGGGGCAGAGGTTGCAGTGAGCCAAGATCATGCCACTGCACTCCAGCCTGGGTGACAGAGGTAAACTTCATCTCAAAAAAAAAAAAAAAAAAGAAAGAAAGAAAAATAAAAAGGAACTTGGAATAAAAGACTTTTAGTTAATAATGGTGTTTATTTCATAATGACTGGTTCATTTTGACAAAAGTGCCACACTAATATAAAATGTTAATACCGGATGTGAGGCTTGAGAATTCTCTCTACTACCTTCACAATAATTCTGTAATTCTGATAATGTTCTAAAATGCAGTTTATTTTTTAAAAATTATTCACTAACTGCCTATTTTGCCACCTTAAGATTCTATTTTAAGGAATATTCCCAACTGTTTAAAAACTACTGTTTCCTCTTCAGGCATGTTTTTAAGTGGTTAGAAGACAGAAAAAGCAAAACTTCAGGCTCGGAGAACAGAAAAGTATGTGGAGGAAAAAGGAGATACCCTGAGAAAGAACTGAGTCCCAGGTGAGAGCCATCGTTCCTATCACAGTACTGGCAACGTGGCTCTTTTCACCCTGAAAACTGAGAAAACTGCCAGTGCATTCACAACATACACAGCCTCTTCTAACCATGGGGGGAAAAAGGCTGGGAGATGCGGTAGTAACAGAAAGTTGGTAGTCCTAGGAAGTTATCATTCAACAAAGGTTTTTGCTGAAAGATAAATCAGCCCCTCTGAGGAGTTTTATGACTCAAACTGCTCTAAAGCCCCCAAGGCCCAAAGAAACATCTGGTGTCCAAACCGTTATTATTTCTACTTTTAACAAAAGTAGTCAGAAAAGTACTCAATATAAATGTTGAGGCCAGGCACGGTGGCTCACACCCGTAATCCCGGCACTTTGGGAGGCTGAGGTCGGTGGATCACCTGAGATCAGGAGTTCGAGACCAGCCTGGCCAATATGGCAAAACCCCATCTCTACTAAAAATACAAAAACTAGCTGGGCGTGGTGGCATACGCCTGTAATCCCAGCTACCCAGAAGGCTGGGGCAGGTGATCCACTTGAACCTGGTAGGGGCAGGTGATCCACTTGAACCTGGGAGTCGGAGGTTGCAGTGAGCTGCGATCATGCCATTGCGCACCTGCCTGGGCAAGAGAGTGCGACTCTGTCTCAAAAAAAAAAAAAAAAAAAAGATTTAAATTTCTTTTGCTCTGGTTCTGTTTTTTAAAAACTGTGCAGATGGAAGCGCTGGAGTAGATAAATGTCACGTTGCTTCAATAAACAGTGTTAGGTGGTTTCTTGTTTTTTAAATGAAAAACTGTGGCAATGGATTCTGTGCTAGATTTCTGCCGCTGTGGCTAAAGAAAGCCCAGCCAGCCGCAAAACTGGCTTTCTATATACCAAATCAGAAACTAAAACCTAATAGGTGAAGTATTGTATACAGTGTCCGTTAACATGTTTTATATATGTTTGCTGGGTGAGTCTGTATAACTTAAGGGATGAGAGTTGAGTGAACCCCTTCAGGAAAGACAACACAGGACAAGTGAGAAACAAGCTGTAGTGACTTACTACCTACGGGAATGAGATGAGTGGGCTGGGATTCTTCCAGTTTGCTCCTCAACCAGTCAAAATCCTGGTATCTTCGACGAACAGAATATTCTGGCAGGTCAAACTCCACCCGAGTACTCTGCAAAGAAGAGAATGGAAAAAAATAAGCATAAGGGAATAGCATATCTTGGCTGAAGGGAAGGAAAAAAGCTCTTAGAATAACCAAACTAGGCAAGATCATATTTTCCTTCCACCAAACACAACAGCCAAATGGCAGAGTTTACCAACACAGAATAGACCAGTCTGGGACACTTAGCCCAGTTAAAAATTCAACGAGCTGGAATAAAAATGCCAGTTTTCCGAGATTGCACCACTGCACTCCAGCCTGGGTGACAGAGCGAGACTCCGTCTCAAAAAAAAAAAAAAAAAAAAAAAAAAAAAAGCCAGTTTTTTTTTTTTTCCCTACCGTCAGGAAATAGAATTCAACTATCCCCCAGAATTGTTTAGAAACATTTGATTCATTTCCTCCAAGCTTAACTCTAACAATTTCTTTTAGCAGAAAAAATCCACTTAGGATATTGCTACTAAATCCAAATCTGTGAAAAGAAATTGTCTCCACCTTCTGCTAAATATGCTGACAAGTTTTGCCAAAGAGGAAATAAACAAAAAGTAAAGATAATAGATCACTGCTCATTTCGGGGGCAGATTAGATGAAAATAGAAAAGGTTTTGCTTAATTTGCCACATTCTGCCAAACCACAACCCTGGAACTGTTATATTTTAGACAGATAAGAAAAAATCTAGAAATAATACAAAAATGCCATTGCATTGCAGAAAAATATTAATAATCTCATCCCTTTTTCTCAATTTTTAAAGTTTTCTGAAATGTGATTGCAGCACTTTAATAATGAAAATCAATGTTAAATAAAATTGAGTTGATTTTTACCAAAACAAGATTTTTACTCATTTACTGGCACAAATTACACCGTGTCTCACATAAGCCATTTTTCCCTATGAGGATACACACTATATGACTGTCATGGTTCTCAGAAATTAAAGTACAAGATAAAAATGGGTCAAGCTACATCTCATAAATTTACTCTTTCAAGCCAAAAGTCTGTTTTAATTCACAGCACCAAGAAAATCTTTAAGCACATGAACGAGAGTCATTCATCAAAGAAAAAGCTGTGAACAGCTCTAGCATCAAAAATTATGATTTCATCCTCCCCAAAACCTGTGTTCACTGTCTTAGCAAAATGGTGAAGTTCAAGGACTCATTCTTGGACTGACCCCCAACTAACTGCATTGTTTCCCCTCTTCAAGTCCCACACACCAGCATATGCCTATGAAACACGACCTTCCTCTGTGTTTGCAAGGGTGAAGATGTGGGGAAATTCACTCAATGTAGGTATTTGTGACTTATCAGATGATTTTCCCAAAGGAACTAGCATTGTAGGACTGGAGAGAGAGGAAAAAAGACAACACTTAAATCCAGAGAGCAAGTCATTGTTGACAAATTTTCAAGCACAGCATGACAGAAATATTGGGAACAAGTGGCCTGATACTCCCATCCCCACACCACCCGCACAGGCGGAGTAGGAAGGACTCTGCGCCTATGCAGTTCTTGCATCCCTACCAGATCCCTAACATGTCACTAAGCCTCCTTGAGCCCTAGGTTCAACAGTAAGAAGAGAGTTAGGGCAGGGCGTGGTGGCTCATGCCTGTAATCCCAGCCCTTTAAGAGGCCAAGAAGGAAGGATTAGCTTGAGCCCTAGAGTTTGAGACCAGCCTGGGCAACATAGCGAGACCCCATCTCTGCAAAAAAAAGTTTTAAATTAGCCAGGTGTGGTAGTGCATACTTGCAGTCCCTACTACTCAGAGGCTGAGGCAGGAGGATTGTCTGAGCCCAGGAGGTCGAGACGACTGCAGTGAGCTGACTGTGCCACTGCACTTCAGCCTAGGCGACAGAGTGAGACCTTGTCTCAAAAAAACAAAAGCAGGTTGGAAGGGAAGTTCAAGACCTCCCATCTCCCCCCGATAGGCTCCATGTGAGAACTTGCCAATGATTAAGGGCTAATGAAAGACATATTTTGAAAGGTGACAAATTAAAGCAACTGGTTTTCATTGTAAACCAAACTGATGGAAGGCTCTACTTTTTGCCTTCTTAAATGTTACACGATTATTGGCTGGGCGCAGTGGCTCACACCTGTAATCCCAGCACTTTGGGAGGCCGAGGTGGGCTGATCATTTGGGGTCGGTAGTTCAAGATCAGCCTGGCCAACATGGTGAAACCCTGTCTCTATTAAAAATACAAAAATTAGCCAGTTGTGGTGGTGGGTGCCTGTAATCCCAGCTACTCAGGCAGCTGAGGCATAAGAATTGCTTGAACCCCAGAGGGGGAGGCTGCAGTGAGTCAAGACTGCACCACTGCACTCCAGCCTGGGAAACAGAGCAAGAGACCCTGTCTCAAAAAAAAAAAAAAAAAGTTACACTATTAACTGATCATTTCTCTTATGTTTTTCAGATCCATTTCATAAATTACAGTTTATGTAATATTTCTACTCTAATTTGAAATCATTTTTGGTAACTACAAAAGACAGCACAATAGAACACACGTTTTATTTTTGCCACAACCAATTTCACTTTTGGGGAACAGGCTTTTTTTTTTTCCTTCTATTTATTCGGGTTATATACTTATTTTAAAACTTCAAGAAAAATAAATAGAAAATAAAAGATCAGCCATAATCCCTCTAAATACAGAAAAACACAATTAACATGGTTTATATGTTTCCATATTTTTCTACGCATATTCATTCATTTACTCATTGTCTGTATCTCTTTTAGCACATCTTGGACATCTTTCTGCAGCAGTAAGTTCAGATGTACAGTCATTTTAACACATACATAGTATTCCACTGAATGGTTACACGATAATTAAACCAAATCCCCATTTAAGTTGTTTCCAATTTTTCCATCAATAAACAATACTTTTGTAAACACCATTGAGCACCTCGTAATTCCCTTAAAATAAATTCCTAAAGATAGAATTGCTGGACAAAAGTGTACATATACTTTTTAATTGACAAACTGCTTTCAGAAATATAGCAATTTATATTCTTACCACGTATTCTCAGGAACTAGTTATCTTTGGTGGACTGATAAATGAAAAATAATACATCATCTTTGTTTACAGTTGTTTCTTTAATTACTATTGGGGTTGAACATCCTTTCAAATGTTTATTGGCCAAAAGAAGAAAAGTATTTTTCTTCTTTTATCAGGGGTCTTTTTAAAAATTATAAGTCCAGCCAGGCGCAGTGGCTCATGCCTATAATCTTAGCACTTTGGGAGGCCGAGGCAGGCAGATAGCTTGAGTCCAGGAGTTCAAGACCAGCCTGAGCAACATGGCAAAACCCTGTCTCTACAAAAAATGCAAAAATTAGCCGGGCATGGTGGCATGCACCTGTAGTCCCTGCTACTCAGGACGCTGAGGTGGGAGGATCGCTTGAGCCTGGGAGGCAGAGGTTACAGCTAGCCAAGACTGCACCACTGCACTCCAGTGTGAGCCACAGAGTAAGACCTCAACTCAAAAAATAAATAAAAATAAAAATAAAAATTGAGTCAAGTCTTTTTCATTTGTGTAAGTTCTTTATTACCATTTGCCTATCATAATTTCCAAATGGTTTGTCTGATACAGAATCTTTCCATTGTTTTATTGTTGATTTCATCCATATTTGCCCTTTATGCTACTTTTGGGGTCTTCAGTAAGAAGGCCATCCCCACTGCAAGCTTATAAAAATATTCACCTATAGTCTCTATGATTTTCTTTTCTAGTTATGTCTAATCACTGCTTTTCTACTTCTAGGAATCTACCATTGGAAAATAATGTCTAAACTGTGGCAAGGATATTTGCATAATGATCTTCATTGCAATATTATTTAAATCAGCAAGGAATCAAAGCAACCTAAATATTCAATAATTAAAAACTATTAATGAAATTATGGCATATTTATTCTATGGCTGTCAGTAATTTTGTTGGTAAGACTTTTTTTTTTTTTTTAAATTTAGATAAGAGCCAGGAGTGGTGGCTCATGCCTGTAATCCCAACACTTCGGGAGGCCGAGGCAGGCGGATCACTTGAAGTCAGGAGTTCAAGACCAGCCTGGCCAACATGGTGAAACCCTGTCTCTACTAAAAATACAAAAATTAGCCAGGCATGGTGGTGCATACCTGTAGTCTCAGCTACTGTACTCTGGAGGCTGAGGCAGGAGAACTGCTTGAACCTGGGAGGCAGAGGTTACACTGAGCCAAGATCGCGCCACTGCACTCCAGCCTGGGCGACAGAGTGAGACTGTCTCGCAAAAAAAAAAAAAAAAATTAAATACAGTCCCCCAGGCTGGAAGGCAGTGGCACAATCATAGCTCACTGTAGCCTCAAACTCCTGGGCTCAGGCAATCCTCCCACCTCAGCCTCCCAAGTACCTGGACTACAGGCACATGCCACCATATCTGGCTGATTTTTGGTGGTTTTTTTGTTTGTTTTTTTTGTAGAGATAGGCGTCTCACTATGTTGCCCAGGCTGGTCTCTAACTCCTGACCTTAAGCAATCCTCTGTCTCAGCCTTCCAAAGTGATGGGATCACAGGCATGAGCCACCACAACCAGGGTATAAGACATTGTTGTTTTGGGGGGTTTTTTTTGAGATGGAGTCTCACTCTGTCGACCAGGCTGGAGTATAGTGGCATGATCTCGGCTCACTGCAACCTCCACACCTCCCAGGTTCAGGTGATTCTCCTGCCTTAGCCTCCCAAGTAGCTGGGACTACAGGCGTGCGCCACCACACCCAGATAATTTTTGTATTTTTAGTAGAGACGGGGTTTCACCATGTTGACCAGGCTGGTCTCAAATTCCTGACCTCAAGTGATCCACCCACCTCAGCTTCCCAAAGTGCTGGGATTATAGGCATGAGGCACCATGCCCGGCCTGTTGTTTTAAGGGAAAATGGGAGGATACAAAATTAATTGTACATAAGGATTTCATTTACATTAATATCTGGATATTAAAAAATTTAGAAGAAAAATTTAAAGCTAATAATGAGAACTGTCCTCTTTATATTCACTCTTATTTCCAAATTTTACACCATTCTCATACACTATTTTTATAGTCTCACACACACACAATGCTCATTTTTTAAAAGCTCCTTTAAGGACATTGGGAACTTAATACAGCAAGAAAAACCTGCTTGATGCTTTGGAAAGCAATAACGTAAGAAGTTATCATGAAAGGGATGCTCAAGGTCCACTACGGTGGCTCACACCTGTAATCCCAGCACTTTGGGAGGCCAAGGTGGGCAGATCACTTGGTCAAGAGTTCAAGACCAGCCTGGCCAACATGGTGAAACCCCATCTCTACTAAAAACACAAAAATTAGCCGGGTGCGGTGGTCCATGCCTGTAGTCCCAGCTACTCGGGAGGCTGAGGCAGGAGAATTGCTTGAATCTGGGAGGCGGAGGTTGCAGTGAGCCGAGATCGCATCACTACACTCCAGCCTGGGTGACACAGGATGACTCCGTCTCAAAAAATAAATAAATAAATAAATGGATGCTTGCACACTCTCTGACCCAGTATTTATTTTACTTATTTTTACCACAATTTGTTCTAGAAAAGATATAGTGATAGGTAAAATACAATCAAATGACATAAATTAGAAGTAGGTGAAAAGGAAAGAAAAAACAAGGACAGAGGGAAAAAGTAGAGCCAGGAATGAGGCTAGCAAAACACACTCACAATGAAACACTGCACACCAGCTGAAACTGGGCCAGAGACACTACTTGGAATTTCTGGAGAGAAACACATTTATAGGACTCACAGTATTCATAAAACAGGCAGACCAGTAAAACTCCAAAGATAAGTTTGTAGTAAATTTTTCCTCCATGAAATTCAGGATCTAACTTAGGAAAATTTAAAAATATACATTTATCTCTATTTTTGAATACCTATAGTAAACAATTTTTTAAAAGAACGAAAAGCATACACACACAATTCCATAATCAGAGACAACCACTACATCATTTTGTTCTATGTCCTTCCACATCGTGTGTCCACAATGCAGAATGTCCAAAGATCACAAGGTCACGGGCGCACATGTACAGTCAGGTCTAAGAACAGGTGACCAAGCACAAGAATCATAGTCAAGAAGGCTCATTTTTGCTATGCTAGAAGTGTAACACCATCACTCCACGTGGATACGTCCCTGGTCATCTCCAGACATCCCTGGAAATTTTTTTTTCCTTCAGAAGTTCAACATTTTAGAAGACCCAGCACAGAATGACAGTCTAATCGGTCATCCAGCAGGGCACTCCACCTACTGGGCCCCACTCACCCTACCACATAAGGTCTCCCCTTATGCCCCAAGAGCTGACATGCCCAACAACTGTGGCCCAAGGCCGTTCCGAAGAACGTCCATTTGATCCAAAATTTACAATTGAGTCACTCCAGAGAGACGTGGTCTTTATCACAAGTGCCATCTGTCCAGGCCACAGCTGGGTCTTAAGAATTCTAGGCAACCCCCATCTCCCAACAAAGGGATCTCTTCCCTTATCAAACAAAAACCAGCTAGTCCCATTCTGCCTCAAAACCCCACTGCCCTGAGAATGACAAGTAGAGGCTTCCAGCCTTTCATCCTCACGCTCCTCTGCCTTCCTTTCTTCCAACATGGACTTCCACTTATCTCGTTCCTCTCAGATCTTTCTGCCAAGCTCTCTGGAAGACCCACGCCATAGTTAATAAAGTCTTGTCGTTCTTCTGCCCATTCAAATTCTGAAACCTGGCTCTCCCTGAGAATCGGGCCTCCCTGCCATCGGTCCCTCTGTGAGCTGCTCGCATTCCACAAGCCTCGCCCAGCCCCCAAGGCCAGGAGCTGCTGCTGACATGCTCCTCGTTCCACACAGCTCCTGACCACCACTCCCCAACCGCCCTGTGAAAACCCTTCTGAGGCTCGTGCCATCCAGTGACATACATCCTGTATCTCTCCCGCACAGCTGTCATCCACTGACAGCTCTGCCATTTCTCCTGATGCCCTGAAGATTCAAGCAGCTGGCTCTCAGGCTTCCTTTCCAAGCCCTTCCACAACCTAAGTGCCCTCGAGATCCAGGTGGCTCATACATACAACACCAGCCTCTAAGCAAGCAATGTTTCCTTCCATTCCACAGCCTCTCCCAGACCGTCACCAGGGAGAAACCCACACATCTCCCTCTAAACGGCATCCCCTATATTTCAGGCTCTTCCTCTTCCCAACATCCTTGGTTTCTCAGCCTCTTGGGACCTAAAGTTCCTTGACATTCCATCCATTCATGTCTTTACTTCCTTCCTTCTTTACTCAGCATCCATTCCATGGCCCAGAACTTCAATCACTTACAGCAATATCTAAATGTTGTTCCCTCCCCACTGCCCATTCACCCAACTCGTAAAAACCCACTTGCTCTACCAGACCTGGGTGTGTGAGCACACTGCTAGAGGAGAAACAAAATCAAGCAAACACACGGACAGACACGATACATTCTACAACCAGACCCTCCAACATTGCCAGGCACCCTTTTCATACTCCCTTACGTCAGCTCACTCCCACACTGTCCAAATCATTTATCAAAAAGCCCATAAAAGTTGTGAAAATTTCTAATCCCCACTTCAAACCACCCCCACCCTTAGAAGGCTTCATCATCTATTCAGAGAGAAAACTCCAGATATAAGCAAAGAACCCCTTAACTTCCTGCCACAAAACAAACTTCCCTTCCTTCTCCACAAACAATGGAAAAAGTACACCGCCCCTTCGGTGGCAATTCTAGCTTCCTCCGCCTTCCCAGGAGCCTCCATCCTACTCTCCAATCTTCAACCTAATGCCTTCTTCTCTACCAATACTGCGCAACTGGCAGTTAAACAAGTCTCTTTCATCCTTAAAAACAGCAGCAGTCCAAAAAAAAAAGCCTCCCTCTCCCTCAAACCCATGCCCACTTCTGACCACTGCTCTCTATGCTTGTTTTCATTGCCAGAATTCTAACACTCTTCTCTCTCTTACCCCTCGCTCACTCTAACCCACTTGGGTTCTGCATCACTACACCAATGAAACTGCTCACACCACAACCAGCAATAACTGTGTCATTAAACTAACGTCCACTTTGCATTGTACATAATTCAGCCTCGGAGCAGCATTTAGACTCTGTTGACCACTGAGGCATTTAGAAAGAGGAACTAGTTGGGGTGTTATGACTCTTTTTCTTTTTTTTTTTACACACCACTGGTAATGAGGCTAAACACAAGAAAATAATAAACCCTGAAGGGAATTGAAGGCTCGCCTCTGTTTCCTCACCCTCAAGCCTACTTCTGTATTGTCAGTTTCAACCACACAGGCCATGCTACTGGACCACAGTGCTGGGTATCGGGGCCATCCCTCTCTTGAAAATCATGTCTTTTGGGCCAGGCGCAGTGGCTCACGCCTGTAATCCCAGCACTTTGGGAAACCAAGGTGGGCAGATCGCCTGAGGTCAGGAGTTTGAGACCAGCCTGTCCAAAATGATGAAACCCCATCTCTACTAAAAATACAAAAAATTAGCCAGGCACAGTGCTGTAATCCCAGCTACTCAGGATGCTGAGGCAGGAGAATCGCTTGAACCTGGGAGGCGGAGGCCGCAGTGAGCTGAGGTCATACCACTGCACTCCAGCCTGGGCAACAGAGCAAGACTCTGTCAAAAAAAAAAAAAAAGAAAGAAAATCATGTCTTTTGGGCAAGATTATTAATATTTATTATCTTTAGAATCAGAGAGACCTGGACTCAAGTTCTAGCTCCACCACCCATGAGTTGCATGTCTTTGAGCAATTTTCTTAACATCTCTGTCTCTCAATTTTCTCATTTGTAAGATAATAGTATTTATATCTACTTCATTGAGTGTGAAGATTAACTGATAATATACGTAAAGCATTTAGCACAAAATAAATGAGGGCACATCCATACAATGGAACGCTATTGCAGTCTTATAAACAATAGCATAAAAGCATGCTTACTGGCATTTCCTAGCATAGAAACATGTTCACAATGTATTAAGTGAATTGGCAGTATACAAAATACTCGTTTTTGTAAAACTGGATGAAGTAGTATAGAAAGTCAGCAACAATTATTTCTGGCTGGTGAGCGTATAGGCATTCTTTAGTGTTTTAGCTTACTTGAACTTTCTTTTTTTTCTACAATGAACATACATTACTTATATAACATAAAAATAAAAGGGTTTCAACTGCAAAAAAGTACAGTGCATGGTAAGTGTCCAATAACTAGCTGCTGTTATGATGTTACTTTCTTGTAGTCTCCAGAAAAAAAGAGCCAGAAGCTGCCTGCCCTAAGAAGGCCTAAACTGGCTCTCCACCACTGGGGAGAGAAGATACTTTTACCTTAGATTTGGGTGGATAATTCTTTGCCTACATTGGCTGTCAGCCTTCACTTATTTTAGCTCAGGCAAAAAGAGCTCTGTACTTTGTCCAGCCCTGGTCATCAGGAATCTGAATTAGGACTAGAGCATCAAAGCCTTAAGGTAATAAAGCAAAGCATTTGAACAACCTTGTCCTCTGACCATTAACTTCGTTTGAGGACCTCTGCAGAAGTGGAAGTCCCAGGACAGGGTCAGGTGTTGGGATCCCGTGTTCCTCTTGTTTGTTCTCTTTCTCTCATTCTCACACACCCCTACGATATCCGTCAATACAACTTCAGAAAGAAGCCTCTGAATGCACCACCAAAATATAAACCTGGTGTCACTATTAGAAACAGGAAAAGAAGACAACTCTGGTTTGGGATCAGAAGTGAAAGAAATGATAAAAAGTAAAACTCAGTTCTGCAACAAGATTATCTTGAGGTGCTGGCATCACAGCCAAGTGAAAATGTGCTGCTAGAACTTGGAAAACGTTACTCTAAGGCATTTAATGACTTATAGGAAATCAAGCCCAAGAGAAGGGATAGAAATAAGAACACAGAGGGAAAAAGGTAGGGAAGGAAAGAGAAGCAGCACAGGAAAGACTGGTGAGTTGCAGTTGCGCGTTAGCCTCTCAATCAGTTAATGGGAGTCCTGTAGTATTTGCATTTTGGGGCAGAAAAATCAAGAAGCTGAGGGGAAATGTCACAGTGGGCAAGCACTGCTGTGCCAGCAAGGCGGTCACTTTGTCATTTGGCTGTTTACAGCACTAAGTCAAGAAAAACAGGCTTACCTTTCACTGACTACAGGGTAAAAAATAAGGTCACCCTAGAAAAAAATAAATAAATGGATATAATTCCTGGAAATATGTATATTAATCTAGGTCCTCTGAGGAAATAATATATGTAAGCATCTAGCCCAATGTCTGGGCTAGGTGCCCAGTGGTGTAGTGGGGTAAGACTATGCATGTGCACACGTACTTACATAGACATATCTTTACATGCGAACCTGCTGCAGAAAACACAGGGTAGCAGCCGGACACAGCGGCTCACGCTTGTAATCCCAGCACTTTGGGAGGCCCAGGCGGGCAGATCACCTGACACCAGGAGTTCAAGACCAGGCTGGCCAACATAGTAAAACCTCATCTCTACTAAAAATACAAAAAGTAGCCGGGCATGGTGGCATACATCTGTAGTCCCAGCTACTCGGGAGGCTGAGGCAGGAGAATCCCCTTGAACCCAGAGGGCGGAGGTTGCAGTGAGCTGAGATCACGCCACTACACTCCATCCTGGGCGACAGAGGGAGACTCTGTCTCAAAAAAAAAAAAAAAAAAAAAAAAAAAAAAGATAGAAAAGAAAAGACAGAGTAGTAACATCAAAAAACTGGAGCAGGCTTAAATGTCCATAGAGAAAAGATATAATTATTGCATAAATAATTAGACAGAGATTGAAAGAGTAAGCTAGACATGGTCATATGAACATGGAAAGGTCTTCAAAAATACTATAAAATGGAAGGGAACATTGGAAAGCAACATTACACTGAAATCTAAATCATATACATTCTAACTATACATGTGTGTGAATGTAAACGCAAAGAAAAACAACTAGAAGGACACACAGCAAATTTTAGCCATGGTTGCTTTTGGCAAGAAGGACAAGGTAAGTAAGAAGGGCTGAGGGAGGCTCCCTGTTTCCACTCAGCATGTGGCCTTCAGCATCGCTTCTTTTATTTTTTTACAAATATAAAATTTTCATCCAATAAGAGATGAAGAAACACAACTTGAGTATTTTATTCCCTGCTTGTCTTTCCAAAGAATTTTAAAAGGTACAGAACTTACAAAACTTTCAAAATAAAAAATGATTTTTTTCTACAATGAAAAAGAAAAAAGACACAGTAAAAGACGAGGGACACGCTCATCAGAGCTTCTCTTAATGCCTTCCATAAAGACACCATCTATTAAAGGTTCCAAAAATATCTGTAAATCATTCTTTGTTATGTGACTTGGTGGGGGTGGGGTACCAAGAAATAGGATAGCTTCCTAACTAAACACTTTTTTATCCCAAGATACAAAGTGATAATGTGAATTCTCTCCCTAATAATGTCAATATTGTCATTCTTCCTCTAAATATGTGGCTTTCAACTGGTCGGGGGTGGGGTGGCAATCCTGTCCCCCAGGGAACATTTGGCAATGTCTGGAGACATTTTTGGTTGTCACAACTGGGGACCAAGAGAACACTCCTGCCGTCTCATGGGTAGAGGACAGGGCTGCTGATAAACACTCTATAAGACAGCCCCCCACAGCAAAGAACTCTTCAGTCCAAAAGGTTAATACTGCCAAGATTGGGAAACCTTGTTCCAAGACTAAAACTTTAATACTATTTTAAATATTCAAAAAATAATTTTCATAAGTAACAAATGATACATTAAAATTATTCTTTTATAAGTGGAATTATGTAAAGAGTATGGTTTTTAAAAATTAAAATATAGGCTGTATAGTCCTACAAATTCAAATTAGAATCCTGGTTACCAACTTTGTAACTTTGAGCGAGTTATTTGAACTTTCCACCTCTATTTCTTCATCTGAAAAATTGTAACTAAAGGATATAAGTTTTAAGATTGTTATGATCTTGGCTGGGCGTGGTGGCTCATGCCTGTAATCCCAGCACTTTGGGAGGCCGAGGCAGGTGGATCATCTGAGGTCAGGAGTTCGAGACCAGCCTGGCCAATAAGGTGAAACCCTGTCTCTACTAAAAATACAAAAATTAGCTGGGCATAGTGGCACATGCCTATAATCTCAGCTACTCAGGAGGCTGAGGCAAGAGAATTGCTTGAACCCAGGAGGTGGAAGTTGCAGTGGGCTGAGATCACACCACTGCACTCCAGCCTGGGCAACAGAGCAAGACTCTGTCTCAAAATAAAAAATTGTTATGATCTTAAAAGTTATTTAATTAATCAATTAAATCTCAACACCTGCCCACTACCTATCTGACACATACCAGAAAGACAGTATTAGTTTCTATCCTCCCATTATTCCTCCTCCTGCTACCATCAACCCCACCTAGGCCAAATTTTATTCATGGTCTCATCACAGTGATTTAGGTTGATACAATGATTCATAAATTTCAGAAGCAATATGATATTAACATGTTAAATAGTATCATGGTAAAAAAAAAAATAAGCGCAAGTATAGGGATTAAATGTTTATTTGAAAAATCTTACAATTTCTTCCTCATTCTAAGATTTAAAAAACTATTATATATAATCCTTTTCATCTGAATTACATCTATTCTCTCAAGAAGCCACACTCACAATTGCAATCAAGGTGAACAGAGTTGTACAATAAGGGGGAGAGCAAAGGCAAAATTCACTGAGGTAGACCCCAATTCCCCGAGACCACTCAACACGGGCATTCTATAACACAGGGACCTACTTTGGTGGTGATCCTATAGGTGATGTAAGTCTCCATTGTACACACATGCTTCTTGGGATCATCAACTATAACGAAGAGATCTCTAGTCTCACCATCAATATCATCATCAAGCTGAAGTCTGTTGAGAAGGGAAGATGAAGAAGCTGGACTTGAAGTACCTGCTGGAGTACCACCGTTGGGCAAAATGAGATCCTAAAAGAAGAAAAGAGCACCTTAAAATTAAATGAAAACATACTGGAGAGTATCAGCAAAAGCAGCTGGTTTAGCCAAACCAATAAACATTTCTAAAACCCAAAAATAACTTTCGAAACACCTGAGCCTCTCCCTACTCAGTGTTTCTTGAGTGAACAAATCTTTTACGACCAAGAGAAACAAACTATGGTAGTGCTTTGAATCAATTTCATGCCAATTCATCTTTTAGGAAGTGCTGGAGAAACCAATATAAGTAAGCAGTTCAAGGGCAGAGAACATAATGGCCCCACCATCATCAAACCTCAACAAGGGGCTGGGCGCAGTGGCTCACGCCTGTAATCCCAGCACTTTGGGAGGCCGAGACAGGTGGCTCACCTGAGGTCACGAGTTTGAGACCAGCCTGGCCAACATGGTGAAACCCCGTCTCTACTAAATATACAAAAATTAGCTGGACATGGTGGTGCATGCCTGTGATCCCAGCTACTCGGGAAGCTGAGGCAGGAGAATTGCTTGAACCTGGGAGGCGGAGGTTGCAGTGAGCCGAGACTGCGCCATTGCACTCCAACCTGGGCAACAAGAGCGAAACTCCATTTAAAAAAAAAAAACAAACCTCTGCGGAGGAGCCAAGATGGCCGAATAGGAACAGCTCCGGTCTACAGCTCCCAGCGTGAGCGACGCAGAAGACGGTGATTTCTGCATTTCCATCTGAGGTACCGGGTTCATCTCACTAGGGAGTGCCAGACAGTGGGCGCAGGCCAGTGTGTGTGCGCACCGTGCGCGAGCCGAAGCAGGGCGAGGCATTGCCTCACCTGGGAAGCGCAAGGGGTCAGGGAGTTCCCTTTCCGAGTCAAAGAAAGGGGTGACGGATGCACCTGGAAAATCGGGTCACTCCCACCCGAATATTGCGCTTTTCAGACCGGCTTAAGAAACGGCGCACCACGAGACTATATCCCACACCTGGCTCGGAGGGTCCTACGCCCACGGAATCTCGCTGATTGCTAGCACAGCAGTCTGAGATCAAACTGCAAGGCGGCAACGAGGCTGGGGGAGGGGCGCCCGCCATTGCCCAGGCTTGCTTAGGTAAACAAAGCAGCCGGGAAGCTCAAACTGGGTGGAGCCCACCACAGCTCAAGGAGGCCTGCCTGCCTCTGTAGGCTCCACCTCTGGGGGCAGGGCACAGACAAACAAAAAGACAGCAGTAACCTCTGCAGACTTAAGTGTCCCTGTCTGACAGCTTTGAAGAGAGCAGTGGTTCTCCCAGCACGCAGCTGGAGATCTGAGAACGGGCAGACTGCCTCCTCAAGTGGGTCCCTGACTCCTGACCCCCGAGCAGCCTAACTGGGAGGCACCCCCCAGCAGGGGCACACTGACACCTCACACGGCAGGGTATTCCAACAGACCTGCAGCTGAGGGTCCTGTCTGTTAGAAGGAAAACTAACAACCAGAAAGGACATCTACACCGAAAACCCATCTGTACATCACCATCATCAAAGACCAAAAGTAGATAAAACCACAAAGATGGGGAAAAAACAGAACAGAAAAACTGGAAACTCTAAAACGCAGAGCGCCTCTCCTCCTCCAAAGGAACGCAGTTCCTCACCAGCAACAGAACAAAGCTGGATGGAGAATGATTTTGACGAGCTGAGAGAAGAAGGCTTCAGACGATCAAATTACTCTGAGCTACGGGAGGACATTCAAACCAAAGGCAAAGAAGTTGAAAACTTTGAAAAAAATTTAGAAGAATGTATAACTAGAATAACCAATACAGAGAAGTGCTTAAAGGAGCTGATGGAGCTGAAAACCAAGGCTCGAGAACTACGTGAAGAATGCAGAAGCCTCAGGAGCCGATGCGATCAACTGGAAGAAAGGGTATCAACAATGGAAGATGAAATGAATGAAATGAAGCGAGAAGGGAAGTTTAGAGAAAAAAGAATAAAAAGAAATGAGCAAAGCCTCCAAGAAATATGGGACTATGTGAAAAGACCAAATCTACGTCTGATTGGTGTACCTGAAAGTGATGTGGAGAATGGAACCAAGTTGGAAAACACTCTGCAGGATATTATCCAGGAGAACTTCCCCAATCTAGCAAGGCAGGCCAACGTTCAGATTCAGGAAATACAGAGAACACCACAAAGATACTCCTCGAGAAGAGCAACTCCAAGACACATAATTGTCAGATTCACCAAAGTTGAAATGAAGGAAAAAATGTTAAGGGCAGCCAGAGAGAAAGGTCGGGTTACCCTCAAAGGAAAGCCCATCAGACTAACAGCGGATCTCTCGGCAGAAACCCTACAAGCCAGAAGAGAGTGGGGGCCAATATTCAACATTCTTAAAGAAAAGAATTTTCAACCCAGAATTTCATATCCAGCCAAACTAAGCTTCATAAGTGAAGGAGAAATAAAATACTTTATAGACAAGCAAATGTTGAGAGATTTTGTCACCACCAGGCCTGCCCTAAAAGAGCTCCTGAAGGAAGCGCTAAACATGGAAAGGAACAACCGGTACCAGCCGCTGCAAAATCATGCCAAAATGTAAAGACCATCGAGACTAGGAAGAAACTGCATCAACTAATGAGCAAAATCACCAGCTAACATCATAATGACAGGATCAAATTCACACATAACAATATTAACTTTAAATATAAATGGACTAAATTCTGCAATTAAAAGACACAGACTGGCAAGTTGGATAAAGAGTCAAGACCCATCAGTGTGCTGTATTCAGGAAACCCATCTCACGTGCAGAGACACACATAGGCTCAAAATAAAAGGATGGAGGAAGATCTACCAAGCCAATGGAAAACAAAAAAAGGCAGGGGTTGCAATCCTAGTCTCTGATAAAACAGACTTTAAACCAACAAAGATCAAAAGAAACAAAGAAGGCCATTACATAATGGTAAAGGGATCAATTCAACAAGAGGAGCTAACTATCCTAAATATTTATGCACCCAATACAGGAGCACCCAGATTCATAAAGCAAGTCCTCAGTGACCTACAAAGAGACTTAGACTCCCACACATTAATAATGGGAGACTTTAACACCCCACTGTCAACATTAGACAGATCAACGAGACAGAAAGTCAACAAGGATACCCAGGAATTGAACTCAGCTCTGCACCAAGCAGACCTAATAGACATCTACAGAACTCTCCACCCCAAATCAACAGAATATACATTTTTTTCAGCACCACACCACACCTATTCCAAAATTGACCACATAGGTGGAAGTAAAGCTCTCCTCAGCAAATGTAAAAGAACAGAAATTATAACAAACTATCTCTCAGACCACAGTGCAATCAAACTAGAACTCAGGATTAAGAATCTCACTCAAAGCCGCTCAACTACATGGAAACTGAACAACCTGCTCCTGAATGACTACTGGGTACATAACGAAATGAAGGCAGAAATAAAGATGTTCTTTGAAACCAACGAGAACAAAGACACCACATACCAGAATCTCTGGGACGCATTCAAAGCAGTGTGTAGAGGGAAATTTATAGCACTAAATGCCTACAAGAGAAAGCAGGAAAGATCCAAAATTGACACCCACCCTAACATCACAATTAAAAGAACTAGAAAAGCAAGAGCAAACACATTCAAAAGCTAGCAGAAGGCAAGAAATAACTAAAATCAGAGCAGAACTGAAGGAAATAGAGACACAAAAAACCCTTCAAAAAATCAATGAATCCAGGAGCTGGTTTTTTGAAAGGATCAACAAAATTGATAGACCGCTAGCAAGACTAATAAAGAAAAAAAGAGAGAAGAATCAAATAGACACAATAAAAAATGATAAAGGGGATATCACCACCGATCCCACAGAAATACAAACTACCATCAGAGAATACTACAAACACCTCTACGCAAATAAACTAGAAAATCTAGAAGAAATGGATACATTCCTCGACACATACACTCTCCCAAGACTAAACCAGGAAGAAGTTGAATCTCTGAATAGACCAATAACAGGCTCTGAAATTGTGGCAATAATCAATAGTTTACCAACCAAAAAGAGTCCAGGACCAGATGGATTCACAGCCGAATTCTACCAGAGGTACATGGAGGAACTGGTACCATTCCTTCTGAAACTATTCCAATCAATAGAAAAAGAGGGAATCCTCCCTAACTCATTTTATGAGGCCAGCATCATTCTGATACCAAAGCCGGGCAGAGACACAACCAAAAAAGAGAATTTTAGACCAATATCCTTGATGAACATTGATGCAAAAATCCTCAATAAAATACTGGCAAACCGAATCCAGCAGCACATCAAAAAGCTTATCCACCATGATCAAGTGGGCTTCATCCCTGGGATGCAAGGCTGGTTCAATATACGCAAATCAATAAATGTAATCCAGCATATAAACAGAGCCAAAGACAAAAACCACATGATTATCTCAATAGATGCAGAAAAAGCCTTTGACAAAATTCAACAACCCTTCATGCTAAAAACTCTCAATAAATTAGGTATTGATGGGACGTATTTCAAAATAATAAGAGCTATCTATGACAAACCCACAGCCAATATCATACTGAATGGGCAAAAACTGGAAGCATTCCCTTTGAAAACCGGCACAAGACAGGGATGCCCTCTCTCACCGCTCCTATTCAACATAGTGTTGGAAGTTCTGGCCAGGGCAATCAGGCAGGAGAAGGAAATAAAGGGTATTCAATTAGGAAAAGAGGAAGTCAAATTGTCCCTGTTTGCAGACGACATGATTGTTTATCTAGAAAACCCCATCGTCTCAGCCCAAAATCTCCTTAAGCTGATAAGCAACTTCAGCAAAGTCTCAGGATACAAAATCAATGTACAAAAATCACAAGCATTCTTATACACCAACAACAGACAAACAGAGAGCCAAATCATGGGTGAACTCCCATTCACAATTGCTTCAAAGAGAATAAAATACCTAGGAATCCAACTTACAAGGGATGTGAAGGACCTCTTCAAGGAGAACTACAAACCACTGCTCAAGGAAATAAAAGAGGAGACAAACAAATGGAAGAACATTCCATGTTCATGGGTAGGAAGAATCAATATCGTGAAAATGGCCATACTGCCCAAGGTAATTTACAGATTCAATGCCATCCCCATCAAGCTACCAATGACTTTCTTCACAGAATTGGAAAAAACTACTTTAAAGTTCATATGGAACCAAAAAAGAGCCCGCATTGCCAAGTCAATCCTAAGCCAAAAGAACAAAGCTGGAGGCATCACACTACCTGACTTCAAACTATACTACAAGGCTACAGTAACCAAAACAGCATGGTACTGGTACCAAAACAGAGATATAGATCAATGGAACAGAACAGAGCCCTCAGAAATAATGCCGCATATCTACAACTATCTGATCTTTGACAAACCTGAGAAAAACAAGCAATGGGGAAAGGATTCCCTATTTAATAAATGGTGCTGGGAAAACTGGCTAGCCATATGTAGAAAGCTGAAACTGGATCCCTTCCTTACACCTTATACAAAAATCAATTCAAGATGGATTAAAGATTTAAACGTTAAACCTAAAACCATAAAAACCCTAGAAGAAAACCTAGGCATTACCATTCAGGACATAGGCGTGGGCAAGGACTTCATGTCCAAAACACCAAAAGCAATGGCAACAAAAGACAAAATTGACAAATGGGATCTAATTAAACTAAAGAGCTTCTGCACAGCAAAAGAAACTACCATCAGAGTGAACAGGCAACCTACAGAATGGGAGAAAATTTTTGCAACCTACTCATCTGACAAAGGGCTAATATCCAGAATCTACAATGAACTCAAACAAATTTACAAGAAAAAAACAAACAACCCCATCAAAAAGTGGGCGAAGGACATGAACAGACACTTCTCAAAAGAAGACATTTATGCAGTCAAAAAACACATGAAGAAATGCTCATCATCACTGGCCATCAGAGAAATGCAAATCAAAACCACTATGAGATATCATCTCACACCAGTTAGAATGGCAATCATTAAAAAGTCAGGAAACAACAGGTGCTGGAGAGGATGCGGAGAAATAGGAACACTTTTACACTGTTGGTGGGACTGTAAACTAGTTCAACCATTGTGGAAGTCAGTGTGGCGATTCCTCAGGGATCTAGAACTAGAAATACCATTTGACCCAGCCATCCCATTACTGGGTATATACCCAAATGAGTATAAATCATGCTGCTATAAAGACACATGCACACGTATGTTTATTGCGGCACTATTCACAATAGCAAAGACTTGGAACCAACCCAAATGTCCAACAATGATAGACTGGATTAAGAAAATGTGGCACATATACACCATGGAATACTATGCAGCCATAAAAAATGATGAGTTCATATCCTTTGTAGGGACATGGATGAAATTGGAAACCATCATTCTCAGTAAACTATCGCAAGAACAAAAAACCAAACACCGCATATTCTCACTCATAGGTGGGAATTGAACAATGAGATCACATGGACACAGGAAGGGGAATATCACACTCTGGGGACTGTGGTGGGGTCGGGGGAGGGGGGAGGGATAGCATTGGGAGATATACCTAATGCTAGATGACACATTAGTGGGTGCAGTGCACCAGCATGGCACATGTATACATATGTAACTAACCTGCACAATGTGCACATGTACCCTAAAACTTAGAGTATAATAAAAAAAAAAAAAAAAAAAGAAAAAAAAAAAAACAAACCTCAACAAGGAAAGCTCCCTGTGAGCATACTCCGTTTTTCCCACTTTGTCAAGACCACCACGTGGGCCCAGGTAAACATTAAGAAACCTGGCTGGGCGCGCAGTGCCTCACGCCTGTAATTACAGCACTTTGGGAGGCGAAGGCAGGCAGATCACTTGAGGTCAGGAGTTCAAGACCAGCCTGGCCAACATGGTGAAATCGTCTCTACTAAAAAAAAAAAAAAAAAAAATACCAATATTAGCTGGGCACGGTGGCGTGCGCCTACTCGGGGGGCTGAGGCAGGAGAATTGCTTGAACCCCGGCAGGCAGAGGTTGCAGTGAGCCGGGATCATGCCACTGCACTCCAGTCTGGGCGACAGAGCAAGACTCCATCTCAAAAAAAAAAAAAAAAGAAAAAGAAAAAGAAAAGAAGAGAGAGCGCAAGCACCTATAAATGTAAAGAAACTTAAGAGATCAACCAATTCCATTAAAACAAGATACAAAAAGATAAAGATTTTGAGATATTTAGGGAAATTTGAATATTGATATTAAGGAATCACTGGGTATGATAATGGAAGTATGATTTTACAAAATCTTCATCTTTTAAAATTATATACTAAAATATTTATGAATAAAATAAAATGGCATTTGCTTCAAAATAATTAAGGATGAGTAGGTGGGGATATAAATGATACAAGATGCCCAAGCTGATCACCATTGAAGCTGGTACCTGCAGGTTCATTATACAATTCTCTTCCCTTTTCTATATGCTTAAAATTTTCTATGACGTTTTTAAAAGAGAGTAGTGGGTAGGAGGGTAGTCAGTGGGACAAATGCCAGGAAAGGAAGGGAAAGATAGATTTTTTAAATTGCAGACCTCGCTCTTTGGTCTTGGTAAGAAGCCAATGAATAAATTATGTCCCTACAGTATTCAAAAAATGGCTGTGAAACTAAGAAGGCCTAGTTAGTTATCTTGTTTGGTTTGGAGGTTTGGTAACAGAACAGAGCCCTGCCTAGCAGCAGATGTGAAGGCCTCTGAATATCGCTTTGGAATAACTGGGAAACAGAGACTAAAGAATATGGCAAGAAAGTGACATGACACCATGGGAAGAGCCTGGGTGACCTGTGGGCCATCAGATCACAGGCTGGGGAGGAGGGGGTGCTTTCCCTATATTCTCTCCTCTTGGAGTTTTGCAGGTGAGTTATGACCTAGCCCCCATGCAAGAGAACGTACAGGAAATTAGAGGTTAACCTAGCAGTCACATCCATGAGCTCTAGCTGATGACGGGACATCTGGGAAGGGCAATGGGACACGGCGGAGTGAAGAAGTGTGGCCTGGGGTCAAGGGCAATGTCACCCAACTTGGGGGGTAATGGAAAGTACACAGAAAAAGCACCTTCAACTCCCATTTCTGCTGACCACAGATCATTTAATCACATACCTACGCAATATCAAAAAAACTGTAATTACTAAAAGGGTACCATTTTTCACAGAAGGTACTCATGGCAATAGACCTCCCCCCTCCGCTTCTCTTCCGTTATGCTTCTGACTACAGGGCAGATGGACAAGCTCATCAGCTGGGACGTCATACCTTCAACAGCCCCTCTCAGTGTGGACGTGACTGCAGAGTCCAACTACAGCAGCAGCCACTGATGGGACTGCCTTTTCAATGTACTGGTACCACGGGACACACGGCGTCCACACCCCAGTGTCTGGGGATTTGTAGGGGGACAACATCTTCTCTGGAACTCCAGGATAAACATCATGTCTTGGTTATTTCAGTAAACATTTAAACACTGACCTCAGGCAGGATGCCATGCTAGGCATCACAGGGGCCCTCCCTTAACATTTTATCAACACTAGCACACCGGGCCTCCGAACAGCTCTGTCAGTGGACAGACACTGCACAAAAGAAAAAGAATTCACAATCTTAAGGCAGAGATGCCAAAATCAGCTCAGACAGTGGTTTCCCACAATCTGGCCTGGTTTGATCTCAGCAGCCTCCTTTCTTACCACCTCCTTCCACATCCGAGGGACCAGTTCTCAGGAACCACCCAGCAGTTTCATGCCCCTTATCTTTGCTGGAAAAGCTCCCCTGCTGTACATAATAATCTCCAAATATCTTCCAGGAATCTGCTTGAATCCCCTCTCCTTTAACGCTTTCCTTGACCCACTCCCTGGTAGAATTACTCACACCCTTCTCAATACTTTGAAGACACCTCCACTGAAGCATTTTGTAGTTTTAATCATTTATTTATATATCAAACTTATCCACAAACACTGTAAGTCCCCAGTGACTGCAACTGTGCCTTGCTCATCATGTGTGCGTGTGTGTGTGTGTGTGTGTGTGTGTGTGTGACTGTACTGTGAGTGTGTGTGTGTGATTATCTTTCTGTCTCCCCAGGTCGGGTAGTGACTTCAAGCCAACTCCCCTAACATTTGCCCTGGGAACCTCAGCCAATAACCTTCCAGGAACAGCCCACATAAAGATCTGAAATGTCTTGGCCAGACAGTATGAAGTTAGTTCTCGAATCAGTTGTTGGGAGTGAGGGAGGGGAGAGTCAGTCAATCAGACCTTGCCACATACTCCAGATTCTTCCCTCCTATGCTACCCTGGCCCATGGTAGGTACTCAGTATTTCATGAATGAATGAATCTTAGAAACGACCAAATTCAATCCCTTGCCTATCAAAAGTACTCAATAAATGTCTGTGGAAGGACAAGCAACTGAGGCTAACCTGAGCCAGACTGCCCAGTTCTGAATCCCAGTACCACTAATTACTACCAGTGCAACTTAAGCAAGCTTCTTAATCTAAGCCCCGATGTCCTCATTTATAAAATGGGTATAGTGGGATTGAGTTAGTTAGTATATGGAAGCAGTTGGAATAGTGTGTGGTACATGGCTGGTGCTGTATCACTATTCTCTCTCTCTCATACACACACACACAGACACACACACACGTGCTTGTAAGTATTCTTGCATCCTCTTATAAACTATGAGGCTGGGTTCATAGCAGACACACAATAATTGCTAAAAAATAAAAATTGCATTGAGACCCACAGTTGGGGCCTCAAATATATTTTCTTAATGATTTTATTATAACAAAGGATATCCAGAATAGCCTTTGTGAAGAGTTACAACTACATAGTTGATTAATAATGAAAACTCCCCATTGTTGCAAAATACCAATTTTCACCATGTAGGTTTCCATTATAAGAGCATTTCTTACTCCTTCCCACTTTTACTTTACCCTAGGAAGACAGATGCAGAGTGAGGTTGCTTTACAAACTCCTCTGGTTCAAAGAATTTCAATTTTAAGATACACCATTATGGTCAGCCAGCCACAAGACAGAATATTAAATTAACATAAATCACTGGCAAAATTTTATATTACATTAAACATATGATTTATGAAGAGAGTGGTATAGACTAGGAGCCAATATAGTTTTAATAAAAATAAGTTATGCTAAAACAATCTAATTTCTCTTTTTGATTCTATTGGAGGAATATGGGCAAGTGAATGATCTAGTCTCAGAGGAGCCTGACAAAGCCTCTCAAGGCATCTTTACGTTAAGGGTAAAATGATGGCTCTCTGAATACACAGACTGCATATTACTTTTCTTAATTTACCCCCCTCGTGCCAGGTACACAGCAGATGCTTAAAGAATGTGTTGGCCACGCGCAGTGGCTCACACCTGTAATCCCAGCACTTTGGGAGGTCGAGGCGGGTGGATCACGAGGTCAGGAGTTCAAGACCAACCTGACCAACATGGTAAAACCCCATCTCTACTAAAAATACAAAAATTAGCCAGGGGTGTTGGCACACGTCTGTAATCCCCGCTACTCAGGAGGCTGAGGCAGGAGAACTGCTTGAACTTGGGAGGCGGCGGGTGCAGTGACCTGAGATCACGCCACTGCACTCCAACCTATGCGACAAGAGCAAGACTCCATCTCAAAAAAAAAGAAAAAAAATGAATGAATGTGTTCTATACAAACTGAATATTCTTGATTGTTGATTTTGTTGTAAAACTAAAGCTAAGCCCACTTTGGAGAATAAACTCAAAGGGATAATCTCAAAAATGTTCTGTTCAAAGATGTTCATGATACAAAGAACACAGAGTGAAACCTAGAAAAATCCCAAAGGCTCAATAACCAGGAAGCGGTCATGTTTGTATGTGTAATGTGACACACTTGTTTAAAAAATTAGAAAGCTAGACCTCTAGATAAACTCAGTGAGTTGAACACAAGCCTCTGCGTTCTCCCTTTTTCCACCCTCCAGATACTAATTTAACCTAGAGAATGAAAGAAAAAAAAAAAAACAAAAAACAGTGGAGGTAAAAAGAACAAGAAAAACAGTGACTGGAGTCATATCAATACTGGAAATGAGGAAAGGGTGCCATCCAAATGCCAAAGGTCTCAAAGGCTGTCTACTGGTTCTACCTGGGCCACAACTGAAAAAAGAACCCAGAGGAATCTAACCCATGTCACCGAAGTTACTTCAGGTTATTGAGGTTACTTAATAAGTAGAAAATGTCCTTGAACCCCCTTTACACGCACGCTAATTTGAAAGTGTGATTGTCAGTGGGGAGTAGAGGACATGGAAGGTTTGGCAGTGGGGCAATCCAGGACCACCAAGGAGTTGGCTGCTGTGACTGTGACCAAGGGGATGCCAAGCACAGGCAAATACACCAAGTGTGGGCCACCAGCAGAGGGCACCCCGCCCACATGGCCTTCTCCCCCCGCATGATGGGTAGAGATGGAAGCAGCAGCTCATAGGAACATGAAGGCATCTGGGTTGGCTGCCCTGGGGTGTGTCCAACAAGCCCAAAGCAGGCCAGACTGCAAATGCTGGGGGGACTGAGCTCTACTGAGATGGGGGGAGCAGCTAAAACACAGAGAAAGCCAGGCTTCTTTCCCATCTGACAGATAACTAGTAATCTATGGATCTAAGACAATGCTAACAACATCAAGTAGAAACACAGAGGATCCAATATAATCCACTTGTTCTGATGGGGGCAAATAGCAGGTCTGAATTATTATCTCATCAGAGGCAAGTAAACCATAAAAACAACTCAAAATGGCATTAGCTCATCACTCAGACCTAAGAAAACCAAAACACAAAAAAAGCAAGAGTCCTCAATAACAGATAAACATGCATTTGAAAAAGATGAAGCCCATAAAACAGAACCCTTTAGGCCAGACTTACTCTGTGTTCCCATTAAAAGAAAAAGAAAAAAAAAAGCCTAAAGAAAGTGGAAAGAGAATCTAAAAATGAAAGCATAAATTAAAACAGAAAAGAACAAAAGTTATAAACAAAAGCAAAATTTAATTCTTCTGAAAGATGAATCAGATAAACTAAAACTTAGGAAATCTGAACAATATAGAAAAAGGAAAATGGCCCAGGTGTAGTGGCCTCAAACCTATAATCCCAGCACTTTGGGAGACCGAGGCAGGTGGATTGCTTGAGCCCAGGAGCTCAAGACCAGCCTGAGCAGCATGGGGAAACCCTGTCTCTAGTAAAAATACAAAAAGTTAGCCAGGCGTGGTGGCTCAAGCCTGTAGTCACAGCTACTCAGGAGGCTGAGGCATGAGAATTGCTTGAACCTAGGAGGCAGAGGTTGCAGTGAGCAGAGATCGCACCATTGTACTCCAGGCTGGGCGACGGAGAGAGATGCTGTCTCAATAAAAAATAAAAAAAGAGGAAAATGGAAAAAGGGAACAGGCAATAACTATTTAGAACTTGTGTCTATGTATGATTGTAAATTAAAAGGTTGTGCTGTGAATAACTATGCCAACAAATTTGGACATCTATATGAGCTAGCTGGCTTTCTAGGAAAAATTATGTGATCAAGGTGAAATTAAATAGAGAGAAAAAACCTAAACAGATAAATAACCACAAAACTGTTGTCAGAGAACATCCACGAAGAGGTAAGCTGGGTCCCAAGTGTTTCACAGTGAGCACTCATGAACCTTCAAAGAGTAAGTCCTACTTTATTCAAATATTCTAAGACATAATTTTAAAATGCAGAAACCTTTCAAATCATTTCATGATGACTATCTATATCCGGTATCAAAATATTAGGACAAAAAAGAAAACTGAGAACAAGCATAAACATCATTAATAAAGTAACAACTAACAGTACACTAAAAGAATTTTTGGAAAAAAAATATATACCAGGATCAAGTCAAATGTATTCCAGGGAAGCAAGAATGATTTAACATTAGGAAATTTATCAATACAATTTATTACATTAATAACATTACTTCATTACACTATATTACATTAATATACATTACTTCAACCACTGTTGAAGATACTCATGTCCAAAACTACCAAAATATTTACTGGCATCACTCATATCAGCCATTCCATTTAAATCTCTAAGTAAAATTAAGAAGTAAAAAGAAAGTTCCCGGCCAGGTGCAGTGGCTCATGCCTGTAATCCCAGTACTTTGAGAGGCCAAGGCGGGTGGATCACGAGGTCAAAGATTGAAACCAGCCTGGCCAACATGGTGAAACCCCATCTCTACTAAAAATACAAAAATTAGCTGGGCGTGGTGGCACACACCTGTAGTCTCAGCTACTTGGGAGACTGAGGCAGGAGAATCGCTTGAACCCAGGAGGCGGAGGTTGCAGTGAGCAGCGCAATTGCGCCACTGCACTCCAGCCTGGCGACAGAGCAAGGCTCCGTCTCAAAAAAAAAAAAAAAAAAAAAAAAAAAAAGTTCCTAAATATGTTTAAAAGTATTTATCAGAAAACATCAGCAATTAATCTTGAAGACATTATTCTAAGTGAACGAAGCTAGATGAGAAAAGCCACATGCTATATAATTCCATTTATATGAAATGTCAGAACAGGCAAATCCTGAGAGACAGAAAGCAGACTTGGTTGCCAGGGGCTACAGGTAGGGGGAACAGGGAGAGCCAGCTTAATAAAGACCAAATTTCTTTTTGGGGTGACAAAATATTCTAAAATTAGATAGCGATGATGGTTGCACAACCCTGTGAATATACACTCAATTATATACCTTAAAATGGTGAATTTCATGCTCTGTAAATTATCTCCAATAACAATAAAACAATAAAAAATGTAGTGGACATATTTTAAAAATGAAGACCTTTTAAATCACAAAGCCATGTCCACTACATTCAGATATAAAGTATTTGCCATAATTCAAAACCATTCTGGAAAGTCTAGTTACCGCAATAATATAGAGAAGAATACTTGAACTCATACAGTGATCTGCCACATGAGTTCATGGCAATAGGTCAGGCTCCTCCCAAATTATCTAAAATTTGTAATATACATAATAGGGAGCAAATGTGTTTAAAGCATTTTTAAATGGTAAACATGAACTGCTATATTTACTAAATGTTCTGGGAAAGAAGTGGAGGACAAAGACTATATGGTAGATTGCATTAGTGTTCATAATTATGAACTTCCCATCCTTTAAAAGGATCATATATTCTTCTTATTGCCAAGTGACTTCCCACAGGAAGACACATCCCCACCACACTGACTTTGGCCTTGGACACGTGACTTGCTCCAGCCACTGGTACATGGTACATGAATGTACATCGGATCAGAGCAGATCCTTTAAGAGCCAACGCATGCTTCCACCAGCTCCCTTGCTCCTCGACTTTGAAAGTAGTGTGTCCCAAACAGGGGCTGCTCCTTTGGAATGGGAAGACTTGCAGGAGAGGGCCAGAGAAGCTGACTCACAGCCACTGACACACGGCATGACCTAGAAATACATGTTTGTTGCACACCTTAGCATTTTTGGAGTTATTACCACAGCAAAGCTGACTAGTACATATAATCATTAAAATGTCTGTATAATTTTTAACAGTCTAAATAGGACACAGTGATATAAAAAGTAGGGAATATTAAGACATAGAGATTTATCTTTTGTTTTGGAGAGTTATTCAAATGTATCTTAACTATTGATAGTAAGTCTCAAGTTCTGCACTGCTACTTGCTTATTAGTAGGAAGTTCAGTTTCCCTTGCCACACAGCCCAGGAATTCCCATCTCAAATATTCTCCAAAAACTCCAAGGTTGCTTGTACAAGTATCTCCAAGTTCCCAAGGCCCATAGCCTATGGTTTCTAAGTTAGTATCCCCCCTGAACAGTTTTATGTGTTTCTACTTTGGATTCAGGACCATTTTTCATAAGGCAAGGCTTTTTCTTTAGACATGGTTTAAGAGATCACCTGTTTCAAAGCTTTGTCACTAAAGTTGTTTAGAAACTGAAAATGTTTTTCATAGGTTTTCTATTAGAAAATCTGCCCTTCAAGCAAATTCTACCCATTGGCCTGATGCAAAAGAACACTTCTTAACAAGATCATAAAGTCAAAATGAAAGAATCCAGGTCCACATTCCTTGGCAAACTTACCAGTGTCTGTTAATAGATTTTTCTAAGAATCTCCAGACTAACATTCACTTCTCCAGACATTCTTATGATTCTTAGGAGCCAAGATTTTCCCCAACTCTCAGCTGCATTTACCATACACAATTCCTGTTCATTCCTTCTAAGGAAGATCCAGTATTTCAAGCATATACTAAACACCGAATACACAAGGCCAAAATCCCAATGCAGTGCTACCAAACAAAACAGAATATAGCATCTGTGTTTAAATAACTTTAGTTGGGAATATGGACATGAGACCTCTAACTCTGATGCAATGCAATAGTGGCTATGAACAGAGCTCCATGAATGGATGGGGGCAACTTGAGAAGAATAAGTAGACTTGCCAAATGGAAAAACAAGGCTGGGGGAGAGCTTGGCCAGGACATTCCAGGCTGAGAAATCCCCAAAAATCAAGGGCGAGAGGCATTTCCGAGAGCCTGTTCCTAACAATAACTAAGATCCCCAACACAAAAATTCTTCCTCTGCTGCTGGTCAAGGATGTGCATGCCACCTGGAGGACTCAACAGAACAAGCAGACAGCTTTCTACAAAGACAGAATGCACCTTTCCAGAGGGCACGAACAAAGAGAACACAACTCGACCTAAAATCCTGTTCTCGGGGCCAGGTGCAGTGGCGCACTCATGTAATCCCAGCATTTTGGGAGGCCAAGGCAGGAGGATTGCTTGAGCCCAGGAGTTCAAGACCAGCCTGGGCAACATAGTGAAACCCTATCTCTACAAAAAATACAAAAATTAGCTGGGCGTGGTGGCGCATGCCTGTGGTCCCATCTACTGGGGAGGCTGAGGTGGGAGGATCACCTAAGCCCAGGAGGTTGAGGCTGTGGTGAGCCGAGATCGTGCCACTGCACTCCAGCCTGAGTCACAGAGCAAGACACTGCCTCAAGAAAGAAACAAAAAATCCTGAAATCCTGCTCTCTTTTCTGCCCACTTTGACCCTCATTCTCAGGATCTTGCCAACTGAAAACTTATAAACCTAAGGAAGGCATTCCTCCACTGAAACTTCTGCACCAAAATCACACAAGGGTCTAGGGTGTAGAAGCCCCCAGAGATCATCCAAGTTGTCTCTATTACACATATGGAAAAGTCTTATACGTAACAAGCATGAGGTCCCTCGAGTGGTGTGTGAGGAGCCCAGGTAGGGCTGTGCTACACCACAATCCAGGCGTTCCTTAGGTAGGAAGAAGGTGCCTAGAACGACCCCTTCATAAACAATAGTTCTTTTCCTACCCTTCGCCCAATTCCTCTTAACTGTACCATCTGTTCATCTTACAAAGCCTGGTTCTCATTGACATGTTTCTGTGCTACCATCTGACATGGTACTACACACGCGGAGTGCACTCTGCATGTGACCTAAGAAGTCAGGTGCCTAAGGAAAGTCCAAGAAAACGGCATTTTGAGTTTTCAGAACAAAGGCCTAGAGGAAACAAAATATCATACAGAGCTGAGTATGTGCTTGTTGATTAATCATCACCCCAGCCCAAACCTTCTCAAGGACAAAAAAAAACACTCAAGTGAGGAACAGGGCAGGACTCAACTTCCAATAGCAGGTGCCAAGTGGTTACTGTTAATCCACTCTTACAGCCCACACTTCTCAGATGTGCTGCAAAAGCCTTGCACTTTTAGCAAGACTAAAAGTGTCCTTGCCTTGGGTGGATCCCCTGAGGTCAGGAGTTCAAGACCAGCCTGATCAATATGGTAGAACCCTGTTTCTAGTAAACATACAAAAAAAAATTAGCCAGGTGTGGTGGCATGCGTCTGTAGTCCCAGCTACTCGGGAGGCTGAGACAGAAGAACTGCTTGAACCCGGGAGGCAGAGGTTGCAGTGAGCCAAGATCGCGCCACTGTACTCTACCCTGGGCGACAGAGCGAGACTCCATCTTTAAAAAAAAAAAAAGCGTCCTTGCCTCAAAAATTACCGAAAACTCACCATTCCTCTACAATAGGGACTGTCTCTCTGAAACCCATAGGCACCTTGGGGGCCAAAAATTATGCACCAACATTTGCATGTGCACATGCAAATGCCAATCTTCTTTGGGAGCTTAGATGTTACATCTAAGCTTCTTAGGAGAGAACCTATAATTATTAGAGCCTCAAAAATACCTAGGGAGGGAAAAAAATCACGACAGATTCTAAACTGTCTCTCTAAACTAAAAATAGGAAACAGAAATACATTTCGACCTACCTGAGCTACCCAAATTCAAACTGCCCTCTAGTATAGTACTTCCACATTTAATGATTTGTGACACCCATACCCTACCTATGGGGCTGGGGGCTGTCCTTAAATCCTCAATCCAAACCTAAAATGAACACAAGAGGATGTGCTAAATGAGAAGGAAACGTGTGACTACATTCAAATAGGTCATACTTCCTTCCACAGTGTCTTCACTTCATTTTTTTCTCCCCGTACAGAACAGGTTCTCCCTGTACAGTACTAGTTTTGTGGCACTCAATAATGTTGTATTGATTTAGATCTGCATCTCACCACAAAGCAGCTAGAAGAGATGTTTTTCCGTGGAACTTTTCGAGGCCTGAGACACAGTTTCCACACAGCATCTTTTTAGAATCCTGAAGTGTGCTAGCCTACAACCCAAAAGTACAGATGGCCTTCCAGGCTGGAGCGCCACCTGACTGGCTACCTGGCTGCCCCAGATCGAATTCCCACATTCCCACTGACATGACTCAGACCGAATGTGGGTGATTTCTATTCCCATGGTTAGCGTGTTCACTGGAAAAGAAAAAGGCCCTGAACCAAGAGTCTGATCATAGTTAAAACATTAAAGAATAAGAGAAAAAACAGGAAGAGGGTATTCTAAACCAAAATGGCTCAAAGGAGTTTCACACCTAAGTAACCAGACAAGGAGAGGTAAAGAAAATTTTAAAAAGGCAAGAAGGGGCCAGGCGTGGTGGCTCACACCTGTAATCCTAGCACTTGGGAGGCCAAGGTGGGCAGATTGCTTGAGCCCACAAGTTCGAGATGAGCCTGGGCAACATGGTGGAACCCCATCTCAAAAGTTTAAAAAAAAAAAGTCAAGGACAGACGTAAAAGAAAAGGGCCTTAAATTTAATACTGGTCACACAGTCTTGCCCTCTCACATGGGCATTCTGAGTCCAGAGACAGAAATGAGCTCTGTAAACAAGGGCCATGCACTACTAGGAGAGGGACAGACACAGAAGAAGGAAGAAAGTGAAGGAATGAATGAGGAAAAAAAAACTCTTACAGCCTTACTTAGCTATAAACTATGAGGTGTAAAATGAAGTCAGAAAAGAGACAAGAGGCCAGGCAGGGTGGCTCAGGCCCATAATCCCAGCACTTTGGGAGGCTACAGCAGGCAGATCACTTGAGTCCAGGAGTTCGAGACCAGCCTGGGCAACACAACAAAACCCTGTCTCTACAAAAAAAATACAAAAGATTAGCAGAGCGTGATGGTGCACGGCTATAGTCCCAGCTACTCAGGAGGCTGAGGTGGTAGGATCACCTAAGCCCAGGAGGTCAAGGCTGTGGTGAGCCAAGATGGTGCCACTGCATTCCAGCCTGGGTGACAGGGTGAGATCTTGTCTCCAAAAAAAAAAAAAAAAAGGACAGCTCCTACATGTTAGTACAGCAGCAACTACAGGGTATCCATCTGTATGGAGAGGCTTGGGGGCTTATCTTGAAGCCAATATGCAAGAGATCAATAAGCTGTAAGGATTTCTAAAGATGCTTTTATTTCCACTTCACATATGATACAGAAAACCATCAGCTGAAGAATATTATTATTATTTAGTTAAGGTTATTGTTGAAAAGGGTGCTGATAGATTAAGGGAGAGGTGGCTTTCCTCAAAGCTTCTCCTAGGTATAGTGTTGTTAGACAAAATTTAGCTAAAAATTACATTCCTAGGCTGGCAAGTAATCCTAGCACTTTGGGAGGCCAAGGTGGGAGGATTGCTTGAGCCCAGGAGTTCAAGACCAACAACCTAGGCAACCTAGTGAAATCCTATCTCTACAAAAAAATTTAAAACTTAGCCAGGCACGGCCAGGCGTGGTGGCACATGCCTGTAATCCCAGCACTTTGGAAAGCCAAGGCAGGCAGATCACTTGAGGCCAGGAGTTTGAGACCAGCCAGGTCAAGATGGCAAAACCCCATCTCTACAAAAAATACAAAAATTAGCCGGGCATGGTGGCAAATGCCTGTAATCCCAGCTACTCAGGAGGCTAAGGCATGAGAATCGCTTGAACCAGGGAGGCAGAGGTTGCAGTGAGCCGAGATTGTGCCACTGCACTCCAGCCTGGGTGACAGAGTGAGATTCTATCTCCAAAAAAAAAAAAAAAAACTTAGCCAGGCATGGTAGTACACACCTGTAGTCCCAGCTACTCGGGAGGATGAGGTGGGAGGATCGCTTAAGCCCAGGAGGTCGAGGCTGCAGGGAGCTGTGATCACACTACCATACTCCACCCTGGGTGACAGAGTGAGGTCATGTCTCAAAAAAAAAAATTACATTCCCAAAATATAGATACAGTTAAATGTGTTGTAAGCAACCTTCTTCAAGTAATGAAATACTTGATTATGTTTCTATGAGATGGCAGAAAGAGTGGGACAAAATAATCACTCCCTATTTATTCTATAGACCAAAACATAGGTGTTTTCCAACACACAGGAGTTTTAAGCAGCCTAATTAACATGGTGCTATACTCCCCCAAACCACGTATTAGAAGATATGGAAAGCAAAATCTGTTCGCTTATGTATTCATCCAAACACTTATCAAGTTCCCATGGACTGCTAGGTGCTATTCTAGATGTGGAGGAAAGGGAGCCAATAAGGAATTTACTTGAGGAATCTAGTTTAGGTGACCTGTGTACTAGAGCCCAGAAGAAAGCCAGAATAATTCTGTTCTCCGAGGAAGGCTTCAGAGAGGGAGGTTTGACCTGGGCTTGGCAGGATGGCAAGAGACCCGGGTTTAGATTCTAGTTCTCCTACCAGCTATGAGGTCATAAGAAAACCACTTAAACCTACTGACGTTCACTGGAAAACAGCAAAACCTGGTCCAGGCTAGGCTGCATGGAGATTACTGGGGATGTGTGAGAAAGTCCTCTATAAACTCTGCAGAGCTGTTCAATGGAAGAGAAAGGTGTTCCTGGCACGGAACACCACATCAGCAAAATCGCCAAGGGGTGAAGTGCAGAAGGCAAAAAAGAAGGCACGGGCAGGGGACCAGTCATCCTGAATGGACATGAGCTGCTCTAGGGGAAGCAGCAGGAAATAAGGCCTGGAAAGTGGATTAGCTCCAGAATCCTAGGGAATCTTAAATAACAGGCTTAACAATCTGAGGTGCACCCCACAGGTAACGGCTGTTAAGCAGCAAGCTGCAATCATGGACACATTTTACAAAAAGACTTCAGAAAAAAGCATGCAGAAAAAATAAAGAGGGAAATACAGGAGACGTGAGAGGGAGCAGTTGGGGAGCTGCCAACTGTCCAGGTACCCCTCTCCCAGTAGTACCTGACCTAGGGGGTAGGTGCCAGGAGAGGCAAGGGCAGATGAGAGGTGTTGTCAATGCTAAGATCATATGGCCTGGGATACCCTGATGAATGTTTCCTAGGTGGAAAAAAACAGTCTGGCCACACCAGGAGGAATCATGTTTCAATTCAGGTAAATTACAGAGGATTAGAAACTGCTATTATTCTAGCAAAATTGAATAAACCCAAGTTCAACAGCCCTGTGTGCCATCTACAGAGCCCATCCTTAGGATATGAGGGCAAGTCCTACTGAAATGACTGTGTTCAGCAAAGGCTCAAGCCAAGGTCACTGGGTACACCTTAACATATTCTTACCCACGTGACAGCTGCCTCTCACAGGTCACTCACCTTCAGTAATTTGCTTCAGTGATACCTGATTCAAACCGTTTTTTCCACTCTCACAAACCAGCAGCCCTCAGCACAGAAACTGACATGGGGAATCTTGACCATAGTCCATTTAAGGAGGCCAGCTGCACAAACAGCCCACAGACTGTCATCGCAACCTGGCTCTGACACCTGGCCTGAGTGTTCTCCTTAGGACATATGGACCCACCCTTGGCAGACAGCAAAAGGTGGACAGCTGATTGCCCGGGAACCTGGACTATGAGTTGACTCAAAACCACAACAAAACCCCAAAATAGAAAGCAAAGTCTTGGGGCTAAGATGGACTTAGGGACAAAATCCATCCTTTCACAGCAGTCTATACATATAGCTCTAAATCAAGGGAAGGGAAGATAAAGAAATTAAATGTTTAAGTTCACACTCTCTGCCAGGCACTGTGTAAGTCACTTTACATATTAAATGTCTCACTTAACCCTTAAAATAACTTGGTGGCAGAGGGGAGGAATTTTATTATCCCTGTTTTATTAAGAGAACAGGTTACAGACCAGGAAAGTTAAAAGACAAGAAGTCACTCAGCTAATAAGAAGCAGAGGCACAACCCAGCCTGGAGACTCCAGAGCAGAGGCTAGTAGCCCTTCACCGTCTGCCTCCATGGCGCCAGAGATTTCATTAAACAGTTACCTACCGGACAAGAAACCCCCAACTACCACCACATTCACCTTTGCATCTGTGGCATCTGGAGAAGTGCCTGGTGGTAAGCAATTCTTCATTAGTGTTTCTTAAAACAATGAAACTCCTGAACCACCAGTGGCAGAAAAATAAATCAAGCCACTTCTCTTCTCAAGGGAGCTGAAGAGTCAGCCAGCTCCAGAGAAGATCCAACCCAAAGTACCAGAAACCATTAACACACAGCTCCACTTAGCCATCAGCAATCCCCAACAGAATCCGGAAAAATAAAACGAGGCCCCACCAGTGTCTGCTCTTACAATAGAAATAAATGTGAGTGGTCAGACAGCATTGTGCAGGGGCACATCTGACTTGAACATTCAGTGTTAATGCAGGAGGTTAAGGGGAATCTCATCTCCAGGGAACTCTTGAGTAACATCTCTCTTATCCAAATAGCTTGATAACTCACCATGTCAATCCCTAAACTGATGGAACAGATCTGAGTTTTAATAATGATAACTATGGAACTTCAAAGAGTGAAGACAGAATAGATTATTCAATAAATGCTGATGGATTTTTTGGTTAACTATTTAGAAAATAGTTTCTCTAATGCTAAATGCAAAAATAAATGTCAGGCCATTTAAAGGTTAAAAAAATGAGTACTACATGATGATTTATACCAGGGGTCAGCAAACTTTTTTGTTAAGGAACAGTCTGTGGCCACAGTATCTCTCCTGCAACAACTCAAGTCAGCTGTTGTAGTGCAAAGGCAGCTATAGACAGTAGGTAAACAAATGAGGATGGTTATGTTCTAATAAAACTTTATGGCAGGGCATGGTGGCTCACACCTATAATCCCAGCACTTTAGGAAGCTGAGGCAGGCGGACCACCTGAGGTCAGGAGTTAGAGACCAGCCTGACCAACATGGTGAAACCCCATCTCTAATAAAAATACAAAATTAAACAGGCATGGTGGCACATGCCTGTAACTCCAGCTACTCGGGAGGCTGAGGCAGGAGAATCTCTTGAACCCGGAAGGTAGAGGGTGCAGTGAGCCGAGGTTGCACCATTGCACTCCAGCCTGGACAATAAGAGCAAAACTCCGTCTCAAAAAAACAATAAAAAATAAAAAACCTTTACTAACAAAGACTGAAATTTTAATTTCACTAATTTTCACATGGCACAGAATATAATTCTTTTTATTTCATCAGCCACTTAGAAATGTAAAAATCACTTTTAAAACTAATGGTGGGCGGGGCGCAGTGGCTCATGCCTGTAATCCCAGCACTTTGGGAGGATAAGGCGGGTGGATCACCTGATTTCAGGAGTTTAAGACCAGCCTGACCAACATGGCAAAACCCCGTCTCTACTAAATATACAAAAAAAAAAAAAAATTAGCCAAGCGTGGTGGTGGGCACCTGTAATCCCAGCTACTCAGGAGGCTGAGGCATGGGAATCCCCTGAACCTGAGAGGTGGACATTACAGTGAGCCCAGATCACGCCACTGCACTCCAGCCTGGGCAACAGAGCAAGAATCTGTCTTAAAAAAAAAAAGTTTTAATAAAATTAAACAAGACAATAAAAAAGCATTCTTAACCCATGGGTTATACTAAAACAGGCAGCTGGACAGATACACCCTTTTGGCCTTAGTCTGCCAATTTCTGATTTCGATGAATAGTATATAAAATCCTGTGGTTGGAAAGGCTTTCTAAACCCCAACAAAAAGCAGAATCCATAAAGGAAAAGCATAATAGACAGCAATTTTTTTTCTATGTCAAGAAGACATAACAAAGATTAAAATATAAATAACAAACTGGGGAAAGGATTTGAACATACATGAAAATAGGTTGTTTGCTTTAACATATTAAGGGTTTTGAAAAATCAGTATTTAAAAGGCAGATTCCACTACAAAAATGAACAAATTATGTAAATATAGCCAATAAACAATAATCATTCATCATCAATAGCATACAAAATGAAAATGAAAACAAGATATTGTTTCTCCCACCAAAGTGACAAAGATTAAAAAGATTACCTCTGATTGCAAAGCCACATTGTTTCTACTACAACACACTAAAAATATATTCAGGACACCACCACCAAAATAAAATGGCTTTTTCAAAGCTCCATTCAGTGCCAAAAGAGCAAGGGAAGGACTTTGCAAACAAGAGAGAATGTAGGCTGGATGACAATACTATGGTTAGGGGACTCTGTGACGGGCTGAATCATCTTGGCTAAAGAGAAAATGTTGATAACAGAACTGGCATCCCCACCTTCAATTTTCAGCCATGGCTAAGCGTCATCAATGTCTAAGCCGGGGACAAAGATTCAGAGCACATTACCGTATCCATTTGTTTTCAATGACCCAAGTGCTTTTCCTCTGTCAGTGGTGACTAATGACAGATGGTAATATTTATACCTAGTGAATTTCATCTTACTATGAAATTCAAGCCCCGGGAAAGCAGACAGTCCTCAAAATCACCCAAGGTAGCAGAAGACACAAGTGGCAGTCAGACAAATGCTGTGCAGATGGTAGATGTAAGGAACATTTTAAATTCTATGCATGATGGCGCTACCACACCAAGGGAGGAGCCCACATAGAGAAAGCAAAAAACCCATTCTTCTTGGATTTTGGTGCAAAGAAAACAGCTTCCAGAAGTGCAAATAGAAGGCTTAGAGATCCCCTTCCAGCTGCCATCAGCAAACCCACATCAAGAATTTTGAGGACTCTAGAATGATTTCCTTAGGCTGTGCCAAGCAGGAATTACAACTTTCTTTCTCTCTTTTTTAACCGTAGTAAAATACACATAAAATAAAACTTACCATCTTAACGATTTTTAAGTATACAGTTCACTAGTGTTAAATACATTCACAATGTTGAAGGAAACAATCTCCAAAACTCTGTTCATGCCCTTTTTAACCAAGGGACTTTTGGCTGTGATTGGGTTTGCCCTCTCACCCCAATTCTGCCTGCTCATATACATACATGTACATGTTTAAACAGAAAAATACAGACATGTATGCATGGCCACAAAAACACGCACCCCAGCAGTGGCACCAGAACAAAGCTCACTGCTTAGAAGAACAGCAGGTGCCTCCTCCAAAAGGTAGAAGCAGCACGTTGGTCCCCACAGTTGCAGACTGGAATCTGAGTACACCCTAGTCTAACAGCAGTCAGCCCCGTCCTAGGCCAAGATCCTCACCCTTGCACACATATCCTGAGATGAGCACATGTCAAAAGCATTGGTGGGGTACAGTGACAGCCTGTCGTTGCTCCTCACCAGCTGAGAGATTCCCCACGTCCCCTCAGAGCTCCCATTTCGTCACGTGTAAAATAGGGATAAAGTGCCTCTCTCGTACAGTATGAATGAGAGAAAACTAGTGGAGCACTCAGCCAAGTGCGCCCTGCATGGAGTAGCTCCTCCAACACCAGCTCCCTTCCCTCACCTGCCCTCACCCTTCAGCAATGAATGCAGCTCTCTTTTTGGTTTGTTTTTTGAGACAGAGTCTCACTGTGTCACCCAGGCTAGGGTGCAGTGGCGCGATCTTGGCTCATTGCAACCTCCGCCTCCCAGGTTCAAGCAATTCTCCTGCCTCAGCCTCTTAAGTAGCTGGGACTACAGGCACCTCCCACGATGCCTAGCTAATTTTTGTATTTTTAGTAGAGACGGGTTTCACCATGTTGGCCAGCTGGTCTCAAACTCCTGACCTCAAGTGATCTGCCCACCTCAGCCTCCCAAAGTGCTGGGATTACAGGCATGCGCCACCATGCCTGGTCCAACATAACCCTCTTCTATGTGTTCACTTGAGCAACAGACCGGGAAGGAAAAAAAGAGAATATGAAACAGAAGGAGAAATGAATGATGGAGAGTGAAGAGAATCCACAAAAAGCTCACCACAGTGAAGCTAATGAGGCTCACTCTTCTCTTCCCACTCACACAGTCTATCCGTCACCTCCTAAGGAGACACCTAAATGTCCCGCTAATACATTGCATACAGGACCAGCTAGAGCCCTCACAGGCAAGGCCACAGATGAAGAGAATCTAAAGGGAGAACACACTTTCGCCACCTCACATCACACGTGCCAGCAGCACCCAATTCCCTGCCAATCCTCAGACCATCAGTAATTCCCCCAAGTGCCACGAGCACTTTGTATGGGATGCCTTACTCACCTAGCTAATGCCCATTTGTGCTTCAAGACTCAGCTCCAAAGATACCTCCTCTAAGATGTGTTCTTTCTCAACCAACTTCCCCACCCACCAGTACTTGCCCAGTCTGGGCTGTGCAAATCCCCCCCCCCCAAGTTCTCTCATCATGCCCCTGTACCTAGCTCTTTCATAACACTTATGATCTGTGCTGTCATTGCCTGTTCATCCACCTGCCTCTGGCACTGAACCATAAGGTGTGAGAAAGCATGGACCTGGTAGCTGTTATTCTATCTCCAGCATGGTATCTGTGGCAGTTGGTATTTTTCAAAGGAAGGTCCTAACTATATCTCTGGTCTTACATGCTTATCTGTCATGTGACCTGGCCACTTCCCCATCAAGAGATGATGTCTATCAACCCATCCTGGTGAATCTGGGTAGACCCTCTGACTATTTTGACCAAAAGAATATGGCCGGGCCGGGCGCAGTGGCTCACGCCTATAATCCCAGCATTTTGGGAGGCCGAGGCTGGCGGATCACCTAAGGTCAGGAGTTCGCGACCAGCCTGGCCAACATGGCGAAACCCCCTCTCTACTAAAAATACAAAAATGTGCTGGGCTGGTGGCAGGTGCCCGAAATCCCAGCTACTCGAGAGGCTGAGGCAGGAGAATCACTTGAACCCGGGAGGCGTAGGTTGCAGTGAGCCGGGATCGCACCACTGTACTCCAGCCCGGGTGACAGAGCAAGACTCCATCTCAAAAAAAAAAAAAAAAAAAAGGAATATGGCCAAACTGATCCTGTGCCAATTTCAGGCATAGCCCTTATATGGCCCAGCAATTTCCACTTCCCTGACTCTTAGAATGCTCATTCTTGGGACATGCCCTCCAGGTACCCATCCACAACACTTTGAGTAGCCCAAGCCACATGGTGATGTCACACATAGGCACTCCAGTCAACTGTGGCCACAAGTGAGTCACCTTAGGCAACCAGTCCAATGAACCTCCAGTTGACTGCAGCCCCAGCCAACTTCTGACTCCAAATACAAGAGACACCTAGAGCAAAAAACACATACTTGAGGGTAGTCAACCCACAGAACCCTAAAAGATCACAGTACATTTGTGTTTTAACCTACTTAGTTTTGGGGTGGTTAAGCAATAGTACATAACCAAAACAATGTCTGCCTAGCAAATGAGGGGTAAAAGATAAAGGAACAATTAAATTGGGTATGATACAATGCGTGGCACATAGCAACCACTCAGTTTAAAAGCTGTTGCTGTTAATACTATTAAGATTACATGGAGGCCAAGTGTGGTGGCTCACACCTGTAATCCCAAAGCTTTGGGAGGTTGAGGCGGGAGGATCACTTGAGGCTAGGAGTATTAAGACCAGTCTGGGCAACATAGTGAGACCCATCTCCACAAAAAAAAAAAAAAAAAAAAAAAAAAAATTAAAAACTAGCTGGGTGTGGTGGTATGCACCTGTAGTCCCAGCTACTCTGGAAACTGAGGTGGGATGACTGCTTGATCCCAGGAGTTTGAGGCTGCAGTGAGCCATGACTGCACCACTGCACTCCAGCCTGAGCAACAGAGCAAGACTCTGTCTCTAAATAAATAAATAAATAAATAAATATCTTTAAAAAGATTATATGGAAGACGAACAAACTAGGAAACTGGTTAAAGAGGGTGTTACAGAATCCCGCCAGTGAAAAGTAATGAGATACACTGAGTCCACAATGGTGACGGGCTGAGCTCAAGTGTTTGATTCTTGTGTCACTCCAAGTTCCAAGGGAATGACAAAAGGAATATAAAAATAAAAATAAACCCATTAAAAAGCCAGAAAACAGGAACGGATGCCATCAATCAATAAGAAATTTTGAGGAATTTCTGGAAGAGATACAGCAAACAGGATCAAATTTACAGAAAAATCAGATTTAGCCAGAATTGAGGAACCAAAACCTAAAAGGTCAGTGGGAAATGCTAAATCTGGGAAGACATGGGATTTGCTATATAGGGTCTGGAAAAATACTCAAAATCAGAGACCACAGAGACTGAGAACAGAAGTAGGCACTGGGAAGGCAGGGGGCGGTGAGCAAAGGACTGTGGAGTGCCAAGTTGCTAACGCAACTGGAAGAAGGAAAAGAGGAAGGGTATTGTGGGAAGAGCATGAAATTCTCTACCTGCAGGGTAAACTCTTCCCCACTTCCTTAGTTCAGAAGGGTCCATCCAGCCTGCTGTCCTGTTATCAGCCACACATCCTGAAAGGAGGCCTGCCTAGGAGCAGTTCCAAAGACCTAGACTCTATCTGCTCCCGTCTCAGACTTACCCCACCCCTATCCACTCACCACAGCCAGGGCAAAGGCTGACTGCAGAGTCTCTGTGCACTGCCTATACATACATGTACATGTTTACACACACATAGACATGAGCGTGTGGCTACACAAATATGCACCCCAGTGGTAGCAGAAGAGCAAGTCTCAGTGCTGGGCAGGAGGAACAGCATGTGCATCACCAAGAAGGTAGAAGCAGAAGATCCGCACATCTGCAGACTGGAAACTCGGCATGCTCAAGTCTAATCAGCTCTTGTCCTTGGCCAAGATCATCATCTAGATATCACAGTCAGAGGAGGTCCAAAAACATGGGAACACTAAACAAACATAAGTGGGTTTAACTTTAAATTAAACAGAAAAGTAGAAACACCAGGATAGAATGAAATGAAAAATAAATGCATCATATAGAACATCAAACCAAGGAATTCTCTCAGGAGACACAGTGAAAATAAAATGCAATAAAATGAGACAAGAAAAGGTGAACCTAAAAAAGGACAGACCAAAACTCAGATATCCATAAGTGCTTTCTCCAGAAAAAGAGAATCAAGAACAAAAAAGGATGCAGATGAAGCAGTAAAACTAAAAGGGCCCACTGGATTTTGAGTGGGGATTAAAAAACAAAAAACATAAAATACCAGAAGAATGGTGAGATTTCTAAATTTCAGAAGAAGAAAAATCTAAGGATATGTAGAAGACTACATGAAGAAGAAAAAGAATCACTTGCACAGACTTCTCATCTGGAATAGTAAGTGCTGAACTAATTGAAACAATGGAATACTATGTAATCATTAAAAATGAAGGAAGAGTGTTGAGGCAACTAGTGGGGAGGAAGATCTCTATGTGCTAATATGGAACAATCGCCAAGAACTAAGGTTATGTGTAAAGCGTGGTACAAAAAAGTAAGGTATGCTACCATCTTTAAAAAAAAAAAAAAAAAAAAGACTACACATAGGCATTTTTATATTTATGCATAGCATATCTTTATAAAGTTTCCCCATAAATTGGTAACACTGGTTGCCTCTGAGGAGGGAAACCTGCTGACAGGGAAAGGGGATGCTAGGCCCTGGGCAAAAGGAAGATTTTTCACCAAATTTTTGTAACTTCTAAATTCTGTGTGAAGAGAATGCATTGCCTACACACACACACACACACACACACACACACACACACACACACACAAATTTAAAATAAAAAGGACAAGCCACAGAATGGGAGAATATACGATATCCAGAATATATAAAGAACTCCTGATAAGAATATATAAAGAAAATTTAGGCCGGGCACAGTGGCTCACACCTGTAATCCCAGCACTTTGGGAGGCCAAGGTGGGCCTGAGGTCGGGAGGTCGAGACCAGCCTGACCAACATGGAGAAACCCCATCTCTACTAAAAAGACAAAATTAGCCAAGTGTGGTGGTGCATGCCTGTAATCCCAGCCACTTGGGAGGCTAAGGCAGGAGAATCACTTGAACCTGGGAGGTGGAGGTTGCAGTGAGCTGAGATCACACCATTGCACTCCAGCCTGGGCAACAAGAGTAAAACTCCGTCTCAAAAAAAAAAAAAAAAAAGAAAGAAAAAATTTAGGCTGGGCACAGGGGCTCATACCTGTAATCACAGCACTTTGGGAGGCAGGCATATCATTTGAGGTCAGGAGTTTGAGACCAGGCTGACCAACACAGTGAAACCCCATCTCTACTAAAAATACAAAAAATGAGCCAGGCGTGGTGGCACACGTCTGTAATTCCAGCTACTGGGGAGGCTGAGGCATGAGAATCGCTTGAACCCAGGAGGCAGAGGTTGCAGTGAGTCGAGACGGCGCCACTGCACTCCACGCCTGGGCAACAGAGCAAGACACTGTCTCAAAAAAAAAAAAAAAAAGCATATAAATAACTCAGAACATATATATATATAGAACTGAGTAACAAAAACAACCCAAAGGCAAAAGATTTGAACAAAGACTTCACAAAAGAGGATACAGAATAGCCAATTTGCATGTGAAAGAGGCTCAGCATCATTAGTAATCATGTAAACACAAATTATAACCACAATGAGATATCACTACATACTCACTAGAATGGCTAAAACTAAAAAAGTTGACAATACCAAGTCTTGACAAGAATGTGGAGCTACCCAACTCTCACACATTACATTGTAACTTGACTCTTAGATATTTACTCAAGAGAAATGAAAACACGTCAACCAAAGACTTGCACATGAATGATCACGGCAGCTTTATTTGTGTCTTTCTAGGAATTTGTCTATTCTGTCTAAATTACATAATTTATTGGCACAGGTTCACAGTCCTCCTTGCAATCCTTTTTCCTTTCTGTAAGGTCATTAGTAACATGACCTTACAGACCCACTCTTTCATTTCTCATTTTAGTAATTTGAATCTTCTTTTTTTCTTAGTCAATCTAGCTAAAGGTCTGTCATTTTTCTTGATTTCTTTTTCAAAGAGCCAATTTTGGTTTCAGGTTTTTCTCCACTGTTTTAGACTGCTCTTTTTAATCTTGGGGTAGAAGAAGAGAAACAGAAACCTGAAAAGCCCTGAAATGCAACAGACTCTCCAGTGGGGATTTGGCTAGCAGCACCTAGCACAGTGCCCGACACTTGATAAATATTTGATGAATAAATGAATGGAATATGAACTTCCTAAGTCCAGTTTCTCTCATCCATTTCCTCTGGGAGAGAATTCTGTTTTCTGGCCAGTGAAATAAACCTTTCTTCTGAAGACAAACAGGTCACATAGAAAGATTCCTCTTTTCTTTTCAGCATCATCATGTTGAATGAGCCAAGAGTAATTTACTTATTGAAACAAAATGAAAATCAAATTAAGGAGAAGACGTGAACATTTCTACTATAATCAGATCCATGGTAATATAAATATAACATAATTGTGAATATTTATTGTGAGCTGCTTATTTGTTAAGGCTATCTGTAATTTGGCCTTGAAGTCATAATTTATAGTAAATGAATCCTAGCTCACTCAGGATTTTCTTCTCCACAATTTATGTACTCTTTCTGCAGAACTGGTTGTTTCCCCTTCCCCATATGCCTTGAGTTTTATCATAGTCTCACTATATAATCTTACTATTCTAGAAAGCATTCTTCCTTTTCTTTCATCTTTTACTTTCTGAATATTTAAGGTACACCACACACCTCAAGATGCACCTATTCCTACTATCAGTATCTATCAAAATATATGTAAGTCTTAGCTACTTGGGAAGATTGCTTGAGCCCAGGAGTTCAAAGCTGCAGTGAGCCACAATCACGCCACTGCACTCCAGCTTGAATGACAAAGCGAGATCCTATCTCTTAAAAAAAAAAAGCAAATAATCTTCTTTGTAGCCATATAAAGTATGTTGTTCATATGAGTTATGACTATCAGTTATGAGAAGAGATTTTGGACCCTATTGTACATAACCTTATTAAGCTATCAAAACAACCTTATGAGACAGGTACTATTATTAACCCCATTTTATGGATGGGACAACAGGGTTCAGAGGAGGTAAGTGATTGCCAGCCAGTAAGTGATTATATTAGAACTCCCTTGGCCAACTCTAAAGGCTCTATTCTCTCTACGCAGCTGCAACGGCCTCACACCTACATTGCTCTAACCAACCTCTCTAACAATTCTCAACTTCTTTACACAGTGTGCTTCCTTGCTTTGGAACAAGAGGTGGTAAGTATGCTTTATTCATTTAGCTTCTGGCAACATTGTTTCTCACAATTAACAGATTAACAGATTCTCTTGACCCATTTACTGCAACACCACAAATCTACAGATAGCTGGGAAGTTCCTTGATTCACGAATAAATCAATAGCAAGACTTTTCAAGTAGCCTTTTCATAATTTAAACACAAGGAGAATTTAAAATGGGAAATGTGTTTTTGTTTTAAATCAAGGAGCAAACACGCCAGGATCAACACTTGAAGACATATTCGTTTATGTAGTAACAAAACTGGTTTATGTGAAATGCAAACATTGCTTTCATAACTTACGATCTTGGGATACTGCAATGTATCTTTAATAAACATTACCCTTTCTACTCACACTCAGTACTGGGTACAGCAAAATCTAAGAGAATTTGAATGATTTGAGAAAAGCAAAATACAGTGGCTACCTTGTTCTTCAGAGTCAGACTGGAAGTGAAGATGTGACCATTTTGCTCAAACCATGGCAGGGGAGACACGCCTAGATATCTCCACACGCACACACGAGTACCACAGCCCCACACCTGTCAATCCACAAATCTAAACAATGTCTAGCCTATCATACTATATGAGATACTTTCTAGGTTACTCAAAAAGCTTCAAGAATACCTAAAATAATGTGCCAGGTCTCCCAGCACACCTGGAGAGGAGGATCTGGTTACAGCAGAAGAGTGAAGGCAACTCAACTGCATCCTCTTACAAAGAGGTGTCAGTCTAATCCCCAACAGAGCCACCTCCCAGAAACACTTCTTCCATTTCCACTTGTTGACAAGTTGGTCGTTCCTCTCTCTGGGGAGAAACTGAAATGAAGCTAGAGTAACCCCTCACTAGAATAAGGATTGTTCTAAAGGAAACCAGAACAGAGCTAACGTCACCGGGCTGAAAACACCTCTTCCTCTTTCACGGAGACTGGCAATGTTCTAGGCAAGGAAAGTCCTCTGCCAGGAAGGATGAGGGCAAGGGCATGAAATGGGGTCCAATAAAGTCTGGACAACTGTGAAACAACCGAAGGTTTGCCCCTGCTCCATGACTTGAACCAGGAAAAAAAAGAATGTCTCAAGCCAGAACAAAAAGTTCACAAAATTGACCACAGAGGGAAAGGGTAAAACTCACCACAAGCCAACATTCACCCATATTTGACCTGAACAGATTTGAAAAACTACCAGAAAAGCACTGTCTCTTTTTTCCCTTTGTCACAGTTTAGCCTTATCTCTTTGGGGTTTTGAGCAGTTATGAAAATGTGGCTGTTATCCCTTCTCAAAAACAGTCATAACTGCTCAACAGGACTATGAGTGAGAGCCCTCACTGGCCCCTTTTTTTGAAGCATGATCAGAGTTTGTTTGGTATCAACCATTATTAACCAAATTAGAAAGAGAGAGGGAAGATTCTTTCTCCCTAATTTGGTCAAATAGCCACCCGGGGAGACTATACTCTTGAAGGCTGGGAGAAGGACCCTTCTGACACAGCAATGCTGCATCCTTCCAAGGCTGGCAGACATACTGACATAAATTCTTTCACACACACGCAAGACAGACTATACACGATTTATACATTTTTTCAACTTAACGTTTTTTTCCATTGTTGCATATAAGTATATACAGGGCTGCCTTATTCCTTTTAATACCACATTTCAAAAACTACCATAGTTTACAAAACCAGCACCCTACTAATAGCCATATAAGCTTTTATCTTTTGCTATTAAAAATAATACTGCAACAGGTATCCTTATACACACAGCATTTAGCACGGGTCCATTTATTGAGTCACCAAATATCTGTATACTCCACCCATACCAGGTTTGGTTCATGCATGGAAATTTAGCAATAAGCAAACCAGATCAGGCCCCTTGCCTTCAAGAAGTTTACAGCACAGTACTGGAGAAAGTAAACCAAGTATGTCTGGTGGTTTAAGTTCTGCGAAGCAAGATTAAAGCCAGGTAAAGGGGGAGAATAACTGGGCAGGGAGGGGTCTGCTACTAGTTTGTTTTTTGTTTGTTTGTTTATTTGTTTGTTTTTGACACAGAGTCTCACTCTGTCACCAGGCTGGAGTGCAGTGGCCCGATCTCGGCTCACTGCAACTTCTGCCTCCTGGGTTCAAGAGATTCTCCTGCCTCAGCCTCCTGAGTAGCTGGGACTACAGGCACGCGCCACCACGCCCAGCTAATTTTTGTATTTTTAGTAGAGATGGGGTTTCACCATGTTGGCCAGGATGGTCTCTATCTCTTGACCTCGTGATCCGCCTGCCTCGGCCTCCCAAAGTGCTGGGATTACAGGCGTGAGCCACCGCGCCCGGCCAGGGGCTGCTACTAGTTTATACAGGGAGGTTGGGGGAGGCCTGAATGAAATAGATGAACAAGCCTGCAGGCTGTCTGGGCCAAAAGGCGTGAGGCAAGGGAGTGGGCAGGGGGAGAGAGAAGTGGACGGAGGCCAGAGAAGCAGCAGAGCCAGATTACCCATGTACTTGGAGCCCATGGAGGATTTGAGGGGAATGTGTGAGAACTGAGAAGTCTCTGGATGGTTTCAAGCAAAAGCAAAAAAGAGGCCAGGCGCGGTGGCTCATACCTGTAATCCCAGCACTTTGGGGGGACGAGGTGGGCAGATCACAAGGTCGGGAGTTCGAGACCAGCCTGGCCAACATGGTGAAACCCCATCTCTACTAAAAATACAAAAAATTAGTCGGGTGTGGTGGCAGGTGCCTGTAATCCCAGCTACTCGGGAGGCTGAGGCAGGAGAATTGCTTGCACCCAGGAAACAGAGGTTGCAGTGAGTCGAAACCGCACCACAACACTCCAGCCTGGCCAACAGAGTGAGACTCCATCTCAAAAATTAATTAATTAATTAATTAAATTTAAAAAGCAAGAGACATGATGCGACTGATGTTTCTTATGTTTTAAATAATCCCTCCGGTTGCTGCCTGGATATATGACTGAAGGTGGGAAGGTGGAAGCAGGAAGACGAGTCAGGCGGCTGGTACAGTAATGCAGGCAAGAGGGGATGACAGCAGTCAGGGTAGCAGCAGTGGAGAGAGTGAGAAGTGATGAGATTCTGGACATGGTATTTCAGAAGCACTTGCTGATGGCTTAGGTATGGGATGAAAAAGGGAAGAGCCGAGGCTAATTCCAAGGCTTATCCTTGGAATTAAGAGTGAGCTAGATAACTAGCTTGACATGCCTGTTGGAGATGCAGGGTTAAACATCAAGAAGGCAGTGGGAGACAGGAATTTGGAATTCAGGAGAGAGGTTTCTGGCCTGGAGTTATCAGTGTGTAGATGTGTGAGGCTGGATGAGATTGCTTAGGGACACCATGCAGATGAAGAGAGGCCATATCAGAATGGAGTCCTACAGCAGTCCAACATTTAGAGCTAGGGAGATGAGACGGAACCAGCCAAGGAGACAGAGGAGGAACAGCCAGTAAGGTACATAAGGAACCAACAGTGAGTGGAATCCCAGAAGCCAAGTGAAGATTCAGCTCTTCCTGTCTGTGCCAGGGTGGTGCCTGGTCCATGCCAAGCTACAGAGATGCCTTAGTTGTGCCCTCAGGATGACTGCATGGACATGGCTGCACCCACAGTAGTGGAGACTCCTGGCATCAAGCTCTTGGGGAAGTGGACACTTTCCTGCAGGATGGCACTGCAGTGATGGAGAAGTGATGCCAAGTGCCAGCCCCACAGCCCAGGATGCTATGCGGCCAAGCACTTCTGCAAGTGAAGGGAGGATCAAAAGACAGAAACGACCTCAATGTAGAGGTCTTGAATGATGTTAACTAGAGGTGGAGAGGAAAGAAAGCCTTCTCCCTTCACATGCTAGTTTATCCGCAGGACAGACACAAACAGAAAAGAACTTGTTGAATCAAAAGAAACATACGTATTTGTAATTTTGATATATGTTGCCAAATTGCCTCCACAGGTGTTTGTACCATTAGCCATATATGAAACTACACCTACTGGGCAAGGCTGAATGAGAAAAGCTGAAAGCATGCTTGTCTGATAGTGAACTTCCTCTGAGTGAATTAGAGAATTCTCCTAAGTCAACTGATCTCAATCTTGGCTGCCCGTTAGAATTATCATGGTGGCTCACGCCTGTAGTCCCAGCACTTTGGGAGGCTGAAGTGGGCGGATCACGAGGTTGGGAGTTCGAGACCAGCCTGGCCAACATGGTGAAACCCATCTCTACTAAAAATACAAAAAAATTAGCCAGCGTGGTGGCAGGTGCCCGTAATCCCAGCTACTTGGGATGCTGAGGCAGGAGAATCACTTGAACCTGGGAGACAGAGGCTGCAGCGAGCCAAGATCGTACCATTGCACTCTAGCCTAAGCGACAAGAGCAAGACCGTCTCAAAAAAAAAAAAAAAAAAAAAAAAAAAAGAAGAAAGAATTATCTAGAGAAACTTTACAAAAAAAAAAAATACTGCTCCCTGGGCCATCCTATTAGATCTAAATTTCTTGAGATAGGGACCAGGCATCAGTATTGTCTAAGAGATCTTTGGAGGATCTGAATGCTTAGCCAAGACTGATAACCTTGTTCTAAGACAGTGTTTCTCAATGTTTAATGTGCATACAAATCACTTAGGGATCATGTCAAAATGCAGATTCTGAATCTCTGTATCTGGAATTAGGTCTGAGAGTCTGCAGTTTCTATGAGCTCTCAGGTGATGTCAATGCCACTCACCTATGAGCCACACATTAAGTAGCGAGGTTCTAAAGCAATAGATGTCGGCTGGAAACATCGAGAGGAGGATGAGCTTAGCACGGGTGGGAAAGCAAGAATTCGCATGACATTCCAGGCAGCTCACGAGGAAAATCACTTGGCAGAGACGTAACTTCCCAGGAGGGCACCAGGGAGGTAAACAGGTACCTGATCACAGAAGGCCAGGCTAAGGACTTGGACCATTACTGCGTAAGCAATGGGGAGTCAATGCAGATCTCCAAAGATGGGAATGATCCATACAAGGCAGCACTTTATGAAGGTGGATTCTGGCTACAGTACTCAGAACAGACTGGATGGGAGAGGAGGGCCTGAATGAATGAAAGCCAGGAAAACCATTTAGATAATCATACATCCAATTAGGATATCAACAACGGAAATGAAGAGCAACATTAAAGAACAGTGGCTGGCCAGACAAAATGGCTCACATCTGTAATCTCAATACTTTGGGAGGCCAGGGTGGGAGGATCGCGTGAGTTCAGGAGTTTGAGACCAGCATGGACAACATAGGGAAACCCTGTCTCTACAAATAAATAAATAAATAAAAAAAATTAGCTGGACATGGTGGCATAAGCCTGTGGTCCCAGCTACTCAGGAGGCTGAGATGGGAGGATCACTTGAGCCTGGGAGGTTGAGGCTGCAGTGAGCCGAGATCGCATCACTGCACTCCAGCCTGGGCGACAGAGTGAGACTCTGTCTCAAAAAAGTAAAAAATAAAATAAAAAGTAACTTAAAATAAAGACCTAAACATCAGACCCAAAACCATAAAACTCCTAGGAAAAAAAACATAGGGGAAAAGCTTCATGACACTGAAGTTGGCAATAGATATGATATCAAAAGCACAGACAGCAAAAGCAAAAACAGGCTAACCTAAAAACTTATGTTTTGTCCGAAGGACACAACCAACAGAGTAAAAAGGCACTTACAGAATGGGAGAAAATGCTTGCAAAACATATATCTGAGAAGGGGCTAATACTAAGAATATATAAACAACTTCAATAACAGTTTTAAAAGACCCAATTTTAAAATGGGCAGGGGACTTGAATGGACACTTCTCCAAAGATGACATATAAATGGCCAATAAGCGTATGAAAATATATTGAACATCAGAAAACTGCAAACCAAAACTGCAATGAGCTATAACCCCACACTTTCTAGAATAACTACTATCAAAAAAAAAAAATAAAATAATTAGTGTTGGCAAAGACATGGAGAAAACAGAAGCCTTGTATACACTGTTGGCAGGATTGTAAAATGGTGCAACTGCTTTGGAAAACAGTATGACGAGTCCTCAAAAAATTAAAAACAGGTTATCACATGATCTGCCAATCCCCTTCTAGGTATATATCCATATCCAAAAGAAGGTCTCAAAGAGATATTTGCATAACCATGTTCATTGCAGCATTGTTCACAATGGCCAAGAGGCAAAAGCAACCTAATGTCCATCAGAAAAATGGGTTAAGAAAATGTGATACATATACACAATGAAATACTATACAGCCTTAAAAAAGATGGAAATCCTGTCACATGCTACAGCATGGATGAGCCTTAAGGATGTTATGCTAAGTGAAATAAGCCAGTCACCAAAAGACAAATATTGACAATTCTATTTACAGGAGGAATCTAAAGTATTCAAAAACAATAGAAACAAAGTGGAAAGGTAGTGACCTAGGGCTGGGGAAGACAGAGAATGGCAGCAGTCATTTAATGGGTATAGAATTTCAGTTTTGCAAGATGAAAAAGTTCTGGAGATCTGTTGCACAACAATGTGAATATACTTAACACTACTCAACTGTATACTTAAAAATGGTTAAGATGATTAAAAACAAGCCAGGGTACTTAACGCCATCGTATTGTACATTCATATCTAAAATTACCATTAACCTCAAATGTCAAAATTATTGTAGAAAAGTCATAAATTGTATTTAATGTCTTTTCTTTGGGAAAAAAAAAAGTACATGTGCTTAGGAAACAACCCAATGTCCATCAATGGATGAATAAACAAAATGTGGTATATCCATAAAATGAAGTATTATTCACCCATAAAAAGGAATGAAGTAACACTGGAGGGGTGGAGGAAAAGGAGAGATACTGGTCAAGAAGTGTGAATTTTCCATGACAGGATGAATAAGTTCTGGAGACCTAATATACGGCATGGTGACTATAATGTATTTTATACTTAAAATCTGCTAAGAAAATAGATCTAGGCTGGGCGTGGTGGCTCACACCCGTAATCCCAGCACTTTGGGAGGCCGAGGCAGGTGGATTACGAGGTCAGGAGATCAAGACCATCCTAGCTAACATGGTGAAACCCCATCTCTACTAAAAATACAAAAATCAGCCAGACATGGTGGCGTGCACCTGTATTCCCAGCTACTCGGGAGGCTGAGGCAGGAGAATCACTTGAACCCAGGAGGCAGAGGTTGCAGTGAGCTGAGATCGCGCCACTGCACTCCAGCCTGGGCAACAGAGTGAGACTCCATCTCAAAAAGAAAAAAAGAAAATAGATCTAAAGTGTTCTCACCACAAAAAGGCAATTATGTGAGGTGATGGATATGTTTAGCTAGCTTAATTGTGGTAATCATTTCACAATATTTAAGTGTATCAAAACATGTTGTACATCTTAAGTCTATACAATTTTTGTCAATCATACTTCAATAAAGCTGGAAAGGGAAAGGAATGAAGTACTGATACATACAACATGGAGGAGGCTTTCAGACACTAGATTAACTGAAAGAAGCCAGGCACGAAAGGCCACACATATTGTATGATTCCATTTATATGAAATGTCCAGAATAGGAAAACTCCAGAGACAGATGGCAGATTAGCAGTTGCCAGGGGCTGGGAATAGGGAAAATGGACAGTGTTTGCTCACAGGTATGGGGTATCTTTTTGAGATGATGAAAATGTTCTGGAATTAGATAGCAGTGACCATTGCATTATCTTGTGAATATATTCAAAACCACTAAAATGTATGCTTTAAAAGGGTGAATTTTATGGTATGTGAAGTATATCACAATTTGTAAAAGGCATACATGCCTTAGAAAATCTATAATTTTTGACCTACTTTTCCTCAAATTCCTGTTCTATTCTTGCCATCATTCAGCCAGTTCCTAAAGCCAGTGACCCTAGAGTCTCTTCCACAGTGATCTTTCACTGTTTGTCCTGCACACCTCACAGCTGCTTCTGAACCCGGTAGCTGGAATTGGGACTTCCTTACTGTTTCAGTCTCCTCCCCAAGCCACTGTTGATTGGCCCAGGTTGAGCTCAGTTGATCAGCCTAAAGGTAGGCACGTGACCCAAGCCAGGTCTCCCTGACCTTTTCCCCTGGGAAGATAGACTCACTCCCTTTCTGGAGGCACAGCTGTGCAATGTGAGGGAGGCGCGCTGCCACAACTCCCCCTGCGTCGATGATGTTAGTCTGAGAGAATAAAGCCGACCCTCAGTAGCATTCAGACCCCTGGTTCCAGCTTACTCCTACGTTAAAGCAAGCCTGTCTATAGGCTCACCTTTTTGCTAAGTTAATGCAAGCTAGATATCTATTATTTGCAAGCAAACCACTAACCAGTACACTCTCTGAATCCAGTGAGCCAAAGCCCTACTGAAACTGCCTCCCCCAACCTCCCACTGCAACAGCCTTCTTCTTGGACTCCTTGCCGCCAGGCTCCACCCACCCAATCCCAGCTAGTTCTTGATCAGTGACTCTAACCCCAAACACGGCCCTGTTCCTCCCCCGCTTAAAACACTTGATTGGAATGAAAAGATTAGCCAGGCACAGTGACACATGCCCACAGTCCAAGCTACTCAGTAGGCTGAGGTAGGAGGATTGCTTAAGCCCTGGAGTTCTAGTAAACTATGATTGTGCCACTGCCCTCCTCCACCCTGGCCAAAAGAGTGAGACCCCATCTCTTTAAAAAACAGCAACAACAACAACGACGACAAACACTTAATTGGTCTCCCAATTACTCAGGTTAAAGTCCTTACTATTTGCCACTACAGACCACAGCCAGGACCCTACCAACCTTTCCAGCCTCATCAATCCCCTTGCTCGCTGTGCGTGCATCACTTGACACTGCTAAGCTTTAGTATGTGCTGGTTCTTCCGCCTGAGTTGCTCTTCCTTCTGTCCATTTGTAAGACATGTATTCCTTCATTCTCCAGCTCAAACATCATCTTCTTTGGAAAAGCCACCATCCTCCAAAGCAAGGTCTCACCCTACTTTATTCCCTATACATAACTTTCATCATCTACATGGACATAGGGCATGGAATGACAAAGGAGACTCGAAAGGGTGGAGGAAATGGAAGAGGGGTGGGTGATGTGAAATTATTGAGTACAATATACATTATTTGGGTGATGGGTACCCTAAAAGCACTGGATTTCACTACACAATCTATCCATGTAACAAAATTACATAGGTACCCCGTAAATTTAAACAAATAATTTTTTTTTTTTTTTTTTTAGTCAGAGTCTCACTCTGTCACCAGGCTGGAGTGCAGTGGCACAATCTTGGCTCACTGCAATCTCCAACTCCCTGGTTCAAGCGATTCTCCTGCCTCAGCCTCCCAAGTAGCTGGGATTACAGGCACGCGCCGCCATGCCCAGCTAATTTTTGTATTTTTAGTAGAGACGTGGTTTCACCATGTTGGCCAGGATGGTCTCGATCTCCTGACCTCGTGATCCACCCTCCTCGGCCTCCCAAAATGCTGGGATTACAGGCATGAGCCACGGCGCCCGGCCTGTCACTCAGGTTTAACAAATAATTCTTTTAAAAAACATAATAACTGGGCCAGGTATAGTGGCTCACATCTATAATCCCAGCACTTTGGGAGGCCGAGGTAGCAGGATCGCTTGAAGCCAGAAGCTCAAGACCAGCCTGGGCAACATAGTGAGACGCCTCTCTCTACACACACACACACCAAAAAAAAAAAAAAAAAAAAAAAAAAAAGTTTAAATAGCAAGGCACACCATACACCACTAGGAGCTAAGACTGGTCAGGAGCTGAGGACTACTCAGGAGGCTGAGGCAGAAGGATCACTTAAGCTCAGGAGGATTTTGAGGCTGTAGGAGCCAAGATTATGCCACTATACTCCAGCCTGGGCAACAGAGCAAGGCCCCATCTCTAAAAAATATATATATACATATATAAACTGTAGCAGATGCTGTCAGTGCCCCACCCATACAACCCCTCACCCTGATCACACTTCAGTGCCCACTGGTCTGACTTCCACCTACCAGCATCTGCATGTCTTGGCCTGACCGCTTCCCCTGGCCACTGAACCTCCTCTGCCCACCCATGGGGCAGGCTAGAAAGCACCTGGTGATTCACGTCCAAACACCCCACCCAAGCAGCCGTCAACCAATGAGTAAAGAGAGCTGCTGTTTGAAGACCCCAGCTTCCTCACCTGGAGTGGGAATAACCGAGGCTCGTGCTCCATGCTGGCTCCCAGCGGCTTCCTCCGTGGGGTAAAGCTCCAGCTCTGCTCAGTGGAAACTGGCTTGGTAACGTCGCCTCTGCTGATTGCCTTCCCTTCCCTGTCTCGCTGCCTTGCTCCTCTAATGCCAGTTCCTTCAGCTCTCAAGCGAACTATGGGCGATTAAATGCTTTCTCAGGGTCTGCTTCTAAGGCAACGACAAGACTTAGCACTGCTGTGGCCTTTACTGTGCCCCAGACACTAAACACCCAGCTAAGCTTCAGAATCCCCCTGTAAGATAATCCCAATTTTAGATAGGGGAAACAGAGGCATTACAAGGTTAAGAAACTTGCCCAAGGCCACAGAGCTAAGTAAATACATGCAGCATTTTTCACATGCTACCGCAACCATCTGTTGATGTGTCTCTCTTCTTCACTGGACCATTAACCTCTCGGGGGAGAGATCTTCTTTATCTTTCTCTACAGCCCCAGCATGTAGCACAGAGCCAGGTATGTAGCATATGCTCACGAGCTATAGGGGTTTTGAAAAGCGCCTGCACTCGGCCACCCAAACACGCTGTGTGCTCTTCCCGCCTCTGTGCCCCTTCTCAAGCAGGAACCCCCAAACACCTTTTCCACTATCCCACTTCCCCCCCACCAACACACACACAAAAATTCACACAAACAACAATTCCTGATCCCTGCGCTGGCTGCCAAAATGAAGAATTCTATGGGGCAAGGCAGACATAAGACAGCATATGAGTCCTCTAATGTCTAGTAAACAAACCCCATTGCTCATACATGCATCAGCGCCTGTTGGCCAGGCTGTTGTTTATGTACTTATTTTACTTTGAGAGGCTCTCATTTATCGTGGAACACCGGCCTTCCTCCCAGTGGCCTTCACTAACACCTGATTTTCAAACTGCGATGACATCCTACCCCCTACTTTATTGTCAATATGCACTTTGTCTAAATTCTGACCTCAAACCTCTCCATCTTCTATTCCAGTCTCTATTTGGATCTACTGGGATTATACATCTATTTAATAAAAAAGAGCTTCCTGGAGGCAGCATTTGTTTGAGCCTTGAAGTTTGAGTAGGCTTGCAACAGTGGCCTTCAGGCATCCTCTGTCCTGAATGCCTGACTTGAAACCGTGTCCACGTCATCTTTACACTTCACTCGCACATGTGCTTCCCGGTCTGCGCCCCCCTCTCAAAGACGGCACCACTGTTCAGCATCAATCTCCTGGACTTTCTAGTCAGTCACCCCCACTACACCAAAATCTGTCATCTTTATATTTTCTAATCTTTCTCTTGTCAGGCAACAAGTCCAACCAAAACCAGGTTAATTCTTCCTATCTTACCTCTTTCACGGCTGGTCTTTCCCCATCCCAAGCCCTGATCACACATCCCCCTGCTCAAAAACCCTCTTGGGGCCGGGAGCAGTGGCTCACACCTGTAATCCTAGCACTCTGGGAGGCCAAGGAGGGTGGATCACCTGAAGTCAGGAGTTTGAGACCAGCCTAGCCAACATGGTGAAACCCCATCTCTACTAAAAATACTAAAATTAGCCTGGCGTGGTGGCATGCACCTGTAATCCCAGCTACTCGGGAGGCTGAGGCAGGAGAATCGCTTGAACACAGGAGACGGAGGTTGCAGTGAGTCAAGGTAACACCACTGCACTCCAGCCTGGATGACAGAGCGAGACTCCGTCTCAAAAACAAACAAACAAACAAACAAAACCACGCCCTCTAGGACTAGCTACTGCTGAAAGAATAAAAGCTAACCTCCACATCACAGCACTCAAAACAGTCTCATTAACCTCCTGACCTGTCTACCCACCTCGTCTCTCACTAATCTCCACCTCTAGACTCTCAAAACCCACTCCCAACGCATGACCCAATTCAGTCCTCCTCCAGCGGCCACAGGTCTTTCCTGTCTCTGCCCTTCACCTTGGGGCTTTTCCCACCCCACATCTGAAAGCCCCCTCCAACTTCACGGACCTGGTGAAAACACAACCTCTGCGACCTCAGCTGATCTGCAGACATACCCCCAGCTAGTGGGGCTGCCAATAGGAATAAACACCCCATTCTCCCTACTCCTCAGGTAAAACCCAATTTTCAAGTCATATTTTAAGGTCACGGTATTGGTAATTTAAGTTTCAAGTGGCAAACCAAATTGAAAACAGTATTAACAAAAGGGAATTTATGACCCCCTATAACCAGGAACCCGTTCTAACTTCAGGCACAGCTGGCACAGTCGGATCCTGAACTCAAATGATCTTGCCCCTCTTCCTCTCCTAGCTCTACTTCCCTCTGGCTTCATTCTTAAGCCAAGCACTCTCTGCATTGAAGGACACGACCATTCACAATCTAGTAGAAAGGCAAGACATTCTTTCCCCCATCATCCATCTCATAAATCTCAGGAAAGACTGCCTGGCTCTGTTAGGGTCACACATCCACCAGGGATGCTATTTTGGCTAATAAAAGATATTGATGTTAGACCAGAATGGGAAGGATGAGGAGACAAGCCAGGGTATTTCTGTCCCAACCTGCTCTCTGCCTCAGATCGTGCCACTGGCAGCGGCTGCCTCCCCTCCAGGGCCCCCTTCCTCTAAGGTCCCAGCTCCTGCTCAATGACCCTGCCACAGGTCTAGTTCTCACAGAAGCTCCTGGGTTCTACTTAACTTCGCCTCTTCCCCTAACCCTCCAGTCCTGAGGGTAACAGCAACTTCCTGCTACTGCTACTCTCTGGGTCAATTTACCACCCATCACCTATGCAACTAACTCCTTGTATTATAGTCTCTCTGTTTGAAATAACTTCACTGGCTTTTATTCCCTGATCAGACCTCAACTAATATAGAAATCGACAAAGCATAGGCCAAAATGTAGAAAGAAATGTGGAGAGTACAATATCAAGGAATAACAACCACCAACACCTCCCATTTCTTAAAGGTTCGCTATATACATCACCCACTACTCTACGAACTCGCTGGGTCTTCCTATCAACCCAGTGACATGGGCACATCTGTTATCCCCTTTTCACAGATGAGAAAACTGAGGCTCAGAGACGTTAAACAACTTGCTGTTACCAAGACTCTAAGTGGTGGGGCTGAGATTCAAATCCAGACAACATGATTCCAGCATGAACAACTTTTTTTTTTTTTTTTGAGATGGAGTCTTGCTCTGTCGCCAGGCTAGAGTGCAGTGGCGCAATCTCAGCTCACTGCAACCTCCACCTCCCCGGTTCAAGCGATTCTCCTGCCTCAGCCTCCCAAGTAGCTGGGACTACAGGTGTGCGCCACCATGCCCAGCTAACTTTTTGTATTTTTAGTAGAGACAGGGTTTCGCCATGTTGGCCAGGATGGTCTTGATCTCTTGACCTTGTGATCTGCCTGCCTCGGCCTCCCAAAGTGCTAGGATTACAAGCGTGAGCCACCATGCCTGGCCCGTGTGCACACCTTAAAACAGGAAGTGGAGGGGAAGCATTTCAAGCAGGAGGTTAACAACAGGATCAAGTGTTACCTACCAAGGGGTCAGGCAAAATAAGGACTATAAAGCATCTACTGGATTTAGCAATAATGAGATCACTGAGGACCCTGAAGAACAGAGTCAGAAACTAGGCAGCAGGAGGCTGAGGAGTATGTCAGAGGTCAGGAAGTGGAAGCAAGGGCCGCAAACCTTCTCTTCAGAAAAGTGTATTGTAAAGAGGAGTCACAAAATAGGGCACAAGACCAGGCACAGTGACTCAGGCCTATAATCCAAGCATTTTGGGAAGTTGAGGCAGGAAGATCACTTGAGGCCAGGAGTTCGAGACCAGCCTGGGCAACAAAGCAAGACCTTATCTCCACCCCCACAAAAAAAAGGCACCAGATGGAGGAGAAAAGAACATCATAGCAGAGCTTCCTTTACTCTTTCTCTCTGTGTGTGCACGTGCGCGCGTGTGTGTGTGTTTAATAGAGACAAGTTCTCACTATATTGCCCGGGCTGGTCTTAAACTCCTGGGCTCAAGCGATTGTGTGTGTATGTGTGTGTGTGTGTGTGTGTTTAACAGAGACAAGGTCTCACTATATTGCCCAGGCTGGTCTCAAACTCCTGGCCTCCAGCAATGTTCCTGCCTTGGCCTCCCAAAGTGCTGAGATTACAGGCAAGAGCCACCACGCCCAGCCACTCTTTCTGTGTTTTAAAAATCAGAGCAACTTGGCCAGGCATGGTGGCTCACAACTGTAACCTCAGCATTTTGAAAGGCTGATGCGGGCAGATCGCTTGAGCTCAGGAGTTCGAGACCAACCTGGCCAACATGGCGAAACCCCGTCTCTACCAAAAACACAAAAATTAGCCAGGCGTCAAGACCAGCCTGGCCAACATGGCGAAACCCCATCTCTACCAAAAACACAAAAATTAGCCAGGCATGGTGATGCGCGTCTGTGGTCCCAGCTACTCAGGAGGCTGAGGCAGGAGAATCTCTTGAGCCCAGGAGGCAGAGGTTGCAGCGAGCCAAGATCGTGCCACTGCACTCCAGTCTGGGTGACAAAGCCAGATACTGTCTCAAAAAAAAAAAGAGAGAGCGCAACTTGAGCATGTTTAAATATTGATGGGAGTGAGCTGGTTGAGAGGGAGTCCAAAGATACAGGGGTAAGTCAGGAGGCCAAACAGAGCAGGGTCTCCAAGAGGATGGGGGGTGGCAGGTGGGTCTACACCCTCAGTCAGCCTTAGACTCTCTCCTTGGAACAAGGGCCAGAAAGAAAACATGGCTATGGAGTCAGATCATTCTGAAATTTGAAGAAGGGAAGTTCCTTTCTGGTGGCTTCCATCTTCTCTAAGGTGGAAGGTGAGGCAATCAGCAGAAGGAAGGGTGGAGTAGAAGGGTAGAGGGTATGAGGAGCAGAGAAAAGTTTCAGATAAGCCACTGTGCAGACGGAGGGTCTGTGGAAAAGAAGGAGTGTCCAGGACCACTGAAGCCCCAGCTGTGGCTGAAACCTGTGAACTTACATTGGCAGCAACCCTTGAGCTTCCTGAGAACCCTGGTTGTAGATGAAAGACATGAACAAATGGAATGATCCAAGCTGGGTATAAAAAGAAGAGAGCAAGGGAACTGAATATAGAGGCAGGAGCAACCACGGAGATGGGCCACAGAATCTAAAGGAGGTAGGGGAATCCAAGAGGTCACAGAACAGAACAGGTATAGTCAGTTGTTAATGACTCAGAGACCTGGAAAGCCAGGACGGGAAAGCAAGACAAAATGATATACGCGGGGAAAAGGGAACTTTTGTACAACGCTGTTAGGAATGTAGATTGGTACAGCCATTATGGAAAACAGTATGGAGGTTTCTAAAGACATTAAAAATAGAACCACCATATGACCCAGCAATCCCTCTTCTGGGCACATACCCAAAGGAACTGAAATCAACACCTCATAAAGATATCTGCACTCCCACATTCACTGCAGCATTATTCACAATAGCCAAGATATAGAAACAACCTAAGCAGGCCTCAATGGACGAACAGATAGAGAAACTGTACTGTGTGTGTACACACAAAACTGAATATTATTCAGCCCCAGAAAAGAATGACATCTTGTCATTTGCCATAACGTGAATGAGCCTGAAGGAAATTATGCTAAGTGCAACAAGCCGGACACAGAAAGAAAAACACTGAGTGATCTCACTTACATATGGAATCTTTAAAAAAATTCAAATATATAGAGAAAGAACACAAAATAGTGGCTACCAAGGGCAGGTGGGAGAGGAAATGGGAAGATGTAGGTAAACGGATACAAAATAGCAGATATGGAGGAGTGTACAAGTCTGGAGATCTAATGTAGAACATGAGGACTAGAGTTATTAATAATAAAATTGTACTGTACTTGACAATCATGCTAAATGAGTCAATTTAGATGCTCTTGCCACAAAAACAAAATGAGTTAACTATGAGATGATGACTGTGTTCATTTGCTCCACTATAGTAAACTTTTACTATCTATGTGTATCCCATAACATCAAGTTGTATACCTTAAATAAACACAATAAAATGTGATAATATCCAGTGGCACTATTTCAGAGCTGGAATGCTTCTAGGTATTACAACGCAGGGTGCGGCCGTGGGAGAGAGCAGATGAACTGTTAAAAAGGTGAAGGAGCCGAGCGCAGTGGCTCACGCCTGTGATCCCAGCACTTTCAGAGGCCGAGGCAGGCGGATCACCTGAGGTCAGGAGTTCGAGACCAGCCTGGCCAATATGGTGAAACCCCGTCTCTACTAAAAATACAAAAATTAGCTGGGCGTGGTGGTGGGCACCTGTAGTCCCAGCTACTCAGGAGGCTGAGGCAGGAAAATCGCTTGAACCCTGGAGGCAGAGGTTACAGTGAGCTGAGATCGCAGTGAGCTGAGATCGTGCCATTGCACCACAGCCTGGGCAACAGGGCAAGACTCCATCCCAAAAAAAAAAAAAAAAAAAAAAAAAAAGGATGATTACAGATAAGGAGGTCAAGAAACTGGTAATTTTGGAGAGTTGGACAGATCAGCCATGTGAATGATTAAAGCCCCGTGGTGAGGACATGATTTCAGAAGACAGTAAGTTGGGGTCTAAAGATTTAATGAATGAGAGTGAGAAGGTGTGAAGTTGGAAAATGACAAAGAAAACAGTATTGGAAGGTCTGTAGTGGATATTTGTTTCCTGCTTGTCTAACATTTCTTGATTTTGCTCTGGCAACCACCTCCTCCCTTCCCAGGCACAGAGGGGGCTTCCAAAATATTTGTAATATTCTGTATCTTAATCTGGGGGTAGGAACATTTTATTAGTCTTTAAACTGTACAGATAACTTTTACTCTTTATATACACACATTGTTATAAACTTCATGTATATATTCCCCAATTTTAAAAAAATTCCTTTCCTCATTCCAAAGATAAGTACCTGATTCAAGTCTGCGCAATCAGAATCAGAGACTGGTTTAGGCGCCTGACCCAATTTAGACCAATGAGACACCAGCCCAGAGCTTTGGCCAGAACTATCAGGAAAGGAGTGCTCTCCTTCTGCTGGAGCTGGGAAGCTTGTTTATAGAACATATCCCTTCACTGGCATGAGAACAAGGCTGACACAGAAGAAAGCAGAGCCAAGAGATGGAAAGTGACAGATCCCCGACATCACTGGAATACCTTGCTCCAGCCATCCCTGAAGCCAAAATACCTGGGCCTTTTCAGCAACGTGAGCCAGTAGATTTTTATTTTCCTCTATCTAGTTTGCATTCAGCTCATGTCTTTTTAACTAATAAAGAATCCTAACTAATTCAGGGGAATGCTCAAGGTAGTCTCAATTGAACAGCCTATGTGATCCTTTTCAATATATAATCAAACTATGCCCCCCTCCTGCTCAAGACCCTGAAATGTCCCCTGCCCATGTTAACTTCCCACCCCATGGCCCTAGCAATAAAGGCCAAAGTCCTCAGGGTGACCGGCCACATTCAATATAATCTGACCCCTCCCTTCTCTGCCCCCAGCCTTTAACTCTCCAATGCTCACTCTACCTGGCCACACTGGCCTCTAGGCTGCTCCCCGACACACCAGCCCTGTGCCTTCCGGCCTCTGCTTCAGGCAGTCCCTCCCCGGACAGTCTTCTTCAGATACTCACCCACTAACTCCCTCACCTCCTTCCAGTCTGCTCAAATATCAAGTACTCAACAAGGCCTGCCAAATCCTCTTCCTCGCGGCCAGTTCTCCTTTTTCCTCCTTCCATGGCATTTATGGTGTAATACAGTACAAACTTGCTGAAATGTATCCAGTGAGGGCAGGGTTTTCAGCTAATTTATTCAAGTTCCTAGAACAGTGCCTGGCTCATAGTAGGCCCTCAAATATGTATCAAATGAACAAAAAGAATGACAGGAGCCTCAAAGGAGCAGAGCCTGGTTTGTAAAAGGTGATGGAGGAAAAGCCTTCTCTATTTTGAAGACTTCAGAGGACGTCTAAGTGACCTAAGGAGGCAGGAAGTAGATGAAGAGTTCAGAGAAGAGATTGAGGATGTGGGAGGAGGTGTTAGCCACACAATGGGGCTTAAGAATCCAGTATTAAGTTTTGGGAGGGGTACAGAAGTTAGAGGCTGAGTCAGAGGAGAAGCAGCCTGGAGCAATTTACAGATGAAAGTTAAAAAAGGAGAGTAAGGCTAAGTGATGTATTTACATTTTAGATGGAGATAGCCATATAAGGTCCAGTGAGGCTCACGCCTGTAATCCCAGAACTTTGGGAGGCAGAGGTGGGCAGATCATCTGAGGTCAGAAGTTCGAGACCAGCCAGGCTAACATGGTAAAACCCCATCACTACTAAAAATAAAAAAATTAGCCAGGTGTGGTGGCAGTCACCTGTAATCTCAGCTACTCAGGAGGCTGAGGCAGGAGAATCACATGAACCCAGGAGGGAAAGGTTGCAGTGAGACTGCACCACTGCACTCTAGCCTAGGCAACAGAGTGAGACTCCATCTCAAAAAAAAAAAAAAAAAAAAAAGGCCCAGTGAGTTTAGCAGGCATCAAAAGAATTAGTCCTGGCAACCTCTGGTAGATAGAAAGGATTCCTCCTTTGGGAGCCTATGAAGGGAGGCATCACACCATGATTTGAACAATTTGAGAAATTGGTGGAGAGTCCATCATATTCAGTCTTTCTCTTCTACCCAAGCACTACAGAGTTCATTCACAAGCGTCAGCTGGACCAAGACACCAGGCTACCCTGTTCATCGCACCATCTTGGGCCCTCAGAAAGCAATTCCCCTTTGCATAATAACCCTGTACTATGACCAGCCTGTCAAACCTTCATTCCCCTGGCCCAGAACTGACGCAGAATCCCTGTCATCCAGGATCACAACCCCAGTATCTAACAAGACAAAACTGGCTTCTTTTCAAAGACAGACCATAGCACTGAACTGTCCTAACACCCCTCTGATGACCCTCATGCTGCTGAGGTAGGAGAAAGCCAGCCACAGGGAAGGCTTCCTTCTTCTGGCTCTGACTCACCTCTGTGGCTTGCTAGCTTCTCTCTACAGAAATTTCTTCAGAGTTATGAGACCATACGTGTATGCCAAGATTCAAGGAAAATGTTACTCCTAGTCAGAGAAAGAAATTACAATGCTTAGCCTCTAAGGAAAAGTGGCTTACTATAAATCAGGCCCTTGAGAATGGTGTCATTTAGATGCTCCCCACAGCTGTTAGGAGATTCATTAAATATTCAATAATTAGGCCAGGCACAGTGGCTCATGTTTGTAATCCCAGCACTTTGGGAGGCCGAGGAGGGCAGATCACTTGAAGCCAGGAGTTCGAGACTAGCCTGGCCAACATGGCGAAACCTCGTCTCTACTAAAAATACACAAATTACCTGGTCAAGGTAGCACACGCCTGTAATCACAGCTATACGGGAGCTGAGACACGAGAATCACTTTGACCAGGGAGGTGGAGGTTGCAGTGAGTCAGGATCAGGCCACTGCGCTCCAGCCTGGGTGACAGAGTAAGTCTCTGCTCAAAAAAATACATATATATTCAATAATTAATAATGCCTTCAAGACTCTCCCTCCTACACAGAACAGACCCTTTAAAGGAAGCCATCGGTAATTAGACTTGAGACTGACTTCTTCACCACTAACCAGATCTTGGTGGTACGGGGAATTTGTCTTCCAAGTGCTTATTAGTAAAATGCTCATACTTCTGAGTCAGGTATCATCCATGAGTGAATCGTTAGGTAAATATTTTAAATGGCTATCTGTAGTAGCCAGTCTCCAAGATGGCCCAATGATCCCCACCTCTTGGTATACACACCCTGATATTCACACCCTCTCCCCACATTGTACCAGTGTCAATCTGTGTGACCAACAGAATACAGCAGAGGCATGTCATTTCCAAGATAAGTTATACAAGACTGGCTAGAGTCTTGAGCTCTCTTGGATCACTTGCTCTGGGGGGAAAAACCAGTTGCCACATCAAACAGCCCTATGGAGAGTAACTAAGACCTGCCAACAGCCATGTGAGTGAGCTTAGAAGTGGATCCTCCCCTAATCCAGCCTTCAGATGACTGCAGCCCAAGCCAACAACTTGACTGCAACCTCAAGAAAGGCCTAATTCAGAACCACTCAGATTGTCCCACAGACACTATTTCCAGGTGATAAGTTTTGGGGTAATTTGCTACACAGCAATAGATAATTAATTCAGTGTCCCACACAGAACTGAGAAGGAAATGAGGTTTAACCCCCAGTTCCTACACTATTTTAAGACCAATTTTTGTCGATAAGAAAGCAAATTTATTCAGTTATTCAACATTTTTTGGAGACAGGGTCTCACTCTCTTGCCCAGGCTGGAGTACAGCGGTGCAATCATAGCTCACTGCAGCCTTGAACTCCCAGGCTCAAGCAATCCTCCCGCCTCAGCCTCCTGAGTAGCCTGGATTACAGGTGCATGCCACCATGCTGTGTGCGTATGTGGAAACGGGGTCTCGATATGTTGCCCAGGCTGGTCTCAAACTTTTGGTTCAGAGCAATCATCCCACTTCAGCCTCCCAAAGTGCTGGTATTACAGGTGTGAGCCACTGCACCTGGCCTCCATTAGCTTTTTTAATTTTCCTGTTCCTAATGCTTTGGAACTTCACTCCCTGCTTTCACAAACCCTCTGCAGAAGGTACATCAAGTCGCACTCTCTAGTGATTTTAAGTGCTCAGTGACCTTCTGACTGCAAGGAGGGCAGGTTATATTTTCTCATACTCCTTTTTCACTGTACCACATGGTGTCCCCTCTAACGGGAGAAGAAAGTTAGGTCCCCTGCTCCCATTAATATTGGGACAAGGGGGAATTCATTTAGTATTTTACTAGGGAGAGAAAATCTTGATCACAAGACCTGAGAACAATTCTAATTTCTGCAGTTAGTGACTAAGTGACGGCAGGAGCGGGGATACAATCACTGCTCAAGTCTCCTTCACAGCTGAAATGGCCATGGGGGTAGGGAGGAGGTCGTCCCTTACCCCTGCCTGGACTCTGCTGTCTCTCCAAGCAGCAGGAGGGTTGTGCTGCTCTAAGAAAATCTGGAGCCTCCCTCCGTACAAAGAAGGTCAAAGGGCGAGCTTTCTTTCCATCAACCACAAAACCAGCCTCTGCCAAACCTAAACAGAGTGGTAGGCCGTCGGAGGTGAATGGAGCCCCAGACAGAAAACCACAACGAGGCTCTCCTCCCGCCGCCGGCTGGGGTCTGAGTCAGGTGACTCCTCAGGACAAACAGCAAACCTAAACAAAGATCACTCCCCACATGACTGACTAGGGGGAAGAAGACTCTCGCTGTAAGCCCAGGGCTGCCCGGTCCCAGCACGGAAAGCCAGGAACTCCTGCTTTCTGTGCAGTCTCGGAAACTGGAGGAGCTACAAGTTATGCAGCAGCTCAGCCTGCAGGGATGCACCTGGAGGAACTCGGAACCCCATCCGAGGACACAGGCGCCCTGCCCTGAACACACGCCTCCCGCTCCAACACGCAGGCTGGACCCCTCCCCACCAGCTGTCACCGGTGCTTGCGACCAGTCACAGGCAGCGAAGCCTGTCCCTCTGCGGCTGCGACCCCGCGGAGGCGGCAGAGGAGACGCTTCGCCGAGGGCTCCGGGGCCAGGACACGCCCGTCCCCCGGGAAGGGGCGGCAGGGTGGGCGCGGCCCCAGGCCCACGAAGGCTCCGGATCCATCATCCCCCCCACGGGGAGCGAAATAAGCCTCCCACTCCCCGGCCCCAGGCGCCCCACCTTGTCACCGAAGCTGCGGGCCATCAGCAGGTCCGGGCTGGGCGTGCTGTCACCACCCACGGCCTCCTCGCTGCTGGAGCCGGCCAGCGGGTGCGGCATGTCGCGCAGGGAGTGGGGCCCCGTGGACGGCAGGGCCTTGGGGGGCCCGCCCGCCATGGCGCGCACCGCTCGGGACGCGCCGCCGCCGCTTCCTCCTGCTGCCCGCCGCGGCGAGCTCCCCGAGCACCCCGGGCCGAGCCCCGCTCGGCCGCCGCTTAACCCGAGGCCTTGCACCGGCCGTGCTGGGGGCCGCCGCCACCCGCCGGCTGGTCTCTGCCGGCGCTCAGACGCTCCGCTCCGCGCCGCGCGCCCCCGCTCCGCGCCCGAGCCCGCCGCGGGTCCGCTGGCAGCACGGCCGCGGCGCCCAGCCCACACAGCCACACCGCCCACCCGCTCCGGCCCCGCCCCCGAGGCGCCGCGGCCGCCCGGGAGGGGGCGGGGAGGGCGGGGAAGGGGCACGTGGGGAAGGAAGGACGGAGGGAGGGAGGGAGGAGGCGCGGCCCCGCCCCCGCCCGGCAGGAAGTGCGCCCTGGGCCTCTGCGGCTGTCCTCCCAGTGTCCAACGTTGCCTCGCGGAGGCCGCCGTGCGGAGCAAATGTCTAACGGAAATCAGAGGTGGAAAAGAGGTTGGAGGAGCCTGTTCCGTTCCACCCGCGTTTACTGATGCGCCCACCAGCAGCCACGCTTGGGGCTGGGGGCTTTGAGGACACGCACGTGAGTCAGGGTCTTCTGGCCTCTAAGGCACGCGCAGGAAGAACCCTAGATAGACGGAATTACGACCCATATCGGAAGAATAGCATAAAGGGCGACAAGGCTCAAATGAGCTAGAGGACATCGGGTGGGGAACCTGGAAGGGACTTCAAAGAGGCGGTGTGGGGAGTCTTCAGGCTCACTCTGAGGTCCCCATTGTGGCTTGCTTCTGCAGCTGAGCTGGATTTGTGTAAAGTCAAACCTCAGAACAGCGAGCATGAGTAGAGAGTCTCAAATGATATGCGACTCTTCAACTCACACTTTGGCCGAAGAGACTTTTGAAAGAACCATGAGGTTCAAGTTATTCTTCATGCATTTGTGCTTCCTTTCCAGGCCTTGGGCTGAGCTGATTCTCAGCTTTATTTGCTGGCGTGGTGCAAATAGTCAAGGTGTTACTTCCAGCCCTTTGGGGTGTAGGTTCACCTCCTTTTTCCACCTTACCTGTCCCTAGATCTTCTGTTTCCAAGGCCAAGTCTTTAAAGGGTTTTCAGTCCCTCTAGCAAAGTAATGGGTAGGGAGGCTCATCGTGAGGGACCACATTTTCCCTACCCATTCCAAACTCAAAGGTTTGCCTAGCCTTACCTGCTAAAAGGTGATGACAGATGTTGACTCTGGGATTCACTAAGGCCTCTACCACAGTTTTCTCTAGAAACAAATAGAAGAGAATGCAGAGGGTTGAAATCTACCCAAAATATCAGTCAGAGACTCTGAGCTTCAAAGACCTTCCCCTATTTCCCCCAATGTAATTTATATAGGGTTGGACCCTTAGTCCTCAAGCTATCATCTTTATCTCCTCCACATAAGCCTGCCTTGGCTGGGAAAAGTAGCATTCAAAGGGCACTGGGAACAATTTTAAATGCTGCATCTAAGGAATGCCAAGTTCTGGTCCTCTTGGAGTTGGATTAAAATTGTTAACACTTTCACATTCAAGGGCTGCTTACAACTACTACAGACCCTATTATCTGTTCTTCTGAATTAGCATGAAAATGAATAGCACAATATAACTAGAAATGAGTATTTCTAGAAATGAGTATATACATCTATAGATGTATAACATCGGTTTTTCTTATTGAATGGTGCTACTTATTTTAACAACCAGGCTGCCTTAAATATAATGGACATCCGTATGGATTAAGACTCTATACAAGCTTTCTCTTTAGTACACCAGGGGAAAGTGAAAAAAGAACCACATTTGAATTCGGCTTTGTCACTACAAGTGGGTGACCATGAGCAAGTTACTAACCTCAGTGAACCTGTTCCTAACCTAAAAAGGAGGAGAATGGAGAGCAGGTAATAATACCTTATGAGATGGTTGTGAGAGTTATATAGCATTCTTTATGTCATAGTCCTAGCAAAGTGCTGGCATAAAATAGGTGCTCCCTAAATGTTAATTACCTACCTTCCTTTCCCTTTCTGTCAGATTTTCTCTACTATTCTTATGAAATAATAAAGAGTTTTTGTAATTAAATATGCTTTACTATTCTGAGTAGGGTCTGGTTGAATATACATATATATACACACACATACACACCAGGTAGGGTGCCTCACACCTGTAATCCCAGCACTTTGGGAGGCCAAGGTGGGAGGATCACTTGAGCCCATAAGTTCAAGACCAGCTTGGGCAACATAGTGAGAGCCCCATCTCTATAAAAAATGTAAAAATTAGTCCGGCATGGTGGCACATACCTGTAGTCCCAGCTACCCAAGAGGCTGAGGTGGAAGGATTGCTTGAGCCTGGGAGGTTGAGGGTGCAATGAGCTGAGATTGCACCACTGTACTTCAGCCTGGGCAACAGAAGGAGACCTTGTCTCAAAATAAAAAAAAATATATATATATATACATATATATGTGTGTGTACATATATATGTGTGTATATGTGTGTGTGTGTGTGTGTGTGTGTATTGACCTCCAAAGTCCTCCATTTGCTCAGTTTAGATTGGAGTACCACTTTTCTATGCTCCCACCAAAAAAAGGACCCAGACCCAGAGTTCCTAAAAGGCCATATGAAATAGTTGATTACAGTTTATTTATTTATTTTCCAGTTTCCTGGTTGGTCGATAGCAGCTGGCCACAATATCCAGTGGGTAGTCATCAAAACTAAAGAAAGTGAATTTGTATGGAAAGTATTTTGGTAGAAAGTTTCCACGATGAAATTTAGCCCAGCCCTGCCCATTCATATTCACCATTTCCTGTGGTATTTCAGTGTTCCTTGTGGTGGGAAATTGTCACTGAAATAATATAAGTGTCCCAGAGCATGTGACTTTGCTTCTACTAAAAGGTTTTGTTTTTTTTTTTTTTTTTTCTTGGAGACAGGGCCTTGCTCTGTCGCCCAGGCTGGAGTGCAGTGGCGCAATCTCAGCTCACTGCAACCTCCGCCTCCCAGGTTCAAGCGATTCTCCTGCCTCAGCCTCCACAGTAGCTGGGATTACAGGTGTGTGCCACCATGCCCGGCTAATTTTTGTATTTTTAGTAGAGACAGGGTTTCACCATGTTGTCCAGGCTGGTCTCAAACTCATGACCTCAAGTGATCTGCCTGCCTTGGCCTCCCAAAGTGCTGGGATTACAGGCTACTAAAAGTTTTAAAAGCAGCATGGTGGTAAGGAGGAAACGTGTAACGTTTCTCCATCAGAGCAGAAGGCTGTGGTGTTTGTTGGAACTTATGGAGGGAAGCTTGGATTTCTAGGGTTGAGCTCTGAGGAAGATAGTAGATGTATGTGTGTGCATGAGGGGCGAGGGAGGTCCCCAATGCCACCAGAACCCAAGAACACAGCATGGAGCCCTCCCAATTCATAAGGAATCTTAGACACTTAGGCTGGCACCTTTCAGGAGACAGGGCTTTGGGCCCCAGAATTTAGTACGCTTACCAAACAAATCCTATCGACCTCACTAGCAAGCGTATTGGGGCTGCCTGTGAGCACCCAGACCTCAGAAACAAAGCAGTCTCAATGCATCATTCGCTCATTCTTTCCCCTGGTACAGCATGTGCTTAGGCCTTCTTCATGTTTGTGTTAGCCGCTTATCCTCTGGTGGTTTTTAGTACAATCATAGCTTTATTCTATATGGCATCCCAAGCCCTGCCTCAGAATAACACCACCACTTCTGAAGTGGACGGCTGGTGAGGACAAAGGACGTTTTCAGAGAGCATTCAGGATGACATGTCGCAAGCCACAGAGGGCTGTATCAAACAAGGGGGGCAAGTGAGAAGGCACAATCCCCAACAGAGACAAAATTGTGTGGACAATTTAATTCAGCCAATGATGTCCCAGGAAAGAAACAAGGTCCACTTGAGTCCAGGATCTGAACAGTTTTGCTAACAAGAAATTGGAACTTGCTACTGAACCAGCAGAGGGGCTTGTGGGTGAATGATAGCATCATTTTATCTCTCCATATAGAAGAGCTCCTGGCTTGCAAAGCATGGAGACCCTGATGCAGTGAGTTATACAGTACAGTCATGGAGTTAGTGTTCCAAATCTCAAACTTTGGGTGCCTAACAATCAATTGTGAGCTTGTAAAAATGCAAACTTCTGGGCCCCACATCAAGAGATTCTGCTTCTGGAGTGAGGCCTGGAATAATTTTTAATTTAAATTAATTTTTAATTTAAAAAGTGTTAATCTCCTAGGTGATGCTTACGCTGATGCTGGTCTATAGACTATATTTTGAGAAACACTGTTCTCTTAGCTCCTTCCATTTCTCTTGCTCGCTCTCTCTCTTTTAACCTAGCATCAATCCATCAAGATCCTTCCATTTTTCTTTTCGTTGTTTTTTTTTTTTTTTTTTGAGACAGAGTCTCACTGTGTCACCCAGGTCGGAGTGCAGTGGTGCAATCTCGGCTCACTGCAACCTCCACCTCCTAGGTTCAAGCAATTCACCTGCCTCAGCTTCCGGAGTAGCTGGGATTACAGGCGCACACCAGCATGCCCAGCTAATTTTTGTGTTTTTAGTAGAGATGGTGTTTCGCCATGTTGGCCAGGCTGGTCTAAACTCCTGACCTCAGGTGATCCGCCTACTTTGGCCTCCCAAAGTGCCGGGATTACAGGTGTGAACCACCGTGCCAGCCTTTCTCTCTCTCTTTTAACCTAGCATGAATCCATCCAAATCCTTCCATTTTTCTTTTCTTTTTTTTTTCTTTTTTTTTGAGACAGAGTCTCGCCCTGTCGCCCAGGCTGGAGTGCAGTGGTGCAATCTCAGCTCACTGTCGCCACTGCCTCCTGGGTTCAAGCGATTCTCCTGCCTCAGCCTCCCGAGTAGCTGGGATTATAGGCGCGCACCACCACGCCCAGCTAATTTTTGTATATTTAGTAAAGACAGGGTTTCACCATGTTGGCCAGGCTTGTCTTGAACTCCTGACCTCAAGTGATCTGCCCACTTTGGCCTCCCAAAGTGCTGGGATTACAGGCGTGAGCCACCACTCCCAGCCAAGATCCTTCCATTTTTCTAAACTATAAATTGACATTCCAAACCTTTAAGTGCTTACTTTAAATAAATATCCTGTTTGAAAACTTGCTTAGAAAGCAATTTTCTATTAGAAAATTACATTACAAGGTCCTTTTGCTCCTAAACTTTTATGATTATTTTAGTGAGCATCTACCAGGCGCTTAAAATATAAGGGAAGATTGAGGTGATGGATATCCCATTTACCCTGATGTGTTATTATGCATTGTATACCTGTATCAAAGTATTTCATGTACCCCATAAATATATATGCCTACTATGTGCCCACAAAAAATATTAAATTAAAAAAAAATTTTAAGAAAAGAGCTCAGATGAACTAACCTATTTGTTGATAATTTTTTTTTATTGTTGTTATTGTTGTTGTTTTTAAACGGAGTCTCGCTCTGTCACCCAGGCTGGAGTGCAGTGGCGCGATCTCAGCTCACTGCAAGCTCCACCTCTTGGGTTCATGCCATTCTCCTGCCTCAGCCTCCTGAGTAGCTGAGACTACAGGCACCCACCACCGCACCCGGCTAATTTTGTTTTTGTATTTTTAGTAGAGACGGGGTTTCACCGTGTTAGCCAGGATGGTCTTGATCTCCTGACCTCGTGATCCACCTGCCTCGACCTCCCAAAGTGCTGGGATTACAGGCGTGAGCCACCGTGCCCGGCCAATAGTTTCATTTCATAAGTCTGGTCATGAAGTAGATCACAGAGGAGTGGATACTTTCCAGAGCCCTCAAAACCTTGGCCTACCCTGAAGGCTCCTAGTAGCTGGGCCACATCTGGCTATAGAAACACCTTTCACTGCCATCACTGAAGGATACGTGCTACCTGGCTTTCTTTACAAGCAGGCACAGGTGTATGGAGTTTGGGCATGGATGTGTATTCCTTTGTGAGGGCTACCCATTAGAGAGGTTGGGCTGGAGAAGATATGGAACTGACAAGTACTGGAACCACGGGCACTGAGTCTTATTAACAGTGATTCTTTGGATAGAATGGAAAACCTACTTACTGGCTGTGTGCCTCCATGAGAGTGTTTGATTCCATCACGAGGAGTGATCCTTAAAAGGCATCTGAAGGCTGGGTGCGGTGGCTCATGCCTGTAATCCCAACACTTTGAGAGGCCAAGGCGGGTGGATCACCTGAGGTCAGGAGTTTGAGACTGGCCTGACCAACATAGTGAAACCCCATCACCACTGAAAATACAAAAATTAGCCAGGTGAGGTGGCACATGCCTGTAATCCCAGCTACACGGGAGGCTGAGGCACGAGAATTGCTTGAACCCGGGAGGTGGAGGTTGCAGTGAGCCCAGATTGCGCCATTTCACTCCAGACTGGGAAACAAGGGTGAAACTCCATCTTAAAAAAAAAAAAAAAGGCATCTGGAACATGGACATTCACACATGATATGGCCCAGCAGTTCTACTTTCAGAACACAGTAGAAATGCGTGCATACATTTACCAAAAGATTGATCCAAGAATCTCCTCAGCAGTGCTATTTGTAAGAGCGAAAACTGGAAACCAGTCACATGGCTGTCAACAGTGTAATGCGTGAATAAATGTGATACATTCACACAATGGAATATTGCACAACAGAATGAAGGAACAACATGGTGAATGCATCTCACAAATACAATAGTGAGTGAAACAAGCTAGATATAAAAGAATATCTGCTGTATGACTCCATTTATATAAAGCTAAAAAACAGGCAAAACTAACGTGCAGTGTGAGAAAACAGAATGGTAGTGAGTTCTGGGGTATTTGTTTTTTGATCTGTGGGCTTGTTTGTTTGTTTGTTTGTTTGTTTTTTGTTTTATTTTGTAAAAATTCATCAAGCAGGCCGGGTGCAGTGGCTCATGCCTGTAATCCCAATACTTTTGGAGGCCAAGGTGGGCAGATTGCATGAGCCTAGGAATTCAAGACCAGCCTGGGTAACATAGTGAAACCTTGTTTCTACAAAAACTTAGCTGGGCGTAGTGGTGTGTGCCTGTAGTCTCAGCTACCCAGGAGGCTGAGGTGGGAGGATCATTTGAGCCCAGGAGGCAGAGGTTGCAGTGAGCAGAGATCATGCTACTGCACTCCACCATGGGTGACAGAGTGAGACCCTGTCTCAAAAAAAAAAAAAAAAAAAATTCTTCAAGCAGTATATTTATGGTTTGTGAGCCTTTATGTTCTACTTCAATAGGAAGTTTACATTAAAAAGGGCATCTAGTCTTCCACCCTTGCTTCAAAAGTGAGGAAGCTGAGGCCCAGAGGTAGTAATTTGCATGAGGTCAACCAAGAGTGCTCCTGGCAATGATCCTTTCCACTTTGATGCACATTGATGTACACGTGGATTTGGGGGATGCTAGTTTAATGACAAAGAAAGGAGGAAATAAGCAAAAAGAGAGAGAAGTGTCAGCCACTATCAGTTGCCTACCAGAGAGTCATTTGCTCCTTCTTCATTGTTCATTGCTTGTCTCTTTTCCCTTCCTTTCAAATGCAATCATGTGTGGACCAATGCCTGGAGCTGCTGCAGCCATCTTGTGGCCATGAGTGGAGACATTCCGGTTACCCTGAGGATAGCTGAGTGGATAAATGGAAAGAGCCTGTGTCTTTGGTGGCATCACCGAGCCACTGCATCTAAATCCAGACTTCTTTTGTAGAATATAAACATCCTTATGGTGTCAGGCAGTTTAATTTGAATCCCTGTGACTTGCAGATGAACTCATCCTTATGGATTAAGAAGACAAAGAATACAAGCAAGCAGGAGAAAGTCTAAGAAGAGAGTTCACCTGGTGGGTGGCAACGTTCACAGCAAGAGTACCATCCTTCTGTAACATGCATTCTCAAAAGAGCCAATATCACCTTCAAAAGGACGTAAATTGCTTCTTGGGGTAGGGAGGCCAAAAAAAAATCTTAAATATTATAGTGGTCTGTGGCCCCCACAAAGTTCAGCCCTATTCCTTAGTATTTAATTTTTCTTTTAGGGAGCATTTAAACCTAATTAACTCTTCCCCTTTAGGGGCAGTGATAACAAAAAACAAATTGAGAAACACTGCTTTATAGAGATGGAGGGCAAGCTCTAAAACAGAAAAAGAATAGATTTCCTGGCTTCCTAAGGTAGACCTCTTAATCCTTCCGAAAACCTTGGAATTCCACTGACTTCCAGATCCTTGCCCCAGGTTCTGCCACTGTGGTAGCTCCAGCCATGCCAGCTCTGTGCAACCCTTCCTGTGCTTTGTAACCCAGGCCTGCAGACAAGTCCTCACTACACAGAGGTAGTGAGAGAGTGTATGCAGGAGGCCTTGTCTTTATGCATAACCTGCTAGCAATGTAGCAAGACAGTGCTGGGGGCACAGCAATAAAATTACACTTCGTGCCCAGATTATAGATCCAGGTGAGGTGACTTGCTAGAGAAAGGGCTTCCCCATTCCCCCCAGCTATATAAGGTAATGAATTATGCTAGGGTTTCAGGATTTCCTGATTGGCAGGGTAGGAGGCTTGGTTTTCCCCCTCTGCTCCCACTCAGGGCTTCCTGTGATATGGCAGGCGGAAAACCACCACCATGACCACTCATGAAAATGGGAGACGGGCCGGGCACAGTGGCTCACACCCGTAATCCCAGCACTTTGGGATGCTGAGGCAGGTGGATCACATGAGGCCAGGAGTTCCAGACCAGCTTAGCCAACATGGTGAAACCCTGTCTCTACTAAAAAAAAAAAAATACAAAAATTACTCAGGCATGGTGGTGCACATCTGTAATCCCAGATACTCGGGAGGCTGAGGCACAAGAATCGCTTGAATCCGGGAGGTAGAGGTTGCAGTGGGCCAAGATCGTGCCGCTGCACTCCAGCCTGGGTGACAGAGCGAGACGCTGTCTCAAAAGAAAAAAAAAATGCTACACAGTGTCCACTCCTTCTCCTTCCAGCTGAGACCCAGCTGGGCTTGGGCTAGTTGAAAAAGTAAAGAAGGATGGAAGGAATATCTCCCACCTGCAGCTCTAGGTGGTACAGAAATTAAGGGATTGATTGTGCAGAGCTGAGTAAAGAGAAGACCCGAGACCAGAGAACCAGAGTCAGGGGTCTGAATTAGTCACTAAAACAAGGTGAATGGTGGTGGTGGCAAAAGCAAATGACGAAGGTCAAGAACAGAGCCAGGGTTCAAGACCCAGAAGGAACAGGTCCAGAGAATAAGCCTTCTGGTAATCCTCAGCAGCATCTGGGTGGGCACTGTTGTCATTATGAACCATGGTGCTTGCTGGGGTGGGATGCATGGCGTGGCCAGGACAGCCAGAATGGAAGGCTTCCTTTGGAAGGCTTCGCTGAGCTAGCAGGAAGATTTGGACAGGGGAACTGATTTCTCACAACTCCTTCCTGACCACCCACATAATTGGTTCAAATTAAGCACTAGGCTGTAGAGGTACCAATTCTTTGTTTCCGGAGGCAGGATGCTTTCTTGGCATAGATATACACCCTGAGGAAGGATGTGGCTAGCAATAATTGTCCTCTCCTCTTTTAATTTAAACTTTTAATTTTAGAATAGTTTGGATTTCCAGAAAAGTTGCAAAGATAGTACAGAGTTTTTGCGTACTCCTTACGCCGTGTCTCCGTTGTTAACATCCTGTATCATTCTTGTACATTTGTCACAACTAAGGAGTCAATATTGGCACATTGCTGTTAACTAAACTGTATACTTTATTCTTATTTAACTAGATTTTCCCCAAAGTTATTTTTTTTATCCCGAAATCCCACCCAGGATACCACATTACATTTTGCAGTCATGTCTCATTAGCCTCCTCTGGTCTGTGACAGTTTCTCGGACTTTACTTGCTTATGACAGTCTTGAAAAGTATTCATCAGGTACTTTGTAGATTGCCCCTCAGTTTGGTTTTGTCTGTTGTTGTCCTCATGGATAACGTGGAGTTCAGGGGTTTTTGGGAGGAAGACTATCGAGGTAAGGTGCCTTTTTTTTTTTTTTTTTTTTTTTTGAGATGGAGTTTTGCTCTTGTTGCCCAGGCTGGAGTGCAATGGCACAATCTCGGCTCACTGCAACCTCCACCTCCCGGGCTCAAGCAATTCTCCTGCCTTGGCCTCCAGAGTAGCTGGGATTACAGGCATGCACCACCATGCCTGGCTAATTATTTGTATTTTTAGTAGAGATGGAGTTTCACTATGTTGGCCAGGCTGGTCTCAAACTCCTGACCTCAGGTGCTCCACCTGCCTCGGCCTCCCAAAGTGCTGGGATTCCAGGTGTGAGCCACCACACCCGGCCAGTAAAGTGCCATTCTAATCACATCATATATGTTAATCTGTGTTGCATTGCTGTAAAGGAATACTTGAGACTGGATAATTTATAAAGAAAAGAGGTTTATTTGGCTCACAGTTTGCAGGCTGTACAAGAAGCACAGTGCCAACATCTGCTTCTAGTGAGGCCTCAGGAAGCTTATAAAGTCATGACAGAAGGCAAAGGAGAAGCCAGCCTATTACGTGGCAAGAGAGGAAGCAAGAGAGAGGAGGAGGTCCCAGGCTCATTTAAACAACCAGCTCTCTTGCCAGGTGTGGTGGCTCATGCCTGTAATCCCAATACTTTCGGAGGCCAAGGCAGGCAGATCACCTGAGGCCAGGAGTTGGAGACCAGCCTGGCCAACATGGTGAAACCTCATCTCTACTAAAAATACAAAAATTAGCTGGGCGTGGTGGTGCATGCCTGTAATCCCAGCTACTCAGGAGGCTGAGGCATGAGAATCATTTGAACCCAGGAAGTGGAGGCTGCAGTGAGCTGAGATTGCACCACTGCACTCCTGCCTGGGTGACAGAGTGAGACCCTGTCTCAAAAACAACAACAACAACCACCTGTCTTGTGAACTAACAGAGTGAGAACTCACTCATTACCATGGGGAAAGTACCAAGCCATTCATAAGGGATCCACCCCCATGACCCAAACACCTCCAACAAGGCGCCACCTCCAACACTGGGGATCACATTTCAATATGAGATTGGAGGGGACAAACATCCAAACTAGATCATCATATCAAGGGCACATACTGTCAACATGGCTTATCACTGAGGGTGTTAAACTTAATTGCCTGGTCAAGGTAGTGTTTGCCAGGTTTCTCCACTGTAAAGTTACTCCCCTCCCCGATATGGCATAATGAATTAGACATCAATAAAGCTGTTACAAGAAAAGATGAATGATAATCTGGAGAAAGTTATTTGGAACACAAATGACTCACAAGGTATTAATATCTTTCTTTTTTTTTTTTGAGACGGAGTCTCGCTCTGTCGCCCAGGCTGGAGTGCAGTGGTGCGATCTCGGCTCACTGCAAGCTCCACCTCCCGGGTTCACACCATTCTCCTGCCTCAGCCTCCTGAGTAGCTGGGACTACAGGCACCCGCCATCACGCCCGGCTAATTTTTTTTTTGTATTTTTAGTAGAGACGGGGTTTCACCGTGTTAGCCAGGATGGTCTTGATCTCCTGACCTCGTGATCCGCCCGCCTTGGCCTCCCAAAGTGCTGGGATTACAGGCGTGAGCCACCGCGCCCGGCCCAAAAAATACAAATTATCAAAATATGTATTCAGTCTCACTAGAGATCAATAAAATGTTGATGAAAACAAAAAGATACAATTTTTGCTTGTCCTACCAGCAAATGTTAAAAGACCAATAAAAGGTAAGGAATCATGCTTTATGAGATTTAAACAATTTGGGGGGCCTTCCTCAAGAAAAAGAATTCAAAATTTCAAATATAAAAATTAGTACAAGGCCAGGCACTGTGGCTCATATCTGTAATCCCAGCACTTTCATAGGCCGAGGCAGGAGGATTGCTTGAGCCCAAGAGTTGGAGACCAGCGTGGGCAATATAATGAGACCTTGTCTTTACGAAAAATTTTAAAAATTAGCTGGGCATGGTGATGCACACCTGTAGTTCCATCTACTCAGGAGGCTGAAGTGGGAGGATGACTTGACCCAGGAGTTCAAGGCTACAGTGAGCTATGATCATGCCACTGCACTCCAGCTTGGGAGGCAGAGAGAGACCCTATCTCAAAAAACAAAGAAACAAACAAACAAAAAACCCTGATACAAAGCTGAATATTAATTTGGAAAATAAATCGCCACAATTATAAATTTTACAAAACTGATAAATACCGCAAACATCACAAACGTATTAAAATTATTAGCTGCCTGGCACACCTCTATCATACTATTTTCCATAGTCTTTGAATGCATATTCTTTACTAAATTCTTCATATGACAACTATTTTATAGTATTCCAAAGAGAATAGAAAGATAATGAAGTCTTTCTTCTAGCATGGCTGATTGAAATTTGCTTTGCTTTTTTATTATTAGTAGTTTACAAAACTTTTTTTCAACTTCAAATTTGTTGTTGGTAATGTACGAAAATGCCCCCTGATACCTCAGCAGGCTTACCACCGGACATTCTTGCTATTTATAGTACTGTTACAGATTTTTGGCCTACAAACCCAGGAATTCTTATTCTGTTTCAGGTAAGTTCCACCTAAAAGAAAGAAAGAAAAAAAAAATCTAGGCCCAGGCACAGTGGCTCACGCCTGTAATCCCAGCACTTTGGGAGGCTGAGGCAGGCAGATCACAAGGTCAGGAGATCGAGATCATCCTGGCTAACACGGTGAAACCCCATCCCTACTGAAAATACAAAAAATTAGCCAGGTGTGGTGGCAGGTGCCTGTAGTCCCAGCTACTTGGGAGGCTGAGGCGGGAGAATGGTGTGAACCCGGGAGGCGGAGCCTGCAGTGAGCTGAGATCGCGCCACTGCACTCCAGCCTGTGGGACACAGCGAGACTCTGTCTCAAAAAAAAAAAAAAAATCTATATGGTGAGTGTATGTTGCATTATCAAGGATATTCCTGATAGAAGAGAACTTTTGGTTTTGTTAGTCATCAGTGAGGAGTGATTCATTCATTTACAATTATATAACTTTGACAACGGGAAGAATTTTTTACAGACTAGCTTCTGGCTCTACATTTCAAACTTTGTTCTTCTCTAGTACTCTCATTCATCTGGTGCTGGTGCCTCAAGACACATTCATTTCATGATGTGACCTCTGGCCCTGCATCTTCATAGAAGCATACCAGGATGTCCAGCAGTAATGTATCCATGCACAGAAGTGACGGCGAACCTTGTAAATACATCCTGCTAGACTCAAATAAATGTATCCCAGCTCAACTTTCAACCGGCAGCCACTGCAAGCCATAAAACCCAAGGGCAAGAGTAAGGGAAGGGGAATTTGGACCGGAGAGGTACAGTTGTCTTATCTGGCTGCCATAAAAATAACTTACTTTGTCAAGTTTTGACCCTGTGAGCACATTGCTAAGGCTTGTCCCAGGGCTAGGGGAAAGGGGACTCACATGTTCAAGCAAAAAAAAACGCCCTGAAATGTAAGCTTCAGGTTCAGAAGCAATCAGCCTCCACATCCACTGCTAGTGAGAATACTGAGAAACAGGTACTCTCAAATGGTGTTGGCAAAAACATGAAGTGCTATCAAAATAAAAGCACTAGACTTTGGGAGGCCAAGGTGGGCAGATTGCCTGAGCCCAGGAGTTTAAGACCAGTGTAGGAAACGTGGTGAAACAAAAATTAGCCGGGCATGGTGGCATGTGCCTGTAGTCTCAGCTACCTAGGAGGCTGAAATGGGAGGATCACCTGACCCCGGGAGGTCGAGGCAGCCAGTGAGCCATGATCACAACACTACACTATAGCCTGGGCAACAGAGTAAGACCTTGTCTCAATCAATCAGTCAATCAATAAATAAAAATAAAAGCACTGGCTGGGCACGGTGGCTTACACCTGTAATCCCAGCACTTTAGGAGGCTAAGGCGGGCAGATCATGAGGTCAGGAGTTCAAGACCATCCAGACCAACATGGTGAAACCCTGTCTCTACTAAAAATACAAAAAAATTAGCTGGGTGTGGTGGCACGTACCTATAGTCCCAACTACTTGGGAGGGTGAGGTGGGAGAATCACTTGAACCCGGGAGGTGGAGGTTACAGTGAGCCGAGATCATGCCACTGCACTCCAGCCTGGCGACAGGGAGAGACTCTGTCTCAAAAAAATAAAAAATAAATAATAAAGTACTAATACCTAAGGAAATATGTGCAAAGACATTTTTTGCAGCATTATTCATAGAGGCAACAAAAGTGGAAATAATCTCATATACATCACTAGGGAAAAGGTTGAATAAATTATGATACATCCGGCCGGTCGTGATGGCTCACGCCTGTAATCCCAGCACTTTGGGAGGCTGAGGCAGGCAGATCATGAGGTCAGGAGTTCCAGACCAGCCTGGCCAACGTAGTGAAACCTTGTCTCCACTAAAAACACAAAAATTAGCCGGGCGTAGTGGCATGCACCTGTAGTCCCAGCTACTCAGGAGGCTGAGGCAGGAGAATCGCTTGAACCCGGGAGGGGGAGGTTGCAGTGAGCCGAGATTGCGCCACTGCATTCCAGCCTAGGCGACAGAGCGAGACTCCATCTAAAAAACAAAACAAAACAAAAAAAATTCTGATGCATCCACACTGTATTATGCAGCATTAAAAAAGGATAAATTTGAGCTTTATGTATGGGAAGGTCTGTAATACATTTACAATGGCAAACAGTAAAGTAATATGCATGCTGGGATCACATTTTTGTAAAGAAGAAAACTCCTCCACATATGTGTGTGTGTGTGTAAATATATATAGATATATGAATATATATGTATAGATTTTCTATGAGAACAAAAGAATATGCAGCCAGACTTAAGGTTTTCAACTTGGTGAGGGTCAGGGAGCAGAGATTAGTGGAGGGGACAGACCAGATTAATGTTTGCTTTCTACAACTTTATGTTGTTCACTTTCACAGAGTACAACAGGCATTTATTTATTTTGCAATTTAAACATTAGAATAAAATTTTAAAAAATCAAAACATATGAAACATCTGGGGCCGGACACAATGGCTGACGCCTGTAATCTCAGCACTTTGGGAGGCCGAGGCGGGCAGATCACGAGGTCAGGAGATTGAGACCATCCTGGCTAACACAGTGAAACCCTGTCTCCACTAAAAATACAAAAAATTAGCCAGGTGTGGTGGTGGGCACCTGTAGTCCCAGCTACTCAGGAGGCTGAGGCAGGAGAATTGCTTGAACCTGGGAGGTGGAGGTTGCAGTGAGCCGAGATTGTGCCACTGCACTCCAGCCTGGGGTGACACAGCGAGACTCCATCTCAAAAAAAAAAAAAAAAGAAACGTCTGAGCTAAACATATTTACAGTGCCTCCCACTTCTTTTCCAAGGATTACCAATATTCTTTGTAAAGCCAACCCTATGCTTACCTTTCTCCACTCCTAAAGTAATAGAATTATATGAAGAGCTTTGAGAAATCTCCACTGTACCCCATGGTATAAAAGTTCATGTCCATGGTACTTTTTAAAAGCCTCTATGACATGTATCACTTTCTACTTTAAATTATATCTATCTAATCCCAGCACTTTAGGAGGCCGAGGCAGGCGGATCACCTGAGGTTGGGAGTTCAACACCAGCCTGGCCAACATGGTGAAACACCGTCTCTGCTAAAAATACAAAAATTAGTCGGGTGTGGTGGTGCGAGCCTGTAATCCCAGCTACTCAGGAGGCTGAGGCAAGAGAATCACTTGGACCCAGGAGGCAGAGGTTGCAGTGAGCAGAGATCATGCCACTGCACTCAGCCTGGGGAACAGAGCAAAACTCTGTCTCAAAAAAAAAAAATTATATTTATCTGCTACTCAATAGCAACAAAGACAATTTCCTTGCACAATCTTAGACTTCTGCCTTTCAGCTGTGTCCCACCTCTCTCCTCCACTTTACAGACACACTCCTTCCTGTCCCACCTCATTTTTATCAGATGTATCTTGAAACGTGTTAAAAAGCAAGGTTGCATTAACGTCATACAATTTGAGGTACACTACAGAATCATTTCCAATTTTAGAAAAAAATTCAATTTTACTTCTGATTAGAATTTTTTTTACACTTCAGAGTTCTGTGTCTTTTTGCTATTAAGGATGTAATATGTATATTTATAACTGAAGAGGTATATTCCTTTTTTTTTTTTTTTGAGATGGAGTCTTGCTCTGTTGCCCAGGCTGGAGTGCAATGGCACAATCTTGGCTCACTGCAACTTCTGCCTCCCAGGTTCAAGTGCTTCTCATACTTCAGCCTCCTGAGTAGCTGGGACCACAGGCGTGGGCCACCAGACCCCGCTAATTTTTGTATTTTTAGTAGAAACGGGGTTTTGCCATGTTGGCCAGGCTGGTCTTGAACTCCTCGGCTCAAGTTATCTGCCTGCCTTGGCCTCCCAAAGTGCTGGGATTACAAGCATGAGCCACCATGCCCAGCCTTGAGTTGATATATTCTCAGCATCTTCATTTTGATTATACTCTTAAAAGATTTTCTAATATTCTCAATATAAAATATAACAAATTTTCTGGATGGCCACTATTTAGCTAATGAAATGAATATTAGCTCCTACATTTACATCTGTTTAAGATCAATAAATTAGCAAATATTTCAACTTTAATTTCCTTTTGCTATTGAGAAAAGAACAGTGGCAGGCTTAACATGTGTAAACCTTCGCCCAGTCAGGTTCATCTGAACGTTTTTGGGGCCTGAGGCAAGAATACAGATGAAGGCTCACATTCTATATGTCTAAATATTTAAAAGTTATGAATCCAGGTAACAAATATATATTAAGACTATGGTTTTGGAATGACTGAAAGTTGACTAAATATCAAAGACAACTAACTTTATGACTTTTTATATCTGGGTGTTCTATTGACATTTGATATGAGTAATAAAATAAATATACAAGTAGCTCATAAATTAGTTTATACCATAAAATTTCTTTTTTTGCCTTTATATCAGCAAAAAAATTAATTACATTATTATGAGTGTAAGATTTTTCACATAAATTATGTTCTATGACAATAATACCAATTGGACAAACTTTCTCACATTATTATTGTTCTTAGTTTTCTATTAATTTCTACTTGGAGAAAACATGTTCTCTGGTAAGGAAGCAACAGTTGAAACTGCTAATGAAATTCTTTTTTTTTTTTTTTTTTTTTGAGACGGAGTCTGGCTCTGTCACCCAGGCTGGAGTGCAGTGGTGGGATCTCAGCTCACTGCAACCTCCACCTCCCAGGCTCAGGTGATCCTCCCACCTCAGCCTCCCAAGTAGCTGGGACCACAGGCACATGCCCCAACACTAGGCTAATTTTTTGTATTTTTTGGTAGAGATGGGGTTTTGCCATGTCACCCAAGCTGGTCTCAAACTCCTGAGCTCAAGCGATCCTCCTGCCTTGGCTTCCCAAAGTGCTAAAATTACAAGCCTGAGCCACTGCACCTGGCTGCTAATGAAATTCTTAAAGCAATATTTAGATTCAGAAGTGAATCACAAATTTTACACACTGTATTAAAAAATACACTGTCTTGGTCCGCTCAGGCCGCCATAACAAAAGACCACAGATTTGGTGACTTAAACAACAGAAATTTTTTTCTTACAGTTCTGGAGACTTGGAAGTCAAAGATCAAGGGTCCAGCAAGGCAGGTTTCATTCTACGGCCTGTTCTCTTGGCTGACAGATGACCATCATCTAGCTATGAGCTCATGTGACCTCTTGAGTGTGTTCTAGGAGAGAGAGCCAGCAAGCTCTCTGGTGTCTCTTCTTTTTTTCTTTCTTTCTTGATTTATTTTTTGAGACAGAGTCTCACTCTGTCACCCAGGCTGGAGTGCAGTGGCGTGATCTTGGCTCACTGCAACCTCTGCCTCCCAGGTTCAAGTGATTCTCCTGCCTCAGCCTCCTGAGTAGCTGGGATTATAGTCGCCCACCACCACACCCAGCTAATTTTTGTGTTTTTAGTAGTGACGGGGTTTCACCAGGTTGGCCAGGCTGGTCTCGAACTCCTGACCTTAGCTGATCCACCCACCTCGGCCTCCCAAAGTGCTGGGATTACAGGCATGAGAAGCTACCTTCTCCACTGAGAGCTGCAGAGACAACCTGTCTGCAGAGGGGAGCCACCCTCTCCAGGGCCTCCTCTCTACTGAGAACTGAACACTGGACACATGACCTGCCTACAGAGAGGAGCTGCCCACTCTGGGTCTCCTCCAAGCTGTTGTAACACTAAATAAAGCTCTTTGTCTTGTTCACCTTTCACTTGTCTGTGTACCTTCTTCTACCTGGACACAGGACAAGAACTCGGGCAAAGGTGCTGTGACCACAGAGGTTTCTGGCCAGAAAATTGACACCCCAAAGATCCCATACACATTCAGTCCATAATACATAAGATCAATTATCACAGAATAGTAGGATATTTTTAACTTTGTCATAAATTATATGTATTGCAAATTGTATTATCTTAATACAATATATTTGTTACTAGAGAATCAGTATCAAGCTTCACTTATGTTACTTATAAACCTATATATATATACACACAAATATAACAGGAATTATCAAATATTTAATATTGCAGAAATAGTTCCTTAGCCAACAGTGCAACTGTTGTGAATAGTGAACTAATTCTGACGAGCTCCAGAATCACAAATGAGAATAAGGAAAACAGGAAAATGGACTCTCACTAAAGGGAAACAATTCTCGGTTGTGCACAATTCCACTGAATTCCTCTGATCTGAGAGGAGGTATTTGGAAGTTAATAATTTGCCTTTTCTCTTACCTAAGTTCTGCTGCTCAACAATTCCCGGCACTAAAATGCACTGTCCATTTCTGACCTCGACAGAGGCATAACTCGTAAACCTTCACAGCAGTCCAACCCAGCCGCCTTTCTTTCAAGAACACAGGGCAAGAGGTGTTTCCACAGGGTATAAATGGTGTTAGTCACAGAAGCAGACGTTCAAAGTTCCAGGTTGTTCTGTGCCAGAGCCAAATGCCAGATCCCAAGCACAGAAGTTCTCATCTGTCCTTTAACAAATTTATGTGCTCGCGTGTGTGTACTGGATCCTCTAAAATGTGGCGGCAAGAGTCCCTCCTGTTTGCTTAGGTCTATGGGCAATACTGAGCCTAATGAAGCCCAAATGACTTCATACTGTGCTATATAAATGAAGAGTTTATAATCTTTTGAATAGAGGAATCTGGTGGGAGAACTGAGGTACCATGGGGCATGCAGTGATATAGGCAAGCAAACCCAAAGAAATGCATGCCGTCGCTAAGGGCATCCTCTTTACACTGTGAATAGCGATTGCATTTGCCAAAACATCAATTGTCACATAAAATGTATTAGCTAGAATGTGTCTGTTTTGTGGGTTTGGTTGTGTTTAAGTTGTAAACCTAAATTCCAAACAATTCTTAATTTTGAGAAACATCATCATATTTATTTTGGAAATCTTATAAAGGTGAATAATCTTCATATGCAGACACAGGACTAGTGTTGACTGACAACTGTTAGAAATGGATGATCAAAACTTATCATTTCTGTTGCCAATTACTAAAAGATTTCTCAAAATAAAGCCGGGCATGGTGGCTCACGCCTGTAATCCCAGCCCTTTGGGAGGCTGAGGCAGGCAGATCACCTGAGGTTGAGAGTTCAAGACCAGCTTGGCCAACATGGTGAAATTCCATCTCTACTAACAAATACAAAAACTAGCTGGACGTGGTGTTGCATACCTGTAATCCCAGCTACTAGGGAGGCTGAAGCAGAAGAATCGCTTGAACCCAGAAGGCGGAGGCTGCAGAGAGCCAAGATTGCACCACTGCATTCCAGACTAGGTGACACAGCGAGACCCTGTCCCAAAAAAATTAAAGATAAAATAAAAAAATTTATCAAAATAGATGATTTCTTTTAAAATGTTCTAGGAGAACTACATACTAAAAAGAAGCTACATAAGTGGCAGCAAGAGAGACAAGCATGTTATTAATTCAGAGCTACAGTCCCACATTTAAGTATTAGAAGGTAGATACTGAGCAGGAAGCTTCCTTTCCAACAATGGTGAGGGGGCCTCTCTGAACCTATTCTGATTCAGGGGCTGCCCAATACAAAACTAAAGATTTTTTTAAAATTTAAAAATAAAGGGAAAATACCTGTAAAATACTGCATTTTAAGCTCTTCTAAGAGGCAATATTAGCTAATGTCAATGCAAAATGTTATCTAACTTGTCTTTTCATCCACACTGCCCAACATGGTGCCTTGCACGTAGAAAGCCCTTAATAAGAAAGCAAATTGCAAAAGGATATACGGTTGACCCTTGAACATCATGGGCTTGAACCATGTAAGTCCACTTATACAGGGATTGTTTTACAACCAACTGCAGATTGATGCTACAGTGTTCATAGTATGCAAAACCCGCGTGTATATACAGAGGGCTGACTTCTATACGTGAGTTCTTCAGGGCTGACTAACAGACTTGAATATACTCGGATTTTGGTATACGAGAGGCTCCTTGAATCAATCTCCCACATGTACCAAGAGATGACTATGTATATATATATAGATAGATAAATAGCTCTCTCTCTCTCTATATATATATATATATGGTGTATATATGTATATAGTATTTATATGTATATATTATGTCAGCATTTTTATAAAGTTTTAAAACATTTACAACAATGTAATTTTAAGGGATTTAATGTAGTACAAATTTTTCTTTTTTTTTTTTGAGACAGGGTCTCACTCTGTTGCCCAGGTTGGAGTGCAGTAGTGCAGTGGCACGATCTCGGCTCACTACAACCTCTGCCTCCTGGGTTCAAGCGATTCTTCTGCCACAACCCCCAAGTAGCTGGGATTACAGGCGTCTGCCACCATGCCTGACTAGTTTTTTGTATTTTTAGTAGAAACGAGGTTTTGCCATGTTGGCCAGGCTGGTCTCAAACTCCCGACTTCAAGTGATCTGTCTGCCTCGGCCTCCCAAAGTGCTGGGAATACAGGTATGAGGCACTGCACCCAGCCAAATGTAGTACAAATGTAAAGATATGTATTGGAACAATGAAAACTAAATTCAGCGAAGTGGTTACCTCCCAGGTGGAGGGAGAGGAACACAATGGAGAAATGATGTCCAGGAGGATTCCAATGGATTTGGAATGTTTTATTTCTTAGGCTAGGCAGTATGTTCAAGGGTGTCTATTATATTGCTAGCTATGTATTTTTATAAGTCTGAAATATTTCATTAAAATGCAACCCCAATTAAAAAAAAAGTCATTCCAACATTTGTTTCTCAAAGACTTTCACATGTTGCCAGGCATGGTGGCTCATGCCTGTAATCCTAGCAATTTGGGAGGCCAAGGTAGGTGGATCGCTTGAGTCCAGGAGTTCTAGACCAGCCTGGGCAACATAGCAAAACTCTGTCTCTACAAAAAATACAAAAATTAGCCAGGCGTGTTGGCACACGCCTGTAATCCTAGCTACTCTGGAAGCTGAATGGGAGGATAGCTTGAGTCTGGGAGGTGGAGGCTGCAGTGAGCTGGGATTGCACCACGGCACTCCTGCCTGGGTGACAGAACAAGACTCTATCTCAAAAAAAAAAAGAAAAAAAAATTAATGTGCTCTGAGCTACAGGCACTGTAATGAATTACCATAAACTTGGTGCCTTAAAACAACAGAAATTTATCCTTTCACTATTCTGGAGGCCAGAAGTCCAAACCAATTTCATAAGCCAAAATCAAAGTGTCAGCAGGGCCACACTTTCTCCAGAGGCTCTAGGACAGCGTCCCTTCCTTGCTTCTTCAAGCTTCTGACAGCTGCCAGCATCCCTTGGTTTGTAGCTACATCACTCTAATCTCTGCCTCTGTGGTCACGTTGCCTTCTCCTATGTCAAATCTCCCTCTCTTCTCTCTTGTACAGACATTTGTGGCCAGGCGCAATGGCTCATGCCTGTAAATCCCAGCATTTTCAGAGGCTGAGGTAGAAGAATCGCTTGAGGTCACCAGTTTGAGACCAGCCTGGCCAACGTGGTGAAACCCTGTCACTACTAAAAATACAAAAATTAGCTGGGCGTGGTGGCCAGTGCCTGTAATCCCAGCTACTCGTACTCGGGAGGCTGAAACAGGAGAATCACTTGAACCTGGGAGGTGGAGGTTGCAGTGTGCCAAGTTCGCACCACTGCACTTCAGCCTGGGTGACAGAGCAAGACTCTGTCTCCAAAAAAAAAAAAAAAAAGACACCTGTGCACTTATGATTGCAGTGAGGGCCCACCTGGATAATCCAGGATCATCTCCCTATCTCAAGACCTCTAATTTAATCACATGTGCAAAGATGCTTTTTCCATATAAGGTAATAATGACAGGTTCCAGGGATTAGGACCTGGCCACAAGTACCTTTAGTTTTAGTCACCATAGGTACGCAGTCCTTTCCTAAGGTTCAGGTTGAATAAAATTAGCTCAAGGGTATTAAATAAAAGATACTGATTAACTATCGAGGAACTTCAAGAATGCTCAGGGATTTGGAACATGCAGCATAGGGCTGATATTTTGTCATTAATCTTAAATAAGAGCCTTTTAGCAAATTTGTTAAATTTATAAATGGCAGCAAGCCTAGAAGAACTGTTTTTTTTGTTTGTTTGTTTGGTTTTTTCTGTTTGCTTTTTGATATGGAGTTTCACTCTTGTTGCCCAGGCTGGAGTGCAATGGTGCGATCTCAGCTCACCACAACCTCCGCCTCCCAGGTTCAAGCGATTCTCCAGCCTCAGCCTTTCGAGTAGCTGGGATTACAGGCATGCACCACCATGCCTGGCTAATTTTGTATTTTTAGTAGAGATGGGGTTTCTCCATGTTGGTCAGGCTGGTCTTGAACTCCCGACCTCAGGCGATCTGCCAGCCTCAGCCTCACCAAAGTGCTGGAATTACAGGTGTGAGCCACCACGCCCAGTCGTAGAAGAACTGTTAACAATGCCGGTGCAACAGTTTCAGAAGACCAAACACTTTGATAGATCAGTAATGCTAAAGGGCATATTAGCTGCACAGTGTGCTATGGTTTGAATGTTTTTGTCCCCTCCAAAAGTTCATGTTGAGACTTAGTCCCCAATGTAACAGTGTTAGGAGGTGGGGCCTAATGGGAGATGTTTAGGTCACAGGTGCTCTGCCGTCATGAACGAATTAATGCCACTATATAAAGGGGCTTGTGGGAATGGGTTTACTCTCTTCTGCTCTTCTCCTACATGAGTTAACAGCAGGAAGGCCCTCCCTCAACACCAGATGCTGGTGCCCTGATTTTGAACTTCCCAGCCTCCAGACTGTGAGAAAGAAACTTCTCTTCCTAATAAATTACCCAATCCCGGCCGGGCGCGGTGGCTCACGCCTGTAATCCCAGGACTTTGGGAGGCCAAGGTGGGTGGATCACTTGAGGCCAGGAGTTTGAGGCCAGTCTGGCCAACACCGGGAAACCCTGTGTCTACTAAAAATATTAAAAAATTAGCTGGGTGTAGTGGCACACGCCTATTGTCCTAGCTGCTTGGGAGGCTGAGGCATGAGAATCCCTTGAACCTGGGAGGCGGAGGTTGCAGTGAGCCAAGATTGTGCCACTGCACTCTGGCCTGAGCAACAGAGTGAGACACAGTCTAAAAAAAAATAATAATAAATTACCTAGTCTCAGATATTCTGTTATAGCAGCACAAAATGGACTAAGGCAGAAATTGATACCAGAGGAGTGAGGTGTTGCTGTAACAAAGACCTAAAAATGTGGAAGTGGCTTTCAACAGTTTTGAAGTGAATGCTGAAGAAAAAGCTTGTATTGCCATGAACAGAGCCTTAAGAGTGACTCTGGTGAGGGTTTAGAAGAAGGGGAGAGCTGTAGGAGAGTCTGAATCTTATAAAATATTATTTAAGTTGTTGTGAACAGAACGTTGGTAAAAATACGGATGTGAAGGCCACTCAGATGAAGTCTCAGATGGAAATGAGGAACAAAGTATTGGAAACTGGAGGAAAGGTCATCCTTGTTACAACACGGCAAAGAACTTGGCTGAATTATATTTGTGTCCCAGGACTTCATGGAAGGCAGAACTTAAGAGTGATGAGGCCAGGCATGGTAGCTCACACCTGTAATCCCAGCACTTTGGGAGGCCAAGGCAGGTGGATCAACTGAGGTCAGGAGTTCGAGACCAGCCCGGCCAACATGGTGAAACCCCTTCTCTACTAAAAATTCAAAAATTAGCTGGGCATGGTGGTGGGCACCTATAATCGCAGCTACTTGGGAGGCTGAAGCAGGAGAATCGCTTGAACCTCGGAGGCAGAGGTTGCAGTGAGCCGAGATAACACCATTGCACTCCAGCCTGGGCAACAAGAGTGAAACTCCATCTCAAAAACAAAAAAGGAAGTGATGAACTACAATATTTGGCAGAAGAAATATCTATGCAGCAGAGCATTCATTTCAGGGTGCTGTGTGGCTTCTCTTAACTGTTTATAGTAAAATGCAAGAAGACAGAAACAATTTAAAAATGGAATTTATCATCAAAAGGGAAGTATAATATAAAGATAGGGAAAATTCTCAGCCTGGCCAAGTAAAGAATAAAAAAATATATTTAGGAGAAAAAAAACCAAGGATGTGGCCAAGCTACCTTTGGTAACAAGATTAGTAGGAACAGAAAGGAGCCAGGTGCTATTCATCAAGACAATGGGAGAATCACCCTGAAAGCATTGCTGATAATTTTTAGGCTGCTCCTCCCACCATAAGCCCAGAGTGCTAGGACACTGAGGGCCGAAGAGTTTGGGGAGAAGGCCTGGGGAACCCATACGGGCTGAAGGCTCACTGTGCAGAGTTTCAGATGCAGTACTTTTTGCTGCCCCAGCTGTAGCTCAAGTGGGCCCAGGTGTGGCTCAGGCCACTGCTCCAGGCCACTCAAGCAGTAAGCCTTGCTGGTGTCCACGTGGTGCTAATTGTACAGGAGTGCAGAGTGCAAGAACTGTGGTGGCAGGGCTTCCTTCATCCTGATTTCAAAGGCTGCCTTAGAGAGCCCAGGGACCCAGGCAGACACCTGCCCCAGCAGCAGAGCCATGCTGGAAGCCATGTGGCAGAGAGTACCCACTAGGGCAATGCCTAGTGGGAGTGAGGCCACCCCAAGACCCCAGAACTGTAGAGCCACTAGTATGCAGTGTCAGCCTGTGAGAGCCACAGGCATGCTATTTCAATGCATAAGGGCTGAAGCATGGGCTGTGCCCAGGAAAGCCATGGGGGCAGGCCTGCCCAGGGCCTTGGGCACCCAAACCCCACTCCAGTGTGTCCAGGTGGTGGGACATGGTGTCAACAAAGATTATTCCCAAGCCTTAAGATTTAATGTTGTTTGCCCTGTTGGGTTTTGGACTTACTTGGGGCCTGTTGATCTTTTCTTCTTTCCTATTTCTCCCTTTTGGGAAGGGAATGTCTATCCTATTATCTGTTCCATCATCATATTTTGGAAGTAAATAACTTGTTTGATTTCACAGGATCACAGCTGGAGGGAAATTTACCTCAAGATGAATTATACTTTGAGTCTCACCCATATGTGATTTAGGTGAGACTCCGGATTTTATTTTATTTCATTTTATTTTTAGATGGAATTTTGCTCTTGTTGCCCAGGCCGGAGTGCAATGGCACGATCTCGGCTCACCGCAACCTCCACCTCCCGGGTTCAAGCGATTTTCCTGCCTCAGCCTCCCTAGTAACTGGGATTACAGCCATGCACCACCACGCCCGGCTAATTTTGTATTTTTAGTAGACACGGGGTTTCTCCATGTTAGGCGGGCGGGTCTCGAAGTCCCCACCTCAGATAATCCACCTGCCATGGCCTCTCAAAGTGATGGGATTACAGGCATGAGCCACCGCACCCAGCCGAGACTCTGGACTTAAACTTTTGGGTTAGCGCTGGAATGAGTTATGACTTGGGGCTACTGGGATGGAATAAATGTATTTTGTATGTGAGAAGGACATGAATTATGGGGGATCAGGGGAAGAATGCTATGGTATGAATGTTTTCATTCCCTCCAAAAATTCATGTTAAAACTGAATCCCGGCTAGGCGTGGTGGCTCATGCCTGTAATCCCAGCACTTTGGGAGGCCGAGGTGGGCAGATCATGTGAGGTCAGGAGTTTGAGACCAGCCTGGCCAACATGGTGAAACCCCTTCTCTACTAAAAATACAGAATTTAGCCAGATGTGGTAGTGAATGGATGAATGCCATTATAAAAATGGCTTGTGGGCCAGGCGTGGTGGCTCACTCCTGTAATCCCAGCACTTTTGAGAGGCTGAGGCAGGCGGATCACAAGGTCAGGAGATCGAGGCCATCTTGGCCAACACAGTGAAACACAATCTGTACTAAAAATACAAAAAAATTAGCTGGGTGTGGTGGTGCCAGCCTATAATCCCAGCTACTCGGGAGGCCGAGGCAGGAGAATTGCTTGAACCCAGGAGGCAGAGATTGCAGTGAGCTGAGATCGCGCCACTGCACTCCAGCCTGGCGACAGAGCAAGACTCCGTCAAAAAAAAAAAAAAAAAAAAAAAAAGGCTTCTGGGAGCAAGCCCTTGCTCTCTTCTGCTCTTCTGCTATATGAGTACACAGTTTCATTCCTTCTTGTCCTTCTGCCACGAGGATGCAGCAAGAAAGAAAGCTCTTGCCAGATGCTGGCATCTTGATCTTGTACTTCCAGCCTCCAGACCATGAGAAATAAATTTCTGTTCTTTATAAAATTAGGCAGTCTTGGCTATACTGTTATAGCAGCACAAAACAGATTAAGACACAGTGGGAACCCACAATGCATTACTTGACTAAAAGATTAGATCAGCTTTTTATTTTTGATACGGAGTCTCGTTGTGTCGCCAGGCTGGAGTGTAGTGGCGTGATCTTGGCTGAATGCAACCTCCACCTCCTGTGTTCAAGCGATTCTCCCACCTCAGCCGTCCGAGTAGCTGGGACAACAGGTACGCACCACCACGTCCAGCTAATTTTTGTATTTTTAGTAGAGACAGGGTTTCACCATGTTGGCCAGGCTGGTCTTGAACTCCTGACCTCAGGTGATCCACCTGCCTCAGCCTCCCAAAGTGCTGGGATTACAGGTGTGAGCCACTGTGCCCGGCCTAGATCAGCTTTTAAAGCAGTGAAAAAGCAAAAGTGGGATTCTGGCCTGCACAATCCAAAGCATCCCCTAGACAAGGACAGATCATTTTGTTTGTATTTTCAGTGCCTGACATAGCATTGTTTATTGAATAAATGAATGAAAGGGCACATTTCAGCTTTAATTAGGTTTACATTAAAGACCAATCATCAGGTATACCTGCTTAGCACTCTTCTAGGTACTTTGAGGATACTAAAACATTATTGGCAACCTGGTCCCTTAGAAGTGACCAAATTAGAAGTAGATGACATAAAGGATTACACTTCACTCCTGCAGCCATTTTCCACAAGCAGCTTAGTGCAGTTTAGTGAGTCCTTTTCATAGTTCATTGAAAACACTAGGGTTTGATCTATTTACTTATTTATTTATTATTAATATTCATTTATTTATGAGTTGCGGTTTTGCTCTGTCACCTGGGCTGGAGTGCATTGGCACAAACATAGCTCATTGCAGCCTTGAATTCCTGGGCCCAAGCTATCCTCCCACCTCAGCCTCTCTAGCACAGATGGGATGACAGGCCCCCGCCACCATACCCAGCTATTTTTTTAGTTTTTGTAGAGACATGTTCTCGCTGTGTTGAGTAGGCTAAGTATTGAACTCCTGGTCTCAAGTGATCCTCCCACCTTGGTCTCCTAAAGCATTGGGATTATAGGCGTGAACCGCTGTGCCCAGTCCCAATCTATTTAATGAAAAAAAAAAACAGTGGCAAAATAAAATACTTTTCTTTTCTCTTTTTTTAATCTTTAAACATATTTTTAACATTTTGTAGAGACAGGATCTTGCCTTGTTGCCTAGGCTGGTCCTGAACTCCTGGCTTCAAGGGATCTTTTCATCTCAGCCTCCCAGGGATTACAGGTGTTAGCCACTGTACCCAGCGAAAACCCTTACTTTTTATTTAATTTAATTTAATTTAATTTATTTATTTATTTATTTATTTATTTATTTATTTATTTTGAGACAGAGTCTCACTCTGTTGCTCAGGCTGGAGTCCAGTGGTGCAATATCAGCTCACTGCAACCTTTGCCTCCTGAGTTCCATCAATTCTCGTGCCTCAGCCTCCCAAGTAGCTGGGACCACAGGCATACACCACCACACCCGGATAATTTTTGTATTTTTAGTAGAGATGGGGTTTCGCCATGTTATCCAGGCTGGTCTCGAACTCCTGGCCTCAAGTGATCCACCCCCCTCAGCCTCAAAACAACATTCCCCCAAAGTTGCTAGAAGTCTTCCTTCCATGATAAGTAAGTTCCTCTTCACTGTACCATTAGACCATCTGTCTACCTCCTGATTTAACTAAAACCCACTTCTCCTTCAAGGATAGCTTCCCTTGTGTTCATGTAAGGTGGAAAATCCTCTTGTGTCCAACCACATACATCATGGCATGGGGTTAGGGGAAGGGTGCTTCAGTATTTCCAGAATCCACACTCTCAATTCCAAACTATACATCTTCCTCCATCATGTAAAAACTCCAAATCTTTAGAAGCAGGTACATCTGGTTATACCATCTTTATCCTCTTCTCATTGCTGTCATCTACTGACATATTCATGGAGGACTTTGGCCCCTGGCTCAGTCTTTCTTCTTATCATTCTAGATAATATCATTGCCCATGTGGAGAATTCATTCTAAATGAATCCTACCATCTCCCTTAATTAGATAATCCTCCAAGGCTAATAATGGTCAGAAATCTTCTGCATAGAAGGTAGTGGTACAGAGAGGGGTAAAAGGCATTGTGGTGTTTTTTACATTTTATTTTAGAACTTTTTTTTTTTTTTGAGACAAGAGTTTCCCTCTTGTTGCCCAGGCTGGAGTACAATGGTGCAATCTTGGCTCACCGAAACCTCCGACTCCTGGGTTCAAGCAATTCTCCTGCCTCAGACTCCTGAGTAGCTGGGTTACGGGTATGTGTCACCACGCCTGGCTAATTTTGCATTTTTAGTAGAGATGGGGTTTCTCCATGTTGGTCAGGCTGGTCTCGAACTCCCGACCTCAGGTGATTTGCTTGCCTCAGCCTCCCAAAGTGCTGGGATTACAGGTGTGAGTCACCGTGCCCGGCCTATTTTAGAACATTCTTGAATGTTTATTTTTAAAAAGGCTAGTCTGGACGGGCGCGGTGCTTCACACCTGTAATCCCAGCACTTTGCCGGGCCAAGGTGGGCAGGTCACGAGGTCAGGAGTTCGAGATCAGCCTAGCCAACATAGTGAAACCCCGTTTCTACTAAAAATGCAAAAATTAGCTGGGTGTGGTGGCATGTGCCTGTAGTCGCAGCTACTTGGGAGGCTGAGGCGGGAGAATCGCTTGAACCCGGAGGCAGAGGTTGCAGTGAGCCAAGACCACACTACTGCACTCCAGCCTGGGTGACAGAGTGAGACTCTGTCTCAAAAACCAACAAAAACAACTACAAACAAGCCATATTTACTATCCTACATAGTTTCTGTGGATTAGAAATTTGTGAACAGCTTAGCTCGGTGGTTCTGGCTCAGGATTGCTTTCGAGGCTGCAATCAAGATGTCAGCCAGAGCTGCAGTCATCTGAAGGCCTGCCTGGGGCTGGAAGATCCACTTCCAAGGTGGAACACTACTTGACTGGCAACTTGGTGCTGGTTTGTTGGTGGAAGGCTTGCCTCAGTTCCTCTTTATTGGGCTCTCCAAATGGACTGCTTTAGTGACCTCATGACATATACATGGCTTCCTTAGAGCAAGTGACCCAAAAGAGGCCAAGGTAGCAACTGCAATCAGTGTCACATACTGACACTTCCACAATATCCCATTGGTTACTTGGGTCAAGTTTATTCAATGTGGGAAGGGATGACAACAGGAGGGCCATCTTGGAGGCCACCACATTTGGTTGTACAAAATCTTCATGATGTTTCATATTGTTTTAATACTCTAATGAGTTAATGTTTAATAGAAAATAATAGCTTATAGGTATGAGGCATCTGGTTTGATTTTATTTAATCTTTAAAACAATGGCATAAGGTAGGTGCTTTTAATACCCCTTTCCACAGATAAGGAGGTTGAGGAACAGACAAATAACTTGTCTAAGTGTTCACCCAGTAAGTGCAGGGCCAGGTTCTAAACCCAAGTTCTAAACTGCCAAGATTCAGGGTAATTTGTTACACAGCAATAGATAACTAATACAGTAATTGTCTCAAACTGCTACACACTTGATTTTAAAGGTTGTCTAGCCTCATGCAGATCCCCAAATACTTTATCACAAAATACCAGAAAAGGAGGTTAGAGTGGTTTCAGTTGGAAATTAGGAACTACTGTCAACTCTACCTTGATACTGAAGGTCTGTAACCACAGTGGTTTCAGGATAAAGTAATTCACAGACAGCTATCAGTTAATAGAGCCAAGGGGCTATAACATGCACTCCTTCTGTCTTGGACTTTCCCCTAGTATATTTCTCAGCTGACGTTTTTTTTCTTTTTTTTTTTTCTTTTTCTTTTTTTTTTTTTTTTTTTTGGAGACAGGGTCTATTGCTCTGTTGCCCTGGCTGGACTGCAGTGGCGCAATCATAGCTCACTGTAGCCTTGACCTCCCGGGCTCAAGCAATCCTCCTACCTCAGCCTCCTAAGTAGCTGGGACCACAGGCACCCACCACCGTACCTGGCAAATTTTTTAGATTTTTTTCTAGAGATGAGGTCTCACTATATTGCCCAGGCTGGTCTCAAGCAATCCTCCTGCCTTGGCCTCCCAAAGTGCTGTGATTACAGGCATGAGCCACCACACCCAGGCTCAGCTGATCTACTGACCACTTGCCAAGACACCCAGTAAAACAGATTGTTCATTGTTTATATTCTAATAGTCAACATTTATTGAGTTCTTATTATGTGCCAGGTGCTATTCTAAGTGATTTACGTATACCCAATCACTTATTTTTATTCCCATTTTATAGATGACAAAACAGAGGCACCAAAAGGTTAAACCAGGGCTCACCATCATTAAGTGGCAAAGCTCGAATTTGCATTCAAGTAAACTGACTCACTATTAACCACTGTGTTAGAGGTTAACACAATGAGGCAGAAGTTCCAAAAACTCTAGGAGAAGACAGAAGGGTTTCAAGGGCTATGACCTACCAAGTAAAAGGCAAAAGAATTGGCAGCAAGTTAAATTTATCTTTCTCCTGATAATGTTCTTTCAACTCTCAGAGGCTGAATTTGCTAAGAAATTATAAAATGTTGTTTAGGGTTAGAACTGTTTTTACTCCCACCTCCTTAAATAAGCTTTGTTCAGAATGTCCATTTGAAACTTAGACTGGAACTTTCTGTGCCCTAGTTTCTATATTAGCTAGGCCACAAAACAAAAAAAAATTCTAAGGTTCTATCAGCCATATAGATCTCAGTCATCTTTTTAGTCATACTAGAACTCACCAAGTCCTCTTAACTGAAAGGACTCCTGGCCTACCATCAAAATGCTCATGTGTTAGGCTTTATATCTGGATTAAAGTCAAGTCAGCAAGAACTGGTCTCAGAGGAATTCATTCCTCCAGAGCAGAGGCAATGTGTGAGATTTAAGAACTCAGGCCTTAGCATCTGGCAGATCTTTAAATTTGAATCTTAGCTCGCTACTTGACATAGAGCAAGAAACATGAGTCTCAAATATAAATCAGGGAACAGCAGGACCAGAGCTGATGCACAGGAAGCACCTCGCATTGTAGAAGGCACTCAATAGCTGCTTGGTATAGAGTAAATACATGCTTGGTTTTCAGTAAATAAATACTTGATATTGAAACGATTATTTCAGTCATTGATCCATGCACAAGAAAATTGTGCATCATAAACATTTTACTCTTGAGCAAACATCAATTATTAAAAACATATGTTCAAATTCATTATCCATTCTATTTAATTAAATGCTTGAGGCGCTTGGGGAGCTTACATTTGTGATTTAAGTCTGTGCGTTTTTCAAATGTATCTTTCGGAAGAGATTAAGACACTGCAATTTTAAGCAGGGCAGGTGGCTCACGCCTGTAATCCCAGCACTTTGGGAGGCTGAGGTGGGCAGATCCCTTGAGGCCAGGAGTTCAAGACCAGCCTGGGCAACAAAGCGAGACACTGTCACCATAAAAAATATTTTTTTAAATTAAAAAGAGTGCAATTTGAACACATGTCAATATACGATTACCTTTTAATTCAAATGTGTAGCTATCTACTGTGCTGGAATCAGGTGGGCAGCAGGTGATCCCACTAGTGGCAACTTGGTGTTCTGCGATGTGGCACATCCACTTCTTAAATGCAGATTATTGCACTGTAATAAAAATCCTCCATATTCAGTGCTTTCATTGTGTATAATTATGTAAACTGTAGACAAAAAATATTCCTGAATTTGTGTGTGTGTGTGTGTGTGTGTGTGTGTGTGTGCGGATGCGCAATCCGAGATGGTTGTTAAAGCTCGAAAGCGAGTTTAGCTTCTAGAGTCGCCCCTCCTCCGAGGCCCAGCCGAGGTGGACTCGCACCGTCGCAAGACCGGCCAGGCGGTGGCAATGAATAAAAAGCCAGTCTTGGTGCTAGGGACCCAGGTGTTCTCCGTCCCGCCCCTGCCTGGCAGCCCCGCCCCTCCCCCGCCCCGGGCCACGCCCCACCCTGGCCCAGCCCCCAAAAGTACCGTTTGCATCTCCCGTGAGCCTCTTCGACTGTCACTCTTTGGAAAAAAAAGTGACGTCTGCACTGAGGTGGCCGCTAAAGTGCGAATCACGACGGGCGGTGGCCGTTGGGTCCCGGCGGGAGGCGGGGTTTCCGCTCCCTGGGGCGCACGTCAGTCAGGAGGCGGAAGCGCAGCGGGGGCGGGAAGGTTGTAGTGCCGCGAGTTGAGCTCCTCTTGCCTAAGTGGTCGCGCCCCCTTTAAGAGCAGCGATTGTAAGGAGAGGCGGTCCCGGTGTCCTCGGGTCCCAGGTAAGTACGACAGTCTGGAGGCACCGGGCAATAGAAAAGTGTGGCTCCGGTGCTAACCTGTCGCCGCCGTCTTTGTTGCTACAGGCAGCGACCTCCCTTCCGACCTTGCCACCTAACATTTCTGGCTCCTACTTGCTTCCTTCGTCTCGTTCACAGCCCGGGCCCAGCCGGCTCTGCACATCCGTAGGCAGGGACCTTTCTGGCACGCCAGTCTACCCTGTCACAAGATGGCCCTGTTGTCCTCCAGTCCTAACCCCGCATTGCTCGCTCTGTGTTTCAGCCGCTGGAGACACCTAACGATTCATTTACTAAAAACCGGTGTCTGTTTTCTATCCCTTGTGTCTTTCCCGGGCTCCCTAGACTAAGGCATCACTCTTTGCTGCCAATGAAATCAATTCTTTGCCTCCGGCACTGTGCCCACCTTTTAAAGAGCGGGTTTGTTAAGCTTTTTTTTTTTTTAATTAATAGTATGGTTGCTTGAATAAGACTTTATTTTCCCTTCTGAAAGCAGGATTAGGGTCTTGCTCATCTTGGATCTCCCCAGGATTTAGTACGAAAGCACGAAGTTTGGAAACCAGCAGCCCAAATAATTCCTACTAGCTCTATGACCCTGGGTACGGTTTCCTCATCTATAAAATGGTGATAAATAAATAAAGGAACTAATTTCGAGCATGTTACACAGTGTATGGTGCAGAGCAGATACAGTACTCCTTTACCTTTTTTAGCTTTCAGTGTACACAGTAGTTTTTGGGTATGTGTTTTAGACGAATGCAGAGACACCATAGATGAATGATTTTTCTTCCTAGCACCATGATTATATTGACTCTATCAATTGGTTGATATATTTGGTAAATACAACCTAATGACGTTTATTAAAGACAGTAATGCTAAATGGTATGAACATCTGCAAGAATAAACAATGCCGTATTTAATTAAATGCTTGAGGCACTAGCAGAGTTTACATTTGTTTCAGTCTGTGTACATTTCAAATGTATCTTTCTTTCTTTTCTTTTTTTTTTTTTTTGAGACCGAGTCTCGCTGTCTCGCTCTGTGGCCCAAACTGGAGTGCAGTGGCGCGATCTCGGCTCACTGCAACCTCCGCCACCCGGGTTCAAGTGATTCTCCCGTCTCGCCCTCCCGAGTAGCTGGGACTGCAGGCGCTTGCCACCACACCCGGCTGATTTTTTTTTTTAATTTTATTTTTAGTAGAGACTGGGTTTCACCATGTTAGCCAGGATGGTCTCGATCTGCTGACCTCGTGATCCGCCCGCCTCGGCCTCCCAAAGTGCTGGGATTACAGGCGTGAGCCACCGCGCCCGGCACAAATGTATCTTTCTGAAGAGATTAAGAAACAGCAAACATTTCATTGTAAGGAGGCTAGCTGTTCCTTTTAGTTTGTGATTAAAATATGGTGCATTGTATATGTGTGTACACATATTTTATAGGTGATTGTGAAGTGCTGACCAATTGCCACTGGACATACTTGAAACAAAATAGGAAAATGGCAGCAAACTCTTCAGGACAAGGTAATGACAGCAGGAATTTCTTTACTATGAACATTTCCCCAATATAGTAAATGTATTTGAATAAGAGAAAATTTAGCATAGGGCAGTTACTGTAGCCAGAATTTAAAAAATGAATAGCAGGCCGGGAGCGGTGGCTCACGCCTGTAATCCCAGTACTTTGGGAGGCCAAGTCGGGTGGACTGCTTGAGGTCAGGAACCCCGTCTCTACTAAAATACAAAAATTAGCTGGGCATGGTGGCGGGCACCTGTAATCCCAGCTACTAGGGAGGCTGAGGCAGGAGAATTTCTTGAACCCAGGAGGCGGAGGTTGCAGTGAGCCGAGATTGCACCACTGCACTGCAGCCTGGGCGACAGAGTGAGACTCCGTCTCAAAAAAAAGAAAAAGAAAAAAAGAAGAACATCAAAGTAAAACTCTAAATTTGAAATACACTTGTGCTGAATAATGATGTTTAGGTCAATGACAGACTGCTTATAGGATGGTGGTCCCATAAGATGGTAATGGAGCTGAAAAATTTCAATCGCCTAAGTGACATCTTGATAATCCTGACCCTGTGTAAGCCTAGGCTAATGTGTTTGTTTGTGTCTTCATTTTTAACAAGAAGTTTAAAAAGTAAAAAAAATTAAAAATTTTAAAAATAGAAAACTTTTAGAATAAAGATATAAATAAAATACTTTTTTTTTTTTTTTGAGATGGAATTTCGCTCTTGTTGCCCAGGCTGGAGTGCAATGGCATGATCTTGGCTCACTGCAACCTCTGCCTCCCAGGTTCAAGCAATCCTCCTGCCTCAACCTCCCGAGTAGCTGGGATTACAGGCACACGCCATCACGCTCAGCTAATTTTGTATTTTTAGTAGAGACTGGGTTTTTCCATGTTGGTCAGGCTGGTCTCAAACTCCTGACCTCAGGTGATCCGCCCGCCTTGGCCTCCCAAAGTGCTGGGATTACAGGCATGAGCCACTGTGCCTGGCCCAGTGTTTTGTGTTTTAAGCTAAGTGTTATTACAAAAGTCAAAAAGTTAAAAAAATTTAAAAGTTTATAAAGTAAAGTTACAGTAAGCTAAGGTTAATGTATTATTGAAGAAAGAAAAATTGAATAAATTTAGTGCAGCCTAAGTGTACAGTGTTTATAAGTATACAGTACTATATAGTAATGTCCTAGACTTTCACATTCACTCACAACTCACTCACTGACTCACCCAGAGCAGCTTCAGTCCTGAAAGCTCCATGCATCCATGCATGGTAAATGCCCTATACAGGTATACCATTTTTTGTCTTTTAAACCGTGTGTGTGTGTGTGTGTGTGTGTGTGTGTGTGTGTGTGTGTGTGTATGTATGTATGTATGTGTGTATTTTAAGATCTCAATTGGCTTTATTTGTGATTCTAGAATCAGGCAACACTTCATTTCATAAAATAGAATAAGTGTTCCCTAAACCATATTTTTACTGTACCTTTTCTATGTTGAGATACACAAATATTTAGCATTGTATTACAGTTGCCTACACTATTCAGTACAGTAACATGCTGTACACGTTTGTAGCCTTGGAGCAACAGACTGTACCGTACAGCCTAGGTTGTGTAGTAGGCTATACCATCTGTGTTTGTGTAAGTACACTCTGATGTTTGCATAACACAAAATCACCTAACAATGAATTTCTCAGAATGTATCCCTGTTGTTAAGCAACATATGATGGTAGATCTGACATTGGATCAGATATACAACATCCTTTATATTATTAATCTTATATTTTAATCTATTTTAAGATTATTTACATTGAAATTGTATTCACATTATTCACCTTATGGCCTCTTCTGACATCTATGTTCGCTTGCTCTTTTACTTGAAATCAGAACCACTTTTAAAGAAGTTTTATTGTCATCACACATTATCTGTGCCTTTATCTTCATTGCTGTAAAAACTTTTGTACACATTTCACCTGTGTTAAGATAGCTCCAAAACAAATCAAGTCAGACACATTTGCTGCTATCAAGGAGTTTTTATTTTAAAATTTGTATAAAAGTAAAATTTACTCTCTATAAAGTATTGAATCTCACTTGGCAAGTAGTTAACCACTTAACTACTTGAAGGACGCCTCTATTTCCGTTCTGTATCAAGTCTGAATTCCTGTTTGACTCTATGTATGTTTGACCCATCTTCATATTTTTAAATTACTCATCTCTGTTCTGATTTTTTTAATCTTGGTTTTGTCTTAAACTTATGGACTCTTAAAGTGTATACTCATTTGGTCCAGCTTCTTTCATTGACCATACTGTCTGTGAGATTCATCCATATTGTGCATGGATCAGTAGTTCATTCCTTGTTATTGTGGGGTAGTATTCCATGGTATGACTTTATCACATTTTGTTTATTCATTCTTCTGTTTGTAAACTTTGGGGTTGTCTCAGTTTTGGCTGTTGTGAATAAAGCTGCTATGAGCATTTATAAGTCTCTTTTGCAGGTACTTTTTTTTTTTTTTTTGAGATGGAGTTTTGCTCTTGTTGCCCAAGCTGGAGTGCAATAGCGTGATCTCAGCTCACTGCAACCTCCACCTCCTGGGTTCAAGCGATTCTCCTGCCTCAGCCTCCTGAGTAGCTGGGATTACAGGCGCGTGCCACTGCGCCTGGCTAATTTTTTTGTAGAAACGGGGTTTCACCATGTTAGCCAGTCTGGTCTCGAACTCCTGACCTCAGGTGATCCGCCTGCCTCGGCCTCCCAAAGTGCTGGAATTACAGGCATGAGCCACTGTGCCCGGCCTCAGATACCTTTTTTTTAAGAGACAGGGTCTTGTTCTGTTGCTCAGGCTGGGCTCTGAGGTGGATGAAGCTCACTGCAGCCTCAAACTCCTGGGCTCAAGTGATCCTCCCACCTCTACCTTCCAAAGTGGTGGGACTGCATGCATGCATCACCATGCCTGGCTAATGTTTTTATTTTTTGTAGAGAGAGGGTCTTGCTTTGTTGGCTGGGCTGGTCTTGAACTCCTGGCCTCAAGAAATCCTCCCACCTCGGCCTCCCAAAATGTTGGGATTACAGGCATGAGCCACCATGCTGGGCCACTTGTACCATTTTATTATTTTAGTATATGCGCTTCTGAAGAGAGCTCTCTTTGTACTGTTTTATATTCTCTCCAGCAATATGTGAATATTCTGGTTGATTCACATTTAGTGTTGTCAGTCGTTAATTTTAGCCATTCTAGAATGTATGAAGTAGTATCTCATTGTAGTATTAAAATGCATTTCCTTGATGACAAATGCTGAGCACTTTCGTTGTACTTATTGGCCATTGTAAATCTTCCTTTATGAAGTATTTGTTCAAATCTTTTACTCATTTTTTAAAAATTGGGTTATTTCTTTTATTAGCAAGTTGTTTTGTTTTCATTCTTCGGTCTGGATACAAGTCCTTTGTCAGATATGTTTTGCACGTATTTCCTCCCAGTCTCGCTTGCCTTTTCGTGTTCTTAATGGTGGTGTTCTTATCCTGTATGTAATGTGTTATTTTTCTCTGGCTGCTTTTAGGATTATCTCTTTGTATTTCAGTGGTCTGACTATGGTATGCCTAGAGGTGGTTTTCTTGTTTGGGGTTTGTTGAGCTTTTTGGATCTGTAGGTTGATGTCTTTCACTAAATTTGGGATGTTTCCATCCATTATTCAAATACTCCAAGGCTCTGCTTATTTTTCCTCAATATTTTTTTCTGTGTTTTTCTGATTGGATAATTTCTAATGCTCTAACTTTAATAACTTCTGCCATCTCCAATCTGCTGTTCATTCAATCCAGTGAACATTTTGTTTCAATTTACTTTTTAGCTCTAGAATTTCCACTTGGTCCTTTTCCATAGTTATACTTCTTTGCTAAAATACCCCTTTTATTTATTATGTCTTTTTCCCTTAAGTCTTTGAACATATTTATAATGGCTGATTTTAAATCCTTGACTGCTAATTATATCATTGGGGTTATCTTGGAGTTGGTTTTTGTTGACAGCATTTTGGTGCATATGCATCACGTTTTCCTTTTTCTTCTTATAAGTTGTGATTTGTTATTGGGTACTGGACATTGTGGAAACTCTGGATTCTGTTATATTCTTCTGAAATTGTGATTTTTGTTCTAGCAGACAGCTTGACTCAACTCATACTCAACTCCAAACTCTTGTCTCTCCTGTGTTGGGCAGAAATCTTGCAGTGTTTTTCAGCTTCCACCTGCTGCTTTATTGATGGGCTGCCTGGGATCTCCCCTGGATATGTGTAGTTCAGCAGTGAGTGAAACTTTGAGTGGATTTTATATGCATGAATTGGGCTTTATTCCTTCTGCCTCTCCCTCAAGCCTTGCCCCTAATTTTTTTGCTACTCTGTCAGCCCTAAACTTGAGTTCTCCTCTGACACCTCAAGCTAGTAAGGTGAGGCTAACCAAGCTGTTAGTGGATTGGGGAATGCTTCAGGCAAAAGGCCACAAGTTCCCAAATCTCACCAGTTGCAGTTTCTGCCTGATACTGGTCAGACTCCAGTGCCTTTAAGTAGTGAATTTTTAATATTTTAGTATTATATTTGTGGCAGGATTAGACCAACCAGACTACTCTGCCAGTACTGGAAATTGAAAGCTTGCTGATTCTGTTTTAGTTTATTAGTTATATTTAGGACAAACTAAAGGTTACATGAGTTTCGTAGAATTATAGTATTGTAAAAAGCAAGTTGTGGTGACAGCTTTCCCAGCAGTAACCAGCTAATACCATTCTGTTCTCCTCTCACATAGCCATGTGCGATTTGTGTGCTCTGTGGACTAATCATAGGTCCACATTCCCTTGTGGTTGTTGACCTCTTTATTTTTCCATTAAATTATAAGGGCCCATATTAAAAATAACTTAATTTGAGCTCAGATGAAAACTAAGAGAAGACTATTTTGGAAAGATAACATGCTGCTAAAAACCACACAATGCACTGCAAATGAAAATAAATTTTAAATTATCCCACTATTCGCACAGAGATTTACAATATGCTGGTTACTTTTTTCGTAGTTGTAGTAAAAACGCAATCATTTTTAGTATTGCCTTTGACTGACCCATAGTCAGATCCACTATGAAACATCCCCTAATCTAAATAGAAATGAATTTAGATTAGCCCTTTGGCTTCCGTTGCTCCTTTGTCAGGGATTTTTGTTGATGTCATGGAACTGCTGCTACTAGGAACCAGCAGAGGGAGTCCACATCATGTTCTAGAGACTCCCGGACTCCAGTGAAATTTTAAAATTCTTATTTATTCAGATCTATTGTATTTTTCTCTCTCTCTTTAATTTAATTTTTTTTTAAGAGGCAGGGTCTCGCTCTGTTGCCCAGGCTGGAGAGCAGTGTTGTGATTGTAGCTCCGTGCAGCCTCCAACTCCTGAGCTCAGCATCCCAAGTAGCTGAGACTATAGGCACATGCTACCACGCCTGGCTAATTTTTTTTCTTTTTTTTTTTCCTGTAGAAACAGGGTCTCGCTTTGTTGCCCAGGCTGGTCTTGAACTCCTGAACTCCTGTTCTCAAGCAGTTCTCTCACCTTGGCTTCCCAAAGCATTGGAATTACAAGTGTGAGCCACCATGCCCGGCTGTATTTTACTTTCTGTAGTAAATCATTTCTGTACTGTTTGTATGTATAAGAATTACTTAATATGGAGATTAATACCAAGGGCCTTAATTATCTTAAAATGATAACTGAAAGAACCATGATTTAAAAAAAATCTTTATGTGTTGTAATTTATTAATGTAAATAAATAGATTTTACTTATTATGTCTGGTGTAGAGAACAATTCCGTTGTGTTGGGGACTAAGCCCTCTTTCAGATCTAGCAGTCTTTCATGCCGTCATAGTAATCAGGACTGCTAAATTTCATACGCCCTTGACAGTCACTGCAGTCCCATGTTCTTCATACTGTCCAATGTAGTGTAGAACATTTGGTAGGCTTTCAATCATGAGAATTTTAGTATGCAGAGGCAGATTGTCAACCTGGGGTTTGGACAAGGTACCAAAAGCAGCACAGAGTCTTTCATTATTGGTAAATATCAAGGTCCTATGATGATGTGATGGCATTGGATTGGTTCAGCCTGATTTTAGAGAGACCTGGTGAAATACTGAGTAAGGAACATGAATTCTTTTATTTTTTTCAATTTTACAGATATCTGAAAATGCTTATAGTAGTAACTATAAGATCTGCAGATCAGGTAGTAGGAACTATTGATTTTGGGCCAGTCCAGGTGCTCTCAGCTGTGATTTCAGCATGCTGCATAGGAGTAGAATGGCAAGGCTCCTGGGAAGTGTCTTGTTTGACCTCAGACCCAAGTACAAGTCTTCACCTAAACCATATATGGTCCAGAAGGAAAGCAAGTTTATTCTTCACGTTTATACTAAAGTATGCCACCTCTCAATTAAGAGTTTGTCCCAGTGCAGTGATGCATAAATAGCATCTGAAAATTCTTCTATTTGTACCTTTTTAAAGATGAGAGTTTGTATGCAAAGACACAATTTGGAGTAGGTTTCTGAAGGCTAAATCTCTTTTTGTTGCATTTTAATTGCTATGGCAAAGAGAATGAATTAGATTTCTGATGCTAGGCTTGACCTGTAGGCTCCAGATTGAAATTGTAACTGGGAAGAATATTATGTAAAGTAATCTGAGACTGTTTGTGTAGTTAGGAGAGAGTATAGGATCCACACATGCACTCAGACTGGCCTGGGAGTTCTGAAATGTGAATGTAATTAGAAAGCTGCATGCCAATTAGTTGTGGCCTATCTAATGAAAAACTTCACTGACAGAGAATTGTCAATGTGGGATGACAGGAATCTAGTGATGTTAACCTGATGACTAGGGAGAAAGAATGCTAGATAATAATAACAATAATAGTGTGTATTTATTAAGCAACTACCATGTGGCAGGCAGTGTTCTAGGTCTTTTACTTATATTTTTCTGTATTTCCTGTAACCACCCTTTGAAGTGTTACTGTTATCCCCTTTGGTCCTGAGGCATGGTGAGGTAGTTTTCCTAATATTCAGTAGTAAGTGGTAGTGCTGAGGTGAGAACCCACGTTGATTCCATGTCCCACGTTCCTTATTCATTCTGTTTTCCCATACCGCCCTTCAGTAGGGGGAATTACAACATTCTGATGATAGATCTGATAGGAAACCACTGGGCGCTTGAGACAAGGGGCAAAAGACCTCTTCTTGATCTTTATTGGGATTAATCTAATCGTCTACATTGGTTATTAAGCAGAAAATGCTTTAAATGAAAAGGGCCTGTGAGTTTATATGTGAGAAGAAAAGAAAAATAAGTGGGGAAGAAAGGTTGATTCAAGCAGAAGATACATCATCATCTTACAAACCTCAATGGGTAGAAAAAGTGGCAGTAGTTTTAAAGAAGTAAGTCCTTAGGTCTAGGTGAAAGAGAATGTGAACACAGATCACCTGAGCAGACATTAGGGCTTGATTCCTTTTCTTTGTTACGTATTTTTGGTAAACTCTGAAAGGTGGCTAATGATTGAGTAATTTTTTAATCTTGCAAGATATAGGAAACATTCGTCATTAACTAGATTTAGGACAGAGCAAGAAAATGGATTCTTTCCTAGAATCCATTTAGAGACCCTGTCTTTGAAAAAAAAAAAAAGTTAATAAAAAAAATTAGCTGGGCATGGGGCTGAGGTGGGAGGATCGCTTGAGTATGGGAGGTTGAGGCTGCTGTGAGCCCTGATCATACCACCGCACTCTAGCCTGCACAACAGAGTGAGACCCTGTCTCAAAAAAAATAAAGAAAATGAATGCAGCCCTGTCAACATCTTGATTTTAGCCCAGTGAGACCTCTGACCTATAGATCCATAAGAAAATAGATTTGTGACGTTTTAAGCCACGAATTTTGGGTAATTTGTTACAGCAGCCATAGAAAACTAATGCATATTTAACTGCAAGAACCAAAAAAATCTAGGAACCCTCCATGACACCTTCTTCCTCATTCCTTCATATTGAATCCATCACTCTCCTCCTGATTTAACTTCCTAAATAGCTATTGGATCCGTTTGTATCTCTGCATTTCCATCCACTAAAAACTTTTATTATCTCTAGCTCTTTCTACTGTGATAGTTTCCTGACTATTTTCTCTTGTCTATTCTCAACATTGCAGTTAGAGTGATCTTTTTAAAGGGGGAAAGTTTATTTTGTTCCTCACCCCTACTTTTATGCCTTAGATTTCAGTTCAAGCATCACTTCCTTTGAAAGCCTTCTCTGACACTGCTCCCCCCGCTTTCACGCTAGGTCAAGTTTATTTAGCATTCATTCCTACAATAATGATTGTTATAAATGCTCATCAAATGGTTTCTTTATTTCAGACTACTCATGTTAGATTTTAATTACACATTCATTCATGTGATTATTTGATTGATCTCTATTTTCACTGGACAGTTTGAAAACCATGAAAGCTAGAATCATGTCAAGTTTTGCCTTATCATTGCATCCTTAGAACCTAACTTTGTGCCTGTATGTGATAGCATGAAAGACTGCTAGATCTGAAAGAGGGCTTAGTCCCCAACACAATAAATATTTGTTGAATCAATAAATAACTGAAAACATGTTAAACATGTTAATAGTGCCACAGTGACGTTGCTCTAGTACTAAACATAGGTGTCTCAACTATGGTACTTTAATGTACTATATAGTTGTGAAGAGTATATAGCTTGTAGGATAACCACTTGACAGGATTTAAGTAATCTTTTAAAAATTATTGTTATGAAAGTGTAGTAGATTGTCCATAACTGCATAATCAAAATAATTTTCACTTTTAGCTTTAGATTTTTTTTACAATAAGAAGAATTTCAGTTAGTCTTTAAGTGTGATAGAGCTGTTAAAGGAAAATGAGTATCAGCTCTTAGATTTTAAATGCAATCTGATGTAATGCTAGTTACTTGAGAATGTTTTTAGTGACAAAGAAATGTGCGGGAGGAAAAAAAAGAAATGTGCGGGAGGAAAAAAAAGAAACGTGTGGGAGTCAAAATGTTTCTATGAATGAATGAGAAAATGAGAACATACGTGATTATGAATGGAGATAGTGTTATAGTTCCAAAAGTGGAAATGTTTTTTCAAACAAAAACCAGGCAACAGAACAAGATCCTGTCTCTTAAAAAAAAAAAAAGTTTGAAACAGATTTTTTATTTGTTTTTTAAAAAGGTTAGTTATAAAGGGATATTAAACATGGCTTGGTTTAAAAAAAAAAAAAAAAAAAGAGGCCGGGCACAGTGGCTCATGCCTGTAATCCCAGCACTTTGGGAGGCCAAAGTGGGCGGATCACCTGAGGTCGGGAGTTCGAGACCGGCCTGACCAACATGGAGAAACCCCATCTCTACTAAAAATACAAAATTAGCCAGGCATGGTGGCTAATGCGTAATTATGCTGGCATGATTACGCATGCTTGCAATCCCAGCTACTCGGGAGGCTGAGGCAGGAGAATCGCTTGAACCTGGGAGGTGGAGGTTGTGGTGAGCCGAGATCACGCCATTGCACTCCAGCCTGGGCGACATGAGTGAAACTCCATCTCAAAAATAAATAAATAAATAAATAGTTTCTGCCAGGTTTGGTGGTTCACACTTGTAATCCTGGTACTTTGGGAGGCTGAGGTGGAAGGATCACTTGAGGCCATCAAGACCAGCCTGGGCAACACAGCAAGAACCCTGTTTCTATACTATTTTTAAAAATTAAAGTAATAGTTCTTACCGTACATGAGATAATATATTAAACATCTTTGTGCTTCTGAGACTAAAAAGAGATGCATTGAATTATATCAGGAGACTATATGGGTTAAAAAGAAACCCTCATGTAGTGAGTATAACATTGTTAAAAGTTATATATTGATGCCCTAGTTAGAGTAAGTTTGAACCCTGAAATTAAGAGAATCTTACCATAGAAAATTATGGGCTGGGTGTGGTGGCTCATGCCTGTAATCCCACTACTTTGGGAGTCTGAGGCAGGAGGATTGCTTGAAGCCAGGAGTTTAAGATGAGCCTGGGCAACATAGTGAGGCCCTGTCTCTACACAAAATTGAAAAAAAAAATTAGCCAGGTGTGCTAGTGCACACCTATAGTCTTAGCTGCTTTGGAGGCTGAGGCAGGAGGATCGCTTGAGCCCAGGGATTTGAGGCTTCAGTGAGCTCTATTTTTAGTTTTTTGAGGAACCTCCAAACTGTTCTCCATTGTGGTTGTATTAATTTACATTCCCACTAACAGTGTGCAAGGGTTCCCTTTTCTCCACATCCTTGCCAATGTTTGTTATTGCCTGACATTTGGATAAAAGCCATTTTGACTGAGGTGAGATGATATCTCACTGTAGTTTTGATTTGCATTTCTCTAATGATCAATGGCATTGAGCACCTTTTTCATATTGCATTATTTCTTGAACAAGTCTCTATCTCACTGCCTGTCTCCGATCCTGGATTAACTTTTCCCTGCGGCAGGTCTCTTCTACCCTGTAATCTATTCTCTCTTACCACCAGAGGGTGTTCGTAACCGTGCCAAGACTGATCTCTGCCTCGTCCTTTTCTAAATACTCTGAGTAGCTCCCCATTGCCTATTTGATCAAACTAAGAATCTACATGTAATACAAGGTCCCTAAATATATGGCTCCTTCTTAACCTTCCCAGCTGCTTCTTTCACTGCTTTTTCCACACATAATTTGGGCTAGAGTCACTTGTATTTATTTGCCAATTCCCAAGCATTCTGTTCCATTTCATTCTTTAATGTCTGAAGATATTTGGGGCATGGAGAAAAATACTCATCACTGCTCATAATTTAATACTCAGTTTAGTAAACCTACTTATCTAATACACTAAAGTTCTAAAATAAAATTTTTTTAAACATTTAGGCTGGGTGTGGTGGCTTATGCGTGTAATTCCAGCACTTTGGGAGGCCAAAGTGGGAGAATCACTTGAGCCCAGGAGTTTGAGACCAGCATGGGCAACACAAGGGGACCCCATTTGTATAAAAACTTTTAAAAATTAGTCAGGTATGGTGGCACATGCCTGTGGTCCCAGCTACTTGGGAGGCTGAAGCAGGAGGATGCCTTGAGCCGGGGATGTCAAGGCTACAGTGAGCCTTGATTATGCCACCTGCACTCCAGCCTGGGCAACAGAGCGAGACCTTGTCTCAAAAAAAATTTTTTTAAAAACATTTAGACATTGTTTATAAGCTTATTTAGTTAAATTATGTTTAATACCAGTTTAAGTTACAATTATAATTAATTATACTGTCTGTTAAACTTCACTTTATATAGTGGTCAAAAATTTACTTAAATGTATTTTAAAATATTAACCTGTTGGTTTAATTTATTCATTCTATACTTTTTTTTTTTTTTTTTTTTTTTTGAGACAGGGTCTCACTCTGTTACCCAGGGTGGAATGCAATGGCACAGTCATGGCTCACTGCAGCTTTGACCTCCCAGGTTCAAGCCATCCTCCTGCCTAAGCCTCCTGAGTAACTGGGACCACAAGTGTGCACCACCACATCCAGCTAATTTTTCTTATTTTTAGTAGAAACGAGGTCTCACTATGTTGCCCAGGCTGGTCTTGAATTCCTGGGCTCAAGTGAACCTCCTGCCTTGGCCTCCCAAGGTGCTGGGATTATAGGCATGAACCACTGCATTCAGCTGATATATTTGCATTTTTATATTTCCCTAGAGTTATAATACTCTTCCAGATTTCTATTTCTATACTTTCCAGAATTATAGTAATTTTTCTATACCTTTGTAGGTTACAGTAATCTTACCACTACCAAAACAAAGCAAAATTTCAAATTACTGAGAGTTCAGAGTTGTTGATGGATTTGATTCTTAATTAAAACACAAGGTTTGGTTATGCCTAAAGCTTACCCAAACTGTGTTGATGGGCAACCTAAAGTGTTGGTGTGCATTAGTTCCCCTCTATAATTGAATGTTACCTGCTCAGGAGGATTTTTTTTTAAGTTCATGCCTTTCTCATAGACTGTTAGTTTCTTGCAGCCTAGAGTTATTCCATTAATTGAAATATTCTTTATTTTTTGTGTGATCAGTGTTTCATAGCTCAGTGCTCTGTTGTCATTATAACTTGCCCTTTTCTGGTAGCAGTGGTGCTAGGAATTATAGATGTTTCCTTTCCTGAGCAATCAGGGTTCCGGTCTGTACTGTGAGCTCTCTAGGATATTGGACTAATTCACCGTTTTAGAACTCACAATGTCTACTCGGTCATTGTGTGTGATCAAACTCATCAGCCACTGCGTCTTCTTTAAAAATACATATTGCTGTATGTGTTAGGGCCTGTGCTGATCTGAATTTCTTGTTTTTGGTATGTGACCTACTTTTTTTGGAACTGTTTGGCTTAGTCGCACACAATTCTTTGTAACTACCCTACCCTCCTTGTACTGAAACAAAAAAGTATACGGCTATACTTCATAAATAGACATATACTTAACAGGAGAAACAAAACACCTAAGTATTAACACCAACCTAGTTATTAATATAATAAGACATTGGATACCCTATTATTTTCACCCTTTTTTACAACTATCTTTTTATGTATCTTAGCTTTCCCTTTTGCATCTCATTATGAATTCATGGCTTATCACAGACTTAATTTATTCCACTTAGCTGTAATTATTATTCTCTTTCTAATGTTCAAATTGTGACAGCCTGGCTAACCTCAAACTGGCTTCTTTGTCCTTTTAGCACTTACCCTTGGACGTTTTTTAAAAATTCTTCTCGGCTGGGCACAGTGGCTCACGCCTGTAATCCCAGCATTTGGGAGGCTGAGGTGGAAGGATTACTTGAGACCAGGAGTTCAGGATCTTGTCAGAAGCAAGATAGTCCAATCGATTTTGATATTTTTTTCCTGCCCTAAGACATGGAACTAGTACTCTCCCTTGTTGTTGTTGTTTTGTTTTGTTTTTAAAGAGACAGGGTCTCACTGTGTTGCCCAGGCTGGTCTCAAATTCCTGGCCTCAAATGATCCTCCCACTTCAGCCTCCGAAAGTGCTGGTATTACACATGTGAGCCACCATGTCTGGCCTCTGGTTCCTTCTTAATGGAGAATAGTATTAGAGACCAAAATCTGTTCAACATGGAGTTGAGGATAAGGAGGGAGGCATTTTTGCTGGCCACTGTAGTGACAGAGCAGGAGACCATGTTTCTCTTAGAGCATATGTTAATAATGTCAGTCCAGTTTAACATTACTAAATCTTTTTCTATCTCACCATTTTTCTTTATTATAAGGTTGCATTGACCATGAACACTATCATATTGGCATATAACTTTCTGTATGAAGATCCCTCTGCCATGGAATGCTTCCTCTCACCCCTTTTCACTAGTTGGCAAAGTTCTTGGCCAAGTAAAATGAGAGGAGGAGGGGGTAGAATGAATTTCATTTAAAGCTCAACCTAGTTCAGAAATGTTAAACAAAACCAGAGCAATTGAATATTCTTCTGATATCTTGCAGTATTTTTGTTGAATTCATTTTCTTCCACTAAAAAAAAAAATTCATACAAACAATATTGAATCAAGCTATCCTGTCAGCTTGGTGTTATATTTGAAAATCATTTGTCAAATTATATTTACATCATACTCTTAGCATTTATAAATTTTTCATCCGGGGACAGTGTCTCATGCCTGTAATCCCAGCACTTTGGGAGGCTGAGGTGGGCAGATCACAAGGTCAAGAGATCAAGACCATCCTGGCCAACATGTTGAAACTCCGTTTCTATTAAAAATACAAAAATTAGCCAGGTGTGGTGGCACGTGCCTGTAGTCCCAGCTACTTGGGAGGCTGAGGCAGGAGAATCGCTTGAACCTGGGAGGCAGAGGTTGCAATGAGCTGAGATCGTGCCACTGCACTCCAGCCTGGCGACAGAGCGAGACTCCGTCTAAAAAAAATAAATAAATAATAAAAAAATTCTTACATTACTTGGAACATGAGCGTTTTGCACAACTTTTCTCTTTCCCATGCCACCCTCACTCTCATGTACTTTGAAAACAAAAATATTCTTGTGCGATTGTAATTTTCAATATTACTAATCAGACTGTACACTTTAAAAAATAATTTATAGAAGTTTATGTATGTTGAAGGGCATTGAAAAACTCAGTTGTGCTCCTAGTCATATGAACATTATTGATCAGATTATCTTTATAGGCTTTTTAATGCTTTTTCCATTGTTGGCTGTACTTCATATAATTTTTATATATGTATAATTACTGACAGTGACCCCAAAATATTTTTGTGTGAACAAGTTAATCTTGAGGGAAATTGATACTGCTGCAAACAACAGATCAGGATTTTCCAATGTGGCCATTTACTTTGCTCATGACAAAATTTAGACATTATCAGAGTTTAAAATTTGCTTTTCAAGAATTATGTGTGTGTGTGTGTGTATGTGTATATATATATTTTTGAGACAGTTTCACTCTGTTGCCCAGGCTGTAGTGCAGTGGCACAGTCCAGTCATGGCTAACTGCACCTTGAACTCCTAGATTCAAGCAATCCTCCTGCCTCATCCTCCCAAGTAGTTGGGACTGTAGGCACACACCATCATGCCCTGCTAAATTAAAAAAATTTTTTTTTTTTTTGTACAGACAAGGTCTCGCTGTGTTGCCCAGGCTGATCTTGAACTCCTGGCCTCAGGTGATCCTCCTGCCTCAACTTCCCAAAGCACTAGGATTACAAATGTGAGCCACCTGGCCCTATTTTATATTTATAGTATCTCTTAATCGCTAAAAAGATGGAACCACATAATTATCTTCTAAAAATGTAGTAGCCTCCACTGAGAAAAACAAGTCTTGTCCTTTAGTTGACAATAAGCATGTGCAATTTGTATATATACAAATGGGAGAGTGCCAATTTCCCTTGGAAAACATTCTTCACTTTACAAAGAACTCACCTTTGGATTCCTCTAAATGAGACATTCCAGTATACTTAAACACGTCTTCCCATAATTATCTTACCTTAATTCGTATTATGTAACTTTTAGGGAAACGTCTGTTGTATAAAATCAATAATACCTGTATTTACACCTTTCCATCTGATTCATTGTAAGAGCATGATTTGTTTGCTTATTTGGGTAACAGGCTCACTGTGAAGTAGTAAATAGAGCAATATATGAGAACAACATAACTCTCCTTAGTGGACTGCTTTTATTTTTGTTTTTTGAGACAGAGTTTTGCCTTGTTGCCCAGGCTGGAGTGCAGTGGCACGATCTTGGCTTCACTGCAACCTCCACCTCCCAGTTCAAGCAATTCTTATGCCTCAGCCTCCTGAGTACCTGGAATTACAGGTGCCTGCCACCACACCTGACTGATTTTTTGTGTTTTAGTAGAGACGGGGTTTCATCATGTTGCCCAGGCTGGTCTCGAACTGCCCATCTCAGCCTCCCAAAGTGCTAGGATTACAGGCATGAGCCACCGTTCCTGGCCAGTGGGCTGCTTTTATAACCATATTAATATATAGTTGACTAACAGTCAAAGGAAATTTTATATATATATATCTGTTTTCTGTTTTTTCTTTTTGAGACAGGGTCTCTCTCTTTTGCGCAGGTTGGAATGCAGTGGTGCAAAAATAGCTCACTGCATAGCTCACCACTCTTGGCCAGGAACTATATTAATGTTAGTTTGGAGCCTATAGTTACAGATTTCCACCTTTGATTTCCATGGAAACAGGGAGGTTACTATACCTACCTATGCTCTGATTGTCAAACATGCATGAAGTTTTTGAAAGTGAGGCTCTTCCTTCTTGACCAAGCCAATCAAGACATACAAGTATGTAATTTTTTAAAAAGTTGATGAATCTTATAAAATTGTTTTTGTAGGTAGAAAATCGTCAAATATAGGCAGTTTTAACTTAATGCCTAAAAATTGTAGTAGTTATGTTTATATAATATTCTTTATATTATATATTATATAATATAATTAGGTATATATAATATATATATATATTATATATACCTAATTTATAAGTCTTTTTGGAGATGGCCCTGATAAAATGGGAGAGAAATTGTCATTCAGTTGCTTGGGTAGTGGTTGAAGAAAAGATCTAAAGCTGTGGTTTGTGAACTATACACCATGGCATCCTAGCACCCCATGGAAAAATCCCAGGGGCCTCATGGAAAATTGTTTTGAAAGCAAACACAGAACTACCTATACTAGTTGGACACCACATGAAGTAGTTTGAGATAGTTCACAGTTTCAACAGTGCACTCCATTCCTTTCAATGACATCATATCTTTGCAAAGTTAGGTTTTTAGCAATTGCTTTGATAACCAACAACTACTGTGTGAAAATCAGTGTGGAACAGGGAATGAGGATTGGTGGTGTCTGAACTGATTCCAAGGTTTGAAAAGTGATACATAGCCCAGGCACACATCCATTAGTAAGTAATTAATTGTGGTTATTTAAAAATGAAATTAAATATTTTTTATTTCATGTTATGTGTATTATTTTTTAAAACAACTACAAGATGTAAGGACACAAATACTTACTAGGTTGTTTGGACCTGACTACTTACTAAACAGAATGGTTATGTATTTGTTGGCCTGGGGTGTCATGCAAACATTGCTGAGATACTAAGGGCACACTGTGAACCAAGAAATTATGAGAACCTCTGGCTTAAAGTAATTAGACTACCCCATCAGAATTCACATAGCTGACCAAGTCATTGATACCAAGTGGAAAGGTACATTCAACTGAAATTTCTCATGGATAGCGTTTTTAGAGTTGCCACCCCATTCTGCTTGTTTAATATTATGTGACAAACATCTGTACAGTAATCCTCCCTTACCCAGGAGGAATATGTTCCAAAAACCCCAGTAGATGCCTGAAATCACAGATGGTACTGAATTCTTTATATACTCTATTTTTTCCTATACATACATACCTACGATAAAGTTTAATTTATAAATTAGACACAGTAAGAGATTAACAACAATAATAATACAATTAACAATTATAACAATATACTGCAATGAAAGTTGTGTGAATGTGGTCTCTCTCTCTCTCTGAATATCTTATTGTACTACCTTGGCCTATTTTTGTACTGTGGTTGACCACAGGTAGCTGAAACCGCGAATATGGGGTGACTACTATACGTTTTAAATTCTGATTACTACTAAAGAGAAAGAATCTTTTTTAAAATTTTGTTATTTTTTTTTTTAGAGACAGGGTCTTGCTCTGCCGCACAGGCCAGAGTGCAGTGGCCCATCATAGCTCATTCCACTGAGCCCAAGTGATCCTCCTGCCTCAGCCTCCTGAGTCACTGGGACTACAGGCATGTAGCACCACACCTAACTGGAAAAAAAAAATTTTTTTTTTAAGAGATAGGGTCTTGCTATGTTGCCCAGGCTGATCTCAAACTCCTGTCCTCAAGTGATCCTCCTGCCTCGACCTCCCAAAGTGCTGAGATTACAGGTGTGAACCACTGAACCTGGCCCGTTTTTAAATAAAAATAATAATGCAAATAAGAAATAATTTCCTAAAAGATGTCTCAGGTATTAAGACACCTAGAAATTCAGAAAATCAATGAAAATAATTCTGTAGCCTGGAATTCAAACATTATTGAAGTCTGAAGAACAATTCCCTTCTCTACGTCTGTATCTGGAGGGAAAGAAGGCTATTATATGAGAGTCACTGTGGTGTTCTAAAATATGAGAAAGAGACAGACCATTTTTCTGCTCCTTAAGATAGTTATCTGACCAGCTTTGTTAAAACTGGGAATCTAAGGATCTCTTAACTCCATTTTGGTTTGAAGAAAGATATTAATATTGAAATACATAGTTGCACACCAAATGGCAGTGGGGTCAGGGTTGGGGTACACTTTTATATCTGCTCTCATTTTTCCATCCCTGCCAGATAGTTGTTATTTCTGATTCTAATTGTTACTTCTGATTCTCTAAATCAGTGGACTTGTAATTATATATTGCTTTGCTAATTATGTTTCCTTAACATTATTTTGACAAAGTTTCAGTTATTATTTACATATGGCTCCTTTTACCATCAGATTGCCATACACAGGCATAAATGTCACAAATATTAAGATAGTTGAAGTTTTCAGAGCGGCAGACATTTGGGGAAAATTATGGAACCTTCATGTGTTGGAGCTGGAAAGAGCCTTTCAGTCAGGACTACTTTAATCATTTCTTTTTTTTTTTTTTTTTTTTTTTTTGAGACAGAGTCTCGCTCTGTCACCCAGGCTGAAGTGCAGTGGCATAATCTTGGCTCACTGCAACCTCCGCCTCCAAGGTTCAAGCAATTCTCCTGCCTCAGTCTCCCGACTAGCTGGGACTACAGGCACGCGCCACCACGCCCAGCTAATTTTTTGTGTTTTTAGTAGAGATGGGGTTTCACTGTGTTGGCCAGGGTGGCCTCAATCTCCTGACCTCATGAGCCACCCACCTCAGCCTCCCAAAGTGCTGGGATTACAGGCGTGAGCCACCGCGCCCAGCCTACTTTAATCATTTCATTTAACATGAATTAATTTGCCTGTTTTGGGATACTTTAAGCAAACTGCCCTAAGCAAATAACAACTGTTTATGGAAGGATTTCCATAGGTAATGATGTTTTCATAACTCTGATATGAGACTGGGAGGTATTTTTCATTGATTCAAACTTTAGTATTTCCTACTTCTGTTCTGCCTCATTTCTTCTTACTGAATCCTAAATTGAGATAGAAGAATACCTTCTTACTTTCCTTTCAGAAATAACCAATTGTGTAAGTAATACATTCTTGGAATTTGGTTGTTGTGATACCATGATATAATAAGAAACATATTTGGTCATTGACCATGGTTCCTAACATAGAGCTCCTAAAACTCTTATAATTTCCTGAGCAGTAGGGGTACTAGGAGAATGTTTTGTTCTGATATTTGGTTTTGTTTTGTTTTAAGTGACAGGGTCTTGCTCTGTTGACCAGGCTGGAGTGTTAAAGGCACGATCATGGCTCACGGCAGCCTCTACTTCATGGGCTCAAGCGATCCTCCTGCCTCAGCCTCCCAAGTAGCTAGCCTACAGGCACATGCCACCAAGCCTGGGTAATTTCAATTTTTTGTAGACATAAGGTCTTGAATAACCATTCTGTTTAGTACATAGTCAGGTCCAAACAACCTAGTAAGTATTTATGTCCTAACATCTTGTAGTTGTTTTAAGTTGCCCAGGCTAGTCTTGAACTCCTGGCCTCAAGTGGTCCTCCCACTTTGGCCTCCCAAAATGCTGGGATTACAGGTATGAGCCACCAGCCTTGCTCTGATATTTGTCCTTGAACCCCATTTCCTAACACAGAGCTCTGAAGACCTTTGTGATTTCCTGGGTGATGGGAGCATCTTTTGTTCAATGTGATGACTCTTTATGGGCCCTGGATGGAGGCTGGTTGCCAGGGAAACCAACCCTATAATTTGAGGGTTGGAACTTTCAGTCCCACCTACTGACCTCCGGGGAAAGGAGAGGGACTGAGGTGGAGCTGATCACAAATGGCCAATGATTTAATCAATCATGCCTATGTAATGGAGCCTCCAGAAAACCCCAAAAGGACAAGGTTCAGATGAGCTTCTGGATAGCTGAATGTGTGAAGGTGCTTGAAAGATGGTGTGCCGGAGAGAGTGTTAAAGCTCCATGTCCCTTCCCACGTGCCTGGCCCGATGCATCTCTTCATCTGGCTATTCATGTCTAACCTTTGTAATACCCTTTATTAATAAACTAGTGAATGTAAGTAAAGTATTTCCCTGAGTTCTGTAAGCCACTCTAGCAAATTAACCAAATCCAAGGAGTGAGTCATGGGGGCCCCCGGTTTACAGCCAGTCAGTCAGAGGCATAGGTGACAACCTACTGCCTACTTGCCATTGGCGTCTGAAGTGGCGAGCAGTCTTGTAGAACTGAGCCTCAGCTTGTGGGGCCCCACACTATCTCCAGGTAGATAGTATCAGAATTGAATTATAGGACACTCAGCTGGTGTCCACTGAAGAATTGCTTGGTGTTAGAAGTTTTGTGTTGAATGAGAGTAGAGAATAGTTTGTTTTTTCCAAAAACAGTTTGGTTTTTCCTCTGTCTCTCAAAGCTGTATTAAATCTTTCCTTGAGTAGAAGACTTCTCTCGAGACAGGCGTATCCATAAGACTGGGTGGAGCCAGTCATGACGTGCAGCATGGAAAGGCCCCACAGAGCTTCTTCCACCGGAAGATTAAGCTCTAAGAGATCAGGCAGGAAAAAGGGATTGGAGTTAGGATGAGAGTAAATGATCAATACCCTGGAAGGCTTAGAAAACTCTCTTCAGAAAGACCACAATGGGCTTAGCTCAGTTGCTCACACCTGCAGTCCTAGCACTTTGTGAGACTAAGGTGGGAGGATCGCTTGAGCCCAGGAGTTCAAGACCAGCCTGGGCAACATGGTGAAATCCTGTCTCTACAAAAAAAAAATACAAAAATTAGTAGGGCATGCTGGCTCACACCTGTAGTCTTAGCAACTTGGGAGACTGAGGCAGGAGGATCGCTCGAGCCCAGGAGTTTGAGGCTGCAGTGAGATATGATCACACCACTGCACTCCAGTCTGGGCTACAGAACAATACCCTGGCTTAATACATTCTGGCATGTCTTCTTCTTCTCCTTCTTCTTCTCCTTCTTCTTCTCCTTCTTCTTCTCCTTCTTCTCCTTCTTCTTCTCCTTCTTCTTCTCCTCCTCCTCCTCCCCCTCCCCCTCCCCCTCCTCCTCTCCCTTCCTCCTACTCCTCCTCTTCCTCCTCTTCTTCCTCTTCTTCTTTTTTAATGAATTATCTTATCCAAATAGAGGGAGTCTGCTATTACTAGAGTTTGATGACATAGCATGGGTGGGCAGAGAGGGGAAAATGGGAGATGATAGAAATGAATGTGCCAGAGGTTTATTTTGCCCAGAATCCTGGCCACAGACAGTATGCTAATGCCTGATTGAAGAACAGATTTAGCTGAAAACACTGCAAAAGGAGTATGAATACTCCTTCTACAGCCTACACCATCCCTAGCTAGTCTCTGCTCCTCTCCCAAGGAGAGGAAAAAGTTTGCATCCTACCACCTAATTCTTCCTGTTTATAATCAGTATAAAATTCTTAGACTCCTTCATGTGGGTACCCTTAGGAGTGCCTAGGTCTGCTCTGCTTGGAAAATGTGCTTTCCTCCCATATTCATTCTTCTGGCCTAATGATTCCAGTCTCCTGAGCCATCATCGTCCTTATCTTTTTTTTTTTTTTTTTTTCTGTAGTTCTGTTTTCCAGTCCTTTAATCTTTCTTTTTGTTTTTCTAAATTAGGGATCAGAAACTCAAATTCTTACAGATAATGTAAACAAGGTGATAAGGATTGTAATGAGCTGGAGAGTGCCCAGCTAAAGGGGACAACTATTTCTTAGTTCTGGTGAATTGTTGCCGTGGGGGCATATAGATCACTTGTTGCCAGATCTTGAGATATATTTCAAGAGAAGCTAGGAATCTGAGAAATTAGTGTACAGTTTCTCAATGTTTACATGTTAGTATTTAATTCTGATTTTTAAAACATAGCTAGGAGTTGCTACTGGGCCATAACTTGGCAACCTCTACCCTATATCTTACGTAAGTTTGAAGCTGAAAATCCAGCCCAGTATTAAGTATTTGACAAAGGCCATATCTCTTTGTATCCTGTCAGTTACGCTCCATTTCTTTCTCAGAATTGCTTTCTGGTCAGTTGAAATTCTTTGACATGTTCCTTGAAAAATTATCCAACATATCTGAATGGAAGCAGTTGAGAAGAAGAAATATTTTGATCTGAGTATGTTTACTGCTTTTTCCCCCCATGAAAAAGGCATGCAGAAAGAGGCTTCAAATAGAAGACTAAGAACATCTGCCCTCCCAAAGATTGACTCGGCAGGATAGAGACTGCACAGGCCCCTGCAGCATTTGGGTCCTCAAAGATTTTGTTAAAAAACAAATGCTGTAACTTATACCTTGGTGATTAAAATTCTGTAGAACTAAGTCTTAAAAGTCCTCAGCTACACTTTAAATATAATATGATTTGATATTATATTCTGCTTAAGTATTCATGAATTATGCTGTTAAAGTTACTGGGAAGTAGGAGGGAAGAAGTAACCATTTAGGGAAAGTACTTACTGGTGAATTCATTATCATGTTAGAGAATAGGAGTTTTGCTTTCTTGGTTCTAGATGACTTAGGTTATAAAAATAGGTCTAAAATGTTTCTGATTACTCTCTCTTTCTCCCTTTTCTCCTATTCCCCTCTTTTTTTTAGGTTTTCAAAACAAAAATAGAGTTGCAATCTTGGCAGAACTGGACAAAGAGAAAAGAAAACTACTTATGCAGAACCAGTCTTCAACAAATCATCCTGGAGCTAGGTATTGACACTATAATGTGGGTTTTTTGTTTGTTTTGTTTTGTTTTGTTTTGTTTTGAGACGGAGTCTCGCCCTGTCCCCCAGGCTGGAGTGCAATGGTGCAATCTCGGCTCACTGCAGCCTCCGCCTCCCGGGTTCTAGCGATTCTCCTGCCTCAGCCTCCCGAGTAGCTGGGATTACAGGCACCTGCCACGACACCCAGCAAATTTTTGTATTTTTAGTAGAGATGGGGTTTCACCATGTTGGTTAGGCTGGTCTTGAACTCCTGACCTCAGGTGATCCACCCGCCTTGGTCTCCCAAAGTGCTGGGATTACAGGCGTGACCCACCGTGCCTGGCCTGTAATGTGGTTTTTATATTCAGTGATATAAAAATTTCTTGGACCAAATAATTCAAGTTGGCTGGCAATGATTTTTTTCTTTAACACTGCAATCTATTCATTGTGTTTTCTTTGTATAGGGGAGGCTAAACTTTACCTGTGCCCAACTTAGTTCTTATTGGGAGGGACCTCTGTAACAAAAGACAGATTAACAAGAGAAAAACAAATTTATGAGTGCATGCAGCACACATCACAAGGGAGAAACCTTATAACTCAAAATCATGGCTTAGAACTCTACTTATATAGCATCTTCAACAAAGAACAATAAATGTGGAACAAACAAAAGGGATTTTAGGCTTCTTGGGGTGGGAAACTGAGAAGGTAAATATATGGAGAAAACGAATGGAGTAAGGCTTGTTGGCAGAGTCCTCTGCTGCTGTCCCTAGGCTAAGAGTCTAGAGTTGTCTCCAGTAGAGGAGAAGTTCTATCCTATCTTTAGGCAGAAAGTGGGGAGGGGAGAGAGAGAGCTTTTCCTCAGTTTGCTGCTGCCTTTTATTTTTATTTTTAAGCAACCCTATTAACTGAGCTGCTTCTTAATTGCTTTCAGCTCAAAAATAATTTTTATATCAAAGAAGCATATTTTAGGTGACATATTCTAGTTCCCTTCATTTCCTAGTCAGACTTTTAACAAACTGTTTAGTTGATTAAATTGTAAACATTCTAACTAGAATATTTAATTTTCCCTATAGACTTCATAGCCTTCAGACTTTTTTTTTTTTTTTTTTGAGACAGGGTCTAACTCTGTCACCTAGAGTGGAGTGGAGTGGCACAATCATAACTCACTACATCCTGAGTCTCCTGGGCTCAGGTGATCGCCCCTGAGTATCTCACACTACAGGTGCACCCTACCATACCTGGCTAATTTTTTTGTTTTTTAGTAGAAACAAGTGAGGTCTTGTGTTGCCCAGGCTGGTCTCAAACTCCTGGCCTCAAGTGATCCTCCTGCCTCAGCCTCCCAAAGTGCTGGGATTACAAGCGTTAGCCACTGCACCTAGCCCTTATAGCCTTTTTTTTTTTTTGAGTTTTGTATGGTTTTTTATTACTGCAATTGCTGCTAGTGCCCCACTTTTTAATCATTCTGCAAAGTAGGCCAAATTTAGGTAGCTTGATGATCTTTATTATAGGTATTCAGTCTCTGCCATATTTAGTATCTTCCCTCAGATCCATTATTGCCGGGCATGGTGGCTCACGCCTGTAATCCCAGCATTTTGGGAGGCTAAGGTGGGTGGATCACTTGAGCCCAGTAGCTCGAGAGCAGCCTGGGCAACGTGGCAAGACCCATCTCTACAAAAAATACAAAAAATTAGCTAGCCATGGTGGTGCATGCCTGTAGTGCCAGCTACCTGGGAGGCTGGGTGGGAGGTTCACCTGAGCCTGGGAGGTTGGGGCTGCAATGAGCTGATTGCACCACTGCAATCCAGCCTGGATGATATAGTAAGACTGTCTAAAACAAACAAACAAAAAAGATCCATTATCCCCTTCAGCCACCACCACCCTAACTCTCTTCTGTCTTTCTCTTAAAGCAATTGGCTGTACTCATCTTTACTTTCTCACTTATTGATGCCTCAACCCGCTGCAGTCTGACTTCCAGGCCCTCCATCAAAGAAAATGTTCTTGCCTAGGTCTCTTGTAACCTTCCCGGGTTAAATCTGGCAGACCAGAGTCCTTTTCTTATCAGACATCTTAGTGTTATTTGACACCACTGATCACTTTCTTTCTTTTCTTTTTTTTCTTTTTTCTTTTTTTTTGAGACAGGGTCTCTGCTGTGCAGGCTGGAATGCAGTGGCACGATCTTGGCTCACTGCAACCTCTGCCTCCCATGTTCAAGTGATTCTCGTGCCTCAGCCTCCCAAGTAGCTGGGATTACAGGCGTACCCCACCACACCCAGCAAACTTTTGTAATTTTAGTAGAGATGGGGTTTTGCCATGTTGGCCAGGCTGGTCTCAAACTCCTGGCCTCAAGTGATCCACCCACCTTGGCCTCCCAAAGTGCTGGGATTACAGGCGTGAGCCGCTGCACCCGGCCCACTCTCTTAAAGTACTCTCTTGGCTTCCATTTGCTCACTCGGAGAATGTAAAACACAGTAGGAGGAGACTATCTTGATTTCTTTTGTGGACATTTCTCTATTTGTCCCTTGAATGCTGACAGCCCTTCGAATTCTGTTCTAGACCAGGCTTCCTAGCCTGCCTGTTTTCACTGGACAGTTGCATCTTTTCCCACATGCTGTTATTTACGTGCTAATCACTTACGCATTTGCAGCTCTAGTCTGTCCTTTCTTCTAAGCACCACCTCTGCCTCCTGGATGTCTCTACTTTGATGTCCACAGGCATTTCAAATGTAGTATGTCCCAACCTGAACTCATTCTCCCCGCTCTCCAATCAGCTACTGAATATTCTTGTGTATCCTGTCTCAGTAAATGGTTCAGGCTGCCATCTACTAGTTACAAAGTCAGAAATGTGAACTTCAGTTGTTTACCATTCCTTTCACTTTCATCTCCAAGCATTCACCATTCTCTTGTGATTATACTTTGAAAGGTGTCTCACATCTGACCATTTCCTTCATTGCTACTGATGCTATCCTGATTCCTGGCCACTCTCATTTCTTGCCTCAATTATTATAACTGCTTCAGAGTTCCTGTGGTCTTACGCTTCTTGAATACATTCATCAGTTGTGTCATTTAGCAAGCTTTAATCGGGAAGTAACAGAAATATAACAAAATTGGCATAAACATTTGGGTATCTGTTAACCAAGAGTGTGAAGATAAGGTAGTTCCAGAGTAGCTTAATTCAGTGGCCACAATATCATTAGTGATGCAGCTTCATTCATCTTTCCTTTCTGCTTTACCCCATGGGTCAGTGGCTCCCTCAGGCCAGAATATGACTGCAGTGGCTTAGGCATCACCCCGCACTGAGCCACCTGTAGAGGAAAAAGCCTGAAAGGTTCCTATGGTGTGTCCCATTTGTAAGAGTGAGGAGAACACTCTCAGAAGCCTTCCTGTAGACACCCATCAAGTCTGGTTGCCCAGATTATGTACCTTTCTCTTGCCTAAACCAGAAACCAGCTAGGGGAATGACATTGTCTTACATCAATCAAGGTCTACCCCCTGGGGCATGAGCCTGGCCTGCCTTGAAGCATGTGACTACTGATAATTGAACCAAGTTTGGGTTCCATCAGCAAGGAGGAAAGGAGACAAACAACTGTTGAGGAGGTGACCAACACTGTCTGCCACAGTAGTGCAATAGTGGTCTTTCTGAACTACAGGATGATAGTTCTTTTTTTTGAGACAGGGTCTCACTCTGTCACCCAGGCTGGAGTGCAGTGGCACCTTCTCCAGACCTCCCAAGCTTAAGCGATCCTCCCATCTCAGCCTCCCACGTAGCTGGAATCGCAGGCACATGCCACCATACCTGGTTAATCTTGTTTTTGTAGAGATGGGGTCTCACTGTATTGCCCAGGCTGGTCTTGAACTCCTGGGCTCAAATGATCCTCCTGCCTCGGACTCCCAAAGTCCTGGGATTACAGGCATGAGCCACCACGCCTGGCCAAGAGGGTTATACTTCTGATCATGTCACTCCCCTGCTGCCTAACACTCTTTGGAGGTCTCCTATTACTGTTAGGATAAGGTCTACATTTTATAACATTTTCCAGACCATTTAAAATCTCAGTAAATAACATAGACTTTCTTATATAAATTCATGAAGATAGTGAGAGAAGGAAAAAAGACTTATTCTTGGAGGTTTTTTTTTACCCCTATAAAGAATATATAATGAAAAGTTGTGATTCAGAAGTAAGGACATCTCTTTAAGAGATTTACTATATAGCATAGTGACTATAGTTAATGATACATACTTGAAAATTGCTAAGAGAATTTTTTGCTAAGAAAATTGCTAAGAGATCTTAAATGTTCCACAACCAAAAATGGTAAGTATGCGAGGTGATGGATATGTTAATTAGCTTGATTTAACCATTTCACAACAAATACAAATACTAAAACATCATATTGTACACTGGAAGTATATGCAGTTTTTGTCAAGGATACCTCAATTTAAAAAAAAGAAGATAATTTACTACCATCCAAAAAAAAGTAAGGATGTTTCTGCCTTAAGCAGCTGAGTAACCAAGATTCCCATTTTAGCATTGCACTCTCGAGACCCTCTCTTAATAAGGACTTCCGGGATCACGCTGAGCAGCAGCATATTGCAGCCCAACAGAAGGCAGCTTTGCAGGTGAGCAGTGTAACTGACATTCTTGCCTCGGTGGAGGTTTCCTGGATCTCAGAAGCCGGCACATAGTTATTTTATATTTCAGTGGAGCAATATCAATAAAAATGTTCCACACATAATTGCAATGGTTTGCTGATGTTCAGTCAAGCCCAGAGGATTTGAAGGACCAGTGCAGCAGTAATGAAAGTATCTTTTATGGTGTTGACTCGGTCATGATTGATTCTGTGCTTCTACATGCCAAGGGATTGCTTGTGCACAAGAGTCTAGGATATTTGGCTGGACAGGAATCATCTTAAAAATTGAACTGGCTAAATAGTACATGCATTTTTTTTCAAATCTATCATGTCATTACATCCTTTGATAGTTGTATTAGTTTATTATTGTTGCCTGGATTTTTTTTTTTAAATGCTCAGCACAACTGTTGTGCAGGAAATATTTCATAGCTAACTCTTACTATAGGACTAGAAATGTGGTGCTTCGTCAGTTAAAAAAAATACTCTTCAGAGTAATAAATAGTTTTAGTGTTACAGTCTCATCTTGAATAATTTAAGATTTCTAGAGACTTTGGACATTTTTTTCCCATAGGCATAATTTAATCACTTGTATTTTTAAACCTTAGAATCCCAGAATTGGAAGGAACATTATGACCATCTCACTTTATTTTATTTTATTTATCTATTTTTTAGAGACAAGGTCTCACGCTCTGTCACCCAGGCTGGAGTGCAATGGTGCCATCATAGCTTACTGTAACCTCGAACTCCTGGGTTCAAGTAATCTTCTTGCCTCAGGCTCCTAAGTAGCTGGGACTACAGGCACATGCTGCTGGGACTACAGGCACATGCCACTGTGCCTAGCTAATTTTTTAATTTTTTGTAGAGATGGGGTCTCACTGTGTTGCCCAGACTGGTCTCAAACTCCTGGCCTCAAATGATCCTCCCACCTCAGTCACCCAAAGTGTTGGGATTACAGGTGTGAGCCACCATTGCCCAGCCCTCCATTCACTTTAGATGACTTAAAAACAGTCTTTTTTTTTTTTTTTTAATGACAGAGGGAAGTTACTGGTGGTTTTCTGTTATTTACATTCCAACGTTCTCTACCAAATGTTGGTATTTTAATCACCAGTAATCTCACTGCCTTTTCCCCCCTCTCCTTCCAACTACTACCCTTCTTTCTCAAGTTCCTGGTTTGTTGACCAAGATCAGAGTACTTTGGGATCTTTGATACTTGTTTTCCTCACTGGAAGGAACAAAACAGTTCATGTCTTTGAGTCATTTATGGACTGAGGATGATCACAGGGTAGAGAGAGAGGATGATAAATGAGTACTTGGTGTAACTTGTTGACCCAGATTCTGTATTACTGTCCATTTCCTGTCTATTTAAACACAACCAGCAGCAGAAAAACTGATTTATTTATTTATTTATTTATTTATTTATTTATTTATTTGAGATGGAGTCTCGCTCTGTCGCCCAGGCTGGAGTGCAGTGGTGCGAGCTCTGCTCACTGCAAGCTCCACCTCCCAGGTTCATGCCATTCTCCTGCCTCAGCCTCCTGAGTAGCTGGGACTACAGGCACCCGCCACCACGCCTGGCTAACTTTTTTGTATTTTTAGTAGAGACGGGGTTTCACCACGTTAGCCAGGATGGTCTCGATCTCCTGACCTCGTGATTCGCCCACCTCAGCCTCCCAAAGTGCTGGGATTACCAGTGTGAGCCACCGCGCCCAGCCAAGAACTGATTTTAAAATAAATTCCATCTCAGCAATAACAATGAAAAATAAATGAATAAACAAATAAATTTGGTCTCAAGCATTCAGAAAGAGTAATTTTAATGCCTTGGTCGAAGAATTGTGACTCTATTTAATAGCTTAATTGCCTTTTTGTTTTTAATCTTTCCCAGCATGCTCATGCACATTCATCTGGATACTTCATCACTCAAGACTCTGCATTTGGGAACCTTATTCTTCCTGTTTTACCTCGCCTTGACCCAGAATGAAGAAAACATTTGCGATGGAAAAGTGACTTTGTAATATCAAATGCCAAAGCTACTATCATTCAGTGCTACATGAACTGTGACTTTAAGAATTTTGGTGAACTTTGATATTTTTTGTTTGTCTGAAAGAAAGGAATGTGTAAGTGAAAGCTGAAAGAAGAATAACCAGGATGATGAGAGCTGTGGAAGCTGTATCGTCCAAGGAATTGATTATGTACCGTGACTGTAACTTTTTTGTAATGCTGTTTAACTCTCAATCAGACTGTGAACTGGATGGTCACGAAGTCATTCCCCAACTCCTAGCAAGTTTGACTGAATATATCATGTCCACAGTAGATTTTCAAGAATCATTTATAGTACTTAACTTTAAAGAAACAAGGCTGCTTTTAAAAAATGAACTAATAGGCTTAAATCAATTGCATCCATATTTGCTGTTTATAGGATTGCTATCAGTATACCTTTTGCGTTTATAGTCAACATGTATCATCCTGAAATATTCTTTCTGGACTTATAACTACTTCCCCCTTTTTCACTTTAAAACAAACCTCAAGAATAAATTACTAACCAGTCTTAACCATCTTTTATAAACATATGCTCTTATAAATGTTGTGACTAGATGCAATTAAAAATAATAGGGAATGTGGTAGGTTTTTAATTTGTACATCCTCTTATTTAGTGTTACCACATAAATGATGAGTTTGTGTGGTTCTGTTTTCCATTTTTGTTCTAACTGAAAACTTTTTGGCTGGGCACGGTGCCTCATGCCTGTAATCCCAGCACTTTGGGAGGCCAAGGCGGGCAGATCACTTGAGATCAGGAGTTTGAGACCAGCCTGGCCAACATGGTGAAACCCTGTCTCTACTAAAAGTATAAAAAATTAGCCATGTGTGGTGGCACACGCCTGTAATCCCAGCTACTCAGGAGGCTGAGGCAGGAGAATCGCTTGAACCTGGGAGGCAGGGGTTGCAGTGAGCTGAGACGGTGTCACTGCACTCCAGCCTGGGTGACAGTGAGTCTTTGTCTCAAAGAAAAAAAGAAAAAGAAAACTTATGCAAGTCGAGCTCCTTTTTAATTAAGTAGGAAGGGATTAGGTTAAGAAAGTCTCTCAACATGACCCATCTTTAGCAGTATCTGGGGTGCTTATTTAAGTATGCAGTCCCACTACCCTACCCTAGTCCTACAGAATTAGAATCTGATTCAAAATAAAGTCTGAAAACCATGAGATAGAGAATTCTATGAAATATCTTGTACAGATTTTCGTGATATATTTATACACGCATGGGTTTGTAGATCCCTGAAACTTAGAGGTCATTTAGCTAAAATCTACATTTTTTTTAACTTTTAATAGGATTGAAATGATATTTTACACTGTATCACAGATACAGTATTTTATATAACTTTTTGTAACTGACCTTATCTTGGCCTTGAGTCCCATCCTCTCTGGTGGTAGCGTAAAACTGAAAATTCCAGTTTGGGTCAATATTTAGTGAAAGTTCTACTTTCTTTTCAGAGAGTTTGTTCCCCCCTTTCTTCCTTAGATGTTTTCAAACACACAGCCCCATCCTACTCAAACCAAGTGAAGCAAGAGTGGACAATTCTAGAATTGGCTGTGCCATGTAGGTTTTTTTTAGAATTTGAACTGATTTCCTTCATTTTGATGAGGTGGCAACTGTCCCCATTGTAATGGTCACCATTGCAGCGAGGATAGCCTTACTTCTGCGGCGCAGAGCTCCTCAGGGGGCCTCTGGCTCCTGTCCTTCCTCAGGTCCATCCAACTACTCCTTGGGCCTCCTTATGGTAGCCCTCATTGTCTTGAGTTGATTTCACTAGGTTTCTGTTCTCTGTCATCTGCAACATAACTGACATGGTTCTAAATCTGTCTCTAAGGAGATAACACATTAGTATATTTTCTACACTATTGAAGCCTCTACCTAATGTATGACTTTTGTAGCTCAGGTAAAGAGATCTTTTTACCAGTGTTATCGTTTCTAGTCTGTTTGTTAGTCTTCTTTTAAATAGATATGGCCTAAATCCTGTATTCCTGGCTAGGAAGCACTTCTCTCCACCCCTCTGCTTTGAGTTACAAATTCAATTCAATTTCCTATGTATTTATTAATACCTACAGATAAAGTACTGTGCTTTGGGGGACACAAAGGTGACTGGTACCTGCTCTTTTAGGAGGTCACCGTGCAGAGGATCCTATTCTGGTACACCAATAGTTATAAAGCAAGCCACAGCCTAGGCAACATAGTGAGACCCCTGTCTCTACTAAAAAATTAAAAAAAAAAAAAAAAGATTGGCTAGGTGTGCTGGTGCATGCATAGAGTCCCAGCCACTCGGGAGGCTGAGGTGGGAGGATTGCTTGAGCCTGGGAGGTTGAGGCTGCAGTGGGCCATGATTGCACAACTTGGCAACAGAGTGAGACCCTGTCTCTAAATCAATCAATCAAGCGAGCCAGAATGCAGTAGTGGCCTGAGAGAGGCATCCTGGAACGCAGTGCGGTCTGGCTAGGCTTAGAAGTATTCATGTGATTTTTACCTGACAAGGGAAGGAAGAGCTGCTCCACGTGCAGAGCAAGGTTTCAGAATGAGAGGAGAAGAGCAGGCACTGCAGAGGGTGAGGGAAAGGGCAGCAGTGGACTGGGAAGCCCTCAGGTGGAGGTCAGCATTGCTTCCCTCAGATCATGGGTGAATTTGAGGAACTCAGTTAATATCTTTGTATGTTCCTCCCTCCATAAGGTGAGAACAAGCACATGCTCTGCCCATGTCAGAAATTGTCTAGACTAGTGTTTTTCAAAGTGCAAAAGCCTCAACCCATTACTGAGTTGAGAAGCCAACTTAATGGTTTAACAGGATTGACCAGCATTTTTTCCGAAAAAATCAAAAACATCTGAGTGTACTGCATATAGAAATAGGTGGTTTTGCCTCATGAATATTCTGTTTCTGTGTGTTCCTATATTTTACTTTGTATTGTGTTGGTTTTTTAAGAGACAGTCCTGCTCTGTCATCCAGGCTGGAGTGCAGTGGTATAATCATAGCTCACTGCAAGACTCCTTGAATCCCTGGGCTCAAGCAATCCTCAACCCTTAGCCTCCCAAGTAGCTGAGACTACAGGCACATGCCACCATGCCCAGCTAATTTTTTTTTTTTTTTAATTTTTGTAGAGACAGCATCTTGCTATGTTGCCCAGGCTGGTCTTGAACTCTTGGCCTCAAGCAGTCCTCTCGATCCTCCCACCTTGGCCTCCTAAAGTGCTGAGATTACAGGTGTGAGCCACTGCATCTGGCTTACTTATTTTGTCTATTGTCTGTTCCACTAGTATGTAAAGTCTTAGAGAGCAAGAATTTTTGTTTATTTCTTTCTCTTCCTCCTTTCCTTTCTTCCTCTTTTACTTCGTTCACTACTGTATTCCACATAAAATATATTTGGCATATAGTAGGTGTTCAATATGTTGAAGGAATGAAAGAATTTATAGACTTGAGTTGCAATATAAAATGTATTTTTTTTTACTGTGAGTTATGGCAAAAAAAGTTTTGAAAGCCGCTTCTAAATAATGCAGATGTCAGTGCTTTGACCCTGGAATAAAAACTGAAATGACTTAGTGATTTCAAAGGCATATTTGTTTTCCTGAACAATCTATAAACTGTCTCATTAAGTTGTCTCAGTTATTTGCTTCACTTCGGCAACAGAACCTCAGCCTTTACATGTGTTTAAAGCCTCTTGAGGCAAAGGATTTGGAAAATATGGTTACATGGAGAATAGAAGATAATGAGAGAGAGTATCAATTCATTAGTGCAGTTGAACCCCTCTATTGGAATCCCATCAGCGAGCACAAGTCCCATTTCAACAGCAATAAATGCAACAAGTATTTGCTGAGTGCTTTTCTTATTCACCTCTATATCCATGGTGACTTCTACACAGTTGATACCCACGATTCTTTTTTAAAGAGATGGGGTCTCACTGTGTTGCCCAGGCTGGACACTGGGCTCAAGTGATCCTCCCACCTCAGCCTCCCAAGTAGCTGTGACTATAGGTGTGTGCCACCATGCTCAGCCACAGGCTTTTTTTTTTTTTAACAGGGTCTCACTCTTGTTGCCCAGACTGGAGTGCAATGGCAGCATCTCAGCTCACTGCAACCTCTGCCTCCCAGTTTCAAGTGATTCCCATGCTACAGCCTCCTGAGTAGCTGGAATTACAGGTGTGCGCCACCACGCCCAGCTAATTTTTTATGTTTTTAGTAGAGACGGGGTTTTGCCATGTTGGCCAGGCTGCTTCTCCAACTCCTGGCCTTAAGTGATCCACCTGCTTCGGCCTCCCAAAGTGCTGGGATTACAGGTCTGAGCCACCGCACCTGGCTGGCCACAGGCTTTTTAAAAATGTGCAAATAATGAACATGGACAATGAGGAAGAGAAGGAGGACAGTCACTGTCCTCAAGAGTCTGACAATCTAGATTGGTTGAGACAAGCACACTAAAAACCAATCCTAGGAGCAGCCTGGAGAGGAGAGAATGGGGACAGGAGCCCGAAAGGACCAATAAAAGCTACATCAGAACAAGCATTGGAACTTGGCTTTCAAGATGAGACGGTTTCAGCCAGGAAAGAGAGCAACATTCAGCCAGGCGCGGTGGCTCACGCCTGTAATCCCAGCACTTTGGGAGGCCAAGGCGGGCAGATCACGAGGTCAGGAGATCGAGACCATCCTGGCTAACACGGTGAAACCCCGTCTCTACTAAAAAATACAAAAAAAAAAAAAAAAAAAATAGCTGGGTGCGGTGGTGGGTGCCTGTAGTCCCAGCTACTCGGGAGGCTGAGGCAGGAGAATGCGGGAACCCGGGAGGCGGAGCTTGCAGTGAGCTGAGATCGAGCCACTGGACTCCAGCCTGGGAGACAGAGCCAGACTCCGTCTCAAAAAAAAAAAAAAAAAAAAAAAAAAAAAGAGCAACATTCAAAGCAAAGGAAACACCTGCACAGAGGCAGGAGGAAAGCAGGTTTGTGGGCGTTGTGGGGAGACCAAAAGCTCGATTTGGCTGGAGCACAGAGAGACATGTCTAGGCAGATAACTGGAAACGAGGCTAACCGGAGGTTAGATCCATTCCAGAGCATCTGGAATTCCAGGGTGCGCCAGACCTCTAGCTTGGTACACAGCGGGGAGACATTGAACATTTGTGGGCATAGGCAGGTACAGAGATGAACCCATCCAGCCCTCATCAGCTCTTGGGAAAGGGGAACATGTGAGGTACTAAAAGAATATTACTCTTCATGTCTGCAAATTCAGAGACAGGTGTGTTCTGTTTACATCTGCCTTTCAACTCCAGCCCCATCTGTCTTCGCTTTCTCTTGCATTTAGTTGTTGGGTCCTTCCCCAAATTTCTCTCTGTTCACCTCCCTCCCCTATCTACCTTTCTTTCCTCCAGTTTTCTTCTGTATCTCTAACTCCAAAAGCCTTTTAAGAAGGAAAAAGCGGCCGGGTGTGGTAATTCCAGCACTTTGGGAGGCTGAGGCGGGGCATCACGAGGTCAGGAGATTGAGACCATCCTGGCTAACACGGTGAAACCCCATCTCTACTAAAAATACAAAAAATCAGCCAGATGTGGTGGCACACACCTGTAGTCCCAGCTACTCGAGAGGCTGAGGCAGGAGAATCGCTTGAACCTGGGAGGCGGAGGTTGCAGTGAGCCGAGATCGCGCCAATGCACTCCAGGCTGGGCGACAGAGTGAGACCCGGTCTCAAAAAAAAAAAAAAAAAAAAAAAAAAAAAGACGGAAAAAGCAAGGCATCCTCACAAAATATTCATTTAATTTTCCCAAGAGCTCAGTGAAGTAGTGAAGTGGATATTTTAGAACTCTATTCAGCATGACTTTCCCACTTCCTAACATTACTCAGATTTGTATTGGCCACGCTCCTTCCCCAACAGCCGGTGTCCTTCAGGGGAAGCCAACAGTGCCCCAACAACAGGAATGGGCCTTACATGCTCCGAACCAGTCAGGGTCATTCCTTATTGCCACAGTGATTGCCTCAGGTAACTCGTGCCCACACCAGTCAGCATGTGGTATTTCCACACCACAGGAATTGGTTTAGGATTGGAGGCATTGCTCAAATGAGACTCCAGGAGGGGTTTGCTGCGCTTATGGAAAAGAGGCAGTCACCTTTCTGAGACATTATCAAAAGGGACTCCCTCTCTAGATATGCAAAAGGAAGCAGATTGTCCTGTGTTTTTTGCAGCCACCTTGTGACCATGAAGTGGAGCAAGTTTTAAAATGAAGCCACCACTCTAAAAGGTACAGCAGAGAAACGCAAAGAAACTGGGCCCTTGATGACATCATTGGGCTGCGGAGCCCAACAGTCCCTAGGTGCTAGCTCCCCTTCCTGTGGAATGCCCAGTGAGGGGAGGTCATAAATCCTTGTTACTGTTTAAGCTGGATTGAAGTAGGTTTTTGTCACTTGTCATAGAACTACCCTCATACGAAGTGTACTAACTTGCTAGCCTCTTAGCCACACATCTAAGCCAAACTCCAGTACACCAGTCCCTCCTCAAGCCCACACCATGCTGCCTCTGCTGCCTTCCTGACACCTTTGTTAATCACCACCCAGGTCAGTTGCCTCCCTTGCCCTTGCGTCTGTTCACTCATCTCCCCTGCACCTACCTGCTGACCTGAACCCTTCCACGACACGGCCTTTCCTGGTGATTTCCCTCTTGGTATCTCTGGAATTCCTTTGGTTCAATCACCAAAATATCTCTAGTATTTCCAAGCCATTCCCACTGTCCCCTTTGTCTCCACTCTTCTTCCTGATACCCTGCTTTCTCAGGAAATCTGTAGGTCTTTGGTACCTCTCAGGAGGAGGTAAGCTGATATGTTTGCCTTCTGGCTGTAGATTCAGCTAGTTTCTGGCCCACTCACCGTTGCCACTCCAGAATATTGTTTTAACTTCATTTCAGAATTCACTTCTTAAAAACGCATGTCTCCTCCCTGCTTAAAAAAAGCCAGGCCAGGCTGGGCACGGTGGCTCGCGCCTATAATCCCAGCACTTTGGGAGGCTGGGACAAGTGGATCACTTGAGCACAGGAGTTCAAGCTCAGCCTGGGCAACATGTCAAAACCCTGTCTCTACCATTTTTTTTTTTAATTAGCCAGGCGGGGCATGCACCTGTAGTCCCAGCTACTTGGGAGGCTGAGGCGGGTGGATCACTTGAGCCCAGGAGGTCGTGGCTGCAGTGAGCCATGACTGCACCACTGCACTCCAGCCCAGGCAACAGAGCGGGACCCTGTCTCCAAAAAAAAAAAAAAAAGCCAGGCCCACTCCAGCGTCATAATTGCCAAGAACCGTGTGGGGGTGCCCCCTCATATCCCCTCAGGACCCTGACTCTTTCATTAGCTTCAGCTCCTCTGCATTACTCCTGCTGCTATCCTGGGGACATTGCATTGACAGCCACCTTGGTGTGGGCTGAACAATACGCTCCTCCTCTCAGGTCCTTGACATCCTCTGCACCTCAAGGCTGCCTTCTCCTCTCTGCGGTCACCACACTCTGGCCCTTCCCTGAAGCTGAAACTGTATATCCCTACCCTTCTTCCCATCATTTCTGCATCCTCTTCTGTAGCCACATACCTTGAGATTTCACATTGTCAGTTACTTTCTATCTTTCCACAGGCTCATGCTTTTGGCTTATATATTTGCACCTATTAAAAGCCCTCCCAATGATCTTATGTCTTTTTCAAGCCTGGTCTAATCTGGCCCATCACCACCAGACTGTATTTACTCTCTATAGCACCTCCCACCACCCCATCTAACCTCTCCTCCTGCACTTGTGACCATATACGCTGCCTTTCTTACTGTCACGGATGAATGGTTCACGCTCCTTTTGAAGGCTGTCTACTGTGTCTTCCCTTGCTCTGCATCCCATTCCATTACTGCCCTATTCCTCTGCATTCCTGTATAACTCCCGCCAAGAGTTGTCTATGCTGCCCATCTCCAGATCCTCTCATCCCGTTGTCTCTGGAGCCCACTCCAGTCAAGCTTCTGTCTCCACAGACTCACTGAAATTATCCTTGGAAAACTGCCAGTCATCTCCACTTGGCCAAATCCAATGGTCAGTTTTCATCTCTATCTTACTTGAACTCTTAGCATTTTACACAACTGATCACCCCCTCTCCTTCTTGAAACGCTGTCCCACTTGACTTCATCAACACCACACTCTCCTGGTTTTCCTCCCACCTTACTGGTTGTTCCTTCTCATGGTCATTTGCTGGTTTCTCCTTCCAAGTGCAAAACGCTGGAATAGCCTAGAGATTAGCCTTTTCATCTCTTCTCTATCTACAGTCATTCCCTGAGTAATCTTATCCAGTAGCATGGCTTTTAGGTACCAACTATCTTTTGATTACTTTCAAACGTATATCACCAACCCTGATACCCCACTCTGTGGTGGGCAGTCTCCAAAGATGGCTGCCATCAATTTCTCCCATCCCTGTCAACATATGCCACTGTTCTCATCAAAAAGTGGAGTCTGTTTTCCTTCCCTCACATATGTGCTGGCCTTGTGACCTGTTTTGACAAATAGGATATGGCAGAAGAGATGCTATGTCAGTTTAGACCTAGCTTGAAGAGGCCTGACAGCTTCTGCTCTTGTCCTCTGTGGAGAACCAGTCACTATGTAACACATCTGACTCCCTGTGACCGCCATGCTGTGAGGAAGCCCAAGCTAACTATGTGGAGATGTCACATGGAGCACTGAGGTGCCAGAAATGTGAGTGAAGCCTTCTTGGACCTTTCTGTTCAGCCCAGCCACCAGCTGAATGCAGCCAGATGAGCAACCCCAACTCATGCCACATAGAGCAGAACTGACCAGCTGAATGCAGTCAACCCACAGAGTTGTAAGAAATAAGAAATTGTTGCTGTTCTAAACTCCTGAGTTTTAGGGAAGGTTATTGTGCAGCAAAAGATAACAGAAACACCCTTGATCTCCAGACTCTTGTACCTATTGTCAGCATGTATTGTCAGCATCTCCACGTGGAAGTCCAATAGGGATCCAAACTTACATGTCTACATGTTCACTGGAATTTTTTTTTTTTTGGTGCATTGGCAGGGAATCAAGATAACTGGTGTTTTTTTGTTTTGTTCTGTTTTTTGAGACAGGGTCTCACTCTGTCACCCATGCTAGAATGCAGTGGTGTGATGATTGTGGCTCACTGCATCCTTGACCTCCTGAGCTCAGGTGATCCTCCCACCTCAGCCTCCCAAGTAGCTGGGACTACAGGCATGCACCAACACACCTAATTAAATTTTTTTTTTTTTTTTAGAGACAGGCTCCCACTACATTTCCTAGGCTAGTCTTGAACTCCTGGGATCAAGCAATCCTCCCACGTTGGCCTCCCAAAGTTGGGATTGTAGCATTTTACATAATCCCATTTTAGATAACGGTATTGTAGGTGTGAACCACTGTGCCCAGCCTAAAATTGGGTTCTTGATATCTCACCCTCCCATGATATGGCAGGGTATCTCACCCTCCCATGATATGGCATATCCCATAAGGGTGGGTGAGATATCACCCTCCCAGCATACTATTCTTCCAGCATTCTCCATCTCAGTAAATGGCCATTTGCATGGGCATAAAGATAGGAGTCATTCTAGACTTTTCTTTCTTTCACATTCCTCTTTCAATTCCATCAGCCCTGGCCTCAAAATACATCCAGAGTCCCATGAACTCTTACCACCTCCACCACTGTCATCTTGTTCCAAGCCGCCATAATTATTTGGCTAGAATACTGCAATAGCCTTGTAAATAGTCTTCCACCTTCCATGTTTTTTCCCCTGCCCTCCATCCCATCACCCTACAGTTAACAACATTCAACACAGCCTCCAGAGTGATCTTTTAAAAATAAGTAAGGCACATGAAAAGATGGTCAACATTGCTAATCATTAGGGAAAAGCCAATCAAAACCAAAGTGAGGTTCCACTCCCCACTTCTTAGGATGGCTACTATTAAAATAAAATAAAAAACCAGAAAATAACAAATGTTGGTGAGGATGTGGAAATACTGGAACCTCTGTGCACTGTTGGTAGGGATGTAAAATGGTACACCCTCTGTGGAAACAGTATGGTGGTTCCTCAAAAAATTAAACTTAGAATTATCATCATTTGATCCAGCAATTCCACTTCTGGGCATATACCCAGAAGAACTGAAAGCAGGGACTTGCACAGATATTTGTACACCCTGTTCACAGCAGCATTATTCACAATAGTCAAAAGATAGAAGCAACCCAAATGTTCATCAACAGATGAATGGTTAAACAAAATGTGGTATATCCATGAGATGGAATATTATTCAGCCTTGAAAAGGAATGACATTCAGATACATGCAACAAGATGGATGAACCTGTAAGACATGTGGGACAAATATTGTATGATTGCATATACATGAGGTACCTAGAGTAGTCAAATTCATAGAAAGTAAACAGTGGCCAGGCACTGAGGGAAGGGGAGAATGAGGAGTTACTGTTTAATGGGTGCAGGTTTTCAGTACAAGACGAAAAGGTTCTGGAGATGGATAGATAGTAGTGTCAGTCACACAGCAATGTGAATGTACTGAATGCCACTGAACTGTACACTTAAAAATGGTTAAGATGGTAAATTTTATGTGTATGTTACCACAATAAAATTTAATAAAAATTCTAATTAGAGTGTCCACCTCACTAAGAGTAATAGGCAACATCTTTACAATGGGTTACAAATATACAGAATATTATGAGATGAGTCTATTCGTTGGAACAAACAAAACAGGCAAAGTGAATGTTTTTTCACCTTGAATTTTAATGTATACTTTCTCTGATCTTTTTATTTTACTTTATTTTTTGAGATAGGGTCTCACCCTGTCACCAGGCTGGAATGCAATGGTGCAATCTCAGCTCACTGCAGCTTCAACCTTCTGGGTTCAAGTGATCCTCCCAGCTCATCCTCCTGAGTAGCTGAGACTACAGGCTACCACACCTGGATAATTTTTTGTGGGTTTTTTTTTTTTTTAAATTTTTAGTAGAGACGAGGTCTCACTATGTTGCCCAGGCTGGTCTGGGACTCCTGGGCTCAAGTGATCTTCCTGGGCTCAAGTGATCCTCCTGTCTTGGCCTCCAAAAGTGCTGGGATTACAGGCATGAGCCACTGTGCCTGGTTGAATTTTTTGAGATGGAGTCTCACTCTGTCACCCAGGCTGGACTGCAGTGGCACAATCTCAGCTCATTGCAACCTTTGCCTCCCGGGTTCAAGCAATTCTCTTGCCTCAGCCTCCTGAGTAGCTGGAACTACAGGCATGTGGCACCATGCCCGGCATTTTTTTTTTTTTTTTTTTCCTTTTTAGTAGAGATGGGGTTTCACCATGTTGGCCAGGATGGTGTCGAACTCCTGACCTTGTGATCCGCCCCAAAGTGCTGGGATTACAAGCGTGAGCCACTGTGCTATGCCTGAATTTTTTTTTTTCTTTTTTAAGACAGAATCTCACTCTGTCACTCACGCTGGAGTGCAGTGGCACAATCTCAGCTCACTGCAACCTCCAACTCCCTGGTTCAAGCGATTCTGCTGCCTCAGCCTCCCAAATAGCTGGGATTATAGGTGGGATTACAAGCGTGCACCACCAGGCCAGGCTAATTTTTGTATTTTTAGTAGAGACGGGGTTTTGCCATGTTGAGCAGGCTGGTTTAACTCCTGGCCTCAAGTGATCTGCCTGCCTCGGCCTCCCAAAGTGCTGGGATTACAGGCGAAAGCCACTGTGCCCAGCTTCCTCGAATTTTAACACGCAAGTTCCCTTTTTCTCTTAGTGTTATTTAGCTCTTCTGTGGAGAGGTTGCTGGTCTACTGAGAATGGCCAATGGCCGGCCGGACGCGGTGGCTCATGCCTATAATCCCAGCACTTTGGGAGGCCAAGGCGGGCAGATCATGAGGTCACGAGATCGAGACCATCCTGGCTAACATGGTGAAACCCCGTCTCTACTAAAAATACAAAAAAAAAAAAAAAATTAGCCAGGCATGGTGGCGGGCGCCTATAGTCCCAGCTACTCGGGAGGCTGAGGCAGGAGAATGACGTGAACCCGGGAGGCTGAGCTTGCAATGAACTGAGATTGCACCACTGCACTCCAGCCTGGGCAACAGAGTGAGACTCCGTGTGAAAAAAACAAACAAACAAACAAAAACCAAAAACACTCACAGATGTAAAGCTACTCTGTTTGAATGCATGTGGCTCCTTGGGAATGGCAGACGCCTTGCATGTGACAGTGGTTGGTTTGTAGGTAGGTTTGTTCAACATTGCTGTCCTCTGAGGCAGCAGAATCTAAGAGGCCTAGCCTGCCTGTCAGGAGGAGCTCGCATATATCGTGTGCCAGATGAGAACTGAAGAAGAAGCATGAGTTTTACGAGAGCAGGGTGTGTCGGCAGAGGAGCAGGTGGGAGAGAAGGGCAGGAGAAGGGAGGGCATGGTGTAAATGCAAGATCCGGCAGTCCACAAGGCCAATGTGGAGCTTTATCAGAAAGGCTTTGGTGAGCCAGGAAGGAAGAAATGATAGAATAAGACTTGTGTGCTGTGAGGCTTTTCTAGGAAGCAGCTGGGGAGGGACTGGTGGAGGCAAGAGGCAAGGAAGCCACTCAGGCAGCTTCTGAATAATAATTGGGCAAAATGGTGTGGGCTGACCAAGTTGGTGGCAGTGAGGAGAATGAGAAGGGAAGAGATTCAAAAGTAGATAGAATGATTAGATAATGGAAACTGATTTTGGAGGAAGGAGGAGAGGAAAGAGGGGGGTCCTAGAATGAACTGTCAGGTTTCTGGCTTGGGCAACAAGGTAGGTACAGGTACCATTTCCTTAGGAAGGAAAGACAGGGTGGGGCATGGGGTTGAGGAGCCTGCTTCAACTGGGGTCCCACTGGAGAAGTAAGCCTGAAAGCCCCAAGGCTTCACAGTCTGGAATGAATGAGCGTCTCTCCCCTGCATCTGGAATGGTACTAGTTATGTACCTAGTTCTCCTTGAAGAACTGAAAAAATAGGGCCTCAAGTCTTTTTCTGCATTCTGTGGTTCAGCTGAAGAAGCCCAGTTGAGAAACGCTTAGAAAATCTAGGTTTACAATGGAACAGAATAGAGAACTCAGAAATAAGACCACACACCTACAACCATCTGATCTTTGACAAACTCGACAAAAGCAAGCAATGGGGAAAGGATTCTCTATTTAATAAACGGTGCTGGGAGAACTGGCTAGCCATATGCAGAAAATTGAAACTGGACCCCTTCCTTACACCATATACAAAAATTAACTCAAGATGGAATAAAGACTTAAATGTAAAACCCAAAACTATAAAAACCCTAGAAGAAAATCTAGGCAATACCATTCAAGACATAGACACGGACAAAGATTTCATGACAAAAATGCCAAAAGCAATTGCAACAGAAGCACAGACTGACAAATGGGATCTAATTAAACTAAAGTGTTTCTGCACAGCAAAAGAAACTATCTTCAGAATGAACAGACAACCTACAGAATGGGAGAAAATTTTTGCAATCTATCCATCTGACAAAGGTCTAATATCCAGAATCTACAAGGAACTTAAACAAATTTACAAGAAGAAAACAACTACATTAAAAAGTAGGCAAAGGACATGAACAGACACTGCTTAAAAGAAGACACACATGCAGCCAATAAACATATGAAAAAAAGCTCAACCTCACAGATCATTAGAGAAATGCAAATCAAAGCCACAATGAGATACCATCTCACACCAGTCAGGATGGCTATTATTAAAAAGTCAAACAATAGATGCTGGTGAGGTTGTGGAGAAAAAGGAACACTTTTACACTGTTGGTGGGAATGTAAATTAGTTCAACCATTGTGGAAGACAGTGTGGCGATTCCTCAAAGACCTAGAGGCAAAAATACCATTTGGCCCAGCAATCCCATTACTGGGTATATACCCAAAGGAATATAAATTATTCTATTATAAAGATACATGCATGCGTATCTCCACTGCAGCACTATTCACAATAGCAAGGACATGGAATCATCCTAAATGCCCATTGATGATAGACTGGATAAAGAAAATGTGGTACCTATACACCATGGAATACTATGCAGTCATAAAAAGGAACAAGATCATGTCCTTTGCAGACACATGGATAGAGCTGGAAGCCATTATCCTCAGCAAACTAATGCAGGAACAGAAAACCAAATACGGTATGTTCTCACTTACAAGTAGGAGCTGAATGATGACAACACATGGACACGTGGTGGGGACAACACACTCGGGCCTGTCAGGGTGGGGTAGAGGGAGAGAGAGCATCAGGAAGAAGAGCTAATGGATGCTGGGCTTAATACATAGGTGATAGGACGATCTGTGTAGCAAACCACCATGGCACACATCTACCTATGTAACAAACCTGCACATCCTGCACATGTACCCCTGAACTTAAAAGTTGAAGAAAAAAAAATCTAGGTCTACTTATGCTAAGGCCATGGAAGTGGAGGAAACTGTCCTGAGAAAGCGTATAAAATTGAATCCATATAAATGAGAACATCATAGGATGAGGAGCCAGAGAAAGAATCCAGAGATGCTGCAGAAAAACCTGAAGACAGTGATACTTAAGCTCGCGTGGAAACCAAGGAGAAGAGCATTTCAGGGAGTGGGGGAGCTATTTCCCAAAGTGCCACTGGTGATCCTAAGAAGTAACTCTTGGAGTACATATGGGCAAACACTTTTAATAGTTATGTAGTTATATTTATTGCAAGTAATATAGCATTTATATAGTAATATAAATAATAACCATAGCTAATAGTTACTTTTTGTTCTTTCTTTCCTTTTCTTCTCTTTTTTGTTTTTGTTTTTTTTTTGAGACAGAGTCTCGTTCTGTCGCCCAGGCTGGAGTGCAGTGGCGCAGTCTCGGGTCACTGCAACCTCCACCTCCCAGGTTCATGCCATTCTCCTGCCTCAGCCTCCCGAGTAGCTGGGACTACAGGCGCCCGCCACCAGGCCCGGCTAATTTTTTGTATTTTTAGTAGAGACAGGGTTTCACCGTGTTAGCCAGGATGGTCTCGATCTCCTGACCTCGTGATCCACCTGCCTTGGCCTCTCAAAGTGCTGGGATTACAGGTGTGAGCCACCGCGCCCGGACTCCCTCTTTTTTTTTTGGCAGGATCTCACACTGTCCCCCAGGCTGGAGTGAACTGGTATAATCTCAGTTCACTGCAGCCTCAACTTCCCCAGCTCAAGCGATCCTCCCACCTCAGCCTCCTGAGTAGCTAGGAATAAACATGCATGCCACCAGACCTGATTAATTTTTAATTTTCTGTGGAGATGGGGGTCTCACAATGTTGCTGAGGCTGGTCTCAAATTCCTGGGCTCAAGTGATCCTCCTACCTCAGCCTCCCAAAGTGTTGGGATTACAGGCATGAGTCACCGCACCCAGCCTAGTTACTATTTTTTCTAGACAGTTACTCTGTACCAGGCATTGTTTTAAGTGCTTTGTATGTATTAATATTCTTATTCTTTGCTTTAATATGAATTCAAGTAAAAATGAATCAATTTAAAGAAAATATCAAATAAATAATAGGACAAGTGGACTCAGTTATCACAAACGTTGTGAAGGTACTACATAAATGACTGACCCTTGGGCGACAGTGCCCTGGGTGGATAGTTTACACTGAGAAGTAATGAGAGAGCAAGAGGAATCCGGCCAGGCGTGGTGGCTCACACCTGTAATCCCGGCACTTTGGGAGGCCGAGGCAGGTGGATCACCTGAGGTCAGAAATTCGAGACCAGCCTGGCCAACATGGCGAAACCCTGTCTCTACTAAAAATACAAAACATTAGCTGGGCGTGGTGGCGGGTGCCTGTAATTGCAGCTACCTAGGAGGCTGAGGCAGGAGAATCGCTTGAACCTGGGAGGCAGAAGCTGCAGTGAGCTGAGATCGCACCATTGCATTCCAGCCTGGGCAACAAGAACGAAACTCCACCTTAAAAAAAAAGAAAGAAAGAGGAATCCATGGTACTGACCTACACCGAGTAGTCTGCACATGTACTGAGAATACGGAACAAAAGGAAACATCTGAAACGTAGTTTTCCCTGCCTAGTGGGGAGGTCAGATCATATCCTTTCAATTCTGGGCCATTATCCAAGGACACACAACAACAAAGCACAAATATTTATTAACTAGTAACTGTCAAAAATGTACTTGTTATCGGTGGGCTTTAGATTCTTTAATAATGTCCTAAAAGATTCACTGCATTCTTTGAATCTGGCCAAACTCTTCAACATGATTGCCATAGTTAAGTATATTAGAAACGTGCTAAATTACTTCCTTGATTGCATTTTGAACACTTCAGCAGCTGAGTACACTGTAAATACCCCAGCAGGAATTTTTATTTCTCATCCTTATTTCTTTGGGATCCCCTGAGAAATACAGGAATGTTGTTTATTGCTGAAATACATCTTCCTTAATGTCTTTCATGTCTGTCCCTGGTGTCTAACTAGGAAAGATGGTGATGAAAACTCTCCTAGGCAGAGGAAGGAATAAAACAGGGAAACTGAAAGGAAGAGAAGGAAAAGGAAATGTAGTGGGGAGGGATGGAAAGACGGGGACACACATCTTCTAAAATACGCCAGGACATATTGGTCACGAGACCCCTTCAGGCCTGGGGAGGCAGTGTCGTGACACATCAATGAGGGTGGGGACGCCAGGCACCCAGGGGCCCTGAGGCATCTACCTCATGCCCCACTAGCGCTCCCCAGGAGCGTTTGTCCCAGAGGCGGAGGATAAGGCCATGTGCCATTCCAGCCCCTTGGACCTCCTGGCTCAGTTTGCCATCTTCACAGCGTGACTGGGTCCCATCTCAGTCTGGGCGTCGTAACTGTGGTTCTCTTAGGCCTGCTGGGATCAACCCCAAGATTTCCACAGATCTGCTTACTGTCTGCATTCAAGGGAGAGAATGTGTTCCCAGGTTCCACCCTGTGGTCGGTACAAATGAGGCCAAGTTCAAAGCAATGGCTTCAACTCCACTGGCTCTTATCGTCACTGGCACCACCCAGCGTGCTCACCTGGAAAATCGACCTGCGATCTGCTCTTGTCAGCATCATCTTCTCATGTCTCTCCTTTTAGCTAGAAGATTCTGTGAGATCGATGAGGAGGCTTGTGGAATCTGTAGTACAGGAGCTTTTTGTTTTGTTTTACATTTTCCTTAACGGAAAATTTTAAACATATAGGAAAGAACAGGCAAGAGCGTAATGAACCCTCACATACTCATCACAGATAATTTAACAATTATCTGCTCAAGGCCAATTTACACTTCATCTATGCCTCCATGTACTCTATGCCTCCGGATTATTTTGAAGGAAATGCTTAAATAATTTAGAATATACCTCAAAAAATAAACTCTCTTTAAAAACATTGAGTACAAGAATTTTTAAAAGTGGATTTCTTACATTGGGAGGCTGAGGTGGGCAGATCACTTGAGGTCAGGAATTCGAGACCAGCCTGGCAAACACGGTAAAACCCTGTCTCTACTAAAAATACAAAAATTAGCCAGGTTTGGTGGCGGGCACCTGTAGTCCCAGCTACTCGAGAGGCTGATGCAGGAGACTCGCTTGAACTCGGGAGGCGGAGGTTGCAGTGAGCCGAGATTGCACCATTGCGCTCCAGCCTGGGCAACAAGAGCAAAACTCCATCAAAAAAAAAAAAAAAAGAAGGAAATATTTTTCAGAAGCTGTTTCTTAGAAATTATTTTTTAACTGCTCTATATACAGAACAGTAAATTTCTACATTAAAAGTTTTGAGAATTAAATGTAGTCTCCAAAAGCCATAAATAATCATTTAAAGAGCAGAAAAACATTAATTAGCGGCATGTACATGATGGTCAATATAAAATCACCATGACACCATCCCAAATGGGACCTCAAGCCTGCCCAGTGAGGCAAATCTCAGTCAGAAAACCAGAGGGAACTCTGCTGGAACAACTATTTCACCCAGAGGATTGGCTCAGAGGCACAGAATATGGGTGTGGAATTCTCATATGTCCTAACATCGCAAACTACAAAGACAAACATTACCTCCAGGAATGTGACACTAAAAAACTATTCAGAAACCAGACATGCTGCTGATTAAGTTAAAATAACTAAGCTAAGAAAACAGAAAGTATACATTAAATCTTTTTATTGTTTAAAAATCTGGGTTGAACAGTCAAGCTGCATATACATAAGTGAACCCAAACAACAACAACAACCACCTTTAAAATATAACCCAGGTCCTTACAAATTGTTAACAGACTACTGGACTATCAACTAGAGGGCCGGACTGGAGGAACAAAAAAAAATCCCTTCCAACGCTGACACTCTAGGACAGAAAATAGGAGTGACACCCACTTTCCCACTCATGTGCCCCCACATGCACAGGGATGTATGCACAGGTGCGACCATCTGGGGGAAGAAGGAAAAAGCTGGAGACGGTACAATAACATCATTCACGTTACTGACCGCTTCCTACATCGTTCAGAATGATGTTTCCAGTGTTAAGAAATTATGGGTATCCTCTATATTAAAACAAAATTACAGAACAGTGAAAACGTTAGGACAGTTTTGTTGCTATTATTTGGAAAATACAGCCCCATAGAAAATATTAAATTTTTAAATAAAAGCATTGCGCTTCTTATCTAAGTAGTTAAATTGAACAGACTTTTGTTAGTCACAGCTGAGCAAGAGGACCCTGGGACAGGTTATACTTGGAATCTACCCAGAAGAGATTGTCTCCATCTCTTTGGGAAGATGTTTTGCTCTGTTTCAGAATGAAAAACTAAGGAAATGCAAAGCAGTCCATTGCCTATTCTATTGCTAAATTTAAAGCAAACATGCTGGTGTCATTGAAAATTTAGTTTAGAGTTTAAATTGGCAAAAGCTTGGGGCACAGATAAAACCATTCTATTGCCAGGAAGAAACTGAGCATCAGAGCTGACGATACTCTACACTCCTGTGTGTTTTCAAGGCCTTCCAGTGCAAGCAAATGAAAAAACAAAACAACCCAGCATTAGTTCTAACACTGACATTGTAGACTCCAGAAATAATTCGGATTTTTAAAACTGCATTCATTCCCTTGATGTCTGAATTTAAATGGCGTTCCATAAAACTTCAAGTACAGCTAAGGAAAGCATCTCACTGCCCCAGGCCATCTTTCTGCTGTTGAAATTGAACTTTTCTTGCATTTGTATTCTAAAACAAGTTTTTTGTTTGTTTTTTCCTGATTGCTTTTTGAAACACAGACTTATATTCTGCAATTTTCTGACTTTATACCCATTTTTAGTTCTGCGTTTGAGCATGGAGAAGCACATGGGCTTCAGTCTATAAGCTCTAGTCTAGGTTATTACACCCCCAACGCAGGGGACTCCTTGGCTTTTCTCACTTGGAAGCAGTGGACTCTTTCAGGATAGAGTGTTTTAAATGATGGTGGGGAAAATCAAGAGCAATTTATACATTATTTCGGTAATAAAAATGAAGAAACATGATGCTGTGGTATGGCATTTATTACACCTTATTGTATTAATTTAGCCTATTCATATGAGGACTTCGGGTGCTTTTAGATATGTAGCTTCTAGCCATATTATCTATTTAAAAGCATACATACCCTTCCTCTAGTGGATAATGTCCTGGTATTTAATAGCCCAGAGCCCACTGAAATTAGGATACTAAGCAAACATTGTTTTATTTAAATCAAGCCTCGTAGGTTGCTGTACAACTTATTATCTTTGTAAGACTATTACATAGCTCATATATTTCCTGGATGGTTATCATAACTAAAAAATTATGTATCTTAACATATAAAATATGTATAAAATTCCAAAGTCACAACTTTTCCCCCTCACAATTCTCTATTGTTTCCTGGCATTTGGTGCTATAGAGCAGAAGTCTGAAGCCAGATGCTCTTTGGTTTTCTTACAGGCAATTTGTTACTTTTTTTTCTGTTTTTTTGAGATGGAGTCTCACTCTGTTGCCCAGGCTGGAGTGCAGTGGTGCAATCTCGGCTCACTGAAACCTCCGCCTCCTGGGTTCAAGCGATTCTCCCGCCTCAGCCTCCCGAGTAGCTGGAATTACAGGCATGTGCTACCATGCCCGGCTAATATTTGTATTTTTAGTAGAGACGGGGTTCACCATGTTGGCCAGGCTGGTCTTGAACTCCTGACCTCAGATGATCTGCCTGCCTCGGCATCCCAAAGTGCTTGGATTATAGGCGTGAGCCACCGCGCCTGGCCCATTGACTTTTTTATATGCCTCATTTTATTTTTTTCTCTATACTCATCCTTAAACGTGGTCCTTTCTTCCCAGACCCTGTTCATGTGAATGTTTGTTGAATCCCTTTTTCAGTTAAATCCCAGGTCAATGGTAAGGTGATGAACATATTTCCAAGTCCAATTTCTAGTTTACTTTTCTATTGAAGCAGCATCCTTTTCCTTCCTATTGCCTGATTTTATGGGTCTCTGAACCCAACATCATACATAAAAAATCATAATATTTGCGTGTTCTGCTACTCAGGTATTTATTGTTTCTACCTTCACCTAAAGGGCTTTATTCTTGGGATGCCACCATAGGTCTAATAGTCCTTCTCTGCTTTCTGCTCCTGTTTTAGCTCTAAGATTTATGTGGGATTGAATGAAGAGGAAGTGGGTTGGGGAGAAAGAAGAGAGGGTGGATATGAACTTTTTCTCTTCCCGGTGTAATAAGCATCAGCTAGTATTTCTCTGGCTCAGGAGCTCTGACTCCGAGTAAGGTGACAGGCATGATTGGGGAAGAGGACAAGTACTAAATAGCTTTCATGTTTTTAATTTCACAGGGCCTGTTTCATGAAGTAAGCCAGGAATTGAGCTACTTGGAAACTTTTGCCCCAAGCTACCTCCATATGCCTCATAAATTACATCAATTCCTTCTAGATTCTAGAATTGAGATTTGGCCTTCTTCTGGGTTTTTCTGGGAAGGTACAAGAAGCTCACTAGGGTCTTCTGTGAGCCGGATGTCATTTTGCCAGATGCAGCTCTATTAATTTAAAAAAATCTAAATCTTCTCAGCTGTGATATGGAGGAGAGAGTTCTGGACTAACTCTCTAGTCCTGAATCTATTACTTATTGTTTGGCTGATCTTGGATGGGCCCTTTAATATCTCTGGCCTTAAATTTCCTTATTGATAAAATGGGGGAATTTGACTAGATGATCTCAGAGTTTCATATAACCTATTGCTTTGTAAGTCTCCAAAGAGAAAATAAATATGCCCCGATAAAGGAAAAAAGAACAGAAAACGAGTAAATAAGTATATTTTTCCACTTTGGGAGGCCGAGGCAGGTGGATCACTGAGGTCGGAGTTCGAGACCAGCCTGGCCAACATGATGAAACCCCATCTCCACTAAAAATACAAAAATTAGCCGAGCGTGGTGGCACACGCTTGTAATCCCAGCTACTTGGGAGACTGAGGCAGGAGGATGGCTTGAACCCAGGAGGCAGAGATTGCACCACTGCACTCCAGCCTGGGCAACAGAGTGAGACTCCTGAGTCTCAAAAAAAAAAAAAGGTATATTTTTCTATGACAGTGCTATAGCCTACAGATTATAAAAATCCTCTGACCAAAATTAAATGGCAAAAGTAAAAAACCTGAGCATGTAATTGTTGCGTAAGTTAGGAACTCCTTTACTTTTTAAGCAGTGAGTCCAATGTCAAAACAGGTGCAGCTTGTAAACTAACTTTCATTAGAATAAATTCACATGACCATCTGCCCTTTAAGGTAGATGACAGGTAATATAAATTACTTATTGGATAAAGACAGAAGGTTCCCAGTAGGCAGAAAATACTGGGGAACCGCCAGGCTTTCCAGGATCGATTAAGTTCCCAAGTGAGCAATCATTTAGTAAGAGAATACATGGAGGGGTGACACAGTATGGCTTGAGAGATGAAATATTTGCCAAACAAACCAAAACTGTGTTTAACTTTCTTAAAGTTAATGGACTTCCATGGCCTCCAGGAGGCAGTTTTGTCTCATGGACTGAGCACTAGATTTGGAGTCAGAAAACCTGCATTCTCCAACTTACAAACTTAAATTCTCCAACTTATCGGTGAGATTTTCAGAATTTTAACTCCTCTGAGCCTAGATTCTCAATAAGTAAAATGGAAATAATTAGACATACCTTGTAGAGCGGTTGTAAAGATTACATGAGAATATATGGCAGCTGTGAGAAAGCACGTAACACAGTCTTAGTCAAATCTGAGCCTTCTAGAAATTTTTATTTGAAAAAATCAGTAGATGTAACAATAACCACAGTTAAATGAAAGTTAATCAAATCAGTTCTATTGACCACCAAGTATCTAGGAGCCCATTCTCACCTCAATGGGGGGAGGGAGAGTTATCTAATTGCTATTAATAGTAATGGAACTAAAATATATCTACATATTATCCAGTGATTTTTTTGGTCTTATTATGTATTTCCTGAAATAATTAACTTCCATATAAGTTGTTTTAGCTAAATAATAAGCACTTTAATTGAGCGCAACAATCAGATTCTGGTCAACCACTGAACATGGAGAACTTCTGCAGATTTTCTGGACTGTAATGAACAAGGAATATTCAAAATCATAATAATAATGGGTAAACTTTGCCTGAAGCGTGGACAGCCTTCCTCAAAGAAGTCTTGGGAAATTCTGTTATGTCAGAATACACATATCAGACGGAGGAACTTCCAGAGATGTTCATTTAGTTATCATACCCCATGGCCTCCTCTTCTCTTAGAAAGGGAGGGCAGCGGTAGGTCACCACAAATCCCTCCCTCCTCCTGTTTTAATAAGGGTGATTCATTTATATGGGAAAATGCAACAAAGATTTTTACTGAGGAACACTGCCTACAAGATGGAATGTTTTTCTTTTAACACAGAGTATTAAAAATTCACTCCAAAAACAAAAGCATTCAAAAATATATACAAGTTTGAAACATTTAATACATACTTCTGTTCAGAGCTGTTACCAGCTTTTAACTATGTATGGGCCTTATCTGAGACTACATTGGAGATCATGTAGAGAAAATGAGGTAACTCTTCTTTGAGGTCTTCACTGTTTGCATTCATTGATGCTTAAAGGTAACGTCTACTAGCTCAAAAGTTTTTAGCAATCTACATCTCATAAAAGCAACAAAGTGATGGATGTTTGATAAGGATAATATTTAGCATTCGGTTACTTTATTTAAGTGGTAATGGTGTGGACTGTGTTAGCCTAAACTGAGAAAAATGATCAATATTCTGCTGCTTCGAGATAGCAAAATAATTTTAGAAGTTGTGGAACTTGAAAATTAAAGGAAAGTCTTATTCCTAAAGAAGGCATCCCAATATAGTGAGAAGCACTTAATTAGGAGACTAACTATCTTCAGGAATTAGGAATTTTGTGTCCTAGCTCTGCCACTTCCTAATTAATATGAACTTGAGGAATTGCAGAAGTGTAACACGGTTCACCGTGAAGACGATCCATCCCACTGATGGCACTTTATAGCTAAGCAAAGTGATATCGGCATTTGCCCAAGTGAGGAGTGAAGTAGCTCTGAGTCCAGTTATCTTTCAAGTACAGCAAGATGCTTCCGTTTCTACAAGAGTATTACTTTGTCCAGATTCTCCTAATGACTATGTCTATGAAAATGCTGAGTGTGGCATATAATGCTTGATGCTTTTAATAAGCTTGAATTAAAATAAAAATCAAAGTAACAAAATTTCACATTTCTTCAAACACCATTTATCAGCCAGGGCAAATTAATGTAGCATAAAATCCAAGGAAAGCTGGAAAATGCCACATGACCAAGGAGACCCTTCTGTCACAGCTTTGGTTAGGTACTTCCATAAAATTCCTTTTTGCAAACACACTAAACAATGGAAAAACCTTCTCATAAAGCCCCATAAGGCTTTTCTGTTCTTCCTTCACTTGTTTTTGCTTATATCTGAGGTATCAGAGCTTGGCTGTGTTGGAGGTAGAATTCATGGGCGAAAATGTGTTAACTTGACCAGATTATCATGTTTGGTTTCTTCTTCAAGTTTAACAGTTTAAGGGAGACAGAATCTCCATAATGGAAGAAATAAGTGGTATAATGCAAATTAGTTAAATAATATTAATTATTACCAAAAGTTATAACTAAGCTGGCTAACATTTATTGCATGCTTATGATGTGCCTGGTACCGCACTAAACTATATTCAATTGAATCACACCCTTTAAGGTGACATCCTAGCTTCTGTGCCAGAGTAAGCTTCCAACAGGGAGTCTGCTTAGATTCCGGGGGCCGGCGGTGGGGGGGATAGACAGAAAGTAGGGCTCCCTTTACAGCAGATATGAAAGGTGCTGTGGACAACAGCTCACCTGAAGGACACCCTATGGGTCCTCTCATAACACCTACAGTACCACCAGCCTTGACACAGAGCCCAGGGGCAACTTGTGCTTCAGTCAACCTGTGAATTCTTGATATTTATTTCTACTTGGGAGCATAAAAAACCCAAAGGTAAGTGGAGAAAACGCTCTTTACCTCCCCACTTCTTTCTCTGGGGATTCTCCTTTCTCTTGCATTAGGCCAAGAGCAGAAAATCCTGGAGTCCCCAGAAGGTAAGGTTTAGAGCTGACTGGAAGCCAGAACAACTGCCTTAGAACGCCAACGAGGACTGCTACTCTGGCCCCCTTAAGACCTCGGAGGACGGCTTTGGCCAAACACATGGACAGGTGCTTCGCCATTTTATTTTTTATTTTTTTTGAGATGGAGTCTAGCTTTGTTGCCCAGGCTGGAGTGCAGTGGCATGGTCTCGGCTCACTGCAACCTCCGCCTCCCAGGTTCAAGCAATTCTCCTGCTTCAGACTCTCAAGTAGCTGGGATTACAGGCACCTGCCACCACGCCCGGCTAATTTTTGTATTTTTAGTAGAGATGGGGTTTCACCATGTTGGTCCTGATCTTGAACTCCTGACCTCAAGTGATCTGCCCACCTTGGCCTCCCAAAGTGCTGGGATTATAGGCGTGAGCCACGCGCCAGGCCGCTTTGCCATTTTAGCAGGCTTACCAGGCTTAACCACATATTGTGCGTGTGTGTGTGTAAACACTTATGTATATGTGTTTGTGTGTATACACAGACACACACACATATACATAAATGCATAATAAAGTACCTAGTACAATGGGTGGCACACGCTGGCACTTGATGACTGTGTTTTCTTCCTCACTCTTGTTTCCCAAGGTGGCATGTCACAAACAGCTTTTAGGCTGCTCAGACACAGTTCTTTCATTCCATCAGATGCCACTGAAGATTCGCCCTCCTGATTATTAATTATAATAATTCACTTCAGAACCCAGGGATTTTATGGAACATCAACTAGGTGACAGGCAACACATTTGAGGCAGAGATGATTATTTAGCTGATGAAAAGCCACTACCAACAGAAAGATTACAACCTCTGGAGTAGTTATTGCTACCTTTGAAAAGGTCAAAATCCGAAAAGATCCCAGTGATTCCTAACGGCAATTTCTACTTGAATCTATTCAAATAAAAATGGAGGTTTTAATTAATTAGGCTGCAGGCTTTGCCCAATAGTTCACATAGGTTGTATTTCAGTTTAAGTGCAGAACCAACAAAACAAAATATCCTTTGGGTGTTTAGCAAACTAAAGGAAATTGTACCTAATGTTTTGTGTATTTCTTTTAAATCAAAACCCTAAGATCACTACAGGAAACCACACCAGAACGTTATGTGATATCAAGTCATACACTGATGATTAAATATTACCTGTTATTTATATACAGATGGAGAAATGCCGAAACTAATCTCTATTCAGGAAAGGTCAACTAGTAAACAAACTTATAAATGCACAGTGACTAAAAAGGGAATAACATTAAATCTTAAGGCAGCATTGGTTGAGTCTTCTCTGGTAAAGGAAGTATTACATATGTCAATGACTAGTGTATGATTTTTTAAGAAACCAATTAATTAAAATAAATACTAAAATAATGTTTTCAAAAAGAAAGAGGACTGATTTTAAGACTTCTACAAAATGAATTTGTATTAGAGTTTTAATTTGGGATTAGAAAGCATATTAGGAGCATAATGGAATAAAGTTACACAAGATTTTCCTCAAATGCAAAGTCAAGGTCCCTAGAAATTATTGTTACTCTTAATGAGCACTCTTTGAGCTCCTTTTTCACTTGTTGTTGCACTCAGAGTAGTTATTAGAAAATTCTGCTGATTTTTAAATAATGTGGTCAGGTTGCATTTTACCTGAGTGAAATGGTTTCAAACTGCATTACCTACCATTATGCGCTAATTTTATAACTACATCCTTAATGCTGAGTTTGCTTACCTGGTGGGGTGCCTAAATCATCGTGTCCCAAGTATTGGTGCCATCCTAAAATGATGACATGTAATTGTGGCTGAAAAGTCATACATTGACAAAAATATTCCAAATCTCTTTAATAAAGAAAGTTTGGGGATCTGTGTTTTTTGCAGCTTGTTTGGTTAGCTTTTCTTGGCTAAGACTAAAAATTACCTTTAGTTGTTTTATAGATCCAGTGGTATATGCTGACCGAATAATGGGATGACACGAAGAACAGACAGAAACCTCAAAAAATGTTCCAATCAAAGGAGCTCTCACATGGTGCTGAGAAATAAAACATAGGCACTTCTGCTTCAGGAGGTTTTCACATTTTGATCACAGATTGGCTTTTCCAAGCCATTTTCCTTCACTACTAGAAATTCCCTCATGGTACAAACTGTCTAGTTCACTAGAAGCCTTGTTCTCACAGACACCCTTCTGGTGCGTGAATCTTTTATCATAAAATTCTCTCCATTGACAGCCGAGATGGGGTTCCTACCGCTGCTGGGAGCCGTGGGAGCAGCCCAAGTCCTTGTCAGATGACCAAGTGTCGCTTGAGGATACTCCCCGACACAAGGCTGCCTGCCCTCCAGAACCACCTTATCCACCAACAGAAAAAAAAGGCGCATCAAGCGCAATCTGTCTCCTGGAAATAGGGAACGTGTCTGCCTCTCTCTAGTTTCTAATTGTGAGTGTAATTCAACAAAGTGTACAGTCTTCCTAACGTTCTAAAGCTACTGCGCTACTGGGATTTTTTTTTTAAACGACTACTTAACAGTTTCCTTTTTTGTTTGTTTGTTTTGAGAAAACCTGTGCTAGAAAGGCACTAGAGAAAATGAATTTCCTCACTCTTGTATGTAACAATTATACATTGTGTTAGATTCTAAAAGCTAACGAAGTTGACGCACATTTGGATAAACCATCCGAATGATTTAGACTCATCTAGTTTCATTTTAAAAAGCAAACCCCAAGTCAAAGGGAGGGCAGGCCACACCAGGGGAGAGCCGCCAGACCGGGAGGTCACACCTGGTCAGCCCCTGCCTCCAAGGAGCTCCAGCTGCTCCAACCCTGGCTGGCCCGAGCAGGTGACAGGGCAGTGGCCGGGCCCCAGTGGGGGCTCACTGGCAGCAGCTGTGGGAGCCAAGCCTCCGGGAGACCTGAGTGAACGAGACAAAGGTGAAGTTCTCACAGTTTTCCAGCTTGACCTTCTTGGCTAAGTTTGGGACAATTCCCCGAAGAGAGCGCAGCCCCATCCTCTGCTCCTCATACCACACGCTGCCCATGTCTGTGGCCTCCTTCCTGGCAGTCAGGTAGAAGGGGGACTTGGCCTCCATTTGGGTGGGCGGCCGGTGGATGTACATGTACTTGTAGAGGAGGCAGTAAGGGCACTGTTTGTGTCCCCGGGAATGCTCATGGTAGATCTTCCCGTGACACACTCTGGTGGAGCCGCTCCGACTCTCCCGCTTGACGCTGTCCGTCCGGGCAAAGTAGGGCTGGTTTTGGGGGTCTTTGAGCAGCTCGATGTCACCATACATCAGATCCGCATGCTCCTGCAGCGTCCGCATGTTCAGGTACTGGCTGTTGTACTTGACCACAGTGGACAGGAGAGTGATAGGGCTGTCATCCCCCAGACACCCTGCCTGCCACATCTCCTCCTCGTCAGAAAGGGAGAAGTAGACGATGTTGCGAGAACGCGCGCCCGACATGCCTGCCTTACTCAGCACCCACAGCTTCTCCTTGAGTTTCTTGGTGGAGGAGCTGAAGGTGCTGCTGGTGATGGAAAAGCCGACACCTGCATTCTTCAGGATGCGGTCCAGGCCTCGGCGAATAGCATGGAGCGAGGTGGCCAGGAAGTCCGAGCCGTCGCTCTTCTTGACGGTGACATAAAAGTTCTCGAGCAGCTCGTTCAACTTCACTGCAGGGATCTCAAATGAGACAAACACGGAGGTTACACACTTGACACTCACACAGCCAGACCCCTCCTTCCTTCTAATCCTCACCAGGGGCTGTGTTGAGGACATTCTGTGACCCCTTAGCAGGACACAATGGAAAGAACAGTGAATTTCAAACTGGAAGATCTAGGTTCCATACTTGGCTCCACCTAATCTCTTTAAACCTCAGTATTTCTTTTTTCTTTTCTTTCTTTTTTTTTTTTTTTTTTTTTTTTTGAGTCAGAGTCTTGCTCTGTCGCCCAGGCTGGAGTGCAGTGGCGTGATCTCGGCTCACTGCAAGCTCCGCCTCCCGGGTTCACGCCATTCTCCTGCCTCAGCCTTCCGAGTAGCTGGGACTATAGGCTCCCGCCACCACGCCCGGCTAATTTTTTGTATTTTTTGTAGAGATGGGGTTTCACAGTGTTAGCCAGGATGGTCTCGATCTAATTTTTTGTATTTTTTGTAGAGATGGGGTTTCACAGTGTTAGCCAGGATGGTCTCGATCTCCTGACCTCGTGATCTGCCCACCTTGGCCTCCCAAAGTGCTGGGATTACAGGCGTCAGCCACCACGCCTGGTCTAAACCTCAGTATTTCAATCTGCAAAACAGAACTCATAATCAATACCCTCTCCAAGGCTGTAATGCTTAAAGCAGAGGACCGTGAAAGGGTGTGTAAATAGTAGTGAACACCCCCCCATACACATATATACATGTGTGTCTGCAAATACATCTATATATACACACTTATTATTATTGGTTGTTTGTAACTTTCACTATTCCTCTTGGAAGGCCCTTGGTTTTCTTTGTTTGCAAATCATTTGCTTCCCTCTCCTTTAATAAAATTCAACCAAACTCTCTGAAAAATTCCTGAATTAAACAAACTCTGAATAACTTCATCATTGATTTCCTTGATATCTGCACAGAACATTTGGTTACTAGACATAGTGCTGTAGGGAAAGACATCTGATATGTCCATTTTGCACAGCAAGTTAATGCTCCTTGATTTTTCCATTGAATTTATCTGAATAGGTCCTGAAATAGCTGTGGTTTAATGAGCCACAGGTTTTCAATATCAGTTGTTTGTTTAAAAGATATGAAAAAGCTGGGCATGGTGGCTCACGCCTGTAATCCCAACACTTAGAGAGGCCAAGGTGGGCAGATCACCTGAAGTCAGGAGTTCAAGACCAGCCTGGCCAACATGGTGAAACCCCCATCTCTACTAAAAGTACAAAATTAGCTGGGCATGGTTGTGTGTGCCTGTAGTCCCAGCTACTTGGGAGACTGAGGCAGGAGAATTGCTTAAATCGGGAAGGTGGAGGTCACAGTGAGCCGAGATTGCGCCACTGCACTCCAGCCTGGGTGACAAGAGCGAAACTCTGTCTCAAAAAAAAAAAAAAGGAAGAAAAAGGAAAAGTTAATGACTGTCTTGACAGAATGAGCTCTTTATTTAGAGAGAGGTGGAAGAGAAGGAAGAGCTTGGTTATTAAGAAAGCTTTATTTTCAAGATGGAACTATGAAGGGCAAACCAGCCCTTGCTCATGGTCTATTCAAGCTGAATACATATTCTAGGACAATTAGAAAGTCCCAATAAAATTTTTTTTTTATCAAGTAGACACTGGACAGGTAACATTCATTCTTCTAATAGCCCTTAATTAAGGCAAAAATAAAAGCTGAACTATAGATTAAAAATTAACCGAACCGAAAACATTATATATCAAAATGTATGAGATATTGCTAAATATACATAATAAATATACATCATAGTTTTGAATGACATTGTTAGAAAACTTTATTGAGAATAAGCAAACGGATTATTCAACTCAAAAAGCTAGAAAAAGTAAACTAAACTCAAAATCGTAGAGTGGGGTTGGGCATGGTGGCTCATGCCTGTAATCTCAGCACTTTGGGAGGCTGAGGCAGGAGGATCACTTGAGGTCAGTTTAAGACCAGCCTGGCCAACATGGCGAAACCCCTTCTCTACTAAAAAAATACAAAAATTAGCCGGGCATAGTGGTGTGCATCTGTAGTCCAGTCCCAGCTACTTGGGAGGCTGAGGCAGGAGAATCGCTTGAGGCAGAGATTGGAGTGAGCTGAGATCATGCCACTGCACTCCAGCCTGGGCAACAGAGCAAGACTCTATCTCAAAAAAAAAGGGAGAGTGAATCAATAAAAATAAAAAATTAATGGACTAGAAAAGAAATAAATTGGGATAGATAAAAATGTAATCTTTGAAAAGACCTATAAAGTTGACAAACTTCTAGCAGGTCTGACTTTTTTATAAAGAGAGTGAGAAAGGAGGAAAGGAAGTGTGTATACACCTAAATCATATTAGGAATAAGAAAGACTATATAGAAAATGAAGAGAGTAAAGAATATGAAAGAACATCACATACTTTATACATATTAATATGAAAATCTAGATAACCTGAACAATTGTCTAGCAAAATATAATTACTAAAATGGGTTCAATAAAAGGTAAAGGATCTCAATAGCCCCAAAGAGTGTGAAATGATTGTCAAAGATGTATATTGTTCCTAAAGGGATGCCTTTATGGAATCAGTTCAGCTTTTCTTTTTCATTTAAATAGTTTCAGAGCATAGAAAAAGACAGAAAGGCTCTTCATTTTTTTCTAGCCCAAATCTGACCAATATTACATTAAAACCCAAAGTATATAAATATAAACTCCCCGAAGTAAAATACAAGCAATTTTCATTTTGCATGTTATTAGGTTAAATAGAATGTATGCACATTAGTACCACCCACAGCGAGGGCATGGCTCTGAGACACACAGATTCCAGTTCATATGGTACCTCTCAAAACAACGACTGCCTGTGTAACCAGGTATCCCAGCCTCGAAATGCTTTTTTTTTTTTTTTTTTTTTTTTGAGACAGAGTCTCACTCTGTTGCTCAGGCTGGAGTGCAGAGGCATGATCTCAGCTCACTGCAGCCTCAACTCCTGGGTTCAAGTGATTCTCCTGCCTCAGCCTCCCGAGTAGCTGAGACTACAGGTGTGTGCCACCACACCCGGCTAATTTTTGTATTTTTTAGTAGAAACGGGGTTTCACCATGTTGGCCAGGTTGGTCTCAAACTCTTGACCTCAAGCGATCCGCCCGCCTAGGCCTCCCAAAGTGCTGGGATTATAGGCTTGAGCCACTGGACCCAGCTAAAATGCATTGTAAAGTTTTGTTTTTCTTTTCTTCTTAGCCTCAGAATGTAGCCTTGAAATGTACCTTAAAACCCTTTGTTTCCCTCCTTTCCCACCAGACACTCCCTTACACCATGCACATTTATTTAATTATGTACTTATTCAACTTACACCAGGCACACTTATCTAACTATGTGCTTTCTTAGAAGTTCCAGGGCTAATGTGGAGAGAAACCAGGCCTGGAGATCCAGTTTCAAAATTCCAGAGATTACCTCAAGGCCGTTTGTCAACAACCCAGCTATTACTGAGATGAGGCCACCATGCTCCAGGTGGACCACGACTCAAGATAGCCACTGAAACAAGACACAGAGACCTTGTGCCCAGCAACACTCCCGCATGCCTCCCATTCCAAGTTCCCTTTTTAAGCCCCTCTCTCCAGCCAAAGTTGAAAATGGTTTCTTTAAGGCACTAGCCTTGGCTATTTACCCACTGCTAGCTCTGGAAGAAAGTCACTTTCCTTTCACTGCATCTCACCTTTGTTACTGGCTTTGCAAGTGGTGAGCAGCGGCACCTGTGTTTGGTTATGCCTGTATTATCAAGTTAAATTTAGGATTGCAGTACAGCGATGCTGCATCAAAACAAGGGGGGATTATTGTAGAACGTAAAAATGATTCAATCTCTTTTTTTGTTTTATAGAGGAGTGCCATAAGTTTTTGTTGGATGAATGGATTAATGACAATACAGTCAACGCATTATGGGAAGACACAGAGAGGCATCGAACCTATCCTGTGGGCATCATGGGAAGTGTTTGATTCCTGAAGTGAACACAAAATGACTCCATCTTCATAAATATTTTAATATAATTGACATTCACACATTAAAGCAAAAATATGAACTTATACATACTTGAAAAGTATTTGAAAAAATGTGACATCCATTACAAATTTTTAAAAATTCAAATTCAAATTTAGATAGGAAGAAAAAGATCCTCTTACTACAATGAAGTGTAATTTACAGGCAAGAGCTAGAAAAACTGTACCCAAATGAAAATATTCAAATCTTTCTTATAAAGTCAGGAACAGGAAGAGCTTACTGAATATCACTGTTATTATATAATACTGTTCTGGAGGTTCTCACCAACCAGATAAGACAAGAAAAAGAATTTATATATACACACACATCCATATGCATGTATATGGGAAAGGAAAAAGACAAAATACAATTGCTTTCTGATAACCTGGTTGTTGGTCTAGGAAACCCCAAGAGATTCAGCTGAAAAGCTATCAGCGTAGGTTAGTTGTATGCAAACTATAAGAAAAACAGCTTTCTTATATACCAGTGATAACCAGTTAAAATAACTTGCCAGTAACCATTGCACTAAAACAAAGCTGGCTTTGGATTTTTTTTTTTTTTTTTTGGATTTTTATGTTGTCACTTGCAACTCCCTACTTGCAGGTGGTAAGCTCTCTTTATAGTAGTCGAGACTCCTTTGGTTCCAAGAGACAAACCAAACTTGAAGCTGAGGCAGAGAGGGATATCAGAACGAGCGGACTCCAAGGCCATCAGGATTCTCATCTTTCGCCTCTGCTTCTTTGTGCGGAGTGCTTTTTTCACATAGCTGCAAGCACAGCCACCTAGCACTCCCCCAAATTTACATCTTAAAGCTTCAGGCTTAGCAAGAGACCAACTCTCATTTTCAGGAGAAAAACACCAAAAAGAAGGATTCTGATTGGCCCTAATTCAAACAACTTGCCAAAAGGTAGTCCATTCTATCCATTCTCCTAATGTGATGGTTTCTGCAATAACCATGTGGATTACAAGAGAGGAACGGTTCCTGAATAAGGGGTGCTGAGTAGAAAATCTTATTTTTTATGTTAGTGCTTTCAACAAAAACCAAAAAGCCAAACTTTGATAGTTTCCTGTGCCCTTGAGATAAATTCCAAACTGTTTACTTTGTGTGCAAGTCTTCACAATCTGCTTCTGACAGTATGAGAAGACAGCTACGATTCCCCTCCCTGTACACACACCCTTTGGCAATGAGACTTTGCTGCTTCTCCGATCAAGTAGAATCCATTTTCCCACCCCTTGAATCTGGGCTAGCCACGTGACTTATTTTAACCAGAAGTGACAGTGTGTGAATTCCAAGCCTTCAAGGAATGTGTGAATTCCCAGGCTTCAAGGGGTTCTGCTTTTGCTGCTTTTGTCTTTTTTAAGACAGAGTCTCACTCTGTCGCCCAGGCTGGAGTGCAGTGGCATGATCATGGCTCACTGCAGCATCCACCTCCCGGGTTCAAGCGATTCTCTTGCCTCAACCTCCTGAGTAGCTGGGATTACAGATGCATACCACCATGCCCAGCTAATTGTTATATTTTTAGTAGAGACGGGGTTTCAACATGTTGGCCAGGCTGGTCTTAACTCCTGACCTCAAGTGATCCGCCCGCCTTGGCCTCCCAAAGTGTTGGAATTACAGGTGTGACCGCACGTGGCCTGCTTCTGTCTTGTAGGTTCTCACTGGCTTAGTGCATGGTGTTGCCATGTGAGGAGGCCCAGTTAGACTGTGGGAATATGGGGAAAAGTTGTTTCCCATCTAACATCCAAATGACTGCACCCATATGAGTACCCCAAGTGAGACTAGTAGGGGAGGTACTCAGCTGAGCTCAGTACAAAACGCTAACTCACTCATCAAATCATGAACAAATAAAATGGCTGTTGCTTTAGGTCCCTATATTTTTGAGTGGTTTGTTATGGAGCCGTAGATGACCAGTACACACCCTATTTCTGTAACCTGACCTTTTGGTTCCCTTTGTACTCTATTTTCCAGCTTCATCGAACTTCTTGCCATAACTAGAAACCATAAGACCTTTTCATGCTACTTCCTCTGCCAAGAATGCTTTTTTCTACTAACCTTCTCTATTTGGAAAATCTCTATTCATTCTTCCAGAATTAGCTCAAATTTTACTTTCTACGTCACCTAAGCAAAGTTATTCTTTCATATGGGATCCCATTGCACTTAATTTAAATTTTTATTATGGTCCTTTCCATGTTGTACATTCTCTTACCTAGTTTATGTCTACCTCTTGAAGTGGACTGAAAGCTCCCTGAAGACAAGAACTACATTTCATTTATGACTGGGTCTTTAACACATACCAGAAGTCCCGAAATACATGATTGGCACTATGTAACCATGGGTTAGGCGGGGCACAGTGGCTCATGCCTGTAATCCCAGGACTTTGGGAGACTAAGGTGGGCGGATTGCTTGAGTTGAGTTTGAGACCAGCCCGGGCAACATGGTGAAACCTCATCTCTCCAAAAATTACAAAAATTAGCCAGGCATGGTGGTGTACATCTGTAGTCCCAGCTACTCTCAGAAGGCTGAGGAGGGTGGATCACTTGAACCCCGGAGGTAGAGGCTGCAGTAAGCCAAGATCACACCACTGCACTCCTGCCTGGGTGACAGAGTAAGACCGTCTCAAAAGACAAAAACAAAAACAAAAAAAACAATGGGTTAAACCAACGAATTAACCTAGTGCCAGGCGAACCAAGCTGACTTAAGATACAGAACGTTTTTCTTAATTTCCACAGAACATTACAAGTCTCAAAGTAAAATCACAGCCAAAGCAATTCCTCGAGAAATGTCAAGTCACAACACTTATATTGTTTGCACACAAGAAACAGTTCATTCTGGCCCGTGTTGTTTGCCTCCTTAGTTTTCTCTGACTCAGTTTTAGTTAGTGATTATTCCCCCAGGTTACTAAGGTTTCAATCAATTATAAAGACATCGCAAGAAACCATTTTCCTTTAGTAACCATTCTGAATTGATTCACCATGTCAAGACTCACTATGGATGATAAAATTGGCTTCCTTGATGTAAAAATGACCAAAGAGAAGTCAAAGACTGGTCATGGGGCTGATGACACCAAGTGGGAAAGAATAAAATAAAAACTGGGCTGGGCACGGTGGCTCACTCCTGTAATCCCAGCACTTTGCGAGGCCAAGGCAGGTGGATCACTTGAGTCCAGGAGTTTGAAATCAGCCTGGGTAACATAGTGAGACCTTGTGTCTAAAAAAATTTAAAAATTAGCCAGGCATGGTGTTGCACGCCTGTAGTCTCAGCTACTCAGGAGGCTGAGGTGGGAGAATCACTTGAGCATATTTTTTATTTCTTTTTGTTTCACATTCATTGATTTTAGACCTTCTTTGATAAGCATTTAAAGCTAAAAATTTTTTCTCTAGACATTATTTTAGCTACAACTCACAAATTCTGGTAAGTGGTGATTTAATTTTCATTCAGTTCAAGACATTTTATAACTTCCTTTGTGATTTCTTCTTGGTCCTTTGGTTATTAGTAATATGCTAACTTCCAAGTATTGGGTATATTCTAGTTAGCTATCTGTAATTAATTTATAATTTAATTTGGCCAGGCACAGTGGCTCACACCTGTAATCCCAGCACTTTGGGAAGCCGAGGCAGGAGGATCACCTGAGGTCAGGAGTTCGAGACCAACCTGGCCAACATGGCGAAACCCTGTCTTTACTAAAAATACAAAAAATTAGCCAGGTATGGTGGCAGGCACCTGTAATCCCAGCTACTTGGGAGGCTGAGGCATGAGAATCATTTGAACCTGGGAGGCACAGGTTGCAGTGAGCTGAGATTGTGCCACTGCACTCCAGCCTGGGGGATAGAGTGAGACTCTGTCTCCGAAAAAAAAAAAAATATGTATATATATAGAGAAATATAAAAAATATATATATAGAATTAAATATAATTTAATTCTATTGTGGACAGAGAACATATTCTATATGATTTTAACCCTTTTAATTAAATTAATTGAGATTTGTTTTATGACCCACCATACTGGTCTAGTTTGGTGAATATTCCATGGCATTTGGAAAGAATTTGTATTCTGCACTTGGTTGGAGTGCTACATACAGGTCAATTAGGTTAAGTCAGTTTGACAGCGTTAAGTCCTTATCCCTACTGATTTTCAGTCTACTTGTTCTATAAATTACCAAGGGAGAAGTACTGAAATCTCCAATTGTGGATTTGCAATTTTTCCTTTAAGTTTTATCATCTTTTGCTTCATGTGCTTTTATGCTCTGTTTTTAAGTGTATACACATGATCTTCATGTCTTCTTTATGAATTGATGTTTTTATCACTATGAAATTTCCTTCTTCCTGTTAAAATTCCTTCTGTGGAATTCTACCTTGTGTGATATTAACAGCTACTTCAGGTTTCTTATGATTAATGCTTGCATAGTATATCTTTCTCCCATCACTTTACTTTTAACATTTCTCAGTCTTTATATTTAAAGCCAGATGTGAATAGCACATAGTTGGTCCTTGCTTTTTTAAAAAATCCAGTCCGACAGTATCTCTCTTTTCATGGGTAGATATAATTATCAAGATAGCTGGGTTTACAGCTACCATATCTTGCCATTTGTTTTTCATTTGTTCCATTGGTTCTTTGTTCCTTTTTTCCTCTTCTTTTCCATTTAATTTTTTTTTTTACAGTTCCACTTATTTCCACATTAGGATTATCCACTCTATCTCTTTGTTTTATATTTCAGTCTTGCTCTAAGATTTGCAATATCTATCTTTAACTTATCACAGTCTACCTTCAAATACTATACCACTCCGCAAATATTGTTGGAACTTTACAACACTACCCTTTCATTCATCCACTTATCCTTTTTGCTATTGCTGTATGCATTTTTTCCTCCATATATAAAATATAAACCTTGCAATATATTGTTATGAGAAAAACAAATTTTATATGCCATTTCAAGTACTTTGCATTCCTTTGTGAGATCCTTGTTTCTGTATGGTATAATTTTGCTTCTGCCTGAAGAGCTTCTTTTAATATATATTGTTGTGTAGGTCTTTTAGTGATGAATTCTCTCAGCTTTGGTTCATCTGAAAGGTCTTTATTTCACCTTTATTTTTATTTCCTCTGAATATAAAATTCTATGTTGACAGTTTTTCCTTCAGCTTTTTAAAGATGTTATTCTATTGTCTCCTGGTTTGCACAGTTTCTAATGAGAGTTTTTTTTCTTTTTTTCTGTATCAATTTAATATTTTTACTATTCCATTTTATCTTGTTATGGTTTTCATTTAAAAAGTCAGTGATCTTTGAAAGAAAATTTAAAATTTTAAAAACTTACATATTTACCCATGTAGCTATCATTTCCAGTAATCTTCATTCCTTTGTTTAGATCCATATTTCCATGTGGTATCATTTTCCTTCTGGCTGAAGGACTTCCTTTAACATTTTTCTAAGTGTGAATCTGCTGATGATAAATTCCTTCATTTTTGAATGCCTGAAAAGTCTTTATTTGATCTTCATTTTTTAAAGCTGTTTTCACAGAGGATAGTGAAAGTATTTTTCTTTCAATAATTTAAAGAAATTGCCCCTTGCCTTTTAATTTTCATTGTTTCTAATGAGAAATCTGTTGTCAACCCTATCTTTGTTCCTCTGTATATAATATGTCTTTTTTATCTGGCTGCTTTTTTCTCTTTATCATTGGTTTTAAGTAATTTGGTTACTTCCTCCTCCTCCTTTTCTCTTTTTCAGGGATTCCAATTACATGTACATTAGGCTCCTTGAAATTGTCCCACATGTCAGTAATGTTCTGATTATTTTTTAAAATTCTCAGGTGGGGTATGGTGGCTCATGTCTGTAATCCCAGCACTTTGGGAGGTCCAAGGCAGGAGAATAGCTTGAGCCCAGGAGTTTGAGATTAGTCTGGGCAACACAGAGAGACATCGTCTGTACAAAAAAAAAAAAAATTAGCCAGGTGTGGTGGCTTATGCCTGTGGTCCCAGCTACTCAGGAGGCTGAGGTGGAAGGACCACTTGAGCCCAGGAGATTGAGGCTGCAGTGAACTATGACTGGACTGCACTTCAGCCTGGGTGACAGGGCAAGGTTCTGTCTCAAAATAAAAAAAAAAAATTCTCTTTTCTTTCGGTGTTTCATTTTACATAGTTACTATTGCTATACATTCAAGTTCACATATTTTCTTCTCTAAGTAAAATATGCATAAGCATTTATTTTTCATCACACATTGTAGTTTTATATCTGTAAGTTCATTTTTGGTCCTTTTTATATTTTCCATGTCTCTACTTAAATTTTTGAACTTATCAAATATAGTTACAATAACTGTTTTAATGTCCTTGTCTTCTAGTTATATAATCTAGTTAGTTCTGGCCTGGTTTTGATGGATTCATCCTTTAAGGGATGTATTTTCTTGCTTCATTGCACGTCTGATAATTTTTGTTTAGATGCTAGACATTGTGAATTTTATCTCTTGTGTTCTAGATATTTTTACATTACTATACATATTCTGAAACTTTGTTCTGGGACATGATTAAGTTACTTGAAAATGCTTTGATCCTTTTGGATCCTTGTGAGATTCTCATTTTGGATCAAAGCATTTTCAAGATTTCTTGGATGGGATTAGAGCAGTGCTCTGTCTAGGGCTAATTATTCCCCATACCTGATGCAAGTCCTTTCTGAGTACCCCATGAATCCTGAGGTTTTTCCAGTTTGGCTGGTGGGAACAGGTACAGTTTCCAATTCTGTGTGAGTGCCAAGTACTGTTCCCTCTAATCTCTTCAGGCAGTTCTTTGTCAGCCTCAGATAGCTTCCTCACACATATATGTTGATCAGTACTCAGCTGAGTATTTGAGGGAGATTATCTTCAGAGCTCTTAGGTTATGTTGCTGTGCAGCTCTCTAGTTCTGAGTGCTCTGTCATGACAACTTTAGCCATGTTGGTCTCTCTGGACTCTCAGCTCCATTTCCTTAATTCAGCAAGTCCGCTGGGCTCTGACTGGATTCTCCCTCCCTGTACCACAAACCTACTATTAATTCTCTCAAGGCAGTAAGCTGGAGCAGTCACAGGTATTACCTTGTTTGCTGTCTCTTGGAGGTCACTGTCCTTAGCCTATTATATAATGCCTTGAAAAACATTGTTTTATATCTTTCATCTGTTTTATGGTTGTTCAAGAATAAGGGTAAATCTGGCTCTGCAAACTGGCCAAAGTGAAAGACTTAACTGATTTTTCTCCCATGTATGAGTCACATGTTCCCATGTCTAGTAATATTTGATTGGACACTAGAAATTGTGAAATTTACAATACTGGATTCTGAATTTTGTCATTTTTTTCTCAATAAACGATGAAATTTCTTTCTAGTGAACTTGTATCCTCAGCCTTTCTAAACTGTGATCTCTGCCTACCCTCAAATTAGTGAGATTGCCAAACTTTGAGCAGATTCCCCTCCCTTCATTGCAGTTCAGAAATTGCCTCCAGGCAGAAATCCTGAGATGACAGCGCTCCTCTCACTTGTTTCCTGTGCCTTAGGGCTCACATTCTGTGCAGCCCATTCTGTCTAAAAAGAATTGTTTCACATGTTGTGTCTGGTTTTCTAGGAGGGTAATTCTGGCAAGAAATGGAAATTTCAATTTGTTTTTAAATCTGCTAGATTACTGTGATTAGTATATTGTTGCGTATTTCTATATGTTTTCATATATAGTCTATAATCTGCTATCTAAAGGCCTTCGTGTCTAAATCTGTTGTTTGTTGTTTTTATTCATCCTCATGCATTGTGGTTTATTTCCTTCAGCGCTGTTTTTTTTGTTTGTTTGTTTTTTGTTTTTTTTAACGAGCACATATGTAGTTGCTCTGAATCTGCAAAAAAACCTGAGCACCTACATTTTGGATATTTTCCTTAAAAGAGTATTATCATATGACTTTGCCAGGAGCCAGGGTATGCTACCTACCTAGAACCACTTTAGGACCCTTTCAGGTCCTCTTTTTCATCAAGGATTCATCAGCTCATCTTCCCTTTTTAAAATAATGTTATCAACATATGCTCTCAGACAGGACCCTGCCTTTCATATGTGCTTACTGGTCACTGCTTCTGTTGCACTTTTTTTTTTTTGGTCCCATGGATGTTTCCCTGTCTTCAAGTACAGTAGAAAGGCCCCTCACACTATGTAGTGTACCATGGTGCCAGAAGTAGAAACCTGGGTTTCCTGTCCTATTTCATCTGTTGTTGATTCCCTAAGCACATCACTCAAACCTGGAGATCTCACTTGCCCTTGGGCTTCAACTATGACCTCTATTTGCAAGACTTTTCAATGTATACTTCCAGCTTTAACAGTTCCACCATGTTTTAAGTCCCACATTCCTAACTCTTTGTTGGCCATTTCCATCTGCAAATCTGATTTAGACTCAATGCAGTCAAATCAAAATACAGTACCTTTATGTTCTATCTCCACATGTCCAAGATTTTTTCCTTCGATTTACAAACCTCAAGCATTTCAAGTTGGATGAGTTTTTCAGTTTTCCTGTTTGTTTTTTAGAGGCAGCGTCTTGCTATGTTGCCCAGGCTGGAGTACAGTAGCTATTTACAGTCATGGCTGTAGCACACTGTAGCCCTGAACTCTTGGGTTCACGCAATCCTCCTGCCTTAGCCTCCTAAGTAACTGGGACTGTTACAGGTGTGTGCCAGTACCCCTGGCTTTCAAGTTGGAAGAAATTTAAGAGCTCATTTTACAAATGGGGAAATGGAGGACCAAGGACATTAACTTTTTGCTCATCACTTCCAATTATTTCCCTAAAATACCACTTTCATTATGTTTCTTCTCTCTCAAACAACTTCAGTGGTTTCCCTTTTGTCTAATCCTTAGGATGCTTGCAGATTTTATGGTCACAGTGTTTTCCCTACTACAATAGTCCCTTTCTCTGCCCCTGCAATAATCCTTTCAAATAAAGTCTCTCCTTAGCAAAAACAAAACAAGATATTTCAGTGATTTTCCAGTGTTCACAAGATTTTAGCCTGGCACTTAAGGGTTATCAGAATCTGGTTTTATTGTCCATGATACCAAGATATGAGGCCTCTGCTGTAGTCAAGTGAGTCTGTCTCCCCAAATTTTATTCTTCCTCACATCACTCAGCCTAGAAGGCTCCCGTCCTCATCTAATTCTACTAAAATCTTATCTTTCCTCAAAAAAAAAAAAAACCACTTAAATATCAATTCTCTCTCCAGTTTTACCAAATTGAAATTAATTTAGCCCTCTGAACTTTTCAGGCATTTCCAATCTATAAATTCATAAAACGCTTGTTAAATTCTGCTTTGTGTGTGGATTTTATCTATTTCATGTTCTTCCAAAGTTTCCCCAGGCAGAAAGCCACCGTTCTGTGTTCCCTACAATGCTTAGCACAGTGCCTGGCATTTGGAAGCTCAGTGAAGTTGGCTGAAAGAAGTAAACTCAAGAGTCCCTTACCTTGGTGATGTCTGTGTGGTCTTTGAGCCCGTTGGTCATGCACCAATAACGCCACACATTCAAGGCGTACCGCGTGGCTTTGGTAGTATTTGGGCTTACTGCACTGGTACACAGATCATTCAAGTCATCATTAATATTAAATACAGGAAATTTGTTGAGCTTAGTGGAATAAGCTAGAAATAAAAACAATAAAAGCATTAAAATAATTTGCCATTCCCTTCTTTAGAGAATTACATCTTGGGATGATAAATAACAGAAAACTCTAAAAGACAACACTTTAAAACATGAAATGTCTATTAAAGTATATGTATATCTATATCTATCTGTATATATTAGAATAAGTAGGGAACAATACTTATAGCATGGAATCAATGCAGTAAGCTTGCATTTAATCCCAACAATTTTGCCATATATACTAGCTTATGTACTAATGCAGGCATTCCAATAATAGAAGTATAAAAATAAATGCTGAAAATCAAAGACTGTTCTATCTAAAATTTTCACTGAAAAAATAGCATTTCTATCAACAACAACAATCAAAAGGAAGAAAGAGAAAGCAAATAAAAAATGATATACCCTTAGCACATGAAGACCTATCATTTATTTGTAATTTACATTTTCAAATGTCTTGTGTGCCATCATGGGCAGCCTTGAATTAAATGGTGTTAGCATTTTTTTTTTTTTTTTGAGACAAAGTTTTGCGCTTATCGCCCAGGCTGGAGTGCAATGGTGGGATATTGGCTCACTGCAACCTCCGCCTCCTGGGTTCAAGCGATTCTCCTGCCTCAGCCTCCCAAGTAGCTGGGATTATAGGCACCTGCCATCACGTCTGGCTAATTTTTTATATTTTTAGTAGATGGGGTTTCACCATGTTGGCCAGGCTGGTCTCAAGCTGCTGACCTCAGGTGATCCACCCACCTCGGCCTCCCAAAGGGCTGGGATTACAGGCATGAGTCACTGCAGCCAGCTCTGTGTTAGCATTTTTTTTTTAAAGTTTTGTTCACAAAATTCATAGAGAGAGGTGTTTAAATCCTGATTCCACAACCCATCAACCAGCTTTGAATCAGAAGGGAAGGTCAAGTGAGAGAAAAATTGTAGGAAGGAGGGAGGAATATTTCAGAGGGGCTCACATCTCCTCAGAGGAAAGGGAACATGGTTTAACTTGCCATAATTACTTCAGATAAAGACAGGTCTCAACATGTCCAATTTTAAATGTTGGTTGCCAAAGGAATAACTAGCTGGCTTTTCTTAAGACCCTGTGATCTGCTAAAACCAGGCTTAATCTGTTCAAATTGTAAGTCAAGGTAGAGCATCTCAAAGTAAAAACACTTCATCTAATAGTTCTCACCCTCTCTGGACTATTGATGAATGTATTCAAACAAGGTGCTAACTGGCTAGGGCTGTGGGAAACAGCAAAATGAAAAATTAATGCAATGACCAAGGTGAACTGCAAATTGGGTTCACTTTACCTCCCTCACCTCACCTTTCCTGCTCCCTCTGAGCATCTCCTCTATACCAAACTACCAGTCTCTTACCGTCCCCAGGATCTGTCTGCACCAGGACACCCACACTACACCTTCCCCATGCACTGCCTGAGCAATCTTCACATGGTTGTTTTTTGTTTTTTGTTTGTTTGTTTGTTTTTGAGATGGAGTCTCGCTCTGTTGCCCAGACTGGAGTGCAGTGGTGCAATCTTGGCTCACTGCAACCTCCACCTCCCAGGTTCACGCGATTCTCCTGCCTCAGCCTCCCAAGTAGCTGCGACTCCTGGTGACCACCACTACGCCCGGCTAATTTTTGTATTTTTAGTAGAAACGGGTTTTTGTCATGTTGGCCAGGCTGGTCTAGAACTCCTGACCCCAGGTGATCTGCCCACCTCCGCCTCCCAAAGTGCTGGGATTACAGGTGTGAGCCACCGCACCCGGCCTTCACATGGTCTTTGCGCCAATCAAAATACCGTCTTTTTTTTCAATTCGAAATCCACTTTTACATAACCTTTCCTCACACTCACTCCACTCCCTTATTCTCTTCTTCAGTCTATGCCTCACATTTGCTTTACTATTTTTTAGGAGTGTGTTCTCATTGTGTCCAGAAGGTCTCTTCAATTGGTCTGCATGCCCCTTAGGACCATGTCTTTGTGCTTTCAATCTTGATCCTGCCCAGAACTGTTGAACATACTCTGCTTTAATAAATGTTTACAGCAAGAGAGGAAGAAAAAATGCTGGAAACTATCTGAAGCAACTGTGTCTTGTAGGTAGACTTCTCTCACCACCCCATCAACCTGGATAACTCCTATTACTTGTGGGACTTGCTTGATATTAATAAAAGGACTCTTGTATAAAATTTATTATTGTTATACGTAGCACTAATTGATGCCTACTATATGCCAAGAGGTTTTACATAAATTGTCTATAATCCATAAGCAATCCCTTTGTTATTCCTGTTTTCAAGGTAAGGAAACTCAGCCTCATACATGTAAGTAACTTCACATATTCACTCATCCAATATTTACCAAGGTACCCTCTCTGTGCCAGGCACTGGGCTGTTTAAATTATGGAGTTAATAAGTGGAAGAGCCAGGATTTGAACCCGGGTCTCTGACTCCATGCTTGAGTCACTACAGTGAAAGAATCAGGTACTATAAGGATAAAATTCTCAGTAAAGAATGCAATTTAGATACTAGCTTGTGCTTATGAAAAAATGCCTTGGTCCCCCAAATGTACTCAGATGAACCTTCAATAAGAATAACTAAGCCTGCTTTGTTTAGATGACCACTACTGTTTCAAACATGATTAATTATCACATTAAACCGCTAAATAATTTCTTAAAATTTTCTTAAAATCACAGGACAGAGAGTATACATTGAAAAAGGAAACCTAAATCCCAGTACACAGTGAAACAAATAAAGAATACTTATCTGCTTACATAATGGGACAGAAATGATGTGAAAATGATTAAATGACATATATGGTTCGTTCATGATTATATTTATGGATTAAATTTCATATACTTAATAAACTGCTTTCAAAATTTTGGAGGTAGGAGTTGTGTTATGCTGCTGAGGATATTTTTAAAAGACTATATTGGTGAAGAAACAAACAAAGGTAGTAACTTATAACTGAACACAGGAAAAAGCGGGAACTACTAAACGAAGATGTGAATGATTTTTTCTGCCAGAGGACAGGACAAACCCCGAGCTTAAGGTGAGGAGGAGCTGGGCGTGAGAGAAAGAAGGGACTATGAGATAGTGGTAGTTTAGGCTGCGGATGCCCTTACATCATCTACCACCAGCACAAGTGCTGGCAAGTACGGCTGCGTGAAGTGAGGGATATTTGCTGTGGAAGCCACCCTGAGGGGACAGAGAAAGGAAAGGGAGCACTGCCTCTGGTAACTCTGGGCAGTCCCATTGGACATGGACAAGGGAAAAAGCAAAGCAGCTAAGAAAAGCAAAGAAATCCCTGAACGCTGCCATCTCTCAAATAACACCTTCCTAGTGTCTATCACTGGGACAGTTCCAGTTTCCCAGCTTGTTGCCAGCTCAGGCACCCTGAAGGGAAGCCTATTCATGAACACTTCTTCAGCCACTTATCATAGCTGCTTGAAGTCCACTTGCAGAACCCTGTGCTCAGCCATGGCCTGCAGAAATGAGAGCTCAATCCAAGTGTTATCAGACAGGAGCCTTTAGCAATAGCTAAGGAAATCCCTATCAATTACCATTAATGATCAATCTAGACCTGAATTTTAAAATGTGAGTACATAAGCATCACTTGGCAATGGGGAAAACCAGTAGCATGACAGTCACCAAGCTACGCAAGCAGAAAAGCTAATTTCATGTTCCCTACTCGTCCCCCTGAAAGGAGACTTAATCTGGAAAACCAAAGACAAAAAATTAGACATTTCAAATATATCATTAGAGATTTGAGAGGATAACATCCTTAAAATAAGAACAGTCTTTACTGGAAAAGGAAAAACAGGAAAACAAGAAAGATCCTGGAAATTTAAGATGATTGAAAAAATATATTTTAAAAACAATAGATGAGCTGAGTACTAGAATGAACATGGCTAAAGGCAAATTAGTGATCTAGAAGGACTCTTCCCTACAGGGCAGGCAAAGACATAAGAAGTTATGAGGGTGAAGTTAAGAGATATGAAAGACAGATCCAGGAGACTGAATATCTATCCTAAGAATTCAAAGGAAAAACGTGTAAGGATGAAACAAATAATATAAGAAAAGTTCCATTAATCAAAGAAAGATTTGAAACTTTAGGATATTAAGGTTCATGAACTGTCAAATAGAAATACTGAAAGAAGACATACACGTAAACATATCTTGGTGAAATTTCCAAAGTCTAAGAACAAAGAAAAAACTCTACAATCTTTTCTGGTAGGCAGAAAAAAAAAAAAAGCCACCAAGAGGCACTAGAGCTGTCAACATAGCGAGAAGAATCAGATTTCTCATCTATAACACCAAATGGCTAAAAAAAAAAAAAAAAAAAGACATAGTCTCCTCAGAGTTGTAAGGGAAAAAGACTGTAAATGAAGAAATTTATTACCTACCTAAAGCAGCATTCAAATGCTAGGGCAAAATAAAGATATTTTCAATCATGAAAGAAGTAGCATCCAAGCACCCACCCTATCTTTAAAAAAATTAGTTACAGATATTTGCCGGCAAAATGAAAAATGGATAGAACAAAGGGGAAGATACAGGGTATAAGACATAGTGAGGAGCAAACATTTATTTTTAACATTCAGTAATGTGGCAATAAAGCTGAATACAATTGTTAAAGGACTGTATATTGTATGTAAAATATATCTCATTGAAGGTTTTTTTTTAAAGGATTGTGAAATAGATGAAGCATAATGGAATAAAATCTTGAACCAAAAATCCAACACCTGCAATCTATCTAGCAAAAGGTAGAACTGGTTAATAAAAGAAATAAAGAACAAACAAAGAAGCCATGATGTATAGAAAACTTAAATTCATGCACGTGGAGGACTTCCACTTAGGACTATGATGAAGTCGCTGGTATTATACTCTTCTTCCTGCTGAGAATCAACCTTGATAAAATTCACTGGAACACAATCAAATGAACCAGAACTCAAGAAGCAAAAATTACAGAAAGAAGGGAAATACATAGAGGTGATTCCTGCTCTGGTCACCATGTTTTTCTCTTAAGGCATTTGCAGAGCTGCAGCGCAGGACATAGAACCCAAACAGAAAGCAGCAGCCTGAAGTCTACAGCAATCTCAGTGGAACAGGTACATGAACATTCAAGTGCAGGGCTACCAAGCAGCCAGCCAGCGCTTGAGAGACCGAGATCCTGGAGGAATGAAACCACAGAAAAATGAGTCAACACTCTGCATATAATTTTCCTTCCAGAAATTGCTGATCTTAAGCCACATATGGAGAAACGATACAGAAAAGCCAAGCAGAAAGAAATCACCAAGAGGCAATTGCATGGCACTGAGGAGTCAAAAATAGTAATTCAGGTGGGGGCCTTCCAAAGAGGAGAGATGCCTTGGACAATCCAGCTTTCATTTGAAATCCAGGAAGGGCTTAACTGTAAGAGTTACAGAAACTGGAAATAGATCAGTCTAGACTGCATTAAAGTGATCCACCCACCTTACGTGCTGGCTAGCAGAACTTTAAATCTTTTCTTGAGGAAGATAACATCTTCAAAAGTTTTCATACACAGTGGTCAGCATTCAATAGCAAGTTAACAGGCACACCATAAAACAAGACCAAATGAATGAAAACTAAGAGAAAGATCAGGCAATACAAATAGGCCTACAGATAACATGGATTATTCAAGTTCTCTGACACAAAAATAATTTGAATATGTTAAAGAAAATAATGAAAAGACAGAGAATTTTACTAGAGCATTGGAATCTATTAACAAAACAGAAATTCTAGAATTCTTTCCTTTTTCTCTTCTTCCTCTTCTTCCCTTTTTTTCCTGAACTATGCACTTTTAAAGTTGTTGGTAGGGCAGGATGAGGTAGACATTTATACCACAGTATGTGTGTATTGATGGAGATGCAATGGCCTCCAGTAAGGGCATGGAGGGCATCTGCATAGGAGAATTGCCCATTGAGGTGTGTTGGAACTTCAGTAGGGTGAGAAATATCTTACACTATGGGGGCAATCTGGCAAGCAGTTACAGGGCTTGAGTCAAGAGAAAAAAGTATCCATGGAGGAGCAGCCTGGTATGTGGTGCCATAATCTAAGCAGGTTAAGAAGGGCATCCATGCAGCAGGGGGAGGCATGGGGAGAGGCCCTGTGTGAAGAGTCAGGGCCTGACTGGGGTGAGTAGGCCTTCCATGCATGGGGGTGACCTGGCATAAGGTGTCATAGCCTAAGCAGCATGAAGAAGGCTTCCATGTAGGAGGGTGTCCTAGGATGAAATGTTAAAGGTTGAATGGAGTAAGGAAGGTGTCTCTGGTTGGGAGGATGGCCCAGTGCAGGGCATTATAGGTTGAGCTGATAAGGATGGCATCTGTATGTATGTGGGTGGCAGAGCACAGTTGGGTGTTGGAGTCTGAGTGGGCAAGGAAAGTTGAAGAAAGACTGAGGAACAGGATATAACTAAATGCAATACATGATTCTGATTAGATCCTTTTCCAATAAAAGACACTGTTAGGGCAACTGGCAAAACTTCAATAGGAATAGACGTTTAGAGGGAAAGAATGCATCAGGGTTAATTTCCTAATTTTGATGATTATATTATGGTTATGCAGGAAAATGTCCTTATTTGTAGAAAAATCACAGGAAATCACTTGCAGGTGATGCTACATCAGGCTGGCAACTTAATTTCAAAATTCGTTGAGAAAAAAATGTTCTCTGTAATACACTTGCAACTTTTTGGAGTTTAAGATTGTTTCAAGCTTTAAAAATTATTAAAAAGGCAATAATGAATTGAGAATTCAATAAATGGGTAACAAGCAGGTGTAACACATAGATGATTTGTGAACTGAAAGGTCAATAGAAAACAATCAAATTGAGGCAGAGAGAGAAAAGAATATAGAAAAAATAGAAAAGAATATACAGAAAATAGCAAAATAGACACATGGGACATAGTGAAATGTCTAACATATTTGTAATTAAGAGTCTCAGAAAGAGAAGAGAGAATGGGGAAGTAGCAATATTTTAAAAATATTGGTCGAGAATTTTCCAAAATAAAATACCTCAGTCTACAGATTCCAGAAGCTTTCCTAACCAAGCAAAATAAATACAAGGAAAACTAAATGTAGGCACGTAGAATAACAATGCTGACAATCTAAGTCAAAGAGAAAATTTTCTTTTTCTTTTCTTTTTTTTTTAGAGATAGGGTCTCACTCTGTCACCCAGGCTGGATAGTCACCAATGGTGCTATCACTCATTGCAGCCTCGTGCTCCTGGGTTCAAGAGATCTTCCTGCCTCAGCTTCCTGAGTAGCTAGGACTACCTGCATGCACAACACCTGGCTAATTTTTACATTTTTTGTAGTGACAGGGGTCTCACTATGTTGCCCAGGGAGGTCTCAATTTCTGGCTTCAACCGATTTGCCTGCCTCAGCCTACCAAAATCCTGACATTATAGGTGTGATCCACTGTGCCCAGCCTTCTTTATTTTTCTTTTTCAACTTCCCACATAACACCACATTAAGAGAAAATTTTATTTTTTGTTTATTTTTTTGAGATGGAGTCTCTCGCTGTTGCCCAGGCTGGAGTGCAGTGGCACGATCTCTGCTCACTGCAAACTTTGCCTCTTGGGTTCAAGCGATTCTCCTGCCTCAGCCTCCCAAGTAGCTGGAATCACAGGCAGGCAGCACCACACCTGGCTAATTTTTGTATTTTTATTAGAGACGAGGTTTCGCCATGTTGGCCAGGCTGGTCTTGAACTTCTGACCTCAGGTGATCCACCCTCCTCGGCCTCCCAAAGTGTTGGGATTACAGGTGTGAGCCACCGCGCCTGGCCCAGCATAAGAGAAAGTTTAAAAAGAAACTGGAAAAAAAGGACAAATTACCTTATACAGCACAACATCAGACTGATTTTTCAACTGAAATGATGGAAGCCAGAAAACAGATGATATCTTTAGTATGCTAAAAGAAAATTGCTACAAGTCTAAAATTTATACTAAGCAAAGCATCCTTCAAAAATAAAGGTAAGGCCAGGTGCAGTGGCTCATGCCTGTAATCCCAGCACTTTGGGAGGCCGAGGTGGGCAGATCACGAGGTTTGGAGTTCGAGACCAGCCTGGCCAACATGGTGAACAGCCATCTCTACTAAAAATACAAAAATCTGCCGGGCGTGGTCACGGGCACCTGTAATCCCAGTTACTAAGGAGGCTGAGGCAGGAGAGTCGCTTGAAACTGGAGGAGGTTGCAGTGAGCTGAGATTGCGCCACTTCACTCCAGCCTGGGCAAAAGAGCGAAACTCCATCTAAAAAAATAAAATAAAATAAAAATAAAGGTAAAATGCAGCTGCAGTCACACAAAATAATGAGCAAATTCATTGTTAGCAGTCAAGCGCTAAAAAATAAAGACAGATGTTCAGGCAAAAGGAAAAAAGATGGCAGCAAGTTAATGAGAAAAGAATGAAGAATATTGGAAAGTGTGAATATGTAGGTGATTCTCAACGAATAAGCTGTTTAAAACAATACTAGTGACGTCTTGTGGGGTTCTAAATATATACAGAATTAACATTATAATAACACAAATAAGGGTAACTGAAGCTAGTTTTGAAAAGTTCTTGCATTGTCCAAAAAATGATGAAAACACAAAATTAAAGTAGATCTTAATAATGCAAGAGTGCACGTTTACATCTGTATGGTAACACTATAAGAATAAAATAATGTATAACTTATAAGTTAACAGAGGAGGAAAATGGGATAAAAAAGACTTGTTTAATCAAAAACAAGGCATAAAGAATAGATGGGACCAAAAAAGTGTAAGATGATAGATCTAAACATAAATATATCCATTATTATAGATATTCCAATTAAAAGATAAATGTTGTCAGGCTGGGCAAAGGAACAATATTCAGCTATATTCTCCTGGGGGAAAAATACACCTTACATATAAGAACAAATAGAACATAAAGATTCAAAGCAAAAGGTTGAAAAAAGTGATACCATAGGAACAATAAGCAAATGAAAGCTGGTATACCTATATACTAACAGACAAAACAGACTAAGACAAGAAGTATTACTAGAAATAAAGAGGGAGGTTTTAAAATTCAACAGGAAGGTATATATAACAATCCTAGATTTTTGTATGGATCTGATAACAATGCCTATAGACATATAGAAAGCAAAAATTAAAAGAATTAAAGAGAAATAGGCAAATCTATGATTAAGAGATTTTAACCCATCTTTTCCCACAACTGACAAAACAGGGAGCAAAACAACAGTATAGATATAGATGTGAACAATGCAAATATCAAACTGGACTTAATTGATACATAAAGAAGAACAACACACACAACTTCAGAATACACATTTCTTCAAGTTTGTATGTCACTTTTACCAACATAGAAATGCTGGGACATAAAGCAAGTCTCAACTTTTCAAAGGATTAAATAATTCAGAATATGATCTCTAATATAAGTAGAATAAAATGGAAATCAATTACAAGAAGATAATTTGACAAGCAATTATATATTCCTAAATAATAATAAGTATATTATTTAATATAATACAAAAATATATATGATATATGTATAGTATATATATATATAAAATAAACAATTCTTTCTGGTAAAAGAAAAAAAATCAATGAGAATTAGAAAATATTTCCAACTGAATGATAATGACAATACATATCAAAGTTGTGGGATGCAGTTATTGCCTAAACAGAAAATAATACGATTTAGTGCATAGGCTACAAAAGAAGAAAAGGTGAGTATCAACTGTACCAAGAAATTTAGAAGAACAAGAAATCTATCCAAAAAAGTAGAAGGAAGGAAACACTACAATTAAGAACATAAATCAATAAAATGGGAAAGAAATTTATAATAAAAAGTAATGTAAGAGACGGATTTGAAAAGACTAATAAACTAGCAAGAAGAAGAGAGAAGGCACAAATTATTGCACCAGAAATGAAAAACATGTTAATTATCACTATAGATCCTACAAATAGTAAAAAGACAGTAAAAAGATACTATGAACAACTTGATTATGTCAATCAATTTGAAAATTTGGATAAAATGGACAAATATCTAGAAAAGCCACAACTCACCAAAACTGGGTAAGAAAGAAAGTTTGAAAAGTCTTATACCCATTAGAGAAATGGAGGCCAGATGAGGTGGCTCACGCCTGTAATCCCAACAGTTTGGGAGGCCAAGGCAGGCGGATAACTTGAGCTGAGGAGTTTGAGACCAGTGTGGGTGACATGGCAAAACTCTGTCTCTACAAAACTTACAAAAAAATTAGGCAGGTGTGGTGGCATGCATCTCTGGTCTCAGCTACTTGGAGGCTGAGGTGAGAGGATGGCTTAAGCCTGGGAGGCAGAGGTTGTAGTGAACCGAGATTGCACCACTGCACTCCAGCCTCAGTGACAAAGCCAGACCCTGTCTCAAAACACACACACACACACACACACACACACACACACACACACACACACACACAAAATAAAGAATCTCAAAATAAAACTTCAGGTTCAGATGGGTTTCACCAGTAAATTCTTCCAACTGCCAAACTCTGCTAGTGAACAGAAAAAGAGGGAACACTCACTTCTTTTATAGGACTGCATAACTTTTATATAAAAATAAGCCAAGAATAATACAATAAAAGAAAATTATAGGCCAACTGAGCTCATAAACACAAACATCTTCAACACACTATGAGAAAACGGAATTCCTACCTCACATCATAAACAAAAAAAAATTCCAAATGGATCATGACTTAAATGTGACTGATAAAACAATAAAGGAAGGAAGGAAACACAGGAGACCAGCTTTATGACCATGGGATAATTACACACTTCTAAATAGGACATCAAAATCACTACCCCTAAAGTAAAAGATTGATCAAAATCACTACCCCAAAAGTAAAAAGTGGATAAACAGAATTCCACTAAAATGAAAAACAGACATTTATCACAATGCAGCATTAAGAGGTGAAAAGGCAAGCCACACAGTGGCAGAAGATGTTGTGGTACATTTATCTGAAAAATCATTTAGAAGGACAAACCCCCATGACACAAGTTTACCTACGTAACAAACCTGCCCATGTACCCTCGAACTTAAAAATTTTTTAAAAAGGAAAAAAATCATTTAGAAGGGAGATAGTCCAATTAAAAATGGACAAAACGGCCAGTCGCGGTGGCTCACGCCTGTAATCCCAGCACTTTGGGAGGCCAAGGCTGGCGGATCACTTGAGGTCAGGAGTTCAAGACCAGCCTGGCTAATATGGTGAAACCCCGTCTCTACTAAAAATACAAAAAAATTAGCCGGGCATGGTGGTGTGCGCCTGTAATCCCAGCTACTCGGGAGGCTGAGGCAGGAGAATCGCTTGAACCCAGGAAGTAGAGGTTGCAGGGAGCCGAGATTGCGCCACTGCACTCCAGCTTGGGCAACAAGAGCAAAACTCCATCCCAAAAAAAGGACAAAATTTGAATGGGCCTTGCATAGAAATATTAATATTCCAGGAAACATAAAATACACTCACTGAAATGTCTAAAATGGAAAACGAAATTTGCAAATATCAAGTGATAGTGAAGATATGGAGCAACAGGAACACTCTTGCTAAGTTGGTACAAGCATTGATTTGTGCAACCACTTTGGACACTAATATAGACAGTATCTACTACAGTTGAACACACACCAATTCTATGACTCAGTAATCCTACACCTAAATATATACCCAACAGAAACGTGTACATATCATGAATGTATGAATATTCATAAAAGCATAATAGTACAACAAATAATAAATGGCCTCAAACTGGAAATAACCCTAGGACCCCATAAACAATGGTATGCATATAAAATTATAAAATATTTATACAATGAATTATTATATGATAGTGACAAGGAGTGGACTACTGGAGTGAACTGTATACAAAAGCATGGAAGAATCCCACAAACATAATGTTAAGCAAAAGAAGCCAGACACGGAAGAGTATATTGAAAGGGTTCATTTATGTAATTAAAAACCAGATAAAATGACTCTATGGTGAAGTCAGTGATTACCTTAGGGAGGTAAGGGAGGGCACATGAGGGAAGCTCCTAGGGTTCGGGTAATATTCTATGTCTCCCTCCAGGTGGTGGTTACAGCAATATATTAGCGTCATAAAAATTAATCAAGCTATACTTCAGTAAGTATAATAAGTACTTCAATAAGTATTGTATAATTCAATAAGAAAACATTAAAAAATCCTTAAAAATTCCTTTAAAAATGTGTATGCAAACCTAATAAATTAAGAGTTATACCATGAACCTAGATGGGAAGACTCAATATTATAAAGATATTTAATTTCTTTAAGTAATCTTTAAGTAAATGTAATTCTAATTAAAATCCCCCCTTTTCTGTTGTTACTTGTTAGGGTGTTTCTGAAGTTTAAGAAAGTAAACATGTAAGAAAAGGAAGGCAATTTCAAATATAATTGGGAGGAGTTGCCCTAAAAAAAAAAAAAAGTATCATAACACCACTGTAATTTAAATTGTAAATTACTATTTGTAAGTTAGTATTTGTAAGAAATAGACAAATAGATCATTGCTACAGAAGAGAATCCAGAAAAGGTCTGCAAGTATGCCAAGTGAGGGTATAATAAAGACTCTAATTCAAATTGTTGGGGAAAGATGGATTCTTCAATAAATGGTATAATTGGTTGAGCTGGAAAAGCAAAAACAAAAGCAAATTTAGGTACCTGTTTCATAACACACACAAAATCCACATATCTAAATGGCTCTTTTTTTAAAAAAAAAAAAAAAGGCTGTTTCCATAAAGAAGACAGATTTTCATGATTTGGGGATTGAGGAAAGAAAGTCTTTCTCAGCACAACACAACACAGAAGGTATAAAATATAGATGATTACATGCGAAAAAATTTGGAAAATCCTGCACTGAACAAATTTCAAAAGACAATAAACATAACTGGAGAAAATACTTATAAAACATAAACCAAGGACATATGAAAAGCTCCTACAAACCAAAAGGAAAAATAACTCGCTAGCAAAAGGGCCCAGGATATGACAGGCAATTATTCACAGAACAAATACAAATAACAAAATGCATTAAAAAATAGGCATTATAATTAAAATGAGATATATTTCATTTGCCAGATTATCAAAAATACAAAAAGGTCCATATCTAAATGTTGGCCAGGCTGCTGGGAGCTTGCATTCTCAGCCAATACTGAATGATGTCTACATCAGTACAACTTTTTGGTGGGTAATTTTGACTAAATGCAGAAATACACAAGTGTGCAAAGATAAATGAACAAAGATGATCACCAAAACCCATTAGGAGATGAATAATTAAATAATTGTGCATATATATATATATATTTACATGTGGTCATTAAAAATTGTGTTACCCTTCTACATGCTAACATGAAAACAGTTCTGCAATATATTAATTTAAAAAGAAAAATTCACTCTAGGACAATATGCATAGCAAAATTCCAATTTTTATATGAAAAATAAAACGATTTATAATTATGTAGAAAAAATTTGGAAGGAGACACATCACATTGGTTAGTGATTAGCTCCATGGGACTTAAAGTTTTGCAACATGAACATATTATATTTGCAAGTTATAAAAATCAATAGGACTTTGGAAATGTATATATAAGAAAAATAAATAAAATGTTCTTTTTATTTAGCCCAGGAATTCCTCTTTTAGAAATGTATCCTAAGGATTTCATCAGAGAAGTATGCAAAAATGTATCCTCAAGGATGTTCTTTAAGCCAAAGTTATAAAAGCAAAAAACTGGAAACAAATCCAATCTAACAACAGCACTATAAAATAGATTTTGGCACATCTGTGCAATGGAAAAATGTGTAGCTACATAAAAATCTACTTTCAAAAACTAAAGATCTTTTACAAACATACAAAATGGTAACTACAGCTAGATTAGTTTTTGAAGTATATTTTTGTAAGGAAGCAGTCCAAAATCAAACATCAAAAGTTAAACGTTCTTATCTATAGGTAATGAGTCCTGTAATTTTTATTTCTGATTTGATATTACTATTTATCAATTATTAATAATAAATGTCTACTTACTGCCTTAGCATTTTTAAAGCATTATAAATCTTAACAAAGCAAATGGTGGTTTTACTTCCTTTTTTTTTTTTTTTTTTTTTTCTTTGAGAGAGGCTCTTGCTCTATTCCCCAGGCTGGAGTGCAGTGGCGTAATCACAGCTTGCTGCATTCCCTATCTCCTTTCCTGGGCTCAAACAATCCTCTTGCCTCAGCCTCTCTAGCATCTGGGACCACAGGTGCGCACCACCAGACTAGACTAATTTTAAAATTTTTGTAGAGATGGGGTCTCACTATGCTGCCTGCCTAGGCTGGTCTTGAACCCCTGGGCTCAAGTGATCCTACTGCCTTGGCCTCCCAAAGTGCCGGGACTGCAGGTATGAGCCACCACACCTGGCCTTCCATTTTTTTATTTGATGGTTCAGTCTAAACATGTTTGCCATCAAATTCAGTGTTTGCTTTTAAAATTATCTTTTGAGATGATATATCACCAACATTAAGAGTTTTATACATATTAGCCATTTTAGTCACATCAAATCCTCTTCAAAAAGATATGAATAAATTGAAAATAAATAAGACTTTTAAAAAGGAAAACATTATTTGATTTGTAGTTACTACTCAACTTGAATTCTAATATTCTTTCCCTAGCAAGGAAATAAAATTTGTCACATTTTAAGTGTAAAACTTGCAAGCACACTTAAAGATGAGTTCCTCGTTTAAATACTATGAAAATATAAAGGTGTAACTACCTGTAATTTTATATAATCTATCATCATACAAAAATACGGTCATTGTTTCTATTTGGAATATTCAACTGTGAGTAAAGACTGGTGGACTATTCAGCCATGAAAGAAAAACATTTGCATTTCTGCAAAGTAATTTTGTATGAGAGATGTTGTATTTTCAGATGTTTTAACATGTTTTTTCATTATTAAATGATTTTAGTGACACAAAAAATGTGTCTGAAGTTAACCAACTTAATAATTTTGGAGAACCATTCCTATTCGGCTCAAAGAACACTGTAATATGTGCTAAAGGTAATAAATGGTACATGGAGAATTATATCTGACTAAAATGATTCTCTTAAAAATAAGTTAATTTTAGAACACGGTATCTCCTTAGCTTGGTATAATTTAAAAAATTTTTAAATTATTTTTTAAAATAGAAAGTCTCCCTTTGTTGTCCAGGCTGGTCTCAAAACTCCCAGCTTCAAGCGATCCTCCTGCCTTGGCCTTCCAAAGTGCTGGAATTACAGGCATTTGCCACTGTGCCCGGCCGCAGCTTAGTATAATTTTGCACCTATTTAAGAAGTGTCTGACAAGGGGATTACTGGAGGTAAAGAAAAATGGCCAACAGAGCTCCACACAAAAACAAGTGAGTTAATTGTTTGCAGCAGGGCTTTCTTTTCTATTAACAGGATTTTCAGGCTTGGGGCTCCAGGAAGCCTACGATTAATTCAACTGTAGATCCTTTACTAAAGGATTGTTGCTACCCTATGATCTGTGTTGGCACAGTCACATGCGCAATGCTTCCCCTTCCAGGGCTTCCCCCCAACTTCAGTGGTGAGAAACACTGCACATGGGCTGCTTGGCTCATCTGCATTGACTGTATATCCTGAGGCCAGTGCACAATGTCCAGGTCAACAACATGTTTTTCAAAACGTGGTTTAACTTGTTTGTTGTAGCTACAAAAATCAGCCAGCTTTGCAGAAGACAATTCATTAAATGAATGAAGACTGGTCATCATGCCCAAATACAGACAAAACACTGTGACTCAAGCATGCTCTCATTATAGAGACACTGTTGACACTCATTAGCTGACTTTATTGGATTGCTTTTCTTATTTCCATAAGTTTTAGGCTGTACCAACAAACATCAAAAACAATAGAAAATTACACTACATCAGAGGCAAACATTATACACACAATGGAATAAACTAGACATAAAACTAGATTTTTATTTAGAGCACAAGTACACAGACAAATATGAAGCAAAAACAGTGAGTCGACAAAGATGAGAACATCTTAGTGTAAAAAATCAGTGAGCAGCAAAATAAAGATGAGAGTACTCTTAACAAAAAATTCTGTTATTACAAATATTGACAGGCAGCAGATTATCTGACCAAAAGCATCAGTCACATATTTGACACAGTAACAGTAATTTCCCTCTGTTGCAATTCACCTTTCTCCTCTTTCACAAACTATAACTGTAGCAGCTTTTAAAAAGTTGTAAAATATGATTTGAGTGAAACAGGCACACGTGCGTTTTTCATGTTAATCAGTTAGAAGCCAAGTGGCCAGAAAAAATATATAAAAATAACTATCTATCAAATTTGGGGAAAAGTAAATGCATCCTCAAAGAACACTACTATAGTTTTTAAAATAGCAGAGTTAATCTGTTGAAACAATTTTCTCTAAGTATTAATTGTGGTTATTGTATTTCCAAGCAGATGCCTGGCCTTAAATTATAGTGACTAAATTGATAAATCTTTTTATTCCCAATTAACTTCCAAGGGATAGAGTAAAAGTGAAAGAAAGCTTAAACACAGTCTTAAGATTTATAAGAAGGATGGAAGACCTTGTTGAATACAGCATTCATTCTATTAAACCATGGAAGTTCTTCATTTTAATAGATAAGTCATACATAGTCAATCTGTTGAATCTAAAACACTTTCAATCATCTTCCCACCAGGTTTCAGGCCTACGGGGTTAGAGTTACATTTTCAGGCTACAACATAAAAGGTACAAACTATTACTGACCATGGCATTAACCTAGCAAATCTACTGCTAACTTTGGCAGTGAAAACATTTAAAATTGTGGGAGAAATTGGAAACTCTATAAATTAGAAACCTAATAAATATATATATATTTTTTTGATTTAAAAACTGCCTGAGGCAAAAAGTCCTCAGGACAGAAATACAAAATGTACGTAAGACCCAAAGGTGGGAAATAAATCCAAGAGCAGGACTCAAATAAATGTGCCCACTGCTAAATTGTTAATCATCAGGATATATCATGCCATAATCTTTGGTGTCCAAAATATAAAAGGAATTCTTGGTACAAAGGCTCTGCCTGAAAACCTCTGATGTAGGAATCAAGAAATAATTTTGTGTGACTCTGGAGGCCAATGGACAGAGGTAGAACTTCTTTAGACCACACATAATTAAATTTATTTTTATTGCTTTATCACCTCACGGAGGGGCAAATGTCTACAGCATATTCTAGAGAAGAGGCTCACAGTTAAAATCTGCCTTTGTTTTCCTTTAAGCAAAGAGGTGGTGGGGACCTTGACGAATTAGTTTTGATAGTCTTAGAATTAAATCAGTAATTTCATCAGCAATGTGTCCAAATACAGCATTGGCTGTTGCTGCATATGTGACAGTCACACAACAAGTTTCTATAAAGTTCAGGAGATTACCCCTTTATTAAAAGAATCTTGTAATTACAAGCCCATTGAACTGACAGAAGGAAACCCTGCATCAAGTGTGGAGATCTGGCATGTTGGTGTAAAAAGGCTCTTCAGGAAGCAGCCTTCTTTTCTTAACACTTTATGACAGCTTCCCCCCACTCATTTTAAGAGTATAAATAAAAGTATAGTGGTATTCCTCCCATATTAAATTTTAACAATGTGTAGTAGAGTCAATATGTTGAAACGATTTTCTCTTTACTTTCAGTTTGTTTGGAATTGCTGAGGCAAGATGGAAACACCAGGTACCAAACTAGACAGGTGGGCATGAAAAAATCCTGATGGCCATAAGGCAACCAAGTATGTTAAGTAAGTCTGTGTACATGCTGAATGTAAAAGTTAACAAGTGGGAACTGTGAGGTTTCAATGGTTCTTAATAAAGGAAATAAAATTACTGAATATTCTTTTTTTCTTTTTAGGGGGGTTGGAGCCTTGCTCCCTCACCCAGGCTGGAGTGCAGTAGTGTGATCTCAGATCACTACAACCTCCACCTCCCAGGCTCAAGCAATGCTCCTGCCTCAGCCTCCCAAGTAGCTGGGATTACAGGTGTGAGCCACCACACCCAGCTAATTTTTGTATTTTTAGTAGAGACTGGGCTTCGTCATGTTGGCCAGGCTGGCCTCGAACTCCTGATCTCAGGTGATCCGCCCGCCTCAGTCTCCCAAAGTGCTGGGAATGCAGGTGTGAGTCACCACCTCCAGCCTGAATATTGTTATTAAATGAAATTCAAACAATAAGCCATGATAGCCAACAAAAATAATGTATGCACCTCATAGTCCTCTGCTATTACACTGTTCAGCCTAAAAATATCCAGATCAAGGGAAATTCTACCGCTAGTCATTTGATTGGATTTTTCTGTAAGATACTCAAACATCAAAAGAAAAAAATATTTAAAATTCTAGAGGAGAGAGTATTAGAAAAGTTCAGAATTCTTGCTTTCTTTCTCTTTTTGCAAATGTTTTTTGCTTTCAAAGAGCTCGGAAAGTGTTGAAGAAAAGCTGACCTGGCCTGGAATTATAAACATGACACAAGATTTTCAAGTTTGGCACCACTTTGACAACTACAATATTTCCTTCTGTAGAGGCCACTAAGTGCTGGCTCAAAATATTAAACAATGAAGTACACAGTTACTTAAGTCACACATAGAAATGTTGACTGGCACAGCCTTTTAACACAGTTTTTCAGTTTAACTACAATAAGTGATAGCAGCAGTGGTTAACAATTCCACATCAACACCACAAACACACATATGAAAGAGCACCTGTAACAACATGCAAAATCTCAACATCACTGAATATTACACAATGCATAGAAATCGTAATGATTTTTGGCAAGGTGTTTTTTTTTTTTTGTAACAAATGCTTTATAAAACAAAAGTTATTTCATTATAAATGCTGTTTAAAAAGTTGTAACAATCTAATGGGTTATAGATATAAAAGTTCAGTTAGATAAAGTTAATCTGAGTGGGTTAATACTAAACATGGACCTCCTACTTCATCCAATATAAATAAACAATTATAAATTAATTTCTAGTGGAAGTACACTAAGGGATTTATAAAAGAATTACAGAAAATAAATGGACATAAAAATCACTAAAACACAGTATACACAATTACTGTTAGGAATCTATATTGCTGATATCTTCCTAATTCTACTTATCACAAACAAACAATGCCAAAGCATTTTCAAAGCTCTTATTGAAATGAATGTATAAATGGTAAAAATGCTGTCTAATTCCAGTGTAATATCAAGACAAACATTAGAAGTCTAACATAATTCAACATTACAAAAAAAAGACAAATCACACTGTACCTTTTTAAAAAACATCTAAAATTTGAACTTTTTCAACTATGATCTGGTAAATATGATTTGTAAAATAAAAATTTGTGAAACGTTTAAATATTTATGCTTGAGTTCCTTTTCAGAAGAGTAAGCAAGATGAGAAATACAAATAATTTGCATTTAAGTAAGTTTGAATTTCTACATCTACTTACTGTAGGCCTCTTTCCTTAGTTACCATTTTTCCCCTTTACTATCTCTAAATAAATTTACTTCAGAAACTTCCTAATTATGTTGATAGAAATTTGATCCTTTTGACTGAGGATATGTCCCAAAACTTTAAATACGATTTGTAAAACTTGCCAGACTAAAAAATACTGTGGGTTGCATTCAGAACCAGTAGTATAGATGCTATGTAGCTCGATATCCAAGTGAATATCAAATTAAACAAAAATGTATTTTTGTTCATAATCTATAACTAGAATTGATATTCTTGAAGACTGTAGTTTCCCCTCCATAACTGAAAACTAAATATAAATTGGGTAGGCTGAGAGATGTTTGTTAGAATCAAAGAACAATTACATTTACAGATTTTCCTATCAAACTCCAAAAAGAAAAGTTGCTAAAACTAAGATGTAACACAACACAATGAAAAGTGAAATGTCACATTCAAGAACAGCCTATTGGAACTTGGCAGCTTGAATCTACTCCTAAGAGAAATTTGTGGGTTTTAAAAACAATTAAAATTTGGAAAACAAGAAGTAGAAATATAGGGTTGTTTTTCCTCTCTAAACTCTACCTGTGGACAGGAAGTCAGGGTGCCTGCCTCTAGTCCCGGCTTTAACCCTGACAAGGGAAAGCTCACACCCTAACAGGGTGTGAGCACCTGGGCATTCACCTCCTTTCTCTGGGGCTATTGCCTCTTTTGTTAAAGGGTGGATGAGGACAGAGCAGTGGCTCATGCCTGTAATTCTAGCACTTTGGGAGGCTGAGGTGGGGGGATCACTTGAGTCCAGGAGTTTGAGACCAGCCTGGGCAACACAGTGAGATCCCATGTCTACAAAAAATTTTTAAAAATTAGTCAGGCAGGATGGTATGAACCGGGAGTCCCAGCTACTTGGGAGGTTGAGTTGGGAGGATTGCTTGAGCCCAGGAGTTCAAGGCTGCAGTGCCACTGCAGTGAGTCTTGATTGTGCCACTGCACTCCAGCCTGGACAACAGAGCGAGACCCTGTCTCGAAAAACAAATAAATACATTAAAAGGTAGATTAAATGTTTCCAATTTTATTTTCCAGCTAGCACACCTGAAGGATGCATTCCAGAGGGAACAGCAGCTCAGTCAGTCTAGTGAGTCTCAAAGGAGGGGAGGGGGTAGGAAACATGAGACCTCTGGGGAATTTGTTTGAGGTTGTGTTCTCTTGGCTATTTCTATCTTCTTGCGCTCCCCACTCCCTACCTACATGAGGACGTGGTGACTCCTACTCTTCACAGCATTGAAAATCACTGGGCTAGATGATCTCTTGGGTCCTTTCCAGATCTAGCCTCTATGACTAATAATACAACAAAGACAATGGTTTACATTAACACACAGACCTAATTAATATTCTAATCAAACTGGGACTCTGACCTAATTAATACTCTGGTTCTAATTCACAAAAGTCATTGTTTACATAAGAACTCAACGTAAGTGTATTAAAATGCCATTAAAAAAAATTTTTCAAGCTTTTGCTCAGCTTTGGCAGGCCCAACTGGTCAATTTACAAACAGGCTGGACCATGAGGAATTTTAAATGTCTTCCTTTTCTGTTTAGAAAAGTAAAATTAGAGTTCTTGGTACTCCATCAATATCATCTCTTCTTTTCTGTTGTTATATCACTAGAAATACACCAACTCCCAAAAGAATGATATCTGCAATGTATTTCTTTATTCCAGTTCTATTTGATGGCAAGGATCTCTAAAATTATCCTAGCTTCATCACTTTGCTTTATGAAAGGCTATGCACTCAATATCATGTTAACCAGATCCAAGTGGGAAGGGAAAGCAATGTTTGAATACCATGCACTAAACAACGATTGAGGATGCCCTTGCCAATGTGCATTTCTTAATTGATCACTGCCTATCTGTACCATATTGTATGGTAGATGTACAGAGACATATCTTGTATAATAGAATTCTATTTGGGAAACATTTATTAAGCTGATAGAGAACTTGCTAATTCTTTCAGTACTTGTAACTATTTTTTAATGAACGCTTTAAAAGATATCTTGCTCCAAGAAATTATACATTCCCCTTGACTTTCCTCCCTAGGCTTAGGTATCTATTTCTTCTGTCATCTGGGAGAGAGTTTTTATTTACAGGTGCTTAGTATTACAGCTTTATTTTGGCTAGAGAAATAAGGATCAAAATATACCTTTCCTATAGATAAAGAAAATCAGTCAGAAGAGGGCTGATTAAGATCAGAAGTGTCTGTCTCACATTAAACTGCAGATAGTCGAACCAGAAAAAATCTGAATAGGTTCACAGTCTACCTCTAATTCATATTTAGTATCTGGTCAATGGCAATCGATACTGGCTTATAGGCAGTCCCTCTGCCTAGACCCTCCCACTTCCCTGCCTGAATTATAAAGGACTCTCTTGAAATTGGGGTTTTGGCTTTAATTGGGGTAAAAATAAATTATACACATATACACACTTGCCTCCATGACAAAGTTAGGTGTTTTTTAGAGTGACACAAACTTCTGCTCTCTGCTGGTAACCAGGGATAAACAAACTGCTTAATATCTCATCTCAAAATACTACAGTAATGACGCCTAAATAATGTTGTGCTAACATTGATCTCAATCAATGAGTTGAATTAATTTGATGATTTTAGTACACCTGGGATTTCATTTATAATTTATAACTTCAGAGGGTCTACAGAAGCACAGCAAATCACTTCTTGAACAAGTAGCTACAGCAGAAAAAGAGAGTGCTTAATGGGATCTGGATCTAATTTCAGATACGGATGCTCTTACATATTAACTGTGACATGGGCAAGCCATTTGACTTTTCTGGATTTCCTCAATTATAAAAGGGAAATAATAATACTTACCTAATGGGACTATTGTGAGAATTAAGTGAAACAACTTATAAAGCACTCAGTACAATGGCACATTGTCAGTGCTCAAGAGGTGATAGTCATTGATGACAGATCTGTACACTCTGATGCATATGTGCACCTACATGAACACAGTGGATGGTACAGAAATGCCTTCACTTTATTGATTTTAAAACAGGCTCTAAGAAAGATTCTCCAGAAAATACTCAAAGCAGAATTACGTATTCCACAGCAGACCAACATATTCAATGAATAAATAATGGATAAATTGCATGGGTACAAAGTTTGGAAAACTATGCAAAATAGTATTAGCATAGAGTTTTTTGCTGGGCTCTCAAAAATGAACTAACTTTTATTACAATGTCTTTTATAAATTCTTTGAGAGCAGGGACTATTTCATGTGTCTTTATACCCCTCCAGGTTTGGCCCCTAGCTGTTCAATAAATACTGTTGATGTGACTACAAATTCTCATCTCAATAAAGTCATTGATTTCATGGCATCTGCAAGCTAAGCCATATGATTTAGTCAAGTAAATGCTATGAAAGTTTCAGCTAATAATAATCTAACTGAAAAACCAAAGAGATCAAATGTATGCCAGAAGATTTTCAGACTACTCTTTTGTAGAACAGGCAGTGATTTAACATAGGGAAAATTTAACCATAGGGAAAAATAATTATAAATATCCTAAATTGCTGATATATATTTATAAGTCATATTCAGACCAGCCCTAATAACCATGATATCAAATGGAATCTAGAATAAGCTGTCTTGAATAAATATCCTATCTCTTAACTTTTTCAAACATTATAGTTTTTTTAAAAATAGCTAGCATCTATGGTTTTCAAGAGTCACTCACATGAATATGGTAGAAAGACCAAATTATGCAGCTATGTCATCCAAATGCTGACAGTGTTCAGTGTTTTTGTTGTAGACAGTGCAAAACTTTCAGTCATGTGAGGAACACTGGAGGGTTTCTTACATGACATTACATTGATCTTAAAGTGTAAGCACTGCAAATATGGCTTTATTTGAGCCACAGGATTGCCTGAAAAGGCAGCGCATTCAGTTGTAGTGAACATCTCCTGGACTGTTGATTTTTTGCTAAAGTATATATGCAATTTTGACATCTGCCTCTGCCACAGCATGAACATGATTTTTTCTTAAGTTAATATTCCAAATAATAAAAATGGCATCTGGCAGTGCTATCTTCTCAGTATCATTTAGATAAAAATAAAATTTAGAGGTAGTTGTAGATTTTTCATAATGTAAGTAACTCCAAGAGATAACGCCAGCACTTTGGGAGGCCAAGGCAGGAGGATCTCTTGAGGCTAGGAGTTCGAGACCAGCCTGGGCAACACAGTGAGACCCCATCTCTACAAAAAATTAGCCAAGTGTGATGGTGTGCACTTGTAGTTCCAGCTATTTGGGAGGCTGAGGTGGGAGGATCTCTTGAGCCCTGGAGTTTGAGGTTGACAGTGAGCTATGACTGCACCTCTGCACTCCAGCCTGGGTGACAGAGCAAGACCCTGTCTCTGTTCAAACAAACAAACAAACAAAGACTGATACTGTAATTTGGCTAGGCTTCTACCAAGCCATCATTCAGAAAACAGTTTTCTGAAACTAAAAGTCACAATGCTCCTATTTGGCTTGAGTTATCACAGAAAAATATAAATAAATAAAAATAATTCACATTCCCAATTTGTGTTTTTCTAAATGAAGATGCAATATGATTAAGCAGGACAAAGATTTTCATTTTAGTACCTTAATAAACACAGATAGGGAACTGACATTTTCTAGTTCTGCTTTCACAGTGCATACTGACTACTCTTCTTCCTTAAGACAAACTTACTGTGCTGTCAGAAACATATCAAAAATTTAGAAACTACGTCAATTAAAAATTAAATGCACCATAACATTTTAAGTGTTTTACAGAGACCTTTTTTTAAACATTAGAGTTTAAGAGTTCCCTTAAAGTAGGCTGTCTGATGCCGTAAGGACTAACTATAGAATAAGGCGAACAGGAAGGTTTTGTAAAGAGAACTGGGAGAAAGAGGCTCTGTGGCTCCAAATGTATGGGTGTGGGAGAGGACTAGAGGACATGCTGCCACCATGGAAGATTACTCAGCATTCCTTTTGATCAGACATCCTTCAGAGATGTTAAGACACTGTGTCCCCAGCTCTGGATCAAACCACTGGAAATTAATGATGAGCTGGTACTGAGAAACTTAAATAGAAAAAAACTCTGGAATGAAATGACAGACTACCATTTCTTTAGCTATGACCTAATTGACTTATCTTGACCTGACCATAAAATAAAGATAACTCACCTTTTCAAAGTTGCTGAAAATATTAATATATATAGAAATAAATATGTAAGTACTGCAATATGTCTGAAGAAATATTTGCCAAAATGTTAACAGTAGTTATCTTTGGCTAGAAGACTTACGAGTACGTATTTTGTTTTCTTTATCCTTATCTGTGTTTTCCTATTTTTTTTTTCTTTTTTTTTAAGATTAGTAACTATGACTTACATATGTGATCCATGTAAGTCACTTAGCACAGTGCTGGCATGCATGCTGGCTCAAAAATGGCAGCTCTCATCACTATCAATACAAAAACATAAAGCAAGACATTCTCTGCCCTTTCTTCTTGTTTCTGGATGTATAAATGAATATTTCTCTATGGAGGAAAAGTCATGAACATGAGGTTAACTCCACGACACAAAGTCCATGGCTGACTTCCCACTCCTTAGCCAGATGAAAGGTCACAGCTTAGAGGAACGGGTCTTTATGTGCTTATGACTTGGTGTTGGAAGGAGTTCCCTGACCATGGGAGAGCTCAGCTCTGTGATGATTTAGCAAAGCAATTCAGAATGAAATTTGTCCTGGTTATACACTAAATTAATGTACAAAATACCACCTACCTTTCTAGCTAATGTGAATTATGAGGTTGCCTTGAAGAACAAATATTTCCCAATAGAATTCACGGGTCCAACAAAACAATCAAGATTTGGAGTTTCTGTGTGTTGCTGATTATACAGAATAGGAACCTAGCTCAGCTTTATTGTGGCTCTAAAGTCTAAATTTATTTTATTTTTGAAATATCTTAACTAATAATTCACCACAGGCATCAAGACTTGAAAACAAAGACCTTGGAAAAACTGCCACAAATGTTTAACCAAAATTATTATAATAATTGCAGGATATCACAGATAAACGCATTTATATTTACTATAGAAAAATCTCGCACATTTTCAAGAATGCTTTGAATTCAGCAAAATCTGGTAACAAAATATTGTTACCTAAAATGAGTGCCAATATTCCTTGGATCTCAATCACAGAGTCGAATACACACCCTTGCCTCAGGAGAAAAGAGACTGTTTAATGCTTCTAAGTAAATAATTCAGGGAATATGAACTTTGAAGAGGATGAGTTTTTTTGTTGTCTCGACTACTGCTTCTAGATTTTTAGTAAGACTTTCCACCTTTTACCTTCTTTATAGGCAATCTAATGCTTGGCAACATTTTCAAAGCTTTGGTAGCTTTAAATTTCCTGTCAAACTTCATTTATACCCATTTCTTAGGGACAAAAAAAGAAACATTCTTTCCAGGTTCAAGCACAATAGTTAAAATGAGCTATGTAACAGTCTTTTTAGCCAAAATATTAGACTTTGGGTATTATTTTAAAATCATGTATCTCCCAAAAAGAATGGCACCTTTATTCCCTCCTTCTACCCTTTCCCCCCAAAAAGAAAAGATGTTAGCTAAACATCTAGATTCTCATACATTGTAAAAAATGAGGCACAGGAGCTAAAACTCTAATTAAGTTAAAAAAGAGAAGATGTAAATAATTTGATGTTGAGCTTATACATTTTCATATTGTGGATCTAGCTGAATACAGTTTTGCGTCAGCAGTAAAGTTAATGTCTCCTCTTGATTAATATAGAATTTTAAAAATTAAAAAAATAAAGCCATTTATTAAGGAGACAAAAAAGGGGAGTTGGGGTGGGAACGAAAAGCAGGAGTTGAGGACGCAAGCATGTTAAGTCTAGGATGACTCTCAATTTCCTTTTTGACAGTTTTTAAAAAACAGAATTCCCTCTCTACTTTGTGTTGCCTGAGAACCACGTATGGTTTTGTAAAGTCTGTAACAGTAATTACATTTGATCGCCCACAAGTACATTTGTCTTAAGCCTATAAATACTATGTTAGTAATACTAAATTATCTCCATTGGCTTATTTGTAAAAAGAAAAATATATTATATATTTATATTTTTATAAAGTGAATTAACACTGAGGGCACAGGAAGGGGAACGAGAAGCGGTGTATAATCACAGTTTCTCCGGACACAGTAACCAAACTGGAGTCTTGCTCAAGCCACCTGGTCAAGCGGTGTCTGAGGAAGAGTCATAGGAGGCGGAGACGATGAAATTGCCATTGTTGGAGTGGCCGGCCACTGACTGGGCAGCCTGCTGGCTCAGATTGTTACAGATCAGCACGAGCTGGTTGCTCTGGGCCTCAGACAAGGTGCTGCAGCTCTGATACACACTGAAGTTGGTTTTCCTGCCAGGGATGTTGCCCTTCTCACACATGGTCTTCACCATCTTGGCCAGCTTGTTCTTGCCAAGGGCCTGGCAGTTGTACCAATGCAGAGCCGCCAGGTTCACGACTGGCTTGATGGATAAGTAGAAAGGGGCATCCTCGTAGCGCATGGCGGGAGGCCGCCGCTGGGCATACTCCTTATAGTCCTGGACAGGGCAGGTCTGTGGGGCGTGCTGGGTGGCATACACACGGGAGTCTGTCCCCCCTCTCTTGGTTTTGGCATTCAAGTCTCCAGTGTCCTGACCCATCCACTCCAAGTACTCGAGACCCGTCTCTGTTACCCGGAGCCGGATATCACCCCATTTTAAGGTAGATCCATGGAAGCCTGTGCAATGCCCAAAAGCTTTTGTGTTGTTGAGCCAGACTAGGTTGAGCAAACCCTCGGGGTTATATCGGCTTAGCAGTCCCCTTTTCCGCAGGATGAGCTCGTCAGCAAAGGTGAGCTTCATGGACTTGTGTGGCTTATTTCCTTTTCCTTTACAGCGGAGTTCAATTTGCTTCTGCTTCAGGGCCTCTTGGGAACGCTTGAATTCCTTATCCCTGGTGATGCTATAGCCATACCTGTGTTCTTTCAGGTACCTTTCGAGCCCACACTGGTAATTGGCCAAGCTGTTGGGTTCGTATTCGGACCCATCCTTCTGCCTGGCATCAACAAAGAAAGAGGCAAGGTAGGCATCCAACTCCTTGCAAGGGATGACATAAATCTCTCTTGTTTCAGAAGGATACTTGGAGATGAGGAACTCACGGAAATTGCGGAGCGCGGTCTGCGTGCTCCGGATGGTTTTCTCGTTCTGCTCCCTGCTGAGCTCAGCTGCTCTTTCATCCTGGTCTGCAACAAATTGGGGGGGGAGGGATAGAGAGGGTGTTGATGAGTTCAGACAATGCACTTTCTACTCTGAAATAAAGTTTCCTTTTATAATGACAAGGGAAAGGAGGAATCAGTTTTACGGAGATCACTGATAAATGTTATTTACATACCTGTCACATTATAATAGCCAACTTCAGTTTCACAAAAGATCTACTAGACAAGCATATGGCCCATTACAAGCAAAACGAGCTTCCTATGTCACGGGCACATAGTTTAGTGCATGAAGGTTTGTCGAAAGAGAGAGATTAGAGACAGCCTTCGTTTTAGGAAAAATGTGGGACAGAAATGTGCTATTTATCCTACTGCAGCGTGCAAGAGCCCCATTAGCGCTGACAAACTCATTCCGAATCACTTCATTTGTGAAAACAGAGGTTGTACTGGTTCCATTTTATTGAATTAAACTAAAATATCTGTATTTGTTATTTTAACACATCACTAAAAATCTGTATTTAAAAATGACAAAGCAGATCTTTTATGGCAGTTAATTAAATACTTGTTCTACAGCAATTTGGGTAAACACAGTTTATAAGCATTCTGCATGTAATTGCAGGGCATTTGTAATAAGTGATGAATGGAAATATTTGGTATTTTGGAGGGTAATGAGGATAAAACATCATAGCTATAAAGACAGGACAGTTACATTTGAATTAGGCTATTATAGTCAAGATGTAAAAAAGGGGGTATGTCTCCAGGATCCACTGTTTCTTTTTATTACTTTATTATTTGTACTCTGCTACCAAGGACTTGAGGTGCCTCTTTCTGTTTTGGATCATCCAAGGTTAAGTAATGCTGCCCTAGAATAGCTGTCTTCACAGATTGCTGTGCTTCAGAATCATCCAGGATGCTTGATCAAAATGCAGATTACCACGTAGCAGGTGTAGGAATCTGTATCTTAACCAGCATCTCTGTGTTCATGATGAGGTTTGAGAGAATATATTTTGAGAAACAAAGTTCTAGTGCTTGTGTCCTAGGCAGGAAATCTTACTCTATTTTCACCAATTTTAAAATAATAGTTAAGTTCAATTACATCATTTACATGGTTTCATTTCAGTAAAATGTAATTTAAATTTAGGATCTTAACATTAACAATAAAATATTTTGTCAAAAATCACCACTATTATGTTAGACATGGTCTGGTGAAACTCAAAAGAGAAACCCTAAAGAAGGCATAGAAATAAAAAACAGAAACAGGCTACGCTATTGATTGTTGAGAGGCAAACACAGAGGTTAATTTCAAACAACATAAAATATGTAATTTCTGATTTCTACAGTATAAAGTAAAAGTATTTTGTTTATCTTAATTATGTTATCTAGAAAAAGTTATATTAACTTGTAAGACTGCTTAGCGGAAGTCTTTCTAATTACCACATCCAATGATAAAATTTCTAATAAACTGAATTTTATTTACATACTACTTTTTGTATTACTATACATATATATGAATAGCCATGCTATTTTAAAATGACAATCATGGGGCATTATTGCCAAAATCCACATAACTTTATAAAATGATATAAACTAAAATTCACAAAACTAGTTAGCTATTTTTATAGGCACATTTTTGAGGGATCACATTTCCAAAATTCAAATATACAAAAGTAAGCTTTATGCTCCAATACACTTAACTTTTAGTCATGCTATTTTCTTCCAGTTGAAACTGTTTATCTATTAACAATAAAGGTGTTTATCTTTCCATCAAAAACATGGAAGCCACAGGTTGAATGTAACCATTTGACATGCTGGCTTCCTTGACTGTTTACAATGGAAAGCCAAAGGGGCCAGCACATCTGTTTTTCTTGGTTACTTGTTCAAATATCTATCACAGCAGTCTTCTAACTTCAAACAAAGATTTTCTAAGAAATAAACAGTCACAGACAACTTTGGGAGAAAAATTTCCAGGTTTCCAACTTTCACATGGGATCTTTTAAAAACTTTCTTGTCTGAGATGTAAACTGAGTTGTACATGTTGCCATCCCAAACCTACTACGGTACATACTCTGGGGTGTATTGACTTATAAATTTTGTTTGGCTCCTCAAAGTCGAAAGACCTTGACTTTTACCCATTAGCATTTCCTGTCTTTAAATAAGTAAACCCATAGCATTTCCTGTCTTATGCATATTTTGACAAAGATGAAATCTACCATGAGAAACAGTGTTTGGGGCCTGAATGGGGTGTTCTGAATTTAGGACATATGAAGGGGTTATATGTTAGTGAGGCTGATTCTTCTAACTAGAACTAGAATATTCTGCAGAACTACCAAAAAGCTCAAGATAAAGTAGCAGCTTAAAATTTTATTAATTTCTTTCAGATGATTCAGTGTGCTTTTTATTCACAAGGTATTTAATATTATCAAATCATATCATGAAATACTGATTCTAGGTAGAGTTGCTCCTCTTTTTTTTTTTTTTTTTGAGACGGAGCCTTGCTCTGTCACCCAGGCTGGAGTGCAATGGCATGATCTTGGCTCACTGCAACCTCCGCCTTCTAGGTTCAAGCTATTCTCCTGCCTCAGCCTCTCAAGCAGCTGGGATTACAGGCACCCGCCATCATGCCTGGCTAATTTTTGTATTTTTGTAGAGATGCGGTTTCACCATGTTGGCCAGGCTGGTCTTGAACTCCTGACCTCAGGTGATCTGCCCGTCTTGCCTCCCAAAGTGCTGGGATTACAGGCATGAGCCACCATGCCCGGCCTCCTCCTCTTCATTTTTATAAAATATTCACTACTCCTTTTTTACAAAAGTAAATTGATTGAAACATATTGAAAAACCTTTGGGTGTCAATTTAAAAGTGAGTGGTAAAGACTATTCAAAGTTCTTTTAAGGGATATGTAAGCAAAAAAGTTTAAGTCTGTTGGATTTAATTAAGCAGCATTAGTCAGTCTGCTATTAGTGGAACTGGTGAAGACAACCACGGAAGGGTCCAGAATGCTGGTGTGGATGTTGTCACCTGCCACAGTCCCGAGTGAAGCTCTCCTACTTCTGTATCTCCTCCACATTTCAGCACCATGCTAACATACACAAAGATGACTGACACATTCACACCTTTTCAACTCATCTTCAGCCAAGCCTTTCCCTCTTTTCTACTGGGCCTCAATCTTAGTTGACAAACAGCCATTCCATCTGCAGGAAAATAAAACTAAAGACAAATGTCACACTGTCATATCCTTTCCTAATAGCCAGGAATGAGCTACATGAAGAGGTTGAAAGGGTAAAGACACCATCATTGATTTTACATGAGTAAGAGGGAAAGAAATAGTTTTAAAGTCAAGTAATAGGAATAAGTTTTTTAGTTAATAACAAAATCAAGTAAGACTAGAGAAGACTGATAATAAAATACAAAACTATTACAACTGTCTGCATTTACCTCTAGTTTTAGAAATTTTTCTGACCCATTCCTTTTAAAATCTTTTTAATAGGTGTAACATACATACAATGAAATAGACTAGTCATTAAGTGCATGTGATTAATTTTCACAAATTGAATACACCTGTGAATCCAGTGCCCAGATTAAGAAAAAGAATATCACCAGCACCCGAGAAGCCTTTCTCATGTCCTCTTCTTCCAGTCACTTGCTCTCACCAAGAAAACCCGCTCTCCTGACTTGAAACATCATAGTTTTGTTTGGCCTATTATTGTAACACATATGAATGGACTCTTAGAACGTAAACTCTTTTGTGTCTGACTTCTTTTGCTCAACATTATGGTTTGTGAACTTCATCCATACTGTTGTGTATTTGTAGATAATTTATCCTCATTGCTGCACAACATTCCATTGTGTGAATATATTATAATTTATTTTTCCATTCTACTGGACATTGCATTCTATTAGTTTTCAGTTTTTGGCTATTTCCAATAAAACTGCCATAACATTCTAGTGGGTGCCTTTTGGTGGTCATGTGCATGCATCTCTCTTGGGTATATACGTAGGAGTGGAATTGCTGGGTCACAGGAAATCATGCATTCAGCCATAATACTAAAGACAATTTACCAAAGTGGTCATATCAATTTACTTTCCCCACCATGAGGAAAAGGTGCTCCATTATCTTCAGCAACACTAAATACTGTTAACCTTTCTTACTTTAACCATTCTGGGCATGTAGTGGTACTCCAGTGTGGTTTTAATTTTCATTGGGATATCCTCTTTCATGAAGTGCCCGTTCAAATATTTTGTCCATTTATCTACTGGATTGTCTGCTTTTTTCTGTTTGTAGAAGGTTTTTAACATATTCTAGATATGAATGTTTGTTATATTTATTACAAATATCTTCTCCAATCTGTGGCTTGCCTTTTCATTTTTTAATGATATTTTAATAAACAAGAATTCCTAATTTTATATGGTCCAATTTATCAATTTATTTCCCTTATGATTCATGCTTTTTGCCTCCTGTTGAAGACATTTTGCTTATTCCAAGGTTATGAAAGATTTTTCCATTTCTTCCAAAAGCTTTACTGTTTCACTTTTCACATTTTGATCTGCCATCCACCTAGAACTGACTTGCGTATTTTTGATCTGCCATTTACCAAAATATCCACCTATATGTTCTGAGATAGAAATTAAGATTTTTTTCAATAAGGATCATGATCCATTTGATTTTAATTAATACAATTTGAACAGTCAATACAAGCATATAGGACAGTTTCTAAAGCTACAAATGGGTATAGAGTAAAAGTAAGGCACCTGCTCATCTCAACCCTTTGTTACCAAGTTTCCCTCTTCACAACAACCAATGTTACCAGTTGATTATATATAATTTTCAAGTTTTTACATTTCTTATTCTTTTCCTTTCAAAATGGGGGGGAGGAACATACTATACATCCTATTCTATACTCTGCTTCTTACCACTATGTATTAGAGATAGCGCCATATCATTATGTATACAGTTGCCTTAATCTTTCTAATAGCTGCATTCTATTATATATGGATATAACAGAATTTTTCCAGTTTCCTAACTCCCTACGGATAGGCATTTCCATTATTTGCATCCTGTCGCTATTACAAACAACACTGCAATGGGTATCCCTGTAGACAGAACGTTTCCCATGCATGGGCAAGTATATCTATAGAATGAATTTCCAAAAGTGGAACTGCTATATTGCTACCGCCCTGCACATATGTTGAACTAACTTATACTCCCATGATAAGACATAAGAGTGCTGCTTCAATCACACCTTCCCAGATATATTATCAAACCTCTTCATCTTTGCTTATTTAATTGTAATATATATTATGATTTTATTTTGCATTTCTTTTAGAAGATTTAATGCTTTTTCAAGTACATACTAGTTATCTGTATTTTCTCATTTTCTGTGAATTTTGTCATCTGTCCATTTTCTTTTTAAAATATTGATTTATAGGAACTCTGGATATATTTAAGAATATTTATATTCATATTTAGTCTTAATTCATTACAACAATATTTATTTGAGACAGGGTCTCACTCTGCGACCCAGGCTGGCATGCAGTGATGTGATCACAGCTCACTGCAGCCTTGTCCTCCTGGGTTCAAGCAATCCTCCAACGTAGCTGGGCCTACAAGCACAAACCACCACACCTGGCTAATTAAAAAAATACATGTTTTTTTTTTGTTAGAGATGGGGGTCTTACGAAGTTGTCCAGGTTGGTCTCAAACCCCTGCACTCAAGCAATTCTTCCACCTCAGCTTCCCAAAGCATTGGGATTACAGGTGTGAGCCACCCTGCCTAGAAAGTCTTAATTCTTAATATCTACTATTTACATATTATTAATTTAGCCTTATTACATATTATGTATTATAAACATTTTTTAATATATATTTAACCCTTTGTCAATAATATATATTTTTCTTTTTTTAGTTTGTCTTTGTGACTCTATTTTTCCTCACTGTGATGGCATCTTTATCATATGCTAAATTCCTAAATGTATTTGGGTCTATTCTGAATCTTTAATTCTATTCCATTAACTAGTATCCTTATTAGGGCAAAGTATACTACTATTTAAAATTAGGTATAATAAAAATTTGTCTTAATAATTGACAAGCCTATTCAATCCCCTCCTTACTCTATTATTTCAGAACATTCCAGTATATTTTAAAACTTTTGTATAACAAATAAGCTTTAGAATCAGCTCCTATCATTTTAAAAATCCTGTTGGTATTTGCACTGATAAAATTAAATGTATACTAAGTTTAGGAAAACCTGACATACTTATGATTGGGAATCTTCCTCTATAAGAATAGATTATTGCCATATTGTTCATTTTTCATATCTTCTGCATCTCCCAAACAGCTTTTTGATTTTCTCCCCACCCCAATTTTTTTTTTTTAAATCTTAAAGAGTTTTGTTAAATTTATTTATTCCTGGGTATTTTCTGTAATGCTATTCTTACTGCAAATGGAAATTTTCCAGTTTATTTTCTAACTGTTAATTGTATATAAGGTTACTAACTGTTGTATATTTGTATTGTACCCAACCAACTTACCCAAGATTTTTAGTTGATAATCTTGGGTTCTGCAAGTATATAATCCAAGCATTCCAAGTATACAATTACATCATTTGCAAAAATGGTAATTTTATCACTTCTTTTCAATGTTTATGCTCCATATAGCGTTTTGTTTTCTAAGTACTTCCAAAATAGGTACCTCTAGAACATGTTAAAAAACAGTGATAGGTTGTGGCTCATTACTGATATTAATGAGAAAATCTCCCAGCGTTTTACTTTAAAGAACAATGATAACCTTGGGGTTAAATGATACAGATATATTGATATGGATCAATTTAAGACTTATTAAAGAATTTCCTATTCATATTTTAATAAGGCATTTCTTAAAAAATTCATGTTAAATTTTATCAAATGGGTTTTCAGCATCTATGGAGAAGATACAATTTTTCTTTTGCTCTATTAAAAGATTTCCTAATGTAGAAGCATTATTTAATGTCTGTTATGAATCCCACTTGCTTGTGGTATATTCCTTTAATGCTCTGTTGAATTCTGCATGTTAATACTTTATTTAGTATTTCTGCACTGGTATTCATAAGCAAATTTTGTCTATTTTATGTTATTTCTGTTACATATTACCATTATAGTTCTGCTGGCATAAGAAAACGATTTGAAAGTATTAACTATACTTGAAATTCTGGTAGAATTCACGTGTGGAACCATCTAGGTCTGATGCTCTCTGTATGTGTCCTGGAGGGGTTGTGAGGAGAAGAGGCTTAGCTCTTTGTTAATTTACAGTTTCTAGAAAATCATCTACTTCTTCCAAGCTTTTAAGGTGATTTGCATAGAGTTGTATAAAGTAATGTCTTATGATAATTTCAATTTTTGGGGGGCCCGTGATTACTTCTCATTTTCATTTATTGTCTTCTATATCTATGCTTCCTCTTCTTAATCTCTCCTCCATACCCCTTTTGGTTATCTACCAGTTTACTTTATTCGTGTTTTGAAAGATTTAGATTTTGGATATTTTTTCATTGGTTCTACTTTTTTCTAATACTCTGTTTTTGTTAACTATCTTTCCTTCTGCTTTAAATCTTTTTTTCTAACCTCTTGAATTGGATGCTTAATTTCTTTTCCTACTTATTTATATTAATAAAATTTTTAAGTATATAAATTTCCTCTGAGTACTGGGTTATCTGCATCTCTAGGTTTTGCTATATAATGCTATTATTGTCATCATGATTATTTTTATCTAGTTACTCTGCATTATTGATTTCATAATAAAAACTTTTGAATCAAAAAAAAATTTAGTGTTATAACATTTCCAGGAGGTAGGTTCATTTCATTTCCTAATTTTGTTAAAAATGTCTAATTTTGCTTCATTGTGTTCTGAAATATTATTCCAACTATTTTCTACTTTGGACATTTTACTGAGATTTTTCACCAGTGTTCCAACACAGCAGAAGGTAATGCACTGTGGAAGAATAGGGTATTATACAAGATGTCCATTCTCTCCACTTTTCTTCTCCTTGGCTCAATTTGGTCATTTAATATATGGGTTTTCTGGCCAGGCATGGAGGTTCAAGCTTGTAATCCCAGCACTTTGGGAGGCTGAGCGGGGAGGATGGCTTGACCCCAGGAGTTGGAGATCAGCCTGGGCAACACAGTGAGACCTGGTCTCTACCAAAAATTTAAAAATTCGCTGGGTGTGGTGGTGCATGCCTGTAGTCCTAGATACCTGAGAGGTTAAGGTAGGAGAATCCCTTGAGCCTAGGAGGTTGAGACTGCAGTGAGTCATGATCATGCCACTGCACTCCAGCTTGAGTAACAAAGCGAGACCCTATCTCAAAAAACAAAAATTACGTATATATAAAGTTTCCCAATCTCTGTGCATTTTGCACTTGCCTCTGTAATTCAAGTTTCAATTTTCCTTACATCCTTTTCTAGTCACATAACTTCACCTTAAAATTTTTTACAGTAAATTCCTATATTTACTGCAACTTGTGCTTATTTATCAAAAATTTATCATGTCCTTTAAACTATACTAGTATTTTATTAGAATTAGCTTTGTTAGTTATCTGATTATAAAGTTACGTCGAATTTAAGTAGTGTGCCCTATAGCTCCATTGTTTTTTAGAGTGTCAACTGTTTTCAGAAACGCATATATCATTTGATAGCAGTTACCTGCACAGCAGGTAACTTGCGATCTAATCTGAGAGTCTCTACAGAGTTTATAGTTATATTGTGATTTTATGAATACACATAAGATATATGTGAATATATGTCAAGCTCTCTGTTTCCATTGTTGCATCAGGGCTCTTGCTCAGCTCCTCTTTCTGTTGGCCAAATCCTCCTCCTTCTGTTGGCTTCATCTCAGGCAGAAAAACAACAGCCAGAGGCTGAAAAGAGACTATTTCAGTATCTCCTTTTAGGAGTAAAGAAACTTTTTCCAGTTTATATTCTACTGTAAATTTTTCTAGTGTTATCACTGTTGTTATAACTTTGCATCATATCATAAATTCTCTCTCTTCTCTTTTTTTCTGAGGAAGGGGCTCTTGCTACATTGCCCAGGCTGGCCTTGAACTCCTGGGCTCAAGCAATCTTCCTGCCTCAGCCTCCTGAGCAGGTGGGACTACAGGTGCATGCCACCCCACCCAGCTTAAATCCTCTTGATCACGGCTCACTGCAACCTCCACCTCCAGGGCTCAAGCAATCCTCCCACCTCAGCCTCCATAGTAGCTGGGACCACAGGCATGTGACACCATGCCCGATTAACTTTTTGCATTTTTGGTATAGATAACGGTTTTGCCATGTTGCCCAGGCTGGTCTCAAACTCCTGAGCTCAAGTGATCCACCCACCTTGGACTCCCAAAGTGCTGGGATTACAGGTGTGCACCACCACACCCAGCCAAATTCTCTATTTTTATACAGCATATTTTGGTACTCCACTACAAAAAATGTCAGAATTAATATACCATATGCTTCCTTTTCTGTCTCCAACTAATCATTTTTCCATTACATTATTTTTCTTGGTCTATGTAATTGTTAGCTTTTAATCATATTATTTAGTTTTTCTAATGTTACCTGTTATACCATCAAAGGTTTATAAACACTATTAGTTTAATTATTAGTTTAAATTATTAGTTTAAATATCTTTTGAATCTTGTTTTATACTATTTCCCACTTACTACCCTCCCAACTTTTAACAATTAGACATTTCTTCATTGTCATGGTTTAAAATAATTACCATAAATATTTAGAAATAATTTAAAATAATGTTTTTAACCATAATTCCCACATTTTGGTCTCAGTCTTGTAATTAAATGGAGGGAATCAAAACTTACCTCAAGTGTTTTGCCACTCTCCATCTCTCAGCTGGCTAAGTTTGTCCTCTAACAGCTTATTCAAATAGTATTTATGAAAACTGTTTCCTGAGGTCCTAAGTTCTTGAGAATATCTTTACACTTTTATTGCTTTTATAACTGAGCAACAGTTTGATTAGGTTCAAAATTCTCCACTCATACTCATTCTCCCCCAAGCCCGAACATTAGTGGCATTGTTCAGCTGTCTTTTAGAACTCAATGTTGTCTTAGAAAAGCCAATGGTCAGCATTATCTTCCACCTTTACAGGTCTCTGGATTGCCTTTGCCTTTTTTTTTTTTTTTTTGTCTTGGATATCTAAATGATTATCTTTTTATCAATGAGGGGCAATAACTTTACTAGGAAATGTCTCAGTGCTGATCATTGTACATTAGTCTTTTTTTCTGGTACAGAGTATATCCTTTCAAGCCATAAATTCAAGTATCTCCCCATTGCCTTGTCTCACCGGCAGACCACTTCCCTCAAAGTTGGCAAGTGTATAGGTGTTTCTTTACTCAGCTCTGCCTCCTATGCTACTCTCTGGTGTCAAACAGGGCACAGGGAAGCTCTCACCACCAACCTAAGTTCCCCATTCCAGTTCTTCAAAAGGGAACGTTTATTTTACCACTGAGCATGGACCACCTCAGTGGAAAACTGAGGTCTCTCTCTCACTTCCATCTGAAATCTACATTCCCACGCCTTTTTTTTTTCTTTTTTCTTTTTTGAGACAGAGTTTTGCTGTGTCGCTCAGGTTGGAGTGCAGTGGCGCTATCCTGGGTTCAAGCGATTCTCTCGCCTCAGCCTCCTGAGTGGCTGGGACTACAGATGTGCACCACCACACCCGGCTAATTTTTGTATTTTTAGTAGAGATGGGGTTTCGCCATATTGGTCAGGCTGGTCTGGAACCCCTGACCTCAGGTGATCTGCCCACCTCGGCCTCCCAAAGTGTTGGGATTACAGGCATGAACCACAGCCCCTGGCACCCATGTCTCTTGACGCCATATTCAAATTCCAGTCTCATCACTGCATTCAGCACCCCTTCTTTATATACTATGGTTCTGGGTTACAGAAGACTTTCAGTTTTATTTAAGAAAATATTTGTGAAATGATTTCCAAGAGAAGTGGCTGAAACATCTTTGTTCTGTGTTCTCAAAGCCAGAATTCTGATCCAGTTCTCAGCATTTGAATGAGATTGCTGTAACTTCTAGTCCCTAACTTGGTGCTTTGGATTTTACAGGGATCCCATAAATGTCTGTTGAAAGCTTTCTAATCACAATGCTTTCTGATCTATAAAGAAGGGTTTTAATCCTGAAGATCTGGGTGTTCATCAGTAACTCAGTGGACAAACTTCATTGAAATTTTCTTTGAATGTACATGGTAAGAAATATAACTTGAACTCTAAATAGCTGTTGTTTTATCTAATGCTGATGATAAAAAATTTTCTCAACATAAAAGAAGATATACTATAAAAATGACTTAATTTTCTGAAGTATGTATATAGTTTAGCAGGTGAACTGAATGAGTCATTGTTACTAATGAGAAATATATGCATTGAGATGGGCAAAATGGTCTCATTAAGGAAGCTGTGATTAATAACACATTTAAAAACTGAATATGGGTAAAATCCCAAAGGTCTAGAAAACTGAATGGCAACTACAAATATGCAAGTACAAATTTTTTTTTCTAAGCAGATCAGGTATTTATTTAACAATTAGAAATGAAATTTTAATGGGCAGGCAGCAGAATGTTTCTTATGGCTCCCGTGAACCTATGTACCCAAAAGCCTAATCAACATCTGTACCCAGACCTAAGATGTAACTTAGGATCTGTCCCCAAACTTGCCCATCCACCTACTCAGTGTTTCCACCACCTACCCAGGTGCTGAAGCCTGAAACCTGCACACCATCCTTGATACCTGCTCTCCCTTTCTGCTACACCTAATCAATCAGGTCCTGCCGAGCTACCTCATTCATTCACTCAAGCACACTGACTGAGTAACTGATACATGTCAGGAATTAAGTAGGCTGGGTCTACAGAGATGGATATAAGGGAAACAGTCTTGCATTTGTGGAATTTACCATCTGGTGGTGGAAAACAGACAAGAATACAAATAAGAAAATCTTGGACAAACTGGCAGAAGTGCTATGAAGAAAAATAATGGGTGTTATCAGAGAGGATAAGTGACACATTTAAGGATGGATATTCTAGGAAGTCCTCTCTAAAAATATCTTTTAGTTAAGACCTAAAAATGAAAAGCCAGTCACGCAAAGAGCAGAAGGAGGAGCAGTAGAGGGAACAGCATATGAGAAGTTCCTGCAATGGAAACAAAATTTGAGAAACTGAAAGAGTATCACTGTGCCTGGAGTGAAGTGACTAAGAGCAAGAATGGTATGAGGACAGGTTTTGAAAGCCCACTGGGGCCAGGTCATGCAGGGCCTTGTGTTTTATCCTAAGAAAACTAGTTGGTCAGAAAAGTACATGGTCAGATTTGCATTGCTCTGTTATGATACAAACCTACCCATTTTCTCCCATATTAAGAAAATCTTCAATAAACTCTGCTTTGTGTAAGTAGGAAGGGCAGGGGCTGGGCTGATGTCTAGATGACCTGGTATGAAATATTCTCAGAAAACGAAATGATCCATAACCTCAATTACCTCAGTGGAAGCAGGAGGTCAGAGGCAGAGGGAACAGGAGAACATCCAAGTCAACCACCACTTCACTTTTCCCCAACCCATCCTCAGCCCCAGCAAAAAATCATAGTTTGTAAAAACTGTGGAAGAGAGATTCAAGCTAATCTTATCTAAATATTAAAGAACCAGGAAACAGCAGGTGATTAGACTTACATTGTCCTACATAGTTACCTGTGTCCATTTCAAACCTCTGTGTTAGGCTGTGACCTCCTCCAGGAGAAAGAAATGCTTAGAGACAGCTTTAGCAAAGTGTTAAAGCAGACAGCTTCTCTCTCTCTCTAAATATATATATACAAATTTATATATATAATATAAATATATAAAAATACATAATGTATATAAACATATAAAATATATAACATATAAAAATATGTTATACATAAAATATATAATATATAAAAATATATAAACATATATTAAAATATATATTACATAAAATATGTATTTATATAGTATATAAAATATTTATTATATATATATAGTGTCCACGCCCTGTTAAGTCAATTATTTTTCACGTCTTTGTCATCTGTGAATCCAGAGTACTCAGCATATGTTCTGAATTTTAAATGCAAAGATCCACCACATATATTTCAAAGGATGAACATCCCAAGCTTTCACTTGAGTATGATAAGAAGGGGAGAACTTCTGGACATGCATGGTTTTCAAAAATGCATATTAAAAATGTCTTTCCTCTAGAACTTGCATTTACGTTAGCTCCCTTCTACCTACCTGTTATAGCCTGCTGGGCTACTATTTTAGCAGTCCTTGCTGTCACTGCATCACTAGTTTGGTTTTGCTTATAAACAGGAAGACTGGATAGATTCTCTTAAAGAAGGTATAGGTGACCTTAGTTCTTTGAATGAAAGGTTGTATTTCTTGCCTGTACCATTCACAAGTACCACTTAAATTTACTCAAAGCTTCTCTAAAGGAGAAGCCATCCCACAAAATCCAGCACAGTGAAAATGAGCCTTCAGTAAATGTAGCCGACAGATCGAAAAGTTTTAGGTTAATGACTTCTAAGAGATTTGTGACCTGGAGAGGGGTCTCAGGAACAGCCTCAGCACTGGCTCAGGATAGCCTGAGTTAAGTTTTTATCCAGACAGCTTTTCTGTACTTATTTACATAGTCTCCATGCCCCATTAATCTAATTATTTCCTCTCTTGTTAGAAGATGGCATGGAAAAACACATAATTAGTGCAGTATCTTATGTTCTCATTTAATTTGGGGAGATTTATGTTAGATTTAAATTCAGATCCATTTGCTTCTATTGCTACAGTACCCAATTTAAAATAAAAACAAACTTGGCTATCACATTCCTCTGTGATTTTATTAAAGCAATACATTTGAAGCAATAAGAAACATTTTCTTTACTATTTTCATTTAAGAGAAGACTATTTTGTCTCATTTTTCACTTGATAAAGAAAAGAAATGATGTCTGAATTCTCTTTACATACCAGTGACTGATAAGTCCATGAGCTTATTAAATAAGAATGTATTTTAAATTTGAAAAGTAAAAAGAAATCTGGCGAGCAGATTTATATTTATGAAGTTGCAGCTGAGATAAATATTTAATCCACATTTGTGAGTACCCACTGTGCCCCCTGGCATTTCAAGAAGACCTGTGGGATGTAGTCAAAGGTAAGTCCCTGATGGTTATGAACATTACATCATAGGTAGATGATTAATACACATAAAACAAATTAAAAAGACCACACATGGCACTGTGCAATTATGCATTGAGTTTATGGTGTGGGCTCTAGGCCCTATAGGAATTCAGAAAGAGGGAGAGGAGAGAGAAGTCAAATAGAGCTTAAGCTGTGTGGGGGCTCTAATCCATGGTGGAACTGGGTGGGACTTGGGTTGGTTTTAAAGGATGGGTATCATTTGTTTAGGAAGGGCAGTAGGATAGGGCATCTTAGGACGAAGCTGCACGAGCAAAGGGAAAGACATGGGAATGAGTCTGGCTTGTGCTCATAGGCTGTAAGACACCAATCCTGATTTTGGGGTAGGGGAATAAAGCTAGACCAATGGGATAGCCACATGAAATGTTTTTATAGTAATATCAATACATATGCAAGGAGAAGAGACTGAATATGTTAAATGCAAAAACCTCCAAATGCCAAACACTTGAATAAGGTGCTTTAAAAAAAAATAAATCAACACCCATTTCTCTACCTCTAACATTCCTTATTCTTCCTTTGCTGTTAAGTTCTTCCATACATCTATTTGTTACTTCTTCCATACATCTCTTTGTTTACTTGTTTTGTGTCTATCTCTCCCCAATGGACCATGAGCTCCAAAAGAGCTGAGGTTTCACTGCTTTATTCCCAGGGTCTAGAAAAGCACTTGAAAAAAGTAGTAGGATTCAATAAGTATTTGTTGACTGAATTAACACCAAAGCAGAAAGGGAGGTTACGGAGATAACTCCATGTGTAATTACACAACTTCACTTCACTTATCCACTTCAGACCAACCATACTGATTGTATTTAGAAAGCATTAAAAACAAAAGTGAGTGGCATAAAATTAAATGTTGGGACTCACAGTGAGAATTCCATAATCACCTTATTCTTTGTTAGGACCCTTCAGAGAGTCAGGGAAGGTGGTGTGGACATCTGTAAAAATGGTATTAAAATGACTTATGAGGCCGCTGGAAGCTTCTCCCAGGGATAGTTCCTTAGGAATTAAGGACCCGTTGGCCATCACACAAATTACTACAAGACAATATCTTTATCTTACTAACAGAATAAGGAAAAAAGCAAATAATACTTCAACTAAAGTCCATACCAGAATGAACATAACCCATAAAACCAATGGATAGCTCCCTCACTCTCCCTTCAACCTCCTTTTAAAAAAGAGATTATGCTGATGTTACGATGTTGTCTATTAGGTACTGTACTAACTTCTTCCATAGATGCATTCATCTGAAAGAAATCAAATTTTCTTATGACTCCTTTCATGTTCAGGGAAACGATCTTGGTATTTTAAAAAACATGATCCCTGGTTAGTGATCGTACGAAATAGGCCAACTTCAATTTTATTTGTTAGTGGTTACAAAAATCATATTTGCCAACATTCGTGTTTCATTTTTGAAAATATTATAGCAATAGCTCCTAATACCTGCAATCTTTTGGGGGAAAAAACCCAGTAAGCTATATTTACTTTAAAAGTGGAAAATTAATTGTAACAACCTTATAACTACCATAAAATAAAATTAAAAAGTCAATATCTTCTTTCTTTTTTAAACACCCAACTCCTTGCATATTATGTTTTCTCCTAGAACTTTAAAACAAAGGCTGTTTTCTAGGATAGTTAACATTACTAATTGAAGCCTGATTTGTAAGCTATTATAGCTATCTGACCAGCAAATTATTTTTATGCTTGGTTAATCTTTTCCAATAGTGGAAGTAAAACACATTTCTTACATACATGTTCAGGAGCTCTAAAATTTGGAACGATAGTATGTTAGTCCAGTATGATTCTTGATAGCATTTTTCACTGAAGCAGAATCACTTAAATAAACATTAGTCATCTGCTCATTTCTCTTGGATGTATGCTATGTGACTCTACAGCCTCTGAGGAATTTTCTCCTTAATAAAAATTTAGAAAACAGAAATAGAACACAAAATTTACCAGTACTTATTAAACCAACACATGGTCCTAAAGAACAGGGAAAAAGCTTCCTCCGCTTTCTCATCTGTATCAACTGTGGTCTTCATATATTCATTAAATCAGGCACTGTGCGTGCTGCAAGGTGGGGGTGAGACATCAAATGTGTACAGGAGACCAGGCACTGACCTTGCAGATCCTCAGAACATGGAATCAACTTATGGTCAAAGGAGGAGTCTGCATTTTTAACAAGTCCCCAGATAGGTCTAATATCAGTGTGGTCTACTAAGCCACACTTTGAGACACAGTGCCGAAGAAGACCTAGAAAACGACTCCTCCTTTCAAATAAGCTTTAGACCCAACTCCTGCCACACTGCTGGAATAGCAGATTTTCTGGTCTGAAAGTTTTTATTTCCCAGGCAGAATAGCTGTTAAATAATGTTTATTTAAATGATTTTTGTTCAGTGAAAAACAGTAACAACAATCATGCTGGACTGACTGGTCCTATTATTAGACAAAATAATGAGTTAAGGAATTCTTTCTGAAACCCACTAGATTCAGATATTTTCTTTCTTAACTTCTCTAAAGTTATTCTTAAGTTCAAAACTGTCTACTTAATGGCCAAAGACCATTTTCCAATTCTTATCTTAGCTGACCCCTTTCAGGGTACCTGACACAGGTAGCATAGCCAATGGTTAAAGGTTCCAGCTCTGCCAACAAGAATGCCTGGGTTCAACTTCCAGCTCTGCCACTTAATGAGCTATGTGAAATCTGTGAAAGTGCTGTAAACTAAGCCTTGGTTTCTTCAATTGTAAAATGGGTATAAACTGTACCTATCTCTTAAGAGTTGTATGAAGATCAAATACAATAGGAAAGTAAGCCACTTAGCTCAGTGTTGGACATATAAGTCATCTAGTTCAACTCTTTAAACATACTGCTGCTTAGAAAATGTGTTCCAACTCATGAAATCAAAGTCTTCCTACCTAGCCCGAGCTCCTCCTCTATTGCTACTTTAATTTCTGGCAAATATTTGCTAATTATTCCAAGCTAGATTCTACAAAGGCTACTGAAGTCAGGCATTCATGTATTTAATATAAAAGAATATCCTGCCATGGACATATGTGAACAACCAGAGTTAATATCTATATCTAAAACAGCTTTTAGGAGACCGTCCATTCCATAAAGCTGAAAATTCTGTGATTTGATAAGCTAATTGTGTCACTGTAAGAAGAGACACTATGTGACTGTATGAATTCAGTACAGTTCTAAACAAGGGTAGAATCAGAGAATGCTCCCCTTTAAGAATGCTACTTTTTAAAAATTAAATTACAACAATGAAGTTTTTCCTCAATGGTTCCTTCCCCTCAAAAAGAGACGTAACATTGCAGGTGTGACCTAACAAGCCTGAGGACAGCCCTGCTGTGCTAGAAGGGAGTGAATTCAAACAGGCTTCACACGTGGAGGAGATGCAACATTAGGTGAATCTACCAAGACACAAAAAGGCAAAAAGGAGACCAGATGACAGGTGCGGATAAATAACTAGATGAAGCTCCTCAAAACTAAAAGTGAATTCCAGTTCCAAGTCACAGAAAAGAAATTAAGCATTCTGTGCTACAGCCAAGGTGAAAGAAGAGTAGAACAAGAGAATAAATATTGTACTATATTAATCACAATAAGAAGCACTTTCGTCTCGGCCAAAATATATTCTTAAATCAACTTTAGAATGTAGCTGCATTTGCCGGCTTAGCAGCATGAAACCCACAGGACTGTAATTAATGTAATAAATCATGCTGTGGACTTTTCTACAGAATCTGACAGTACTCATTGATATATTGCTTATTAGAGACTGCAGAAATTTCTCCCCCACTTTTTTATTATATGCCAGAGACACTGAATCAAGAGAACCTTCTTCTGATATGTCTGAAATATCTGCTGCTGGTATAATACATAAAATACATAGTGAGCTGCTGCCATCAGACTTTGATATACAAGACATCATATACAATTTCCAAAAAGAATCTTGTTTTTTAACTCTCACTTTCCTTGAGTTAAGGCAGTTGTAGAAGACACATGGATTCATTATAGATGTGACATTTACATTTTCCACAGCTTCAGCCATGAAGCCACAGCTTTGCACATATGGCTCTCCTTTTCAGCTCATTCTTTAATGACTCCATTAGTATACAGCACAGAATATTCTAAACAGGCATTATCTCAACAACCTATACATGTTGTTCCATTGTTTTCAATATCTGACTCTTCAGAAAAAAAGTTTTTATTGAACATTAAATCATTTTCAAAGCTAAAAATGAGTCCTTTCACAGTTCAGAAGAAATTCAACTATGACTGCATTTCACTTCAGTGAGTTTACAAAACCCTTAAATCTGCTGTATATAAGCATCTTCTAATTTAGGAATAAACTTTAGTTTAAAAAAGTTTAAAGGGTCACTATACACATAAGGAAAACGTTACATGATGCATTTTCCCCTAATAAAAATAAATTCATTAGTTTTATCATAAAAGCAATATATGGTTAATATAAAATTTTCCCCACAAAATACAAAAAGTATGAAGAAAGTAAAAACTGTTGGTAAATCTATCATCCAAAGATAGCCATTGGAAGTACTGTGATGCATAGCTTTCCAATGCAAAATTTTAATTTAAAATATTACTTTCCTTTTTTTTGCTCTAGTCTTACTCTGTCACCAAGGGTAGAGTGCAGTGGCTCAGTCACTGTAATCTCGAACTCCTGGGCTCAAGCGATCCTCCTGTCTCAGTCTTCCCAATAGCTGGAACTACAGGCACACGCTACTGCACCCAGCGAATTTTTGAATTTTTTGTACAGATGGGGTCTTGTTATGTTATCCAGGCTGGGATGGTCTCAAACTCCTGGCATCAAGCGATCCTCCCACCCAGGCCTCCCAAAGTCAAAGTGCTAGGATTACAGGTGTGAGCCACCATGCTTGGCCTAAAAATAGTACTCTTTAATTACCAAGAGTCTAGTCCATTCTGTCTTAATTATACACTTCAGTTTTCTTGTGTGTCTTGTTTTTTCTCAGGATATACTGCTTTGTGACATGTTCCAAGAGAAAAACTACTATTAACATAGTAATGCCTGGATATTTCTGATGTATTCCTTTTGATCATATAAAATTACAGATTTTAAGACTTGAATAAGGGTTTGGCATTGGATTTATTTTCCATGGGTGACACAGAAATTCCTTATTTAGCTACTGAGAATTCCCTATGCTCACTCTTGCCCTCATTCAAAATGTTCTCCACACAGCAGCCTGAGTGTATGAGCTTTCTGGATTCCCAGTTTGTCCATGTCACTCCCCTGCTTAAATTCCTTCCCTGAATTCCTATTGTCCTTAAGTGAAACTTCAATCTTCAGTATCTCAATCCACAAGGCTCTGGTCACCTCACCAGTCGCATCTGAAAATAAGCTCACATGGTTTCCTCCATGCCAACGACAGTGGCCTCAATGCAAGTTTTCAAATATGCTTTCCTTTCAGTATCTTAAGGCATCTTCGCTCTCAAAGCATTTGCACGAGCTGGCCCCTCATCAGGAATACACTCCTGGCCTCCATTTCCAAACCTCTCATCCTTCATTCTCAGGTCAAATGTCACTTCCTTAAAAAAAAATCTTCCATTATCCTCTCCTTATGCCAACAAATTCTCCGCTTTTTCCTACCACAGCATGTCTAACAATTTATAATTATCTATTTCTATGACTACTTGATTAACGTCTATAACATTAAGTAAGCTCTGTGAGGAGCCCAGACTAGAATGCAAGGAACCTTTTTTTCCCCACTGTTTCATCCATGGTTCAAGAAATGAATAGCAGGCACTCATTAGTTAATATTTGTTAAATAAGTGAATTAACTTGATTATCAGAAAAGAAACACTAAAACTATATAAGAAAAATATAAAGCCAAAAGAAAACAAAGAAAATGAAAGTGATCTCCTTTTTCATTTCTAGAAACTTTACTATTTGCATATTTGCTTCAACATTCAACAAAAACATATTCAGCATCTCAACATGGTAGGCATTGTTTTAAGCATGTCTGTACGTGTCTCCCTCAACTGTTAAACACTCTGATTTCCATCTAACGAAGGAGTTAGAGATTGGAACAAGAAAAAGAAGAGCAGGAGGAGAAGTTTTGGCAATGAAGTTTTTGGAGGAATAAAGCAAACTCAGGGAAAGTTGGCCCATGTCCTGGAACAGCCAAGAGGGAGGATGCTGAGACATGTAAGAGAAGCATCACCATGGCAAGGGGGCCTACTGGTTAAGAGCATAAATTTGGGAATCAAACCACCTGGATCAAAATTCCAGCTTTCCGTGCTTCTTACTGTGTGACCTCCAGTAACTCTAATCTTTCTGTGACTTAGTTTCTTTATCTGTGAAATGGAGTTAATTATAGTCCTATCTTCAGAGAGTTGTGAGAACTGAGTTAACATAAATAATTAGTGAGATAATAAGCACACTAGAAGTGTGGGCTATTATTATTGCTATTTTGCATGTAGTAATCACAGAGAGCCAACAGCATATGACTCTGCAGACTGAAGAGGAGTCTGGGAAGTTAAATAAGATCACCTTTGTTAACAGTTCATCAGTATGACAGTCAGAACTGAGTATCTGAAAGGTGTTTTTCACAAGTTTGCTGAAATTTTATGGCTGCAATGACTGAGAACAAACTCTAACAAAACATTAGAGATAACATCTGATGAATTTTAAGAGATGAAATACTGTTACTATACCACAACAGAAATAGTTATTACAAACATTTGATTAGAAACCATTCCTTCCTTTAAATTTACTCAATTTACATATCTACATTTATTGCATATATTAATCAGTAAGGATCAAAATATGAAGGCATCTTTTACTAAAAATGCATAGTACAAATCAAAAACAAAAAGGTATTATTAATCAATTTGAAACAAAAGATGTATGGCACATAAAGCAAAAGGAAAACAGATAACACATAAAAATGGAAATGCACAAAGCTATAATAAATTACCTGCTTCTCTTCTGAGTTAGGCTATTAATATTCATTAAATTCCACCCAAGAAGTAATAACCTAATGGATAGGAGGATGCTGATTTCTAAGTGGGTCAGTGGACAATAGCAACACATATTTTTGAGAAGTTCATTATAAAATAAAAATTATGTTGTTCCATGACACTATAGAGAAAAAAAGTTAGGTATTTTCCTATATGGATTAGCATTCTATACTCATTTATAAGTATAGGCAAAACAGGAAAAGAAAGCTTTTCTTTCAATTATGAGATGGTTGCCTTCCATAACACAGAATAATAATTTAGTAGCATTAATTCTAACAGTATACAAAGTGTTAAAAAGCTAGTAACCTGTAACATAAATCTTAATAATATATCCTAGAGACTAAAAATATTCTGTAAAATATAATTTTAGGTACTATTTTTTAAAAAGATATATTTATATTCTTTGAATCAAACTCTAAAGTCAGATTCATAGAAACAGTATACTCTAGAATAAGAGGTATTATTTTCCCTGCTAAATGAAGGGTGAAAAATTAAGTAATAATTGAGTTATTTTAAAAAAATTCTCAACTATAATCGGTCATTTCACTTGTTGTCCTAGAGGTCCCAGCTTTTTTTACTGTATACTCCATATGTAAAAATGTTTTCGGCTGGGTGCGGTGGCTCATGCCCGTAATCCCAGCACTTTGGGAGGCGGAGGAAGGCGGATCACCTGAGGTCAAGAGTTCGAGACCAGCCTGACCAACATGGAGAAACCCCGTCTTTACTAAAAATGCAAAATTAGCTGGGCATGGTGACACATGCCTGTAATCCCAGCTACTCGGGAGGCTGAGGCAGGAGAATCACTTGAACCCGGGAGGCGGACGTTGCGGTGAGCCGAGATCGCACCATTGCACTCCAGCCTGGGCAATAAGAGTGAAACTCCGTCTCAAAAAAAAAAAATGCTTTCAAACAACAGCCCCAGAATATGTATATTTATTTACACTATGTATAAGTGCTACTGCCAATCAATATATTAAATGTTAGTAAAGCTTAATTTTTTTTTTTTTTTTTTTTAGATGGAGTCTCACTCTGTCGCCCAGGTTGGATGCCAGTGGCATGATGTCAGCTCACTGCAACCTCTGCCTCCTGGGTTCAAGTGATTCTCCTGCCTCAGCTCCGCCTACCCCCACCCCACCCC